>NC_000020.11:23207350-23835553 GCF_000001405.40 Homo sapiens
ATGCGAGCAGGGGCATGTGTACTTCGTAAGGCTCCCCAGGGGTCTCCAGGATGAGGCCAAGGTGGGGACAAGGACTCCTGTGCCCCACCAGCAGCCCTGGGTTAAAATTCTCACTATATGACCTTGGAAGTTGACCTGATCTCACTAAGCCTCAATGTCCTTTTCTGTCCCCACCCCCACCACCAGCATGGGGACAGGTGTCCTGCTGTTCTACTTAGCATCAAGTGTCCGGCTCTGAATGATGCTGGACACATTGTAGGTGTTCAATTTGTTGACTAACTAGGTGGTTTGAGGCAACAATCATATGTACCCCATGGGTATTTGAGAGAACTAAATGAGAAAAGGCAGGAAAATTGCATAGCATGCTGCCTGGCAAACTGGTGGTGCTTATTTATGTTTGCTATTGTTATTAGTCTGCATTTTTATATGTAAGATTTTCTCATGTTGATTCTCATATAGAGGAGGTCAATGATACACTAAGCTTATATCCCCTTGATAAAATTCTGAAAATCTCATTCAAAGAAAAATGCATCCAGATTTATGCTTCCACAAAAAATAACAGGAAACAGCTTTCAGCCAGGCAGTGACCCAGTGGAAGAGGCAGAAGGAATGGACCCCTTGACCTACATGCCTTGGCCCTGGCAAGGGAAACCCTGACTGTGGCCCTCAGGTCCAGCTCTCATGCCCACTGCCCTGCACTGCACACGCTGGCTGAAATGTGTCTGAGTCTTATCCACACATGGAAACAGTTCCCCTGGGGTCACTGGCTATCTTCCAGGGCTTAGGGCTTCCAAGGGTTACTATGCCAGTGGGATTTTTCCACAAAAAAGGGAATTCCAACCTGATGGATAGTTTTAGAAAATCTGCCACAGTGTCTTGGTGTCACCTGCTCATTCACAATGATGCAGCTGATGGATGCATTTCTACAATGACACATCCCTACCCTCTGTATGACCCTAGGTTCCTGTCATGCCATGAAGTGCATGACTATCTCTCCTGGGAGGGTCTACCCCCAAGGGACAAACATGAAGAGGAAGTTGACCACAGCAGACCTCCTTAAAGGTAGATTTTTCCAGGGCCCAGTGCCCCCAGAGCTATAGAGTATTGCTGATCTTCACTTGGGTTGGACAGTGATTTTTTAAAATATCTGGATAAATAAGTTTCTTATTTGGCCCCAGGAAGTTGGTTACTCTAAGTATATGCAAGGGTTGAGTTAAAATGGGGTGGGGGCCAAGGAAGGGGACAAAAGGACCTGCTCATCTCATCTCTATTCAGAAGTGGCTCTCCCAGTCCTCCACCAGGCTCAACTCAACTTGTAGGAAGAAAACAGGTTTCTGGCACCAGAAGGATCTGCATTCTATTGTCACCGCTACCATAATGACGTAGCTGTGTGACATTGGACAAGTTAATGAGCTGCCCTAACCATAGTGTTCTCACCTATGGGAGAACCATAATGGTTCATAATTCATAGAATATGTACAGACTGAGTGTTCATGTCACAGTGAAATTCACATGCTGAAACTTAATCTCCAATGTGATGGCATCAGGAGGTGGAACTTTTGGGAGGTGATTAAGTCATGAAGGCAGAGCCCTCATATACGGAATTAGTGTCCTTATAAAAGAGAACTCAGGGAGCTCTCATTCTCTTTTTCCGCAATGTGAGGGGATAGCAAGAAGACAGCCATCTGCAAACTAGGAAGCAGACCTCACCAGTGATTCTGCCAGTGCTTTGATCTTGAACTCCCTAGCCTCCCAAACTATGAGAAAAAAAAAAATCTTGTTTAAGCCACCCAGTCTATGGTAGATTGTTACAGAATCCTAAACTATGACAGGAATTAGTATCAAGAAGTGGGAATGGTGCTGTAAAAAACACCGAAAATATAGAAGCAGGTTTGGAAGTGGGTAGCAGAGTCTGGAAGAGCTTTGAGGTACACGCTAGAAGCCAAGGTTTAAGGAAGTGAAGGGTGTTTTAAAGGAGATTCTGGTAATAGTTCAGAAAGAAAAGAAGAGAGCTGCAGGAAAAGCTTCAATCTCCTTAGAAAACACCTGAATAATTCTGAACAGAATGTTGATATAAATATGGGTGATAAAGGCCATTCTGATGAAGTCTCTGCCAGAAATGGGGAGCATGTTTTTGGAAACTAGAGGAAAGGCATTCTTGTTACAAAGTGGCAAAGAACTTGGCTAAACCATGTTCATGTTATAGTGTTTTGCGGAAGGTAGAATTTGTGAATGATGAAATTGGATATTTAGGGGAGGACATTTCTAAACAAAGTGTTGAAGGAGTGGCTTGGTTCCTCCTAACAGCTTATGGCAAATGCAAGAAGGAAGAAATAACTTGAAGACAGAATTATAAGCAAAAAAGGAATTAGAACTTAAAGTTTTGGAAAATGCTCAGCCTTTTCATATGGAAAAAAAATGAGAAAGTATATTTGGAAGAGACCACTAAGTCTGTGGCCAAATGACACTTTGATAAAGAGATTAGCACGGCTGTGAACCACAAAGTTAATCAGGTAACCCAGCAGGAAAACTGCATGTGAGCAAGAATATGGGAAGGAGTGAGGGAAGATTACCTGACTTCCTGAATTTTATAGAACAGGACCGGAGAGCTATTTAAAAGTGCTCTGTTCTTCAAGACAAGGGAAGAATGGCCCTAAAGAAGATTCAGAGAATCACTGGGGCTGCATTTTCAGTTTCAAGCAGGGGGGTGAGCTTGATCCCTGCTAGTAGGGGTCTAGAAGGCAAAGTACCAAGCTAGAGAGATCATTCTCTAGCCTTAAGATCTCATGAGATTTGCAATGCTAGGTTTTGGACTTTTTTGGAGCCTGTCACCCTTTTCTTCTTTTTTTTATTTTCTCCTTTTGAAGTGGGAATGTCTATCCTATACTTTTCCCATCATTATAACTTGCTGAGTTTGACAGATTCACAACTGGAGAGAAATTTTGCCTCAAAATAAACCATACCTTGTGTCTCACCCATATCTGATTTAGATGATATTTAGATGAGACTTCAGAGTGGATGCTGGAATGAGTGAAGATTTTGGGGGCTGCTGGGATGGAATGAATGTATTTTGTATGCAAGAATATAAATTGGGCAGGGGGGCCAGGGCTGGAATGTTATGGACTGAATGTTTGTGTCTCTCCAAATTCATGTGTTGAAATACTGACCCTCAATGTGATGGATTAGGAATGTAGACTTTGGGAAGTAATTAGTTCACGAGGGTAGAGCTCTTGAGAATGGGATTACTGCTTTTCCAAAAGAGACCCCAGAGAACTCTCCTGTCCTTTCATCATGGTGAGGACACAGCAAGAGGAAGCCTATCTGGGGGCTAGGAGGTGGATCCTCCCCAGACACTGAAAGAGCCAGCACCTTGATCTTAGACTTCCAAGTTCCAGAACTGTGAGAAATAAATATCTGTTGTTTAAGCCACACCGTCAATGATAATTTGTTATAGCAGCCCAAGCTGACTAAGACAGCATGTTAGTGAGGTTTGAATGATGCATGTGTCTGATTAATAGAAGCAATTACAAGTATTAATAAAGATTAATAGAAACAATTACAAGTATTAATAAGGTGCCGAGCTGGGAGAGGGAAGGGGAATGCAGGGCCACTACCTCAGAGCTTTGAAGGAGCAGGAGTTCTTGGCAACAGAGACAATGACAAGCCAGGAAGGAGGACATACCTGAATCAGTACAAGGGAATCTATCCCTACTGCCCCTGCCTAGACCACTGCAGACCTCTCCTCCACCCTCAGGGCTACTTCATTCACTTCTCAGTGGTCTTTCTGCTTCCTGTCTTCCCTCTTACAGTCTATGCCTCTATCTCTCCATTATCCAGAATGAGCACAAGTTAAATAATACTGTTTTATGAGCACAAGTTAAATAATACTATTCCTTCCACTTAAAACCCTCCAATGCATTCTTCTTCTTGGATTAGACTCTTCTCCATGGCCTCCAAAGCTGCAGATGTGATCTGACCCATGCCGCCCTCCCCTCCTTCCTCTCCTCCACTCCCTTCCGTGTCATTCAACTCACTGAGCTTGTTCTGGCCCTGGTCCTTGCACTGGCTCTCAGAAAATGACTCTCAATATTTTCACACAGTGCACTCCTTGCCTCTCCAAGAGCCTCCTCTTTAGAAAAGGCCTAGAAAGGAGAGGGAGCCTGAGCATATGGCCCACGCTCCCTCTCTTTCCTCCACATCATCTCCCTCTGTGCCAGCACTACACGTGCACTCAAGCCTCATGGAGGCTGCGATTGGACAGGAGTGTTCCCTCCCTGAGGCAAAGTGGGATCTGGGGCAAGAGCCTGGGGCAGGCAAGGGGGTCTCTGATGTACCCCCACACCAGGACTTCACATCTGAGCACCCAACACTGACTCTCCTTGACTCCGGCTGAGACTCAAAGCACTTAGCCTTTCCTGGGACCCAGCCCTGTGCTCAGAGTTATAAAGTGATTGAAGCTCAGGTGTCAGCAGGTGGGTCATTGGTGGTTGATTATCCCTTCCAGACAACATTGGAGTTTCCTGAGGGTCTTGAAGATTCTGGTTCAAAAGTGTATCTTAGAGTGTGTAGTTCAGGAATTTTCCCATTCTCTGATGTTGGGAATCTTGTACAGAGGGTTTCAGTGATTCTTATCATAGTTTCACAAATGATCCTTACTCTATGGCTATCAGAGATCACAAAACTGACCAGAGACAAATCCACAGCTTAAGACCCAGCTCTGAGCTCACAGCCTGGGTCCAGGCTCTCTCTTTGCCCTGCTACTTGCCCTAAAAGTTGCTTAAGACTCTCTCTCCCCTTCAATCATGTGACCTGTAAGAGCCAGACACTGATGCCTGGTGCTTTTAATTACAGAGTGAGGAAATAACAAGCTTTGCTACAAAGATTGCTAAGTTGATAGGAGATAATGATCATTGCCATTGACATCTCACAAGAAGTTCAGACATCAAAGCAGCACCCACCCTAGGAACTGGGTTTTCATCTTATCCTTCCTCTTTGTGTCTTTATTTACTTATTGGCCTAGGACATTCCACAAGGACTGGAATAATGACATTTGTGCTGAGAGGATGATATCAGTTTGAAATTCGTGCTGTCAGGATAAATAGAAAACCCTTCACTATTTGATTATCTAGCAAGAAATTAATGGCTATCCATAAAATGTCTAATAAAATGATCTGTTTATTCTAGAAGCTGTAGGAACTCTGTTTGCTTTCCTCACCCTTACGCTTGTTCTTCTCAGTGCAATATGACTAATTGGTTTAACACAGACATCAAATTACCAGCCTGGCTCCTTCCACACCAGGAGAGCCCTGCAGAACCAAAGCAGTGCACACGCCCCTGGGGAACAAATGCCTGGGGCAGGATGCTGGGGAGCCGAATTGTTTGCTATGTGTTGCATTGATAGTTTTATTCCAGTTAGTGACCTGCAGTCCATCACAGGCTGCTTTGAAAACCCAAGATAGGGCGCATGGTAAGGGCTTTCTGTTAGGGTGGAGACACCACCCACCATCTTTTTGTTCCTAAGAACTGTGATCAGACCCAGAGTACAATCACGGTAGTAACATGAGCCAGTTTATGGAGGGAACAGAAATGGGATCCAAGAGCTTCCAGCTGACTTCAGAGCCCAAAGCCCTTCCCGTACACCCACTTCATACCTTCATTCCTTTCCTGGCTCCAGTGGAGTTTTTTAAATGCCCAACTTTGAAAAGTTCTTTTTAATTGAGTATGTATATGTTCTGAATTATAGTCAGAAATTTTCAGTCAATATATATAAGATATCATATATGTATATATTATACATATATGTGTACATATATTGTGTATATATACGATTTCAACATGTAAATTATTGAGAGGTTTTACATTCTTATATTGTATGTTAAGGCTTCAAGATCCAGTGTGTATCACACACAGCATGTCTCAATACTTACTGGCTACGATCCAAGTGTTTAATAGCCATCTATGGCTAGTGGCTACTATACTGACCAGCACAGTTATAGATAATAGAAAAGTAAACAACATTTTCAATATTAAAAAGGTTTGAAATAAAAACTATAGTTATCAAAGCTTATAGCAAATTTGAGATCAATCACTTATGAACGTAGATGCAAAAAAAAAACTAAACAAAATATTGGCAAACTGAATTCAGTCAATATGCATAAAAACATAAAAGACCATGTCAAAATTATTATATTCCAGGAATTCATGGATGGTTTAACATTAGAAAAATACATATACACACATATATATGTACTAAAGACTATGAAGGAAGAAAAGAACAGTAATTATTAATGATTTTATCTCAGAATGGTGTGATATAGGGTAATTTTTACTTTATTTTTTGTATTGCTTATTTTTTACATACTATAAAACAATTTTCACAATAGGGGAATAAAAGGGCAATCACAAAATTCAAAATTAAAAACAAGAATAAAAATAATAGAAATAGAGAAAAAATAATTTTGAGAGAATATTTTGTTTAACTGAATGCAAATAAAATAAAATGGATGTTATTCTAGAAATATATACAGTATTTTTATTTTTATTTTTCTTTATCTAGAAAATACAACCCTGACCTCAGAGGAAATAAAACATCTAAACAGAGAAGTTACGTGAAACAACTGGGAATGTTACTAAAGGTCTGAACCCTCACCACTAAAGTCCAGATGATTCCTGTGAAATCTGATAAAACCTTCAGTTCAAGTAACAGGTAATTCCAATGCCATTTTAAGTATTCTAGGTCAGTAAAACAGACAAAGCTTCATATTTATTTTTATTCAGCAAATAAGATACTCTATTCCAAGAAAGCATACACAAAACAATAAACTTATCTTCTTTATAATTATTGGTAGAAACATCATAAGTAAAATAGTAGCAAATACAAACCAGGAATACATTCAAGAAGCAATAGCCCATCAAGGAGGGTCTATCCTGGAGATGCAAGCACGGCCATACTAGGAAATCAATCCCAATTCACATGACTTTCTCTGAAGGCATCTTATAAACCCCACAGGAAAAATGTTCTGAGCACTCGTGATAAGCAGAATAGTGACCTCCCCAAAAAGGACTACACCTTAATCCCCAGAACCTGTAAATATGTTAGTTTACATGAAAGTGGGGAATTTAGGTGGCAGAGGGAACTAAGTTGGCTAAACAACTGACCATAACATAGGCAGATGTATCTGTTATCCAGGTGGGGCTGCAGATGGCAGGAGGGGACCACTGGATGGCCCAACTGAAGCGGCCTCTGGGCACTGGGGGAGGCAAGGAGGCAGTGTCTCCCGGAGCCCCAGCAAGGAACACAGTCCTCCCAGCACCTCGACTTCAGCCCAGTGATTCTTAGGCCAGACTTCCGAACCACAGAATTGGAAGATCATATATTTCTGTTTTTTTAAGCCACTATATTAGTGGTAATTTGTAACAGCAGCAATGGAAAACCATCACAGTACTTAAACAGCCCCTTTAAATCTAATAAACCAAAGTTAGAACTGTAGAGAATCAATGTTCTCTTAGGCATTACAATGCTGATTTATAAACTTCATAACATTGCTATATACTTATCAACTTAAACTCACAAGTCTAAAACCAATTTCACATTTCAAATTTAAACCACATTACATGTCAAGTATGCCACAAGTATTTCAACTCAAGACTTTAAAAAAACAAACACATGAGTTATCCCAGCACTTATGAACATTTTTTAAGTTTAGCTTGAGTGTGCTTGTGATGTGTTGGATGCACCCGTGAGTCCATCTGAGAGGCCTGGACTGCGTGGATCCCTCCAGTGCACAGGACTACACCCCCACTCACTGGCTCGGCCTGCATTCTGTGTTCTCATCTACACTGAAAGCTCTTAAAGGGCAGGATTTCTGAATTTCTCCCTCCCATCCCTTCCTACCCTGCACGGCACCTGAAAGCAGTTCGGGCTTCATGACTGTTTGCAGGTTGATCAGTCATTTATAGGATGATCAGTTATCTCCATTACTAGTGTAGTTATTTACAATTACTAGATCGTTCTCTAATTGCTAGTATAGTAATTACTGAACTACATAAAATATACTATATTACTATACTATGTAAAATTCTAGTATGCCCAGGCTCTGCCCTCACCTGTTTCTGGGGAAGAGGGCCCTGCCCCAGCTCCAGGCCTGGTTCTCCTAAGCCCAGGCCCTCCTTGAGGATCCCACCTCCTCTTGCCACTGATTGACTCATGAGTCCGGGCTTTGGCCAATCAGTGCTTGGCTTTCCCCCATGCTATTGATGTAAGTAGCCATGACATAAACTGGCCCAATCCAGCTGGAAGGAGAGCCTGTTATTCCATGACTGGGAGAAAAAGCCTCTCTCCTAGGGGCTATGAAAAAGGAAACATTGTATCCCATTTATGGCTGGTGGTCGAAGGGGAGCTGGTCTGAGGGCGAAACCAGCAGAGGAGGAAGAGATAACAAAGAACAGAAATTTGAGGGCAAACCCCAACCACAGGTACTGGGGCCACCTGAGCCCTGGACTCCTCTGGAGTGAGGCCACAGCCTGCAAGAAGAAAAGGTCAAGATAGTTATTTTCTATTTGAAAACAGAGGTTTAAAGAGCATATATGACTCCATGAAAGACCCTTTCTTCGTGACATCAAAGAGGCGTCCACCCAGGTCTAGGACAGGGGTCTCAGAACCCAGCCTCCTCCTGGGCTCTCCTCACAACACACTGCTCCAAAAGTTTGGTTGGAGGGGGATGCTGGTATATTTTAAATCGTGTCCTCTTAAATAGCCAGCACCCTGACACAGTGGGAGGGAATGACAGGATCTTTTTACTAGAGAAAATTTCAAATACAGTTGGCCCTTTGTGCAGGGGTTGGGGGTAATTAATTCCAGGACCCCCAAGGATACCAAAATTCTCGGAAGCTCAGGTCCCTGATATAAATTGACATCATATTTGCACATAACCTATGCACATCTTCTCGTACACTTTAAATAATCTCTCGGTTACTCCTTTTTTTTGGCATAACTGTTCATGTATTCCTTTACCCTAGATACACTGTTCTTACCTTTTTGCTCCTATTGTTTAATAAAAAATGAAGTCAGTAAGTTCAGAGGACACAAATAGATAGCACATGATCATGTCTCTACAAATATAGTTACTCCCTTGCTCAAAGTGTGGTCCACAAACTGGCAGCATCAGCATCAGCATCAGCAGGGAGCTACAGAAAGGCAGAAGCTCAGGTCCCACCTGAAAATATGGAATCCAAGTTTGCACTTTAATGAGCACCCAGGGGATCCATCTGTGCATGAGCATTTGAGAAGCATGATCCAGGACCGAGTCCTTGCCCTTCCTTCCATGTTCAAATGCATCATCACCTAAATCATACACCAAAGTTTCACCATTACAATGTGCCATAGGATGGACAACAATTCAAAACAAATTTTTTCACCTGCTTTTCTGATTTTTGAAAGATAACCCTTGTCCATTCACCTATTGGAATGAAGGAAATTGTAGTAGTATGATTGATCACCTATGGGAAGTTGGGAAGAGCAATGGGATCAGTGCATGGACTTACCAACTGTAAGAACTTTTAACACATGACTTAACTTCTCTAACTCTCAATTTCTTAATCTGAAACCTACCTCAGAATATTATTGCGAAAACCAAATGAAGAAATGTATGTGAAAGTGATTTTATAATTAGTTTTGGGGTTTACTACATTATCATGGTTTTCTTAAATTTTTTAATTATTTCAATATTTTTGGGGGAACAGGTGGTGTTTGGTTACATGGACAAGTTCTTTAGTGATGATTTCTGAGATCTTGGTGCACCCATCACCTAAGCAGTGTACACTGTACATATTGTGTAGTCTTTTATCTCTCACTCCCCTCCTACACTTCCTCTCAAGTCCCCAGAGTCATTCTTGTGCCTTTGCGTCCTTATCGCTTAGTTCTCACTTATGAGTGAGAACAGAGGATGTTTGGTTTTCCATTCCTGAGTTACTTTACTTAGAATAATGGTCTCCAACTCCATCCAGGTTGATATTAATGCCATTATTTTGTTCCTTTTTATGGCTTAGTAGTATTCCATGGTGTGTGTGTATATATAGATATAGGTATAGATAAAGATATAGATATATAGATATAGATATATAGATATAGATATAGATATAGATATAGATATAGATATAGATATAGATATATCCCACATTTTCTTTATCCACTTGTTGGTTGATGGGCATTCAGGTTGGCTCCATATTTTTGCAATTGCAAATTGTGCTGCTATAAACATGCATGTGCAAGTATCTTTTACATATAATGACTTATTTTCCTCAGGGTAGATACCCAGTAGTGGAATTACTAGATCGAATGGTACTTCCACTCTTAGTTCTTTAAGGATTCTCCATACTGTTTTCCATAGCGGTCGTACCGATTTACATTCCCACCAGCAGTTCCCTTTTCACCACATCCACACCAACATCTATTATTTTTTGATTTTTTGATTATGGCCATTCTTGCAGGAGTAAGGTGGTATCACATTGTAATTTTGATTTGCATTTCCATGATAAAAGTGATGTTTAGCATTATTTCACATGTTTGTTGCCATTTGTATAACTTCTTTTGAGAGTAGTCTATTCTGTTCTTAGCCCACTTTTTGGTGGGATTATTTGTTTTCTTCTTGCTGAATTTTTTAAGTTCTTTGTAGATTCCAGATATTAGTCCTTTGTTGGATGCGTAGTTTGGGAATATTTTCTCCCACTCTGTGGATTGTCTATTTACTCTGCTGATTATTTATTTTGCTGTGTAGAAGTTTTTTAGTTTAATTAATTTCCATCTATTTCTCTTTGTTTTTGTTGCATTTGCTTTTGGGTTCCTGGTCTTTGCCTAAGCCAATAGATGAATTTTTCTGATGTTATCTTCTAGAATTTTTATGGTTTCAGGACTTAGTTTTAAGTTTTTGATCCATCTTGATTTGATTTTTGTGTAAGATGAGAGATAAGAATCCAGTTTCATTCTTCTACATGTGGCTTGCTAATTATCCCACAAACATTTGTTGAATAGGGTGTCCTTTCCCCACTTGATGTTTTTGTTTGCTTTGTCAAAGATCAGTTGACTGTAAGTACTGGGCTTTATTTCTGGGTTCTCTATTCTGTTCTATTGGTCTACATGCTTGTTTTCATACCAGTACCATGCTGCTTTGATAACTATAGCCTTGTAGTATAGTCTGAAGTCAAGTAATGTGATACCTCCAGATTTGTTCTTTTTGCTTAGTCTTGCTTTGGCTATGTGGGCTCTTTTTTGTTTCCATATGAATATTAGGATTTTTTTCTAGTTCTGTGAAGAATTATGATAGTATTTTGATGGGAATTGCATTAAATTTATACATTGCTTTTGGCAGTATGGTCATTTTCACAATGTTGATTCTACCTGTCCATGAGCATGGGATGTGTTTCCATTTGTTTGTGTCATCAATGATTTCTTTCAGTGGCGTTTTGTAGTTCCCTTGTAGAGATCGTTTACCTCTTTGATTAGATATTTTCCTAACTATTTTATTTTTTGCAGCATTGTAAAATGGGTTGTGTTCTTGATTTGATTCTCAGCTTGGTCACTGTTGGTGTATAGCAGTGCTACTAATTTGTGTACCTTGATTTTGTATCCTGAAACTTTACTGACTTTATTTATCAGATCTAGCAGCTTTTTGGATGAGTCTTTAGGGTTTTCTAGGTAAACAATCATGTCATCAGCAAACAGTGATGGGAATTGCATTGAATTTATAGATTGACAGTTTGACTTCCTCTTTGTCCATTTGAATGCCCTTTATTTCTTTCTCTTGTCTGATTACTCTGGCTAGAACTTCCAGTGCTATGTTGAATACAAGTGGTAAAAGTGGGCATCCTTGTCTTGTTCCAGTTCTCAGGGGAATGCTTTCAACTTTTTCCCATTCAGTTTAATGTTGGCTGTGGGTTTGTCACAGATGGCTGTTATAACTTTAAGGTATGTCGTTTCTATGCCGATTTTGCTGAGGGCTTTAACCATAAAGGAATGCTGAATTTTGTCAAATGCTTTTTCTGCATCTATTGAGATGATCATGTGGTTTTTAATTGTGTTTATGTGGTGCATTACATTGATTGACTTGTGTATGTGAAGCCAGTCCTGCATCCCTGGTATGAAACCCACTTGATCATACTGTATTATCTTTTTGATATACTGTTGGATTTGTTTCACTAGTAGTTTGTTGAGGATTTTCGCATCTATGTTAATCAGGGATATTGGTCTGTAGTTTTCTTTTTTTTAAAATTATGTCTTTTCCTGGTTTTGGTATTAGGGTAATTCTGGCTTCATATAATAATTTAGGAAGCATTCCCTCTTTCTCTATCTTTTGGAATAGTTTCAGTAGGATTGATACCAACTCTTCTTTGAATGTCTGATAGAATTCAGCTATGAATTCATCTGGTCCTGGGCTTTTTTTGTTGGCAATGTTTTTATTACTGTTTCAATTTCACTACTTGTTATTGATCTGTTCAGAATTTCTATTTCTTACTGTTTTAATCTAGATGGGTTGTATATTTCCAAGAACTTATCCATCTCCTCTAGGTTTTCTAGTTTGTGCGCATAAAGGTGTTCATAGTAGCCTTGAATTATCTTTTGTATTTCTGTGGTATCAGTTGTAATAGCTCCCATTTTGTTTCTAATTGAGATTATTTGGATCTTCTCTCTTTTCTTGGTTAATCTTGCTAATGGTCTATCAATTTTATCTTTTCAAAGAACCAGCTTTTTGTTTCACTTATATTTTGTATTTTGTTTGTTCCAATTTTATTTAGTTTTGCTCTGATCTTTGTTATTTATTTTCTTCTGCTGGGTTTGGGTTTGGTTTATTCTTGTTTCTGTAGTTCCTTGAGGTGTGAGCTTAGATTGTCTATTTGTGTTCTTTCAGAATTTTTGATGTAGGCATTTAATGCTATGAACTCTCCTTTAAGCACCAATTTTGCTGTATTACTATTTTCATTCAGTTTGAAAATTTTTTTAATTTCCATCTTGATTTTATTGTTGACTCAAAGATCATTCAGGAGCATATTATTTAGTTTCCATGTATTTGTATAGTTTTGAGTGTTCCTTTTGGAGTTAATTTCGAATTTTATTTCACTTTCTCTCAGGTCTGAGAGAGTACTTGATATAATTTTGATTTTCTTAAATTTATTGTGACTTGTTTTGTGGCCTAGCATATGATCTTGGAGAATGTCCCATGAGCTGATGAAAAGAATGTATATTCTACAGTTGTTGGGTAGAATGTTTTGTAAATATCTGTTAAATCCATTTGTTCTAGGGTATAGTTTAAGTTCATTGTTTCTTTGTTGACTTTGTCTTGATGACCTGTCTAGTGCTGTCAGTGGAGTATTGAAGTCCCCCCCACCCACATTGTTGTGTTGCCATCTATCTCATTTCTAAGGTCTACTAGTAAATGTTTTATAAATTTGAGAGCTCCAGTGTTAGGTGCATATATATTTAGGATTGTGATATTTTCCTGTTGGACTAATCGTTGTGTCATTACATAATATCCCTCTTTGTCTTTTTTCATTGTTGTTGCTTTAAAGTATGTTTTGTCTATATAAGAATAGCTACTCCTGCTCACTTTTGCTTTCCATTTGTATAGAATACCTTTTTTCACCCCTTTAAGTTTATGTGAGTCCTTATGTGTTAGGTGAGTCTCTTAAAGACAGCAGATATTTGGTTGGTGGATTTTTATCCATTCTGCATCTTTTAAGTGGAAATTTAGGCCATTTACATTCAACATTAGCATTGAGATGTAAGGTACTGTTCTATTCATCATATTAGTTGTCATCAGAATACCTTGGGTTTTTTTTTCATTGTGTTATTGTTTAATAGGCTCTGTGAGATTTATGCTTTAAAGAGGTTCTATTTTGGTATATTTTGAGGGTTTTTTTCAAGATTTAGAACTCCTTTTAGAAGTTCTTACAATGCTAACTTAGTAGTGGTAAATTCTCTCAGCATTTGTCTGCAAAAGACTTTCTCCTTCATTTATGAAGGTTGGTTTGCTGGATACAGAATTCTTGGCTGATAATCATTTTGTTTAAGGAGGCTAAAGATAGGATACCAATCCTTTCTGGCTTGTAGGGTTTCTGCTGAGAAATCTGTTGTTAATCTGATAGGTTTTCTTTTATAGCTGACCTGATGCTTTTGCCTCACAGCTCTTAAGATTCTTTCCTTCATCTTGACTTTCAATAACTTGATGACTATGTGCCTAGGTAATGAACTTTTTGCGATAAAATTTCCTGGATGTTCTTGTAGCTTCTTCTATTTGGATGTCTAGATTTCTAGCAAGACTGGGGAAATTTTTCTTGATCTTTCCCTCAAATAAGTTTTCCAAACTTTTAGATTTCTCTTCTTCCTCAGGAATACCACTTATTCTTATGTTTGGTTGTTTAACATAATCCCAAATTTCCTGGAGGCTCTGTTCATTTTTTTAAACTCTTTTTTATTTGTCTTTGTTGGATTGGGTTAATTCAAAAGCCATCTTTTTGGATTCTGAAGTTCTTTCTTCTACTCGTTTGATTCTATTGTTGAAATTTTCTAGTGTATTTTGCATTTCTCTAAGTATGTCTTTCATTTCCAGAAGTTGTGGTTCTCTTTTCTTTATGGTATCTGTTTATCTGGAAACTTTTTCATCCATATACTGTATTTTAAAATTTTTCTTTGAGTTGGTTTTCTTCTTTCTCTGGTATCTCTTTGAGTAGCTTAATAATCAATCTTCTGAATTTTTTATCTGGCAATTTAGAGATTTATTCTTGGTTTGGATCCATTACTAGAGAGCTAGTGTGATCTTCTGAGAGTGTTATAGAACCCTGTTTTATCATATTATCAGAATTACTTTTCTGGTTCCTTCTCATTTGGGTAGACTGTTTCAGTGGGAAGATCTGGAACCCAAGGGCTGCAGTTCAGATTCTTTTGTCCCATGGGGTGATCCCTTGATATGGTACTCTTCCCCTTCCCCTAAGCATAGGGCTTCCTGAGAGCCAGAATGCAGTGATTGTTGTTGCCCTTCTGGGTGTAGCCTCTCAAGGACTACGGGGCTCCAGGTTGGTGCTGGGAAAATGTCTGCAAAGAGTCCTGTGATGTGATCCATCTTCAGGTCTCCCAGCTGTGGACAGCAGCACCTGTTTCAGTGGAGGTGGCAAGGGAGTGAAGTGGGCTCTGTGAGAGTCCTTGGTTGTAATTTTCTTTAGTGTCCTGGCTTTCTTCAATGCTGGTAATACTAGCAGTGAAGTTGTCACGTGGACAGACTCAATATCTCTGTTTAGCCAGGGTGTTGTAGGCAGTGGAATTAGCTGTTGTTTTCTCCTTCTTTGGAGCAGGGTTGTTCTGCTATAAGTTGCTGTAAAGACCTGAGTTGGTTGGCATCCAGCCAGGAGGTGGTGCTTTCATGAGAGCATCACTATGGTAGTATAGAGAGGATATAAGCTTGTCCTACATTGGCCAGTATTTTGTAAGTACTCGGATTTCTTAGGCAATGGGTGGGGCCGTAGAGCTCCCAAGAGTTTATGTCTTTTGTCTTCGGCTACCAGGGCCAGTAGAGAAAAACCATCAGCATCATGGTCCATATGGCCCTGCCCCTACTTGGCCACAAGGGACTGAGCACAGGGTGGATAGCTGGTCCTCAACCAGCAAGGACCTCTGGCTTCTGTGGCCAAGCTCAAAGTGTGAGTCAGTCATCAGACACCCCATCCCCTGGGGACCCAGACTGCAAAAGCAGGAGTCTGGGCCCACAAGGGGCAGGAGAGAAGTAAGAGTCACCAGATGGACCATGGGAGACCCTGAGAAGCTTGTGAATATACAGGCTGGTGAGAGGGGACAGGAGCAGATGCTGCTCTGAGCGACTGTGGGGAGAAGAAGAATCTCTTCCCCTCCACCCTCTGTGGCTTCTAGGTTTGTCCAGGCTCTGTGAGTGCCCTCACCATGGCTCTCTTTTCCAGGAAGAAAGTGGAGCACATCTGTCTGAGTTTGTTTCAAGTTGCTGTAACAGAAGGCCTCAGACTGGGTAATTTATAAAGAGAAGAGGTGTATTTTGGTTCATGGTTCTGGAGGCTGGGAAGTCAAAGATTGGGTGGCTGCATCTGTGGGCCTAGAGCTGCATCAGAACATGGCAGAGATGTGAAAAAGGAAGCAGGTGTGTGCATGTGCCAAGGAGACCCCACAGAATTCCAGTCCAGAGAGCAGCACTCGCTCCTGTGAGAAAGGCCATAACTCCTCTTAACAAGCTAATCACTTATTAAAAGCCCCACCTCCCAACACTGTCACACTGGGAACCAAGCACCAGCATGAGTTTTGGTGGGGACAAGCCATATTCAAACCATAGCAACATCTTTGTATGGTTATGTCACAATGTTTAAACAGAGTTTTGACATTATTCATTATATGTAAGCATGTTTCTCTCACCTCCTCTCTTTCCATCCATCTTCATAGACCCAGGGAAAGGGAAGAAAGAGAAGAATGGATACCACATTGGAAAAGAAAAATGTGTCACCTAGAAGGCTCCCAGGGGTCACCAAGAGGGAAAGGTGTTACCCATCCTGTCCGGCCACAGTGGGAAGACGAGGCTGAGGTAGGAAGGAGGAGAGGAGCTTCCTGCCCATAGCCTCTCTCTCCAGGCCAAAGTCCAGGCTGAGGGGACACCAAGAGCAGAAGGGCATTGGCTTTGCTCCTTTCTTGGACTCCTTGGAATAGCATAGCACACATCCTCCAGCCCAGGCTGCAACAGTGAATGCCAGACCTGCCCATGGCCAGGAGAGGCACCTGACCAAAAGGACCCAGAGGACAGCAGCAAGCAAACACCAAGGCAAGCCTGAGGCCAGAGCCACAAGGTCAAATGAACCCAGTTATGGACTGAATTGTGCCCCCTGGATCCGTGTGTTGAAGCACCAACTCCCAATGTGACTGTATGCAGAGATGGGGCCTTGAAAGAGGTCAGAAGGGTGGGGCCCTAATTCAATAGGTCTTGTGTCTCTGTAAGAGGAGATTAGGACACAGACACATATATGTGAAGACACAGGGAGAAGATAGCCATCTGCAAGCCAAAGAGAGAGGCCTCAAGATAAACCAACCTTGCCAACACCCTAATCTTGGACTTCAGCTTCCAGACCTGTGAGAAATAAATTTCTGTTTAAGCCACCTGTTCTCAGGTACAGTTATCATTTGGTACATAGAAAGGATTGCTTCCAGGACCTCCTGTGGATACCAAAATCCATGGATGCTCAAGTCCCTTGTATAAAATGGTGAGTACAGTATTTGCGTATAACCTACACACATCCTGCCATATACTTTAAATCATCTCTAGGTTACTTACCATACCTAATACATTGTAAATGCCCTTAAATAGTTATCTTGTATAATTTAGGCAAGAATGACAAGAAAAAATCTGTACATATTCAGTACAGATGCAACCTACCTTTTTGAAAATATATATATTTTTGATCTGCAGTTGGTTGAATCCATGGATACAGAACCCATGGACCTGGAACCCATGGCTGCCAGGGGCCGACTGGATTTTGTTTTGCAGCCTGAGCAGACCAATGCAACCCCTACAGCCCCGCCATCCTGGAGAGGTCTGGAAGGGGTTCTGAGAAGGGCTGAGCCATCCGAAGCAGCTGTGTCAATCTCAAGACCACAGACAGAGCTGCCTGGGACTGGGCTTTCAGGATGCGATGGCAGCAATGCATTTTCCCTGCTGTCCTGCAGGGTAGAGCTTGAAAGACAGCTCACAAAATAAAACAGATTTTCTGTCATGCCTAAAGCCAAGATGCCTTCCAACCAAATCATATATGTTATAGGCTTACTTAGGCCACCTCAGAGTCCCTTTTTAGAACACGGAGGAATACAAGGAGGGAGGGGGGCCAAGGGAGGCCGAGGAGGAAGGAATAGGTTGGCTAGGGAACACTGCCATTCCCTATCCAACCACAAAGGAATGGAAGTCCAGTAATTTTGAGGTGAAACAGAAAAGCAGAATGCCTGTTTGGGCATTAGGGTGTCCCTTGTGTCTCCTCTCCCATCGGAGCAAATCTCCAGTATATTCTGAACCCCAGATAGAAATCAGAACTCATTCCATTTCATAGCAAAGATCCTGCACCCCCAACCTCCGTGCCAGCCTATGAGTAACTCAGTGTATTCTGGTCTCTGGTCTCTCAAGATGTTGAAATGAGCAGCTTGCCCAATCGCATCCCAATGGGCTAAGAAACCTCAGAGTTCTCCTTCGAGACTGATTTCCTGATTGCACAATCTCTGAGCCAGCAGGCCTCCTATCCATGATAAGACAATGGCCCAGCCCCAGTAGATAGCAGATTGGTTTCTAGGTCCAGGCTGAGCAATCTCAAATAAGGGCATGGCAGCCAAGGGTGGCTTGGACTTGATGAGGAAGGTCATTCATCCTGATTCTGCAGCTGCTAAGGCACCACAATCAACCGTTTTTTTTGTTTTGTTTTGTTTTAATCTGCTTAGTGCTTACCAAACTGTGTCTTTTCTCCTCCCAGGCCGGAGGTTCCCAGGAGCAGACCAAGAGAGTCAATGTCATGCAGCAAAAGTCTGCAGCACCTCACTGCCCAGGGCTCTGTGCTGGGGTGTGGGGTACAAAGCAGGCTGTGCTGTGACCCCAGACTCAAGAAGCTCACACGTGGGAGGCCACTGGGAAGCCAGAGAAGAGTCCTCTCTCCTGGACAGACTCCTTTGTCCTCAGTTTCCTTGTTGTAAAATGGTGGTCATAACAGATAGTAGAAAAACAGTAACTCCTAGGGTTTTGTGCAAATTAAATAATACATGGAAAGTCCAATAGCTAATAATTTACTGTATACCTCACATAGGTTTACTGGATGTTGTTGGATTAGCTGTTAATTGAAAAAGTTACATATTCTTCAAAGAAAGAATGAAGGGAGGAAGGGAGGAGGCTGTGCTTTAGAAGTGTATCAGTAAAATTGGGGCTGCTAAACAGCCAGAGTATGAGAAGGCATATTTGGCGAACACGCCTAATTGTTCAAGGTTGACCATGCAGAATGCAAGTCAATTCCTGGGGCTGGGGATGGGCCCCCCCAACCCTGGAACACAAAGTCCTGCCCCTGGGAATCTGGAATGGGATCACAGCATTGGGAGTTGAGGGCCAAGTCCTGTCAATGATGGCTGCAGAGAAGAGAAGTCCCCAAACCTGTCCAATCCAACTCTTCCTTGAATTCCTCGAGAAGCCCCAACATCTTTTCGATAATTTCCCTTCTTCATTCCAACTGCCTCAAGTCAGTTTATTTTGCCCATAGAAAGAAGAAACTGAACTGATGCAGATCCTTAAGGTCTGGTATGTTTAAGTGCTCCCTTTCTTTGGCACTAGCTAATGTGCAGCAGCAACTATGATGGTGGTAGGTAAGCCAGGCACTGAGGCCAGACTTCCAGCTGGAGCTCCCTCCTCTGGGCATCCCTTTCTTTACCGTGAAAATCAGAAGGTGGCCCTCTTCTCCCCCAACCCCAGCTTAGCAGGCCTGGATTCTAGGGCTGACACCAAGTTTTGCCAGCAACAAACATAAATCCTGTGGGGGAAGGAGGACAGAGGTAGAGAATGTTTTTTCAACAATGGGCACCCCATGAATGCAAGCCTCAGAAATTGCATTTAGATGATATAATTAAATGCTTAAAAAAAAAGACAAGAATGAGATCCAGTCATCTTTCCAGATATTTTTCCACTCAATAAAAGTTCAGGATGTACTTTTCTAAGCTCCTTTCCTCTAAAATGTGTGTATTTTGAAGGAAATGTAGCCCATATGTTGCTTACTCATGCTTCACGCTAAGTGCTCTTGGGGCATATTTACTCAAAGTCCAAAACAACCTCCATTTGTTTATGTTTTTAAAGAATCTCTCAGAGCTTAAAAACAGGAAGGCTTAGTTGGCCAAGTGCACTCCTTGCAAGTTTTCCACGGGTTGAGGGTTCAGCATCCATGATGAGATAGAAAGGGCTTCTCAAGTTCATAAAGGTGCATTGACCACCTGAGCCTGGTTGATGAACTGTGAGTTTATTCAGCCCGAGGCCAGGTCCGTGAGAGGAGCAGCCTGTGCCTAGGAGGGTAAGGATGGGCCAGAACCCTGCTGAGAGTCAGCGCTGGCCCAAAGCCCTGATGAGGGCATTGCCCTGCAATCCCCAAGTCTACTTCCCAGCCCTGAGTGGAGGACATCTGGGGGGTAGTTCTAGCAAGCCCAGGGCAATGGTTCACTGCAGTAAAGACTGAGAGAATTCTATCTTGGCTGGATGACCTCTCCCCTACCAAATGGAAGTGTACAAGGCAGGGAAGAGGCAGCAAGACAGTGGCATTGGGCTAGCAGAAAAGTATGGCAAGTAGAGGCAGCCTGTGCTGTGCCTTCTGCATCTGCCCTTCTCTAGCCTGAAGACCTGAAGCTTTCCAGGCTCAGTCTCATCGTCTGTAAAATGGGAATCATGCATTTACCTTATAAAGATACAAGGATCAGAAATGCACATCCAAAATACCCAGCATAGGACCCGGGGATCCATAACTGGGAACCCTTAGCAGACAATATGGGTGCAATGGTTAATATTGAGTGTCAACTTGATTGGATTGAAGGATGCAAAGTATTGTTCCCGGGTATGTCTGTGAGGGTGTTTCCAAAGCAGATGAACATTTGGGTCAGTGGACTGGGAGAGGCAGACCCAGCCTTAATCTTTTTGGGCACCATCTAATCAGCTGCCAGTGCGGCTAGAATAAAGCAGACAGAGGAATGTGGAAGGACTTGACTGGCCGAGTCTTCCGGCCTTCACCTTTCTCCCACGCTAGATGCTTCCTGCCCTGGAACATCAGATTTCTTCAGCTTTTGGACTCTTGGACTTACAGACTAACTAATACAGTGACTAATACAGTGGAAGAATCTGGACGGCACGATCCTTGTTAATGCGACCATGGTGGTCACATCTGCTGGTATGGTCTGAATGGTTTCATTCCCCAAAATTTATATGTTGAAGCCTAATCCCCAGTATAATGGTATTTGGAGGTGGGATCTTTGGGAGGTGATTAGGTCAGAGGGTGGAGTCCCTGTGATTGGGATTGGTGCCCTAATAAAAGAGACCCCAGAGAGATCCCTCACTCCCCCAACACCATGTGAGGACACTGAGAATATGTCTGTATGAACCAGAAAGAGAGCCCACAGCAGACACCAAATCTGCAGGTGTCTTGATTTTGGACATCCCAGCCTCTGGAACTGTGGGAAATAAATTTATTTTGTGTATAAATCACCTAGTCTATGGTATTCTGTTTGAGCAGCCAGACTAAGACACCTGCCCTGACTCAGTGTGCCATGGAGTTAGGATACCAGCACAAGAGGGGCTCAGGCAGTGGAACTGGAAGCTCCCTCCTACAAGCACTTAGCCTGGATCAGCAGTCTCCAAGGCAGGATGTGGGACCCCAGGGGAGTGCATGACAATCTAGTGGTATATGGGAAGGATACACAGAGCGATCTCTACATTTATTTCACCTGCATGTAATAAAGAATGTTTTCTAATACTCAGTGTAAGGATTAACTCTGCTTGGCCAAGCATTGTAGTGCCAAAAGTCCATGAGCTACCCAGAGGGAAGAGTGGGAATTTCCCAGTGGAGAGGCAGGCGTGAGATCCTGTCTGCACATTGTGCAGTTTATATGCACCAGGGTGCGTAGATTTCCTTATGGAGAAGAATCCTCACACCACTCTGCTGGCAACTCCCTGTGTAGCTGATGTACTCAGACAAGTGATTTCGAGGTGGGTGGTTTTCTTTTACAAAAGGCAGGCACTTCTTTGGCTGAACTGTCCTCTGTGGGTGGACAAGAGCTAGTCATCAACATGCAACCCAGCAGTGTTTCCAAAAATAATAAACATGCTCAAGCTGTCTTTTCAAGGGAGAGGTGATGTTGAACACTAGATGTTAAGGAAACTGCTTTTCAAAGAAACTTACCCTACAGAGAGATAGAAAAATGATGCATGGAACTTTTCCCTCCTTATGTGATTTTGTTACCAAAAATAACATACGCATGTCATTTATTTTTAAAAACTTCATATCTCATACATTGAAAACACTTGCAAATGGAATTTTCTAACCTGTTTAAAAATCTTCCAAAGTGTTTTAGTGGATTTTGAAGCTATTTGCCTAAAAATTATAAAAATGCAAATACCTTGTAAGAAAAACTGAGATAAAAAAATAAGTTTTAGCCACATTTCAACACAAGCCTTTGCATGATTGGTGAATGGAGTTGAAAACATGAGTGCTGTGATTTAGGCAGCTCTGTGCACTCGCTGGATCCCTGGGAACCTGGTGTGTTGAGAGGGGTCCTCCCAAAGCAGCCCAAACTGAGAAGGTTGAATTGCTGCCTCAGAAATTATAAACCAAAGTTTATGAAATCGATGGAGCATGTCCGATAGTGTTAGTAATCCTTCTAATACCACTTTAGTTCAAAAATAAAAAAGATCGTGTCCATAATAAGAAAATATTTTAAATATTGTTTATTTCATCTTTGTTTTATTTTTATCTTTTTTATGTTAATGTATATTTTATTTTCCAGATAATATACTATGTCAGTGTCATAAAGATAGAATATGTGTGTGTCCATAGACATATATAATGCATTCATATATTGGGGATGAGTTTTTAGATTTTTGGGGATCTCAGAGGCCCAGATGGTTCCACCGACTGGTGGCCCTGAGGAGCCACACTGCAATGCCAGACTCTCCGCCGTCCACAGCCCCCACCCACCCAGCAGCCCAGTCATGCCCACCTCTGCCCTCCAGCTTCCATTCCACCTGGCATCTGGCCTGCCTCTTCTCACTTGCTCCTGCTCTGCCCAAACACA
The DNA here is from genome assembly GCF_000001405.40 of Homo sapiens. Classification (NCBI taxonomy): domain Eukaryota; kingdom Metazoa; phylum Chordata; class Mammalia; order Primates; family Hominidae; genus Homo; species Homo sapiens. Next base: position 23,230,191 of record NC_000020.11, read on the forward strand.
TATGGAGGATGCACTTTGACAAAAAGGACCAATGTGGAAACCACACCCAAGTTAGATCCTCAGACAACAGCCAGAGCAGACAAGTACCTGTCACTGAGTGAGAGGGAAAAAGGGATTTCCATGGTCAAATCAGGGAGTATTCTTGCTCTGGGTGTCTCTGGAGGAAGCTGCCTCCTGCTCCCTCTTCTCACCTCTGTCTCCCTCTCATCCTCCCCTGCCAGTGTAGACATCACAGGAGGATGCCTCCACACACCATTGGACAAGTGAGTTCACATCTGAGGTGCATATATTTTTCATGATAGTTTTAATTGTCCAGAAAATTAACAATGAAATGATGGAGTGGCAGAAAGAAAGCAAGAAAAAAACCCTGAAAATTTACAATCTAACTCAGAGAGAACAACACTTTTAGACATCAGGGCAGTGAGAAAAGAATAAATACTTTGTTAATGAATAAAGTGAAGCAGAACAAACAGGAACGTGTACCTAATAGTGCTGGCCCCGGGCGGGCATGTGGTTCAGGGAGATGAATGAGTGAAGTGGTAAATAACTGATGGCGAAGAGGGGCCCTGGCTCCCTGTCCCTGCTGCCAGACAGCTCTGAGGCAGGATTGCCCAGCCCTGCTCATAAGAACCCCCTCCCATGTCAGATGTTCCTCCCCTCCCATCTCACTTCCCCACCTCCTCACACCTGCGTTTTGGGATCACCTCGCAGGTGCGCCGCCCACCCCCAACACCGTGTCTTGAGTCTGCTTTCAGGGTGACCACATAAACACATGTCATCAAGTCCAATGGACACGACCTCCTGTCCAGTGGTACCACAAGGTGTGGTGTGTGCAGACTGCAAGTATTTCTTGTTCTTCCAAATACTAAGGCTGCGCTACGTGTGGTATCAGTCATTGTCACTGTGTTTTCTGGACGGGCATGTCCCAGAGCTGGGGAGTGAGACTTCCACCAGCTGGATGCAAGGCACCATGGCACTGCGTATCCACCTGCGCTCCCTGCATCCGAGCCACCTGCTCCAGCATGTGCTTAGGCGGAAGCACTCGTCTAGCCCCCACAGGAAGCAACTCCACCTTATATAGGAGACAGAATTTCCTGCTGCCTGGCCCCACTGCCTGCAAGCTCTTGGTGTGTTTTTAATTCCATATCTTTTGGTCTTGACAGGCGCGTTGCCTGTTACTAGTTCCCAGCTGCTGGGCAGAGCTGCCCTCCAGTCACTAGGGCTTCTGTTACTCCTCTGTCCCAGAAGGAGCCTGCTCTTCCAGCTCCCCAAAGAGAGGAGGGATCCAGGCTTGCTCTAAGAGTCCCACACCCAAGACATTGGCCAACTCATAGCCCGGGCCACCTGGCATTTGTTCAGTCACCTGCCAAACACTCTTCTCAGCTCCCCTTCAAAATCCCACACCTTTACCCTGCATGCAGAAATGGAGGTCTTGGGGGGCACTGCGATGCACCAGTCTTCTCCCTGCTCCACACAGTGCCTCCACCTCTGCCCTCCTGTCTCTCCTCTGCTCGCTCTGTGATGCTCAGTAGGGCTGTGAGTCAGCCCCAGGCCTGGCCGATTCCCACCCCAGCATTTCCTTCAAAAGCTCCCTGTTCCCTTTGCCCCACAGCCTTCCTGCAGGTTCCAAAGCCAAGGTCTCCACCTGGCCTCCCGTGCCAACTCCCAACCAGCCCCGGAGCCCACACTAAGGCCACAGGAGAGTGTCCCCATGTGACAAGATATTCCAGTATTCCAGGCCCGTTCCCACCCTGCCAGCTTGTCCTTTTAGCCTGTCTCTTCTCCTATTCTGCCCAATCCTGCTGGATGACCTGGTGTCACTAAATATGCCTTTGTTATGAAGAATTACCCAAAACATGGGGATGAGTCAAAAGATTACTATGTGACCCTCTGACAGCCACACCAGAGCATTGGCTGCCAAGTAGGCCTGCCTGAGAGTGACCAGATTTCCTAGGGGAGGTAATATGGTGGTTTTTAAGAAATGTCCACACACTCTGATAATCCTTCCCCAAAGGGTAGAACTTAGTTTCCCTCCCCTTGAGTGGGCTAGGCCTAGAGACTCACACCTAGAGAACAGAACACAAAGGAAGTGATGAGCTGCCACTTCTGAGATTAGGTTATAAAAAGACTGTGGCTTTCATCTTGACTCCTCCCCCTTCCCCTCCCTCCCCATGTCCCTTTTCATCACTCCCTGGGGGAAGGAGCCACCAGGTTTTGTGACCAGCCGTACAGAGAGGCCCCCTTCACGCAGAGAAGATCTGGAGCCTCTGCCAAGAGCCACCTGAGTAAGCCTGGAAGCGGATTGTGAAGCACCTTCTGAAGACTGCAGCCCAGGCTCACAGCCTGACCGAAACCTCATAGAGACCCTCAGAAACTGTGCAACACAAGAAATGTGTGCTGGTTTAGGCTGCTGAGTTTTAGGGTGACATCGCACTAAAAAATTAAATTGTTTGTTGGTTAAGGACCAGACTCTATGAAGTTGGATGTTAACTTGTTGAATATTGATACATTGCAACCCTTTCTGCTGGCAGAGTAAATAACCTGAAAGATAGTGGTTCCATTGTCCTACAGGACATTAATCAGTCGCGTATCTGACTTTATCATTGGACTCTCTCATTCTGATATGCACTGTCAGTTTTTCCAGTCCTTTGAACCAGCTTTATCATTTTAGTTCTCTCACTAATGAACTAAGTAAATATTTGATACCAAAATATTTGTGGGGGAATCATATGTTAGCTTTTGAGGCTTGCCCTTTGATACTGTGTCATTCTGTGCCTTTGCACCTCTGCCCTGCTTTACCTGTAGGTGGAAGCCCTTCCCTGTCCCAGCTACCTGCTGTAAAAAAGCTTTCTCTGTGCCCTCTCGGGAGAAGCTTTCCCTGGCCCTGGGAAGAAGACATCCCCGCCCTCTCCACGTCCCCGTGGCACTTTGCTCATGAGGCTATCAGAGAATGTCTCAGACCACGTGGATCATGTTGGGGCCCAACCCCAGCTGTGACTGCTGTCCAGGCCTTTGTGTAGGAAGTGAGGGCAGGCTGGGGCAGGGCTTTGCGGGGGACACATCTTCAGAAGAGGCTGGGGTGGTCCTGGCGACCCGTTCGAATAAAGGAGTCCTTTTGCAAGGAGTTGTCATGCGTGTGCCAAGCCAAGGGCGAGAGACTAAGGCTCAGCTTGGGGGAAGGTGCGGATGGAAAACTTGGGCCTCTACTGTTCATCACATAAAAAAGGAGAGAAAAATGCACCAAGGATAGAGGGACAGAGACAAAAAAGGAGAGAAAAATGCACCAAGGATCGAGGAACAGAGAGGCTGGCGTAAAGGGAGCCAGAGTGTGCGAGGAGAGGTGAGGGGTGAGGAGGGGAGGCCAGGCTCATCAGGAAGTGCTGTGAGGCTCCTTTAAGGACAAGCCCCTGCATCCGGCCCAACTTCATAAAGGACAAGCTCTGAGTGGGGCAATCATGAGTTTCATAAGGGCATGGAAAAAGTTTCATTTGTCTTTGAGTCTTCTTCCTCCATCCAGCACATAATACATAGATGCTTGTTAACCAAGAGATTCACCAGTAAATGAATGTCTCTTATATATTTTTTTAAAGCAGGTATCCTGAAAAACATTTTCCTCAAAATATCTGCTAAAGCATTACTTATTGGTGCCTCTAAGCACATACCCTTCTCATCTGTGTTAGCACCACCCTTTTCTCTTTCTTGTCTTAAGGCTTCCACAAGGCTATCAGTCAGTTTTTACTGCCTAACAAGCCACCACATTTCCTATTGCCCCTGTAACAAACTACCACAAATTTAATGACTTAAAATGCCACACATTTGGCCAGGTGCGGTGGCTCATGCCTGTAATCCCAGCACTTTGGGAGGCCGAGGCAGTTGGATCACCTGAAGTCAGGAGTTCGAGACCAGCCTGGTCAACATGGTAAAACCCCATCTCTACTAAAAATACAAAAAATTATCTGGGCGTGGTGGCATACACCTGTAATCCCAGCTACTTGGGAGGCCGAGGCAGGAGAATCAGTCAAACCTGAACCCAGGAGGCGGAGGTTGCAGTGAGCAGAGATTGCACCATTGCACTCCAGCCTGGGCGACAAGAGAGAAACTCCATCTCAAAAAAAAAAAAAAAAAAGCTACACATTTATTCTCTTACAGTTCTGTGAGCCAGAAGTCCAAAGTGAGTCTTCCTGGGCTAAAATTGAAGCATCTGCAGGGCTGGCTTCTTCTAGGGGCTGCAGGGAGAATCTGATCTTTGCCTTATCAGCTGCTAGAGGCCTCTGGCATTCGTGGGCTGCATCATTCCAGTCTCTGTCTGTTGCCATAACTTGTCTTCTGTCTGACCTCCACATGTCCCTCTAACAAGGCCTTTGTGATTGCATTGGGCCAACCTGGATAGTCTGGGATGCTCTCTCCCCATTTCAAGACCCTTAACTTCATCACATTCACAAAGGCCCTTTTCCTATGGAAGGTGACATATTCACAGATTCTGGGGATTAGGAAGTGGACATCTTTCTCTGTAGAGGGGGGTGAGGTCTGTTATTTGGCATTTTGTTCAAGGTTAAGCACCAAAACCATGCATCCCTCTCACAATTTGGGCATTTTTCAATCCGAGCTTGGCTGACTCATGCATAGGCAGCAGCTGTTGGGCCAGCTGAGGGCTGGCTGGTTGAGGATGGCCTCAGCTCAGACAGCTCATCTCTGCTTTTGTGGCCTCTCACCCTCCAGCAGGCTAGGAGGGGCTTGTTTACATGGAAGCTGGACATGGTTCCAAGAAACGAGGCAAAAGCACTCAAGGCATATTGAGGTGCAGTCTCAGAATTGACCCAGAACCCCTTCTACCTCATTCCACTGGCTGAAACAAGTCATGAGGTCAGCTCAGGTTCTAGTGGGGAGTAAGTCAGTGGAGCTGCCAAGTCATATTGCAAAGGTCAAGATATAGAGAGTGGTGAAAGATTGCAGCCAGTTCTGCCATATGCTATGGTAAACACCTAGCTGCTGCAAAATCTTTCATTCCTTGCATATTATCAAGTACCTGCCAGGGCACAGCTTACAAACAAGAAAACAGCTCCAGGAACCCAAACTACCAAAGACTCTAAGAAGCAGCCCCTTGTCCTGTCTGTAAGAACTCTGCTCCTGACCATCACACACTGGGTTCATTTTCAACCTACTGCTCTGTACACAGCAGGGACCTCTGTGTGCTGCTCCCTATTCCTCTCTTCCTAAATAAACCTACCCCTCCATCAAGGTCAAAGCTATTCCAACAACTTGAAGCCTTGCCACTATTTCCCACAAGGGCGTCAGTCTCCCTCCCCATTCTACAGCCCACAGCTTCCATGTTAGCTTCCATGCAAACCCAAGGCTTCATTTGCCCGGCCCTGGGCCAGCACAGCACTGCTGAATCTGTGCGCTCCGTCTCCAACAGCGACACCGTGTGGCAGGAAGAAGGAATGGTAGTAATGGAGTAGGTGCAGGTTTTTCCCCACTTAGGTGTGAAGACTGACCCTCTTCTGTTTATAAGCCCTATGGTGGCTCAAGGAAGGGATGTTGTCCTTCCTGCCTTTAAGGCATTAAGACGCATAAGGACAATAAAATTTTAGTGGCTGAAAAATAAACAGCAGGATTGCGTTTACGCTCCACTTGGAGCAGGCCATCCTGGTTATACACACACCTTATAGTTGCTTTCTCCAAAACACATCTGGTTTTGGTTAACTTTTTACTTCAATATAATTTTAAGCTTAAAAAAATTGCAAAAAATAGTACAAGGATCTCTGTTTTGCCATTTTCCCAGATTCACCAATTAATTACCTATTTCTCCATTTGCAATGAAAGCAAGAGAGAAAAAGACAGACTTTTCCTTGGCTATTTGAGAGTTAAGTTGGAGAAATATTCCCTAATTTACTGATGATTACTTCAGTATGATTTCTAAAAATACAGACAATTTCTTATACACATACCTATAGTATTATTACCAAAATCAGAACATTTTACATTGATGCAATACTGTTATCTAATCCACAGTATCCATTTAAATTTTATCAGTTGTCCCTACAGTGTACTTTATAGTAATATTTTTTCAGTCCGCATACCTTTTTAAATCCTTAACGACTACATGCATACATTCAGTTGACAGAATATTGTGAGAAACTGATGAACAAGTTTAATCTTTCTACACTTTTTACCTAGCAGTGCAGGTAAGCCTAGACTCGATTGAGTAATACATAGTCCATTGAAAGAGGTATGGCCTTCCAGTGACAGTGTCAATTAATTGACCTGCAATAAGTCCAGGAGAGAAAGGTGGAACTGTCCTTTTAGGGCCAAACATTTCTGCAAGCCTGAAGTCCCTTCCTGAGTGTCTCCTAGGCAAAAGAGCAGGATTCCAGGTAAACTTCCAAAAGACACTGTTTCAGAAAAACACATCTGGCCATGTCAACTACAGAGTACAGAGAGACACAAGGACATGCCAGACCAAGAACATCGGCCTTATATGCCATAGCTGAGCTTTGTTTTGATGCAAAAATAAGTTTCTGGCACTTTTATGCCACTGTCAGGAGGAAGCTGACAGAGGTAGAAGTGAGGGAGGTGGCTAGGCTGCATTTCCAGGATGCCTGGGGTTGGGACAGCGTGTTTCCCTCTCGGGTCTAGGAAAAAACATGTTTTCTCCAGATTTGCCACCTACAGAAAATCTTATTATTTGCCTTATGAATATGAAGTCATTGTTCAAAGAGTTAAAAATAAAATAAGTGGGGAAGGCTATATTTGGCTAGGAATGGTGCTAATACCGGGTTATATAACCTCTCCCATGACACTCCATGCATGGAGCATCTCCACCAAGGGTTATGTGTGGAAAGTGCACAGAATGAATTTTACAGATTCCATGGAAAACACTGTCAGGCCCCAGTGTCCTTGTTGTCAAGACAACATCTTATTTTCATCTTTCTTCTTGCAAGTTCTCTAGCAAAGACATTATAATTAAAATCCCAACATAAGAAGCAACCGTATGTAAAATTCAGAGCACAGACTGTGACAAGCAGGGAATTGAGTGTGGAGTCCTGTGGTCAAACTTTAATAGACTTAGGACAAAATTGTATTGTCTGTGGGCCTAAGCTTCAGGGAGCTTTGGAGCTGCACTGAATCACTTTCTAGGGTTTTTATGGTTTGGGGTTTTACATTTAAGTCTTTAATCCATCTTGAGTTAATTTCTGCATAAGCTGCAAGGAAGGGCTCCAGTTTCAGTTTTCTGCATATGGCCAGCAAGTTTTCCCAGCAGCATTTGTTGAATAGGAGATCCTTTCTCCATTGCTTGATTTTGTCTGGTTTGTCAAAGACCAGATGGTTGTAGATGCATGGTGTTATTTCTGAGGTCTCTGTTCTATTGGTCTATATGTCTGTTTTGGTACCAGTACCATGCTGTTTTGGTTACTGTAGCCTTGTAGTGTAGTTTGAAGTCAGGTAGCGTGATGCCTCCAGCTTTGTTCTTTTTGCTTAGGATTGTCTTGGCTATACAGGGTCTTCTTTGATTTCATATGAAATGGAAAGTAGTTTTTTCTAATTATGTGAAGAATGTCAATGGTAGTTTGAGGGGAATAGCACTGAATCTATAAATTACTTTGGGCAGTGTGGCCATTTTCACAATATTGATTCTTCCTACCCAAAAGGATGGAATGTTTTTCCATTTGTTTGTGTCCTCTCTTATTTCCTTGAGCAGTGGTTTGTAGTTCTCCTTGAAGAGGTCCTTCACATTTCTTGTTAGCTGTATTCCTCGGTATTTTATTCCCTTTGTAGCAGTTGTGAATGGGAGTTCATTTATGACTTGGCTCGGAATGTTTGTGATTTTTGCACATTGATTTTGTATCCTGAGACTTTGCTGAAGTTGCTCATCAGCTTAAGGAGTTTTGGGGCTGAGATGATGGGATTTTCTAAATATAGAATCATGTTGTCTGCAAACAGAGACAATTTGACTTCCTCTCTTCCTATCTGAATACCCGTTATTTCTTTCTCTCGCCTGATTGCCCTGGCCAGAACTTCCAATACTATGTTGAATAAAAGTGGTGAAACAGGGCATCTTTGTCTTGTATAGGCTTTCAAAGGGAATGCTTCCAGCTTTTCCCTATTCAATATGATATTGGCTGTGGGTTGATTATTTTGAGATATGTTCTACCAATACTTAGTTTATTGAGAGTTTTTAACATGAAGGGATGTTGAATTTTATCAAAGGCTGAGCTTTTTCTGAATCTATTGAGATAATCATGTGGTTTTTGTCGTTGGTTCTGTTTATGTGATGGATTACATTTATTGATTTGCATATGTTGAACTAGCCTTGCATCCCAGGGATGAAGCCAACTTGATTGTGGTGGATAAGATTTTTGATGTGCTGCCATATTTTGTTTGCCAGTATTTTATTGAGAATTTCCACATCAATGTTCATCAGGGATATTGGCCTGAAGTTTTCTTTTTTTGTCGTGTCTCTTTCCAGTTTTGGTATCAGGACAATACTGGCTTCATAAAATGAGTTAGGGAGGAGTCCTTCCTTTTCAATTGTTTGGAATAGTTTTAGAAGGAATGGTACCAGTTCCTCACCTATTTCTGATATAATTTAGCTGTGAATCTGTCTGGTCCTGGGTTGGTAGGCTACCAATTACTGCCTCAATTTCAGAGCTCGTTACTGGTCTTTTCAGGGATTCGACTTCTTCCTGGTTTAGTCTTGGTAGGGTGTATGTGTCCAGGAATGTATCCATTTCTTCTAGATTTTCCAGTTTATTTGCATAGATGTGTTTATGGTAGTCTCTGATGGTAGTTTGTATTTCTGTGGGGTTAGTGGTGATATTCCCTTTATCATTTTTCATTGTGTCTATTTGATTCTTCTCTCTCTTCTTATTAGCCTAGCTAGCGGTCTATATTGTTAATTTTTTCAAAAGAATAGCTCCTGGATTCATTGATTTTTGGAGGGTTTTTCCTGTCTCTATCTCCTTCTTCTCTGAGCTAAATTAGCTCAGAGAATTTTGGATTAGTTTCCTCTTGCCTCTCTACCTCTTTTAATTGTGATGTTAGGATGCTGATTTGAGATCTTTCTAGCTTTCTGATGTGGGCATTTAGTGCTATAAATTTCCCTCTTCACACTGCTTTAGCTGTGTCCCAGAGATTCTGGTACATTGTCTCTTTGTTTTCATTGCTTTCAAAGAACTCCTTGATTTCTGCCTTAATTTCATTATTTGCCCAGAAGTCATTCAGGAGCAGGTTGTTCAATTTCCATGAAATTGTGTAGTTTTGAGTGACTTTCTTAATCCTGAGTTCTAATTTGATTGCACTGTGATCTGAGAGATTGTTATGATTTCAGTTCTTTTTCACTTGTTGAGGAGTGTTTTATTTCCAATTATGTGATCCAATTTTAGAATAAGTACCATGTGGCACTGAGAAGAATGTGTGTTCTGTTGATTTGGGGTGAAGAGTTCTGTAGATGTCTATTAGGTCCACTTGATCCAGAGTGCTGAGTTTAAGTCCTGAATATCCTTGTTAATTTTCTGTCTCATTGATCTGTCTAATATTGACAGTGGGGTGTTAAAGTCTCCCACTATTATTGTGTGGGAGTCTAAGTTTCTTTGTACGTCTCTAAGAACTTGTTTTATGAATCTGGGTGCTCCTGTATTGGGTGCAGATATAGTTAGAATAGTTAGCTCTTGTTTAATTGTTCCCTTTACCATTATGTAATGCCCTTCTTTGTCTTTTTTTATTTTTGTTGGTTTAAAGTCTGTTTTGACAGAGACTAGGATTGCAACCCTGCTTTTTTTTCATTTTGCCTCTTAATCCGCATGCCTGAGCCCACTCGTCCAGTTCCTAAGATCTTATTAGGAGGCTGCCAATCACCAGTTACAGGTGTTTTTATCTATTGGGAAACTGCCTTTCCCTAGCACTGGATGCGACCAATTATTATTTTAGAGAGGGAGTGTTACAACCACCTGACCATCACCTGATGGTCACCTGGCATTCCTGGTGGGGAAGTGGACGTCCTCTCCTGCCCTGTTTGTGTTTGACTAGCTATCCACTATAACAATATCATATGTTCAATTCTTTTTTTTTTTTTTTTGAGACAGAGTCTCACTTTGTCACCCAGGCTGGAGTGCAATGGCATGATCTCAACTCACTGCAACCTCCTCCTCCCAGGTTCAAGTGATTCTCCCACCTCAGCTGCCCCAAGAGCTGGGATTACAGGCACCTGCCATCATGCCCAGCTAATTTTTGTATTTTTATAGAGATGGGGTTTCACCATGTTGGCCAAGCTGGTCTTGAACTCCTGACCTCAGCTCATCCACCTGCCTTGGCCTCCCAAAGGTTGGGATTATAGGTGTGAGCCACCACACCCTGCCAAATGTTCAATTCTTAAGAAAGAAAAATCTAACAAATCCTACACTAACAAGTGTTGAAAGTGTGCTAGGAAATTGTGAATTCGTATACACTGCTGATGAGACATCTTTGAAGAGCTAGCTGGTAATATCAGATAATATTAAAAATTGAGCTTGTCCCATGACTCAGCAAACTTTATTGTAGAAAATCTAGGTATCAATCTCTGAAATGCATGCACAATAGGAAATATACATGGTGTGGTTTTTTTTAAAGCACCATTTGCAACAAGTAAAAACTGAAATGACCTAAATATCCACCAATAGCAAAATAGATAAAGTATGACATATTCATATACTGGAATGCTACACATTGATTAAAATAAACATGCTATTCATGCATTGTCAACAAGAATAAATCTTAAAAAACAATTGGTGTTTGGGGAAAGGGGAATAGAGAGTTGTTGTTTGATGGGTGTAGAGTTTCAGTTTGGAAAGAAAGAAGGTTCTGGAAGTGGATGGTGGTGATAGTTCGAACGTACTTAATGCCACTGAACTGTACAGTTTAAAATGTCTAAAATGGACCCATGTTGTTCAAGGATCAACTGTACTTCAATCAATCAATAGAAGTGAGCATTGACTTTGCTTTTGCCTTTAAAAAATCCTTTAGGAAAACAACACATCTTATATTTTTCTTTGCTGGGGGGGCTTCCCTGTGTCACTCAGGCTGGAGTGCAGTGGCGCTATCTCAGTTCACTGCAACATCCACCTCCTGGGCTTGAGAGATCCCCCCACCTCAGCCTCCTGAGTAGCTGGGACTATAGACATGAACCATCATGGCTGGCTAATTTTTTAATTTTTTGTAGAGATGTTTTTGTAGAGTTTTTTTGTAGAGACCAGCCATTTGCTCAGGCTGGTCTTGAATTCCTGGGCTCAAGTGATCTGCCTGCCTCGGGCTCTCAAAATGCTGGGATTATAGACTTGAGCCACCATGTCCGGCCAACAAGCATCTTTTGAAGTACAAATTATTGAAGGGTTTACAGCACTTGCTCACTCATGTACGTGAGGTCCCTGCACTGGTTCTTTCCATCAACCAGATGGATCCACTGGTGGGAGGAAGTGGATGATAGAAGTGGGGTCCATGAGGCACTGCTCAGAGGACTGGCAGGACAGTAGGCTGACAGGACATCTAAGGGAAGCAGAAGGTCTGAGGGAGGAAGAGGAGAGGCAGAGCCCAGGCAACCTGGGCCCCCTGCCTGGCCAGTTCTGGGATGCTGCCCTCAGCAGAGCTGGGGGAGAACTGTCACACTTTCACTGCCCTTGCCACCCGGCTCATATCACCAGGCACCATGCCACTGCAGGGACACTCCTCAATTCACCAACCAGCAAAGGACCCCTGGAATTTTTCTTGACTCTGAGGCTTTAGTGAAAGTAGTGAGGAAAACATCTAAAAATAAAATCGTGATGAATTCAAGATGTATGTGGCATTATGCTTGTCAGAAAAAGCTCAATGACTTAAGTTTTGTCCCCATCATTCCTTAGGAGCCACCGGGTAAACATTTGCACCTGGCTGGAGAGGGCAGAGAGGAGCCTTGGTTCCCATCAGGCCACCAGCCCTAGGATTTGCCAGCATCATTCTGTGGTGCCTACTCACACACACACGTGCTCTCTCCCCAGCCTCTCCTCTTCAGCACCCTCCCTCCCCAGTGTCCATACATTTTCCTACATCTGGTTGTGGACGGAAATGTCTGAGGAATCACAGAAGGGCCCTGATAGTGAAATAGACACAGGGGCCAGCCTGCACCCTTCTTGACCCTTGGGCTTGACCTAATATCTTTGCAGGGTAGTTCACAGTCTGAACCAGGTGAGCAAACTTCTTGTGTGAAGAGCAGACAGCAAACATTTCAGGCTGTGGGGGCCACCCAGTCTCTGCTGCAACTGGTTAACTTGCTGCTGTAGCTTCAAAGTAGCCATAGGCAATATATAAACAAATTGTGTCACTGTGTTCCAGTAAAACTTTATTATACACACTGAACTTTGAATTTCATATAATTTTGGGGTGTTTTGCAATATTAGTCTTCCCAGCCGCCTAAAAATGTAAAATCCATGGGTCATGCAAAAACAGGTGGCTAGCCAGATTTGTCCCAAGGATCATAATTTGCCAAGCCATGACCTAAATACCCAAAGAATTATTGGAGCCAAAACCACAGATGCCACCCAAGAACCATGTGCTCAGGTAAAAAAAGCTCTGTGAAGAAGGGGTAAAAAGAGCAGAGAGAAATGTTGACTTTTCTCTTAAAAACCATCTACTCCTCCCTGCTCAGGCTAATTAGCTCACTCTCCACCAGCTGCAGCAACTGAAGCTGAAACAGCCAAATTCCCGCAGCAGCAACAGCTAATGACGCTTCCCAGCACCTCATTTGATCATTCCTGCAACCGATTAGGTAGATACAGGGAAGGAAACTGGAGAGCAGACAGGATGAGGACCGTGCCCAAGACCTCAGATAGCACATGGCAGAATCAGCATTTGGACACAATTGGACTAGTCCCTGCTGTCCCCACTGTGACACCTTTGTGAAAATTGTGAACAAATGCAAAACTGGAGTGTGATATTCCCCTTCCTGTGTCCATGTGATCTCATTGTTCAATTCCCACCTATGAGTGAGAATATGCGGTGTTTGGTTTTTTGTTCTTGCGATAGTTTACTGAGAATGATGATTTCCAATTTCATCCATGTCCCTACAAATGACATGAACTCATCATTTTTTATGGCTGCATAGTATTCCATGGTGTATATGTGCCACATTTTCTTAATCCAGTCTATCATTGTTGGACATTTGGGTTAGTTCCAAGTCTTTGCTATTGTGAATAATGCCGCAATAAACATACTGTGCATGTGTCTTTATAGCAGCATGATTTATAGTCATTTGGGTATATGCCCAGTAATGGGATGGCTGGGTCAAATGGTATTTCTAGTTCTAGATCCCTGAGGAATCGCCACACTGACTTCCACAATGGTTGAACTAGTTTACAGTCCCACCAACAGTGTAAAAGTGTTCCTATTTCTCCACATGGGGACTGTGGTGGGGTTGGGGGAGGGGGGAGGGATAGCATTGGGAGATATACCTAATGCTAGATGACGAGTTAGTGGGTGCAGCGCACCAGCATGGCACATGTATACATATGTAACTAACCTGCACAATGTGCACATGTACCCTAAAACTTAAAGTATAATAAAAAAAAAATGCAAAACTGGAAGAGCCAATCCTTTAAGATGAGTCCCATGTGGGTAACTGGCCCTATATTTAAAATATAGCTGAGTGGCTATTTGCTGATTAGAGGTCACACAGGTAACTCACACAAGCACTCTGAAAACCAGCACCTTTTTAGCTTTGGGACTCTCAGAGCTTACCTGAACCAACCAATCAGAGCTCACCTACCTTTGCAATCAAAGTTTGGCTGACCAATCACGGCTCACCTGTATCCAATCAGAACTCAGCTGCATTGACCAATCAGAACTAAGCAAGTTTGACTCCTTTATGTGCATCAACCGACCCGATTGGGATCTTGTGTGGGACCTTTGCTACAAAACCCAAACCCTCTCTTTAGCCCCGGGAAGATAACTTTCTTTTACACCAAAGGCTGTGTCTCCCCAGTTTGCAAACTGTTCACTGGGATGAAGTCTCTTTCCTCCCAATTTTGTTTTTCAGGGAACTTTTGCTCACAAAACGAATCACAGCTGGCCCACAGCAGAGCTGCAGGCGGGGCAGAGAACCCACAGCAGAGGGCTCTGTCACCGCAGAACCAGGCAGATCTGTGTGAGCAGCAAGCATAAACTCAGGGCAGCAGGCTCTGTCTTGAGGGCTAGAAGGAACGACGGAGCCACGGCGATGGTCTTTCTCCGAGATGCATTTCCAGGAAGTTGGAATTCTGATCTTACTGAGACTTTATTTTGCTGAGCTTGGCATTGACTACTTGGACACTGAGTCACTGTTTACTGCTTTCGAAAATAAGACAAGCTCATGGGCTTGCTGGGGATGAAGCAAGAAACGTGTGGCCCCATCAGGACTGGCGCCCAGAGCCCGGGTCACCCTGTGCACAGAACTGACACCTTAAGGAGACAGAGTGGCGCCGGCGCCCTGGGCCACCTGGAGGGCCCGAGAGCGGGAGAGGGTTCAGGGAGGGTGTCTGTGATGGGAGGAGCAGGCCCAGGACGGAGGAGGACAGAGTCGGGGGTCTCAGGGCAGTGTGTGCCTTCTGCCAGTCGCTAGGGCGGACTCGAGGTTGCCCTCCGCGCCTTCCTCGCTGTCACCTCCCACAGCCAAGGCAGCTGCCAAGGTCACTCCTAAATACATCCCAAGTCCACCCCATGCCGCTCCCCTCAGCCGTGGTCCCAGTCCAGACCACGATTCCGCCCAGACCCTGCATGACCCCTCCCATCTCAGGCTCCACTTGGGGACCAGAGGGATCTTAAAATATGGATGGGACAGTGACGCCTCTCCTTAAAAGCTCAGGAAAGATGAAAATGTCCTCATCCTCTCTCAAGGCATTTGCAGTTCCCCTACCCCGGGCGCTGCCCCACCCCTCACGGACTCCTCTCCATCCCCGGGTCCCCACCTGGCCACCTCCCTCAGGAAAGCTCCTGGCCCTACTCACCATCAGTCTCTTTAGGACCTCTCCACTCACCCTCTGGCGTTCACCTCTCCCTCTTGCCCGTTAGAGTGAGGCCTTGATGAGGCACCTGCCTTATTCCTCCTGCCCGTCCTGATGGCTCCTGCCCACCTCCACAGCAGAGCCTGCTTCTCCGTGCCTGGAAGCTTTCCCCAGAAGAGCAGGTCTGCATGTACACGCAGGTGCACACAAGCAACAGGCCGGGAGCACCCCTCACCCAGAGACTCTGCCAGTGTGTGTGCAGACCTGAGCTCCCTTGCCCCAGGAGGAACAGTGCTGGTGTGTGTGTGTGTGTGTGTCTCTGTGTGTGTATCTGTGTGTCTGTGTGTGTGTATCTGTGTCTGTGTGTCTGTGTATGTGTGTCTGTGTCTCTGTGTGTCTCTGTGTATGTGTCTGTGTCTGTGTGTGTGTCAGTATCTGTGTGTCTATTTGTGTCTGTGTCTCTCTGTGTATCTGCATGTGTGTCTGTGTCTGTGTGTGTGCCTGTATCTGTGTGTCTATTTGTGTCTGTGTCTCTTTGTGTGTGTATCTGCGTGTGTGTCTCTGTGTGTGTGTCTGTGTATGTGTGTCTGTGTGTGCACTCACACTGGTTCTCCAGGGTTCCTCCCAGGACTGAGCTGAAGTTGTCCACAGCGGCCCCTGCTGGAGCACACACCTTGATTCTCTGCCTCTGCTCCCCAGGCTCACTTCCCCATTCTCTTCTGGCTGCTTCCTGGCATTGCCTCTCAGATAAGCCACTTCGCGCTGATGGGAACTCAGATGCTGGGAGTACACATGCACCTTGGTGTCGAGCTCAGCGGCTGGCACAGAGGGAGGGAGAGAAGGAGGTGGACTACCAAGTTATTGTCTAAACATCAGCCTCTGGTCACCGCTCGTGTGAGGCAGTGAGCATCCCTTCTTGCCCCCTGGGCTCTCAGCGGTCAGCCTTGGGTCCTGGGGAGACTTGGCCAAGTCCCGGTTCCCTGGGGCTATCTCTCTCCTGCCCTGCGCTTTTGAGTGTCCCCTCCCCACATCCCCTCTTTCATCCTGACCCACTACTCTGGTTGTAAATAAAATAAGCAGACTACAACAGCTTACTATCACACTGTTCAGCCATGGACTGCCTTGTTCAGCCATGAACTGCCTTGTCTTGAAGGAATCCTAGTATTACTACTTGAATCCTAATCGCTCTTAAATTTGAAAAATTAAGGCTAATGGAATTTGTACAACAGTTGTATCAAGAGGAAAGTCTATGATAATTACTATAAAAACAGCCCAGCTCCATCAGCTTTGCATGGGTGATCGCTCCAGCGGTGTGCCCATCCTCAGCTATAGTCCCTTTCTACAGATTAGGAGGCAGAGGCCTAGTGAGGCTAGGGCACTTGCCCGGATCCCTTGCAAATGTTTGGCCCATGTCCCTAACCACCATGCTCTTATGTCTCCTGTTTTCTGGGTCACTTCTCACTATGAATTGGGGGATGTAAATATTTGCATAAATTGGATATAAATATCTGAAAGGTTTCAAAGGGAAGGAAAGTGTGTGCCTAGCGTCTCCACTGCTTATGCACAGAAGAGACGATGGGATGCTAGAGGAGCATGCTGAGTCTCTCTGTAGAACAAAATTATCAACCCGTTATCCAGAGCAGCTGAAGGAAAGGGCGGGACTCACCCAGTGACTGAGCAACCAGTGTGAGTGGAGTTGGAAGGGCAACCCCACCCCCGTGGTTACTTGAGGCAAGGACCGACCCTTCATCAAGATTACAGAAATGACCCCATCCTTTAACTCATTATTCACTGCTCATACACTAAACAGGTTGCTTTCTTTGGCTCTCCCCCACCCCGACCCTCGCTCTCTGCCTTTCTTTCCAAAACCTCCACTTTTAGGAAACTTTGGCTGCTGTTTGCAAAATTAGTTCCCAGGTCAAGACATTACATTTGGTCTGGAATTTTCGGGCTCCACCTTTTGGCAAAGGACCACGGAAGTGGCCTTTGGTCCACCCAGCCCTGTGTTTTTCAGCGGGATGTGCTGATGCCGCAGCTGCACTCCGGGGCTGACAGTAGCTGAATGTTCATCAGCAACGCTTAGCACAGTTGGCCACACCTCCAGGGCCCAGGCACAACTTTAATTCAGCCACAGTATCTTCTAATTTTCCCTAATGCTCATGAGAAAAATGTGCTCTCTATAGTTTTTATCCCTAAAGGTTTTCTTTTCTTAGCTGCTGAAGCCACCGAGATTTTCACAGATGGCCAGCACTTCTCACAGCAGTGGTGCCCAGTGACCCGTTTAATAGGGGTATCAGTTCCTGTTCCGGCTCAGACACTTAGAATGTGGTTCTGGTTTCCAGTAATTTTTGATCCTGGAAACAAAAGCGGATGTATTA
This sequence comes from Homo sapiens, assembly GCF_000001405.40. NCBI lineage: Eukaryota > Metazoa > Chordata > Mammalia > Primates > Hominidae > Homo > Homo sapiens. The sequence goes on from NC_000020.11 coordinate 23,247,550, forward strand.
TCCTAGCACCAATATTTCTAATGCAGCCTGTCCACGTAAAAGCCCCGGAGGGCTCAAGCTCTCGAGATGTTTTCTGGAGCCATAACACTGGTCATATTTTAAGTTCAAAACCCCAAAAAGAATATTGATGCTTCAATGGTGGTTTCTGATCTCCAGGAAGGCTGGGGTCAGGGAGGCCTGTGCTTCCTCCAGCCTCGGCCAGTTAGGCAAGGAGTTGGGTCCTGAGCCTCAGTTTCCTGCCTCACAGGGAGGATGAAAGGGGCACTGGTAACACATTTGGCCTTTGCTGTCCTTAATAGACTCCTTAGAGCCATGTGGAAAGTTCCAATGGACTTTGGCAGAACCTGAAGGGGAGTCCCCATCACACACAAGCCCTTGTTCCCCACCCAGAGCCCCTGTGAAAGGAGGAGGGGGACGGCCAGATCCCAGAATTATGGGCAGGGATCCTGAGTCAGGTTATGGGCAGGATCCCACAAGCTCCCATCTCTCAAGCCCAGTCCTTACCCTTCCCTTGTGGAGCAGGCTGGGCCCAGAACCCACCGCTCCCAAGGTCATGGTATTCCGCAGACAACCCAGGTCATTCGGGCAATCCCTGGGTGATGATGACACCTTTTAAAACATATATTACAGAAATTTTCTATGTTTGTGTAGGAAAATTAGAAAATCAAAAGAACCAAAGCCAAGAAACATTGAAAATACCTATAATTCCCCTTCACTATGATCCTACTTCACACCACTCATGTTTTGATGTTTTTCTTTACAGTATGCATTATATATATTTATATATGTACATCCATAATTGTTTTCATAAAAATGAGTTCATCTTGCAATCTATTATTCTCAACTTTCCAATGGTTTTTTGGAGTCCCCAAATACATTGCAAAAGATTCAAACAACATAAAAATGAATAGAGCCCCTTCCCCATCAGCCCTCACACTCATGCATCCCCTTCTGGCTGCTGCCGTTCCCTGCTCCAGTAAACAATGCTGCCGTCAACATCTTCCCAGGGCTCCAGCTCACATCCCTTTCTCTGGAGCAGACACAGAGAAGTGGAACTGCTGACTCAAAGCATGGGCACACTCTTTATTTTGATAAATACACCAGTTTGTTCTCTAAATAGCTGTACTGATGTGTTCTCCTGAAATTGGAACAGCTGTTTTCCCACACCTGCTAACATTTGAAATCATTACAAACTTTAATGTTTGCCAGCCTAATAGGTGAAAAGTATTATCTCATGGCTGTTTTAGTTTGTATTTCCCTGAATACTGGTGATGTTTACATTGGCCAGAGCATCTCCACTGCTGTGAATAACCTCCTCACATCCTTGCCCCTATGTAGTGAGTCTTCTACAGTGATTCTAGAACTTCTTTCTATAGTCTGGCACTAAATCTTTGTATATTTTTTCTCCTAGTTTTTTAAATGTCTTTTAACTTTGTTTGTAGTACCTTTATCACAGATAATTTTAAAAATATTTTTATGTAATCAAAACCTTCACTTTTCCTTAATAAGTTTTGTGAGTTTTTTGAAAATGTGTCCACCTAAATAATAAACAGAGACTAAATAAAAAAGAGACTTTCTAAAAGAAAAGATACTTACTCGGGAAGAAAGCATTGCAATAGGAATACATATTCCGTAGTAAATTATGTTGTATTCAGAGAGGTAATGGAAGACAAAGGTTTTTAAGGGAAAAAAAAAAAACCTTTCACAAATGTCATATGCATATAAACTGCAGTTTTAGTTTTTATATTTCTTTCTTTCTTATAAAGAACTTCCAGAAACATTAATGACAGAAAAGAGGGATCTATTTTTTCCCAAAATTATATCCAAGTATCACAATTGAATCCAAGTATCATTTTTGAACATAACGAAATTTCCCATGTATTGGAAAGGCTACACACACCATATACGAAGGTATTACTTACAGTACTTGTGTGTGTGCTAAAATTGCATTCTGTGTGCTCTGTTTCCTTGAAAGTCATTTCCATTTGTTGAGTCAGTGCCTGCCTTTTCTGGTGCTGATTTGCTCCTCTCTGTGCTTAAGAATCCTTGTCATCCCTGTTGAGTTTATCTTAGCCTACAGCAGGGGTTGTGATGGAGGTGCTGGAGGTGGTTGAGATGAAGAAGGTACCTTCCTCTCACTCCCAGCTGCCGGGATTTCTGGTGCTCTACCCAGCCTGGCTGGCCTCACTGCTGTACTGCCCTGTTGACCGTATGATCCTCTTCCTTCGCTTCTCTCTGCTCAGCAGAAGGTGGTGGGAAGTAAAGAGCTCTCAGCCTGGGGTGTTAGATCCACCTACCCAGATCAGCTTCTTGAGGCTACTCAGGAGTTTCCTCGCTTTCTATATCCATGGCCTCTGGCTTCAGAATTCCCAATGGCTTCTATGTGTGAGGCTTTTACCTCCAGCAGTGTCTGAGCTGTGCGGTCCTCTACCCTGCTTCTTTATGGATCATATCCTTTCCACTTTCTCTCTCTCTCAGAAATTCATCAGAACTTCTACCCAATGCAGTTTCCCACATTGAGGATTTATACTTATCTGACATTTTACTGGATTTGGGATGAGCCGATCTTCTCATTATCCTTCTGGAGCATACAGTTCTGCATTGTCATTGCACCCAGCTGTGGAGAATCCCACGCATACATATCCTAAAATGCATTGCTCGGCACCGGGCACATGCCACTCCTAGTTTTAAATATTATTAATAGTCACAATGAACATCACTACACACATATCCTGGACACTTTGTTATTTCTTTTTGTTTGTTTTTTTCTTTTTTTTTTTTTTGAGATGGAATCTCATTTTGTCACCAATGCTGGAGTGTAGTGGCAAAATCTCGGCTTGCTGCAACCTCCTTCTCCTGGGCTCAAGCAATTCTCCTGCCTCAGCCTCCCAGGTAGCTGTGACTACAGGCACCCGCCACCACATCTGGCTAATTTTTTGTATTTTTAATAGAGATGGGGTTTCACCATATTGGCCAGGCTGGTCTCGAACTCCTGACTTCAAGCGATCCGCCCACCTCAGACTCCCAAGTGCTTGGATTACAGGCATGAGCCACCACCCCCAGCCTGTTATTTCTTATAGTAGATTCTTAGAAGGAGATTTATTGGGTCAACCTATATGACAATCTGTATTGCCTATGACCATAAATACTCCCCACTTATCATCCGGAAGAGTTTCATCTGTCTGTGTTCCCACCACCTTTAGAGAGGACCTCCTCACCACCCAGTCAGGACAGCCTCTGCTACTTGTTTTCTGTGTGCCTAATAGGTTTGCTTTGAAATCTTATTTATTTATTTTTTTGAAAAGGAGTCTTGCTCTGTCGCCCAGGCTGGAGTGCAGTGGCGCAATCTTGGCTCACTGCAACTCCGCCTCCCTGGTTCATGCCATTCTCCTGCCTCAGCCTCCCGAGTAGCTGGGACCACAGGCACCCGCCACCACGCCCGGCTAATTTTTTGTATTTTTAGTAGAGACGGGGTTTCACCGTGTTAGCCAGGACGGTCTTGATCTCCTGACCTCGTGATCCGCCCGCCTTGGACTCCCAAAGTGCTGGGGTTACGGGCATGAGCCACCGCACCCGGCCTGCTTTGAAATCTTATCAAAGCCCTGTAGGCTCTTACTCTGAACTTGTCCCAAGACCTTGCAGTTGACTTTGATGAAGCCAAAGTCTGTTCTGTCTTAAAATGAGCCCTGAGCAGATGACTGTGCCTAAACTTCCACCATTAGGAGCTTGCTTCTGGCCTCTGCCAAATTCCCAGCTTGGTCTAAAACCCCTAGCCCTGGCTCTGTCAGGCTTCCAGCCTCAGGAACTAGGAGGGACCAGCCCCCTGGGGATCTGTCTGCCCTCTGTGGGTCCATCATGGGTTTAGTGCCCACAGCGAGTCATACCTGCATGATCATCTGGTTACCTTCATTTTATTATTAAAATCCCAAACCACTTCATGAAGCATTGCCACTCTGGGGAAATCATGTCTTTGTGAAGTTAAGTAACTTGACTTGAGCAAGTCAAGGATTTATACCCAAGCCCAGCTACCTGTGAAGTCTCAGCCTCTATAGAAACTGCCAAAAAAGTCCTGATGGCAGCCTGCTTTGGGCCCAATCCTCAAACGTGGACAACTCTCACAATAGAAGGGACATATAAGTTGGGGATGTTATAGATTCTGACGATGTCAGAAACAGTTTTTCCCCTGATCACCACCTCCCCCAGGTATCGGCTCAAAAGAGAATCACTGTACGAGCTGCAGAGGTGGGGACTGATACTGGTGTGTTTTGTGGAGAATCCCCAGTGCCCAGAGCAATCCTTAGTGCGTAGTACGTGCTCAAATGTATTTTTAAATGCTGAACAAATGCTTCTCAGTTGTTAGCTTGCAAGAAGAGGAAGAAAGGCACATTGAGCAAAAGGAAGAGTGTGGACATCAATTCTAAGCAGCGTCCCATTTCTACACACACTTTCAGCCACACAGGAAGCACTGGCTTACCCTCTCCATGGTGGCTGTACCCCCATCTCATGTCCTAGTAACTCAAGGACTTTCCAGTCAACATGGTAAAGTTCCAAAAGTTATATCCTCTTGGCCCTGGCAGGGAAAGATTCTGCAGTTCCTTTGGGTTTTGGAATCACGCGCTTCATATGGGCATTTCTAAGGATGGGACATAAAGCACATGAGCTCTGGGGAAAAAGGACTCAGCAGAGAGTGGGTCCATGTGGGCATGATTGGTGGAGGTGGCTGTAAAGAACAAGATCATAGGACGTATGACCCCAACCAGGGAATAAGATGAGAGGCCCTAGTGAAGATGAACCCATGAGGAGGCAAGAGAGTCAACAGTGATGTCCTGCCAAGACCAGAAAGGTGCGTTCAGAGGAATTAAACCAAGAGCAAGGATGGGGGCAGTACTAGGATCACCCCTGTAATCCTAGTACTTTGGGAGGCCAAGGCAGCTGGATCACTTGAGCCCAAGAGTTCAAGACCAGCCTGGGCAATATGGCAAAAACCTCATCCCTACAAAAAAAAATACGTATATTAGTCAGGTATGGTGGTGAGCGCCTGTGGTCCCAGCTACTAGGGAGGCTGAGGTGGAAGATCACCTGAGCCCTGGAGACGGACGTAGCGGTGAGCAGAGATTGTGCCACTGCACTGCAGCCTGGGCAACAGGGTGAGACCCTGTCTCAGACAAAAAAAAAGTAAACACTAAAAAAAGTTTTTAAAAAATCAAGAGCAATAGAATACATAATCTGGGATGATAAAGATCTTATTAAGGAATTGTTCATTTAAGATTTCATCCTGAATTGGTAGTCAGCTGGGAAGAATTTAGATGGTTGATTCTTACTAAATCTTGTTCTCTGCAAAAAAGGCATTGCTTTACACAATAAATATACGTCTATTTGATTCTGAATGTCTCAAGAAGGGTTGCTATTTAAAGGTTTCATCCCATAAAACACTTTAATGGGTGTTTATGAGGCAGTTGGCCTATAACTAGGAATAAAAGGTAATAAGTTGGCTGACAGAATCAGTACCATATTGTTCGCAACAAACTGAAAAGATAGGACAAACAGCTGGGATTTCTGCTAACTGATGTCCAGTCGGTATTTGGATATCTCCAATGACATGAAACTCACTACTGCTCAGCAACCATAGGAAGACACTGGCCAGCCCATCCACTCATGCGGTGCTGGAACCCTTTTTTTATTTTAAAATATTTAATTGACAAAAATTGCATCTGTTCAAGGTGCGATGTGATGCTTCGATCTAGATATATACAGGTATATTGATTACCACAGTCAAATTAACTAACAAATCTATCACCACCCATGATTACCATCATGTTGAGGGGATGAGGCAGTGAAGACACTAAAGATCTGCTGTCTTATCAAATTTCAAGTCAACAATACAGTATTATTAACACAGTCACCATGCTGTGCATTAGGTCCCCAGAACATGTAACTGAAGGTTTGTATCTTTTGACCAACATCTCCCCAGCTCTGCATGAGTGGATGGTCAGCATTTTCCAAACCCACTCTGAAGACTTTGCCTGGTTGGCTACATCAATATCTCCTGAGAAAGTACAAAAGTCCAGGCCCAGTCACAGAAATTCTGATGCATAGTTTGGAGATGGATACAGTGGTGTTGGTAAATGTTGAACAACAGGCTCTCCAGAAAACACAGAAATCCTCATGTAGAGAGCATGCCCACTCAGGCTGCCAGTATGATGTCACCAAATGTGAACTGGGGAAGGAATATGCAGAAGCCACCATTACAGAGTATCCCCACGACATAGACACAGTGGATGAAATTAGCCTTAACGGCATAGACCATGAACAATCGTAAAATAGAAAGTGATGAGTTTTGTGTAACTATTCCCTTTGTTTTAATATGATTTATTTCATTGTAAGTGTACATAATTCACCTTTTCATAAAGGCTGTATGTAAAAACTGGCTACAGAGAATCCTGACAGTTTAACAATTGGCTCTCAGGTTGGAGCGGGCTCCAGCACCGCCTGGATGGGCCTGAACACCACCGCCCCACATACCCTGGATTTTGGAAGAGCTTAACAGGCTCTTTCAGCTTTGAGATTCCATGGCTTCATTATTCCACAATAAATGGAAAGAAGGCCACTCTGGATAAAGCAGTGAGCCACCCCCTCCCACGCCATGTGGGGGCTGTCCAGCCTCGGCAGGGCAGCTTCTCTGTACCCAGGCTGCCTCCTGAAGCAGCTTCCTCTTTGCATAGTCTTCAGTGGCTTTGTAGACTATCTCTGGGGTGCTGCAGAACCCCATGAAGGAGAGTGTCTGCAAATAATCAAACAGCAAGAAAGTAACTTTAATTTCATGTGGGCAAGCAGAGAAAGCTAAAATAGAAGCGAGGATCATAGAGCAGGTCACCAGGATGAAGACTGCATGAAGGCAAGGGCTTTGATGTACTCATTGTCCTGGCCCCGGCATGGAGGTGGCTGGAAGGCAAGAGGGAGGAGGAGGGAGGCAGAGATGGAAGGATGAAGGAGAAGAAGGAAGGAAGGAAGGAAGGGAAGGAGGGAGGGACAGAGGGAGGGATGGAGGGAGAGAGGGAGGGAAGGAAGGAGGGAGGGAAGGAGGGAGGGAAGGAGGAAGGGAGGGAAGGAGGGAGGGAGGGAAGGAACGAGGGAAGGAAGGAGGGAAGAAGGGAGGGAGTGAGAGAAGGAGGGAATACTTTCTTTCAGAGGGTTCACATTCTGAGAAATAATGCTAGAGCAGCTTTGCCCTAAACAAACAAAAGGAAAGTTTTTTTAAAAAGATCAGAACCTGGTTGGTTCAAAGCACTTTATTTGCATTCTCATTAATCTCTCACAATATCCCTAAAAGACGGATCTTCTCATCCCAATTTTTCAGGAGGGGCTCAGAATTATTAATATTTCACAGGTTGCCCACAGTGCTTCACATCTGACAGTTGGCAAAGACAGACTTCAGTAAATGCCTCTCCCTACCTCCTCTGAGCTCTCCGCCAGCCCATCCCACCCCCCTCCCTGCTGGAGTTGATGTCCTGGTGGGGAGAGACAGGGGAAAAACCCACACACATGCTGCCTGTCCATGGATGCTAAGTGCTGAGGATGACATCTGCAAGTGGGAACCAAGATGGGAGTGGGAGATGGCACAATTTAAAACAGGGGGCACAAAATAACACATGTGGACATTTCCCCCTCAAGGAGGGGGAGCTTAATTCCCATCTCCCGCTTTAGGGGAGCCAGACTTAGTGAGCTGCTTCCAAAGAACAGCGTATGAAGAGGGAAAGTGGGCAACTTTACAAAGGAGGAACCGGGCGGCTAACTTCTGCACCCAGTGATGCCTGAGAACAGGCTCAGCTGTCAATGAGGGTGACATTACCACAAACTAAAAACGCTGAATAGGGGGACTTCACAAAACCTGCAGTGTGATTGCGCTGAAAAGAAGAGAGGATGGAAGTGCAGCCATGCATGCCTGTGTGTGTATGTGTGGGTGTGCATGTATGTGTGTGTGAGTGCATGTGTCTGTGTGTGTGTGTATGATGGAGGCAAGGAGAATAAGTGTGTGTGTGTATACATAAAAGGTTAATATCTGGGCTGGTCTGCAATGAGAAGGCACTAAATTTCTCTGCTTTTCTCCCTAAAACCACAATTATGAAGAGACATTGGAGAAGCCAGATTGGACTGTGCTAGGGAATGTTTGCTCAGAACTAAATTGGGGTCTCCAGCTGGCTTTCCAGGCCAGTGGTAACCCCTTCTTTGCAGCCCGTTGTCCTCAGATTTTAAATCATGGCTGCTGGTGACCTGGGTCCAGCCCAGCCTGGGATGGGTTGTGTGAGACTCCACCAGATGTCGCAGGCACAGCCTCCAGATGCAGCTCTCCTGTCTCTCTCTCCTGGAGGCTGTGGCCTGGGGCCACCCTGCAGGGAGAGCTGCTGGGTGTGGGTCTCCAGGGCTCTGCATCTGCAAGGCTTGTTCACTTCACTGGTACATGCAGGGGCGCCCTGGGATGGACTCTGTGCCTATGATAGCCTCAGGCCAGCAGGCTCCCTCCCCTCCATGGAGGAGAGGCAGGAGCACTTAGGTGGGACTCATCTATGACCCTGTAGCCAAGCAGGCAAGGCATGAGGGATTCCCCACAACTCCTAACATAAACTTCGGGCTGGGCCAGAGCAGCTGTTGCAGGGCTTCAGCTGTGAGGAAGGGAATTCTGTGTCTGATGGAGCCCAGCAAGCCTGGCGGCTCACAGGCTGAATCCAAACAATGCTCAGCATGTGTGTTCACTTCCTGGGCTATTGTAACAAGTCATCCCACATTCGGGTGGCTTAAAGCAACAGAAATATATTCTCTCCCAGGTCTGGAGGCCAGAAGTCCATAGTCAAGGTTTCAGAAGGGCCACAGTCTCCTAACAGGCTCCAGGGCAGGATCCTTCCTGCCTCTTCCAGCTCCTGGTGGCTCCAGGCCTTCCATGGCTGTGGCTGCATCGCTCCAATCTCAGCCTCCACCTTGACATTCTTCCCTGTGTGACTCTGTTTCTGTGGCTCTTCTCTTCTTATAAGGACACCAGTCATACTGGGTTAAGTGCCCATTCTACTCCAGCATGACCTCATCTCAATGTAAAGAATTACATCTGCAACACACTAGGAGGATGTTGTTCTGAGGTTCTGTGTGGACATAGATTTCTGTGGGGAGTGGGAGGTGCTCTTCAACCCAGTACGGTGTGTATAAGCATCACAGGCAGGTTGCTCTTAGCAGGAGGAGGCCAGGTGCCCCAGCACAACACTAAACAACAAAGACCCTAGGTTCCAACCCAAATCCTGTGTCCAATTTCTCTAATCCCTCTAAACCTCAGTGTCTGCATCTTAAAATAGAGGCCGTCATTTATAATGTTAGGAAGTGGTGAGCATTTAAGTGCTCCATGAGTGCATGGTGGATCTGATCATCCTATCTAGGGCTAGAAAAAGAAAGGGTGATGTATAAAAACACCCAGGAGCACACGTCCTCATACACGTCGTTTTGCATTTGCCCTTAATAACAAGGACAGCTCAGGAAACGTAATTTGGCAGTTCAGCCCTGGAAGCCTTATTCCCACCTTCCCACCTGTTCTTTCCAATAGCTCACCTTCCCCAGCAGCGGCCAGCCCTGCAGTGTCACTCATCATTGATAAGACCCTGGAAGGCGTGTTCTGACCCCGGGAGCACAAACACAATAGACACAGAGACAGATGCCTCCCCCGGGAGCAGATGAGCCCAGCCCCTCCCACTTCCCCCAGACCCTGCCCTCCATCCTGGCTGGAGCCCAAGGGGCCCCACGCCCACCCAGGAGGAAGAGGCTCCGCTTCCACACCGGGTTCCAAGAGACGCACCCCCACCTCAAGGCAAGTGTACCAGTGCCAGGCCAGAGAGAAGCTGGCCACTTTTCTCTCCCACAGTAAAAGTGCTATGTAAGCAGAAACCCACCCAGCTACTTAAGCGCACAGACCTGTCTATTCGGGCAGCGATTCCTCAGCTCCACACCCAGCATACTGAAGAAGTTGGGAGTTGCAGGTGAAAAAAATCACTCAGGGCTTCCAGGTTTCTACAACTGCTTAGCAGACACCTTACTCATCTGAGCCCTCACAGAGCACTGTGACCACAAATAGGCCAGCACTTTCATTTCCAATCTACAAATAAAAAATATCAGGCGCAGAGCTCTTTCTCAAGGAGGCACAGCTAATGTCAGAGCCCAGGCTCTGCCCCAGGCTCAGGGCCTTCAATAATCCTGTGCTACCTAAGGAGCAGTTTTTATCCTGTGTGGTTTGTCTGGAAAGGAACACAGCCCCCATCCCAGAAGGGCGTGCCTTCATGCTCACACCACAGGGTCACCTCATAGGCTGCCATCCCTTTTCTCCTCTGTCAGTATATACATGTTTCCACCTGAGGATCAAGAGAAGTGTGGCCCAGTAGCCGGGGAATTGAAGCAAAAAGACCTAGATGTGAATCTGGTCTCTGCTGCCCTGGGCAAGTGTGCTACAGTGTTCCAATCACAGCTCATTCAAAATCACGAGAGGATAATCACCCCTGCCTGGCATCGCAGTGCAGAGGCATAAAAGCAGCATTTATAAAGCCCGATGCCATACCTCCCAGAGTGAGCCTTATCAACAGCAGCCATCATTATGCCATTAAACACTCAAAAGGCTTTCTTTAGAGGAGAAAGGATTGCATCATTGATTAGAGGTTGGCCTGAATTTGTGCAAATGTTGTTGGTGAGAAAGCTTGGTGCCTGATGACTGATAAACCCAGAATGCAATATTGCTAGGATTTTTTTATAGTCAGCCTCCTCTTTCCAATAACCCCCTGCTCACTCCTAAGCCACTTAGGCTGAGCAAGAGGGAATTAACCTGGGCGAGTCCAGAGCGGAAGCCTGAATGGCCCATTCATCTTTCAGTAGCTGACAATGGGTTGCATATTACTTTATAAGCTCTACAGTTTAGTGTCAATGAAGCCTCGGTGTTTTTAAAGCTCCTGTTATGCCATCATTACTTCAGATATGTGGAAAATTCACTTGCAAGCATAACATTTTTCACAGTTTGTGATTTGTATCAGGAAGTGACTCAACTTCCTCTAGGCTCCAAGGCAGTCATAGCTGGGAAGGGGAAAACTCTGTCTGCCAAGACCAAGGGAACCAACCAGCTGCATCATAAACCACACCATTGTGGAATATATCCTGCTAATCTGGCTAAAGATGACTGCAGGACAAAATTTCCAGGGTGAGAGTGCCCTTCAAGAGCCCAGCACATTGGGAGAAAATAGACTAAGATCAAAAATCCCTATGCATTCTAGAGCAAAACCATAAAAGCTTATACCAAAGATCAAGGGTTGCAAGCCATCTGACTTCTCTGCAGCCACACTGGAAGCTACAAGACATAAATCAAAGACATAAGACTTTCTCTTAGCTGCGTGTGGTGGCAGGTGCCTGTAATCCCACCTACTCAGAAGGCTGAGGCATGAGACTCGCTTGAACCAGGGAGGTGGAGGCTCCCCAGCCCATTGCCCAGGCTGGAGTGCAGTGAGCCGAGATCACTCCACTGCACTCCAGCCTGGGTGATAGAGTGGGACTCTATCTTAAAACAAAAAAACAAACAAACAAACAAAAACTTTCTCAATTGTGAAAGTAAATAATTTGCAACCTAGAATTCTATACCTGGTTGTCTTACTCCATTCAGGCTACCATAACATAATGCCTTAGATTGGGTAATTTATAAACAACTGAAATTAATTTCTCACAGTCCTGGAGGCTGTAAAGTCCAAGATCAAGGTGTCAGCAGATTCAGTGTCTGACGAGTGCTCAGTCTCTACTTCATAGACAGCCAGCCCCTCCCTGTCTATGCAAATGGTGGAAGGGACAGATAAGCTCCCTGGGGTACTAATCCCATTTATGAAGGTTGAGCCCTCATGACCTCATCACCCCCCAAAAACCCCACCTCTTAATACTATTGCACTGGGGATTTGGTTCCAACATAAGAATTTTGGGGGGACAAACAACATTCAGATCATAGCACCAGCCAGTCAATTAAGTAGGAAGGTAGACTGTAGACATTTTCAAATATGTGAGATCTCAGAAATGTTCCTTCACTTCTCTCTCTGAAGAAGCTACTGGAGTTTGTACTCCATCAAATTAAGAGAATGAATCAAAGAATGTGGTGAGACAGAATCCAAGAAGCAGAAAATCCAGCACAGGAGAGGAGAGGAGACTCTCTGGAGGAACTCCAAGTGAAGATGCCAGGATGGCAGTGATGCACCAGATCTAGACCTCAGTCCAGACTGGAGGAGTCAGGGGCTCTAGGAGAGACTTCTTCAAGAAAAAGAAATTAAGAGTATCTGGTGTGGATATCTTAAGTAACTGGAGGAGAGTTTGAGAATAAATTAGTGATTTGTATTTGAAAAGTACAAAAACACAATCATGAACCCCAGGAAAAACAAAAAGTCATGTAAGCAGGAAGAGCAATCATAGTACTACCAGGCTCAGTTGTCAATGAGGGTGACATTACCACAAAATAAAAACGCTGAATAGGGGGACTTCACAAAACCTGCAGTGTGATTGTCCTGAAAAGAAGAGAGGATGGAAGTGCAGCCATGCATGCCTGTGTGTGTATGTGTGGGTGTGCATGTATGTGTGTGTGAGTGCATTTGTGCGTATGTGTATGCTGGAGGCAAGGAGAATAAGTGCGTGTGTATATATAAAAGGTTAATATCTGGGCTGATCAAGGCCTAGGCCTGGGCCTGGGCTGATCAAAGCCTTACTAGAGAAAAGACCTAAGAGTCTGTCTTCACACAGTGTGGTTTCCTTGGAGACAACAGTGGTAAGATCCATGAGGAAGGGGCTGCCCACATGGTTTGCTCTGGAACCTCTGATTTCTAGGGCTGCCCTGAAGTGGGGAGTCTGCAAGCTGGCCTGCTGGTCTTGGGCCTGAGTGACCAGAAAAATGTAAAAGATTGAGGGGAAACCAATCTGTGGCCTCTCTCTGTCCAAGTGACCCAACTCACTGTGGCTCTCCTCTGTGACGGCCGTGCACTTCCCACATGGATGCAAGGGCTGCTGGGCTCCAGATGGATGGAGATGCTGGGCATTCTACCTTCTCTATCCTGCATCCTGAGATGGAGAGAAGCCAGCCTGGCTCAGGGTTAAAGCTGATTGTGTCTGCTGAGTTGCGTATCAGCTCCCACCTGTCACTACTGCCGTTCTGATAAGGCAGCAGAGTTAATCTCCATTTTTACAATGAAAGTTAATAGACAATGCCTAAGACTGAAAAATCAAGATGTAGAAATATAAATGTGTGATTTTGAGATACGAAGATGAACTTTATATGAAGAATGAGTTGGAGATAAGGGGGTTACTGCTACCGGGGAGCAAAAAAAATGTGGTATAGGCAAGAAAAGGGAGAGCTGCTCCTACAGGGGTGAGGGCACATCTTGCAGAGGGACTTGACTTTTTACACAATGTGCATGGGTAAAGTTGAAATAGTACATGTAGTAAAATTTTTGAAAGACAAAATATTGCAACTTTAGGTTCATGAAGCTTCAAGTGGCTTTTTAATATCTTCTAATTTTCAGTGATTGTTTTACACATTTCTCGTTTTTGAACAAGAAGCAAAAATCTGTTTGTAAGACTGAGGAGAAAAAGATAGAGGTAGGTCATTGCCAACACACGTCTTCTGCAGGCAAATGTTCCAAACAAATTTCAAAGCCTCTTTGTAACTAAATTTTTCTTTCTAAGCCCAAATTTAATTCTGCAGTGTGTCAAGGCAAATGTTTTAAATGAATGTTCTTTTTCCATTATTATTGTAATTATTATTTTTAAAAATCTAAATAATAGCCAACTTGAATTGCGTCTCTATTCTATGCCAGGCACTGTGCTAAATTCTTTTTTTTTTTTTTTTTTTTTTTTTTAGGAGGCCGTTACATAGTTTTATTTTGTTTTGGGATTTTATTTTGGTGTGAGTGAAAGAAGTGTGTGCAGGTGTGTTGGGGTGTGGTTAATGTTGAATTTCCCATAGAATGTAGAGCTGCTCTCTTGGGACCATAACATGTATATCTGAGAAAGCCCAAAAAGAGGGCAAACCTATGGCTTAATATTAATTTTTCCTGCATAAAGGTAATTGAACCATTTCTTGTATTAGTACTGTTTTTGAGCCCCATAGGCCTTGAATTATGAGTATATTAAGAGAGAGAGAGAGAAGATAATGGATGGTCTAGTAAAAAGAAGAAAATATGTAAGAAAAAACATTATTAAAGGCACAAAATTAGGATGCAATCAGGAAAAACATATAGCTCACTTGGATTATATTTGTATTACTGACAAAACACACAATACAAAAACATAAGTGCATACCGTACAGGCCATATTGAATATCAGAACAAGTAGTTAGACATAGAGCCAACAAATATTTCCTGGCAAAAGTATCACTGGACCAATGTGAATTTAACTGAAGCAACTTCTAGAAATATATTAGCCTTTGTATAGTCAAAAATGACTACTTGTTTTAAGAAAAAGTAAAATAAGCAAAAGGATTTTTTTTTTTTTTTGCCTCACACTTTTTTTTTTTTTATTATACTTTAAGTTTTAGGGTACATGTGCACATTGTGCAGGTTAGTTACATATGTATACATGTGCCATGCTGGTGCGCTGCACCCACTAACTCGTCATCTAGCATTAGGTATATCTCCCAATGCTATCCCTCCCCCCTCCCCCAACCCCACCACAGTCCCCAGAGTGTGATATTCCCCTTCCTGTGTCCATGTGATCTCATTGTTCAATTCCCACCTATGAGTGAGAATATGCGGTGTTTGGTTTTTTGTTCTTGCGATAGTTTACTGAGAATGATGATTTCCAATTTCATCCATGTCCCTAAAAGGACATGAACTCATCATTTTTTATGGCTGCATAGTATTCCATGGTGTATATGTGCCACATTTTCTTAATCCATTCTATCATTTTTGGACATTTGGGTTGGTTCCAAGTCTTTGCTATTGTGAATAATGCCGCAATAAACATACGTGTGCATGTGTCTTTATAGCAGCATGATTTATAGTCATTTGGATATATACCCAGTAATGGGATGGCTGGGTCAAATGGTATTTCTAGTTCTAGATCCCTGAGGAATCGCCACACTGACTTCCACAATGGTTGAACTAGTTTACAGTCCCACCAACAGTGTAAAAGTGTTCCTATTTCTCCACATCCTCTCCAGCACCTGTTGTTTCCTGACTTTTTAATGATTGCCATTCTAACTGGTGTGAGATGGTATCTCGTAGTGGTTTTGATTTGCATTTCTCTGATGGCCAGTGATGGTGAGCATTTTTTCATGTGTTTTTTGGCTGCATAAATGTCTTCTTTTGAGAAGTGTCTGTTCATGTCCTTCGCCCACTTTTTGATGGGGTTGTTTGTTTTTTTCTTGTAAATTTGTTTGAGTTCATTGTAGATTCTGGATATTAGCCCTTTGTCAGATGAGTAGGTTGCGAAAATTTTCTCCCATTTTGTAGGTTGCCTGTTCACTCTGATGGTAGTTTCTTTTGCTGTGCAGAAGCTCTTTAGTTTAATTAGATCCCATTTGTCAATTTTGTCTTTTGTTGCCATTGCTTTTGGTGTTTTGGACATGAAGTCCTTGCCCATGCCTATGTCCTGAATGGTAATGCCTAGGTTTTCTTCTAGGGTTTTTATGGTTTTAGGTCTAACGTTTAAATCTTTAATCCATCTTGAATTGATTTTTGTATAAGGTGTAAGGAAGGGATCCAGTTTCAGCTTCCTACATATGGCTAGCCAGTTTTCCCAGCACCATTTATTAAATAGGGAATCCTTTCCCCATTGCTTGTTTTTCTCAGGTTTGTCAAAGATCAGATAGTTGTAGGTATGTGGCGTTATTTCTGAGGGCTCTGTTCTGTTCTTTATTTAAATGGTCTCATGCAAATTTTCACAACAGCTTTATTAAAAAACTGCCTTCATTACCCTCATTTTACAATGAGACATTCCAGGCCCACAGATATAAGTTTATCTCGGCAGCCTCATGAACAGGAGGCAGCAGGTCTGGACGTAGCCGGGACACAGCCAGGACACAGACTAAACCTCTTAGTTTATGCTAGCCTGCCTTCACCTTATTTGTATTACATTGACACCAGGACATTAATCAGACATGCTAAGAATGAATCCCTGTCACCTCAATTGTCAGCCACACAAGCTTATTGAGGCCAAATCATAAACCAGCACTGAGCTGCTTCCTGCAAGAAATACAAGAGTTTTAAATGGGTTCCCGGCTCCTGAGGGCTTGAAGACAGGTGCATTAGTCAACACCAGTCACTATAACAAAATACCATGAACTGGGTGGCTTAAACAACAGAAGTTCTTCTCTCGCTGTGCTGGAGCCTGAAATTCTGAGGTCAAGGTACTGGCAGGGTTGGTTTCTCCTTAAGCCTCTGTCTTTGGTTTGCCCTTGTCTATCTTCTCCCTGTGTCTTCATATTTTCTCCCCTCCATGTGTGTCTGTGTCCTAATCTTCTCCCTCTCCTTTTTTTGTTTTTTTTTTTGTTTTTTGTTTTTGTTTGTTTGTTTTTTTTTTTGAGACAGAGTCTGGTTCTGTCGCCCAGGCTGGAGTGCAGTGGCATAATCTTGGCTCACTGCAACTTCCACCTCCCGGGTTCAAGTGATTCTCCTGCCTCAGCCTCCTGAGCAGCTGGGACTACAAGTGCCTACAACCAAGCCCGGCTAATTTTTGTATTTTTAGTAGAGACAGGGTTTCACCATGTTGGCCAGGCTGGTCTCGAACTCCTGACCTCAAGTAAGAACACCTGTTGTATTGGATTAATACCTACCTGTATGATCCCATTTTAATGTAATCACCTCTTTAAAGGACCTGTCTCCAAATACAGTCACACTCTGAGGTATCGGAGCTCCAACATATGAACTTCGGGGGAACTAATTCAGCCCCTGACACTAGGGCTAATAGTTCCAACGGTGCAGTGTACAAGACGACTTAGATGGGTTCAAAAGCTGTGATGGGAACAACAGATCCTGAGGCCCATGCTGCCCAGTCTTCAGCCCCTGCCCCTAACGCTCCCACAGTGCCCATCCACGATCTCATTTATACAGGCTTTCTGTGGCTGAAATGGCACATGCTCTTGGGGTCCAAGGGACCCCATTGCCTGCCACTGGGCATCTGGCAAGTGCATTGAGTGGACAAGGCACTGGCCAGCCTGTGTGGATGACAGAGCAGGAGCTGAGAAAGTGGCCCCACAGGTGACTGCTGAGCCAGGTACCCAGGTTAGAGGTCTGAGGCCTATCAGGGCTGTCATAGAACCCTGGCATCCCCAGAGAGCTCACACAGCCTCAACTTCCCACCCTGGGGCGAGAAGCCCCCTCCTGCTGAGCTGACCCTTCCTTTCCGCAGCTCTGGTCCCTGTCTACATAGGTTCTATCATTCGCGTTCCCTGTGGGCCTTAGCCACATGTAAACACATTTCCACAAGGACAGTGCTCTTAGCCCAGATTCCCAATTTCAGATCTAAAAAGGCTGCTAAGGACTTAACTGAAGAGCCAGTTGAACTTTATAAATTTCCTCTAGATTTCAAAGTACTGAGAAGAAACGGGCAGCAAGCTTGTGAGGCCAAGACATAAGCATTTGCCCTTGAACTGGAGAAGTCTCATTGCTAACGGCCTGTCCTTGTGAGTGTCCGCACCCGCAAAGTCTGAACCTAAGAATATCTTCGCCTGTCGGTGTCCACAGCTGTGAGCATCCATCCCTGTGAGCACCCATGCCTGTGATGTCCACACCAAACAGGGTCCCTCCCTGTGAGCATCCATACCTGTGAGGCGTGCACACCACAGGACTCTGCCAAGGAGGCAAACTTCAAAGTGGGGCTGCTAACCAGAGCATGGAGATCCCCTGGGAAGCTGTTAAAAACATGAATTCTCGGCACCACTCCAGACCCTCTGAGTCAGGCACTGTAGGGTGGGGTGCAGCTGTCTGTGTTCAGCGCACCCTTCAGGTCGCTGATGCAGCTGAAATCAGAGGGTGACGCTGTCCTGAAAGCAGCTGGAAGATTTGGGTTTCTTTCTTTCTCGCCCTGACTGGGGCAACAGCACAACTGGCTGACCAGAGCCATGGATGCCTTTGTGGTGGAACTTCAACTCTAAGCACATACCGGGCAAAAAAGAAGTTTGCAGGGTTTTCCTGCTTACAAAGCACAGAAAGACGGTATTTGATTTATTTATTTTTCATTTTCTTTTGAGACAGAGTCTCGCTCTGTCACCCAGGCTGGTGGGCAGTGGCGAAATCTCAGCTCACTGCAACCTCCGCCTCCCAGATTCAAGTGATTCTCCTGCCTCAGCCTCCCGAGTAGCTGGGATTACAGGTGCGCACCACCACACCCGGCTATTTTTGTATGTTTTAGGTAAATACAGGGTTCCGCCATGTTAGCCAGGCTGGTCTCAAACTCCTGACCTCACGTGACCCGCCCCCCTCAGCCTCCCAAAGTGCTTACAGGCATGACCCACCATACCTAGCCTATGTTTCTTTATTTCTAACAGTAACCATGCAGGAGCTGGTACTATTAGGCCCCTGCAGTGCCAGTAACTGAGTTCATTTGCCCAAGGCCACACCTGAGGAGGCTTGAACCCAGAAGGAGGGAGGCCAAACCCCAAGCTTCTCCTTCTCTGCGGTCTGGTGGGGAGCAGCATGCCCCAAACTCTAAAGCACACCCATGCCTGAGGAACTTGCTAATGTGCAGATTTTGATGCAGTAGTTCTGGCTGGGCCTGAGGTTTTTTGTGCTGGGCCAGCTCCCATGGGAGACCCATGCTGCTGGCTGCAGCCCTCAAGAGCAGTGGTTGTGCACCTGGATTGTGGCAGGTGCAGAGCTCCTGGAAGCTTTAAAAGTTTTTTGAGCTTAGGCCACACCCAAACCAATTAAATATTGGATTTTCCAGAGAAAATCCTACTTGCCCTTAGGCTAGTCTGAATATCTGTATTATAATAAGATTTTTGTTTGGATTCCTCAAAAAGCAGACCTCGAGACAGGGACTTGATTGCAAGGAATCTATTCAGGAGGTAATCTGGGAGGCACAAGTGAGGCATTTGGGAAGGAAAGTGAGATAGGGAAGGAGAAGTGTCATCCAATGAGCACTGACAAGGCCGTAGATGTCTGCCCCAAGGACGGGAAGCCAGGCCAAGCATGCATCCACTTAGCACCTCTCTGTTGGCTGAGTGCTCTGAAGGCAGGGGCTGCTCAACAGCCAAACACTGCTGCAACCTGCATGACATGTCAGCTCTAGAAGGAGCCTCACAGGCATCACCTCTTTCCTGTCACATCCCTACCTATGACTTAGGTAGTAGGAAGGGGGGGTGGGAGGAAGGGGATTGGGAGGTAGGAGATAGGGCAGGTGGGAGGTAAGACAGGTGGGAGGAGGGGCGGTGGGAGGCAGAGAGGGCAGGAGGCAGGGTGGGTGGGAGGAAGGATAAGTTGGAAGAAGAACTGGTGAAAGGAAGATCCAGTGAGAGGAAGGGCCGGTGGGATGTAGGGCTGGTAGTCCACTCCTGCCTTTTAAGATGCTAAATGATTCATCAAGTGCACCAAGCCTGGGAGCGAGGAAGCCAGGATATAAATTCTGCTTTTCTGAGTCTTTGACCCCAGTTAGTGCACACCTTACACTTGGACTAGGTTCCCAGAGACATCCTGTGGCCCCCGCCCTGATGCCCTTTGTTCCTGTGGGTGAGATCACAGATGCCTTTTTCTGTAAAGTGCAGCATCTTCCTTGGACTTAGTTTACACAAGGAAATTCCACCTCCCACTGCCTGAGCTTCCTGGGTGGATGTTTGGCTGGGTGTGTATTTTCTTTATTACACACCTGCATTTACAGGGTTTCTCTCCAGGCTGATTGCTGCCCAGTGTGAGGTTGCTGGTGTGGCCATCATTTCTGGAGAGAAATCCTGCCACAGGCAGCCTGCCAAAACCCCAGGATAGTGATTACAATAGGCCTGGCTTTCAGCCTTCAAGGTAGTGATGCAGATGGAACGTGGTGGCCAACACCTGGAGGGCCAGGGTTGGAATGATCAGCTGTCACAGTGCCTGGATGAATTCACCTCACCATCTCTTTGGAAAACAGGTGAAGTGAGACTCCAGCTGAACCCACCAATGTCCATGCCCTGAGGAAGGGGCTGGGGCTAGGGCCCACATCCTCTTTGTTGATCCTCCTGCTTCTAGAGTCCAGTCTCTCATATTTGAGGAAGCAATTCTTACCCAGAGACCCCAGCTGCCTTTCCCCTCTTCAGAGCAGCTCTCACTCTATAACAGTGGGATGAGTCCTGACCAAACACAGACTGGCCCTCTTGATGTCCAGAGATGTCTCTGAGTCAGGGCAGCTTCCTCTGGGGACAGTCAACAGCAGCCTCCCCAACTCCCAGGCAGCAAGTGAGCCCAGGAGATCACTGCCAGTTGCCCATGGCCTGCAGATAGGATGGGATGGGATGGGATGGGATGGGATGGGATGGGATGGGAATGGGATGGGATGGGATGGAATTGGGCCTGTGTTGTCATTAGGGAGGTTTAAAGTGGCAGGCTCACTTCAAAGCCAGGCCTCCAAATAGGTGTAAGATTGCCTGTGCTTCCAATCATATTAAGCCAAGCACATTTTCTAGTGGTTTGTCAGCTGTAATCGGTTTCTCTGTAACATTCTGATAGCAGGAGTGGCCCAGCAGGAAGCTTCCTGTCCCTCGATGTCATGCACATGTGGTTCCATGGAGGGACCCAGTGTACAGGCCAGTGGTAAGTCACCCAAGACCATTGATCCAACCTCAATGGCTTCTTTTCAGTAGAAGGGAACATGTTACACATGATCAGCCACAGCAAGCCTCTTGCTAAAGCCTCAGTGAGCTTTCTCTGAGCAGGACTGTGGCTTTCTTAGAAACTTTGGCCTTGAAACCTACTTGAACTGAATGAGGTCTTTCTACTTAAAGAAAGGTGAGGATGGCCCAGCACAGCCCTGGACACCCAGCAGGCAGTGTGTTGCACAGAAAAACAGAGACGTTGGCCTGAAAAACACAACACTGCAACCTCACCTCCAGTCATCCACCAGCCCAGTGACTTTAGGCCAGTGGCTCTGTCCACATGTCCACTCCTTCGAATATAACTACAGGCACATATGCTGTGCAGGGCACTGTCGTGGGCACCAGGATACAGCAGGGAGAAAGGACAAGGCTACTGCTTCCATGAACTTGCCTTCTTGCAGGGGGAGACAATCACCACAAGCAAATAGACAAAACAACCAAAAAAAGCAACAGGTAATGATGAGTACTGCTGGGGTCTGACACATAGACCCAGGCTGCACGATGGATGAATAACGTACTCAGACACTGATATTCAGTGAAAGAGCAGCTAGGGGGCTGGCCCACTCACAGAAAAAGTTGTGGCAGCTATGAACCCTGACTAGCTGGCCCTGCAGGCATTTATTCAGCACAGATTTAAGGACAAAGGCTTTGAGTCAACACACCTGTGGGTAATTAATCTGATCGCCCTCCCCCAGAGAGAACAGTCCTACAAATGATCAAAGGTTGGTCTTAGGACCACATGAGTAAACAAAATATTTAGATAAGCTCCTCTACATTCCTATGTATCTACACCCTAAGCTTTTAAGAGAATTCAGCTGCCTTCAGCCAAATCTCATGCTGAAGCTATGCAAATCTCCTGGCCTTCCAAGAAGGTTTGTGTCTATTTCCTATAACTTTATGTTTTTAATTTATCCCACCACCCTGACTGATCCCCTACAGAGTACAATATAAGAAATTCACATTGGGCTGGTGGCGGGGCTGCAACCACCGCAAGGCAGTTGTGGAAAGCAGCTTCCCAAAGGGACGGTCCTTCTTAAAACAACAATAACAACTGCATTTAACTCCCAAACCCACACCTCATTAGAAGATTGAAGTCTTGCTCTTAGCCTGGGCACTACACTGACTTTCTTTCTTTTTCTTTTTAAGTGAAAGCAAATTTATTAGGAAAGTAAAAGAATAAAGAATGACTACTCCACAGGCCAACCAGCATACATTGCCTTTCTGAGACTCAGTTTCCTCATTTACAGCCTTCGGAGAGCAGCCACGTTCACCATCAAGGCTTCGCTATGAAAACTAAAGACATGATGATAGAGATGTGGAGGTCTGCGGACAGGAGGTAGGTGTTCTGCTCAGCAGGGAAGTGAGGAATGAGGTCTGGGAGGTGAACTTCTCCTGTGCCGGCATGTGCTGTGTTTTCCCCACTGAATTCTGATTATCTGATCTATGGCTGTCTGGCAAAGCCCACAACTGTGGGGTCCTGGGCAAAGGTTCCCCTGCGGCACACCTTCAGGCCACTCAGATGGGCCTCTCTGACTGCCCATACTGTAAACAAGAAGCAAAACAGCCCAGAGGAGGCCACTGTGTGATTGTTTAAAATCAGTTTTGCTCAAAATACATTCTTAAGTATTTGTAAGAGGATGGGGCAGAAGCCTTTTAAGCAAGCAGTGTGTGTGAAAACAAGTTAGGGGAGGCTGTTTCACCAAAGGAAATCCTTTCAGAGCTGGGAAAGCATTCATTAGGAAGGCATTCATTAGGAAGGAGGGGTTGGAGCCTGAGGACAGCAGAAGGGCCTGACGTTCTGGGAGTCAGAAGGGGCCCAGGACAGACAGAAGTGTCTGGGAATCGGGGGATGGTGCCCCACAAAGGCTGGTAAAGCGAGGCCTCGTGTGGCGCTAACATCCTGCCTGGTGCTTTAGGAGGCCTCTTAGGAGGTGGTGTTTAGCTGTAAGAAAAGCTTTTTGTCTTTTCTTTCTGTGTTTACATTTTCTTCCTAAGAGAGGATTGGGAAAACATTTCCCCAGTCTCCCACTGTGGTGTTATGGTGGGTGGAGGGAGAGCAGGAATAGGGACGCTGTTTATTCTTCTCAGCTCTTTGCCATTTCCTGGCCTACAAACCTTGTGCCAGTGCAGTCGAGAAATTTAGGAAAACAAAACTCACCAACCTAAAAATGTGTACAGAGCCCCACACGTCCAGAGATAAATAGCTCTGGGCCCAGGGGCCTCTGTCCTGAAAAGCCCGTTATCTTTCCCTGGCATTTCCTAAGCAGTCCCGCCTTGCAACAACTGTTTGGAGAAGGGACGGTGAGGTAAGCAGGAACACATAAAGTTCATTCATGGGTTGCTTTGAAGCACCATGCGCTTTTCTGGTATCGAGACTGAATAACACTTATGTCAGAAGTAAAACATTGCTACAGTGACAGCATGGTTGAGTGACATCATGCCTTCATTCCAAAGACCTGAGGTGTTGCTCCTGAGCCCCCGCTGGGGATTGCGGCCCAGGTTCATGCTCTCAGGCTGCACACACGCACTCTGAAAATGTTTGCCATTAGGGCTGCAAGCCCTCAGTGCCACCAGCTTTACCTGACATAGCAACTCCGTGGAGGTACCATGAAGTATTCAGGGTAACCCCCCAAAATGAGACACAACTGCTTAGCTGGACTGACTTATTCCCAAGACTCAGAGGCTGATTCAATAAATAGAGGGCCATGTGCTCAGGTTTGTTCTTTTCTGCTCGTTCCAATCTCTGTTGTCTCCCCCTTTACAGCTCTCTCACAATTTCCAATGTGCATCTCTCTTTTGATACATGAAACTTCTTGAAGTTTTGAATGGCAAACTGAAGAGGTTCAGAGTATGCCACCCCAAACTTGCCACGTGAACACAAAGATTATTTGGAGCTAAATGTATTTGAGATTCAGCAGATGCAGAAAGAAGCCTTCCCAGAGTTTCCCTTACCTGACTAAAAGCAGATACTTCTGAGAAATGAAGATGGTCATAGATCCCCATCCTGGGGCAGTTTTATGCCATGAAGGAGCTGGAAAGTCAATGTCAAAATGGACCTGCACAGGCAAACCTTACTCTATCAGTTTCCCTCAATGTTTTATCTTCCCCGAGTTTGCCATCCTCAGAAGCCTGAAAGTTTTTCTTTTGTCTTATCACTTTTCTGTACAATTATTGATTTTTTGTTAAGGTGCTATATGAGCCCAAGTTCTAACCACTCCTTTGCCTTAATCGTCACTGAATTTCCCATGTGTATGTGCAATGCACATATTAATAAACTTCTCTTTGTTTTTCTCTTGTTACACATCTGTCTCTTTTCAATGTAATTTGCGAGACTCCAGCTGAAGAACCAAGAAAGGGAGGTAAAAAGAATTATTCAATATCTCAATATCATGTCACCTGGACCATTACCAATGTGGAAAGCAAGTCTCTCAGTATTAAAGGGGGAAGTCAGGTTACAAAAGGGTAGGTATTTTGTGAGACACAAATATAAAGAAAGGTGGATTCCTGAATATCCTCAATGGTTACCTGAGTTTTACAATTTTGGTACTTAGCAAATACTGATTTCTAACAATTAAAAACACAAAGAGGTACAAGTTTCCTAAGTACCCATTTTCAAAAGATGCTGTAACCTATCCTTGTACTATAATGCAGTACAAAAGAATAGCCACCAATGGTTTGTAATCCAGGCCAGGTGACACTGCCAGCCAACAGTTAGGCCAGGGAGCGGTGTTTCCTCTATTCTTTCTTGGTGTAAATGACTGCACAATCTTGACCTAGCAAGGGACTTGAAAACCTTGTCACCATTGTGTCTGAAGGACTCCACAGCAGGAAGGTGACATGAGTGACCTGTGATTTCAGAGTGTGAAATCATCTATGTATCCAGAACCTTGAGACCAGTGGAACTTGAGGCAGAAAGTCAAATGCCTTTGACTCCAGGGGCCTCGACAAATGTGCATAAAGTCAGGGTGCAGGTCAGCATGTCCATTCACCCACAGCATGGCTGCATTTCTGCAGGGCTTGGCAGGTCATAATCTCCTCTCTTCTCCCACACCTCCCACCCAGGAGCTCAAAGCATGCTGCAGACACCCCTGATAAAGGCCAACCTGGTGGGTAGGGCTCTCTGGGCCATGCTGGGTGAAAGGATGGCTGGCTAGATTATGGGCACACAGCAAAGCTGAGACTGGCCCAAAATGACTGGCACATCTGTCTCCTGAATGAACGCTCTTTCACGAGAGACTATCCCACAACCCACCGCCATCCCAAGACAGCCAGGTCTCTGCAGAAGGAGGGCACTGAACTGCCCTGCACAAGCAATGAGAACTGGACAGACAGGATGTGTGTGAAGTACTCTGCGAAGGGTGTGGGCCGCTGCAGCACAGCATGGAGTGCACTTTGCCTGGGGATGTAGAATGTTTATAAAGTGCTGCATTGACCACCCCTGGCCCTGATACAAAAGTAAGAATCCAGAGCCCCAACATCAAGGCCTCTCTTAGATGAGGTCACCAGGGAGCAAACCCTCCTGTGGTTAACACAATTATCCTATTTTCTTTTATTTCCATAACTCTTCTAGATTCACAGTTGGTAGTGTTGAAAGACTATGATAAGTAGGAGCTGTCACTCAGAGGTTAGGTGGATTGGATCCAGACACAGACAGATCTGGTGGCTGGAGCACATCTGCCCTCATCCAAGAAATCTGGCCCAGAAGCTGTAAGGCATGGAGATGCCCTCACACCTCATGAGGGACATGGAAGAGGATGGCACAGTCTCCAGGTACTGGCCATCAGGGCAACTCTGAGCTTTATAACTACCCGTGAGGTGTGAGGCACTAAATCCCATTGAAAAGTGTTGAAACACAGGCTCAGCCTAACTTGCCCAAGGTCACATGGTAAATGGTAAGGCTGTTTAGATGAAAACTAGCTCTTTCTGGGTCCAGTGCCAACATGAGGCCCCTCTGTGTGCCATGAAGGACATCCTCTAAAGAGAGAGACAAACAAAGGCAAGAGTGAGCAAGAAGAAGAATAGAGAAGAGAAAATGCATACCCCCAAAACTCACCCATCTGCCAACCAGCTCTATAACCCTATGCAGGTCACTCGACCATTCTGGGATTTAATTAACCTTCTCTTGAAATTCTGCACACAGATTCTCAGTGGGGCTCAGACATCTTGGATTTTTAATGAATGTCCTTGAGTAATTCTCACCATGACGTGAGTTTGAAAAACACAACCATAAAGTGTCTAAAATCCTATAGATTATAATTAAATATTTGTAGTGCCCCATAACTCCAAATGCAAATAGGCCCCACTTAGCTATCATAATAAGACTTTGCACCACATTTTTTGGGAACCGTCTGTATAGGACAATCCCATGCCCCAGTGGTCTCCCCCTTTAATGAACTCAGGGATTACCAGGGATCTTCTAAATGCAGATTCTGATTCAGAGGGTCTGGTGGGATGGAGGTTCTGCATTGCTGACCTGCCAAGCCCTGGGAAAATGAGGCCATGCCATGTGTGGACAATACACTCCCAGGTACTGTCAATCATGCTGGTCCAGGGACCCCACTCTGAGCGGCAAGGATGTGGAGCACCTCTTCCAAAACTGCCTGCGAGGCATGGGGCACAGTGGGCCCAAGCCTGGACCCCCTTGGTCCTTAGGGCATCGGGGCAGCCAGACTCAGGGGGCCAGAGCAACATCCTTTGATTACCCCAGGTCATCACAAATACTTGTCCCATAAATACATTTTTCTTTGTGTATCTTGACATGAAGGTTGGAAGTTCTGCATAGCTCTGTGGTTCTTAGCATTTACTGGGGCACAGACTCCAATGAAAGCAATGGGATCCCTTACCCTAGAAGGTAACTCACAATATAAAAAGCTTTGCCTTCAATTTCAAGAAGTCCGTGGATTCTCTAAACTCATGCATCATTCAGATGAAAACTAGTGCTATGCCTGCAATGTTTCCAACTCCATTATACAGTTTTGAAACGCTGTGGGCACATCCGCTCCTCATGGCCCGCAGTGTCCCAGGTCTGAGTCTGAGAATGGTTTTCTAATTATGGCCCCTTCACGTCAGAACTTTGACCCTCATCATATGATTCCACCAAATAGCAGTGGAAATGCTCACATTAACTCTGAAAGCAGTGGTGGCGCAAACTCCATGTTGTCAGAGACAAAGTTGTTTCAACAAAACACGCCCACTGCAAGAAACTGTAAATGCTGAATTTAAATTGTTTCGGGTTTATTTATATTTAATTTATAAATGTGGGTTGGTTTCATAGTGGTCTAAGGCCCGTAAGCAACAAGGACTTACATCTACTTTGAGGTTTGTACAGATTCAGATAAATTACAATAAAATAAGTCAACACCAAAAAAGAACAAAAATTATTTTCCCATTTAAAAGGAATTTGCACAATTCCAAATTTGAAAAACGCTGCCCCATAAGTCCCCAGGCTATGCCAGAAACTCAAACCCTCTCTCCCTGCAGATTTGCTGCAGAGCAGCCTCAGCTCAGCAGGCTCCACGCCTACCTAACCTGAGGTGCTGGGTCTGCGCCATGGTGAAGCGGATGGCGTTCTTATGAAGCTTAAGGGCTTATGAAGTGGATTTTGCCTGCGACACATTCCCCATGTTTTGGCGTCAGAGGCTGGCCTGGTGATGTTGCCTGTGGGCTGTGAGCTCAGGGCCTCCTGCTGCCCTGATGCCCTCATGCCTTTCCCATTTACCTCTCAGTCCACCAGGTATTTCCACCGTGGGGGTCTCTTCTGTCAGAAACATAGATCACCACCTTTGACAAAAAGGCAAAGACAGTGAAGGAGAGGAAGGGAGAGTGGAATTCACTCTGCTTTCCAGCCACGGGCCAGGTACTTAATCAACACATACACGGAATTAACCACTATCATCCCCTCTTTACAGACTAGGAGGCTGAGGCTTAGCAGGTTAAATTTCTTACCAGGGTCACATAACCAGCGAATGGAAGAGCTGAAGTGAGAATGTGGGTCTCTGCGGCTCTTTCCACATGGCCCATTGTGCCTTTGGATAATTTAATTCATGACAGCACTTCATTTTCTAAACAAATTCCTGATGAATGGGAAAGAGGAGGTTTTGAAGGGAAAGGAAGAATATTAGAAATATGAGGAACAAAAACCTTAGAACACAGAGAAATATCTCAAGGAGGAGAATGAGTAGACATAGCTGGGGTGTGTCTATGGGACAAAGAACAACTTGCTCATTGAGAGGACTTGGGAGGTTGAGAGAGAGAAAACTCACCAGGCCAACTCTGCTGTTGTCCTGATTTTCTCGAGTTCCCACTGGAAACATCAGTAATACCTGCTGATTTATTTAGGTGCTTATATAAAGTTTCACAAGTTTAAAGTAGTGCTCAGCTGGTTATGTATTCCATCCAACCATCCAGTGAGTCTTAGAAAGTGGATTAGTCGGGGTCTCCAGAGAGACAGAACCTGTAGGATGTACAGGCATATCTAATTTTATTGTTCTTGCTTTATTATGCTTTGCAGGCATTGCATTCTGTACAAACTGAAGTGTTATGGCAACCCTGTGTTGAGCAAGTCTATGGGCGCCATTTTTCCAACAGCATGTGTTCACTTCATGTCTCGATGTTACATTTTGGTAATTCTTGTAATATTTAAAGCTTTTTTGTCATTATTATATCTGTTACAGTTGTCTGTGGTCAGTGATCTTTGATATTACTATTGTAATTGTTTTGGGGCACCACAAACTGCACCCATATAAGACAGTAAATTTAATCAATAAATATTGTGTATGTTTGTTCCATCATCCAGCTGTTCCCGCATCTCTCTGTCTCACCTTGGGCCTCTCTATTCCCTGAAGCATAACACTATTAAAATTAAGACAACTAGTAATCCTACGGTGAACCTCTAAGTGTTCAAGTGAAAGGAAGAGTCACACATTTCTCACTTTAAATCAAAAGCTAGAAACCATTAAGCTTAGAAGATAGGCTTCTTGTGCCAAACAGTTATTCGAGTTGTGAATGCAAAGGAAAGGTTCTTGAAGAAAATTAAAAGTGCTACTCCAGTGAACACATGAATAATAAGAAAGTGAAACATCCTTACTGCTGAATTTGAGAAAGTTTTAGTGGTGGAGTTAGAAGATCCAACTAGCCACAACATTCCCTTAAGCCAAAGCCTAATCCAGAGCAAGGCCCTCTGCTCTAATTCAGTGAAGGTTGAGAGAGGTAAGGCAGCTGAAGAAGAAAAGTTTGAAGCTAGCAGAGATTGGTTTATGAAGTTTAAGGAAAGAAGCCACCTGTAAAAGCCATAATGTAAAAGCACAAGAAACTGCAGCAAGTTATCAAGATCTAGCTAAGATAATTAATGAAGGTGGCTAAACTAAACAGATTTTCATAGATGAAACAGCCTTCTATCGCAAGAAGATGCCAGCTAGAACTTTCATAGCTAGAGAGGAGAAGTCAATGCCTGGCTTCAAAGCTTCAAAGGACAAGCTGACTTTTTTTAGGGGCTAATGCAGCTGGTGACTTTAAATTAAAGCCAATGCTCATCTTCCATTCCCAAAGTCCTAGGGCCCTTAAGAATTATGCTAAATCTACTCTGCCTGTGCTCTATAATTGGAACAACAAAGCCTAGGTAACAGCTCATCTGTTTACAGCATGGTTTCCTGAATATTTGAAGCCCACTGTTGAGAAATACTGCACACACACACACACACACACACACACAAGATTTATTTCAAAATATTACTGTTCATTGACAATGCAGCTGGTCATCCAAAAGCTCTAATAGAGATGTTCAAGATTAATGTTGTTTTCACACCTCCTAACACAATATCTGTTCTTCAGCCCATGGATCAAGAAGTAATTTCAACTTTCAAGTCTTAATATTTAGGAACTACATTTTACAAGGCTATATCTGCCATAGATAGTGTTGGTCTTATGGAACTGGGCAAAGTAAATTGAAAACCTGTAAAGGATTCATTATTCTAGATGCCATTAAGAACATTCATGCAGCAAGTTATCAAGGGAGATTCATGGAAGAAGTTCAGAATATCAACATTCACAGGAGGTTGAAAGTTGATTCCAAGCCTCATGTATGACTTTGAGGGATGCAGGACTTCAGTGGAGGAAGTAACTGCAGATGTGTGGAAATAACAGCAACAACAACAAGCTAGAATTAGAAGCCGAGCCTGAAGACGTAACTGAATTGCTGCAATCTCATGATAAAATTTAAACAGCTACAGAGTTGCTTCTTATGAATGAGCAAAAAAAAAAAATAGTTTCTTGAGATGAAATGTATTCCTGGTGAAGATGCCATTGAAGATTGTTGAAATGACAGCAAAGCATTTAGAATATTACATGAACTTAGTTGATAAAGCAGTGACAGGGTTTGGAAGGATTGACTCCAAATTTGTTTTTTTGTTTTTGTGTTTTAATCTTGTATCATAGTGGGTTTTTTTTAATTTTGGTAATAATATTAAACTTAGAGTAAATTGCAAGAATAGTACAAACAACATTCATTCACCTTTTGTGCAAATTCACTATCGTTAACATTTTACCTCATTTGCTTAATCATTTATGGGTGTGCATGTGTTCTTTCTCTCTCTCTCTCTCTTTATATATATGTATATACACATTTATACATATGCACACATATATTATTATTTTGTAACCATTTGAGAGGAAGTTGTAAACATTATAGCTCTTTGCTCCTAAATATGTCCCTTTTTTTTAATTTAACTGTCATATACAGCCTCTTCATCAGGAATAGATTCCATCTCAACAAACCAATCTTTTTGCTCATTCATAAGAATCAACTCTTTATCTGTTTAGGTTTTATCATGATATTGCACTATTATATGAAAATAAAAATTAAAATATGTATAAAGGAGAAAATAAGATCATGCATAACAGTCCACTCAGAGACTGTTAGTATTCCCGTTTAGTCTTCTAGTTATTTCTCTGGATGTTTTAATGTGTATATTTACCGCAGGTTTCTTACAAACATATGTTGCGTAGCAGTGACGACTCCAATTTTGAGAGAAGTTCTATTGTGGGTAAAATGCTATCAAACAACATCACATGCTACAGAAAAATATTTTGTGAAAGGGAGAGCCAATTGCTGCAGCAAACTTTATTGCTGTCTTATTTTAAGAAATTGCAACAGCCACCCCAACCTTCAGCAACCACCACCCTGACCAGTCAGCAGCCACCAACACTGAGGCAGATCGTCTACCAGCAAAAAGATGATGAGTCACTGAAGGCTCAAATGATCATTAGCAATTTTTAGCAATAAAGTATTTTTTAATTAAGTTATGTACATTTTTTAGATATAATGCTAGTGCACACTTAATAGACTACAGTGTAGTGTAAACATAACTGTTATATGCACTGGGAAACAAAAAAGTTTGTGTGACTCGTTTTATTGCAATAGTCACTTTATTGGGGTGGTATGGAACCAAACCCACAACATCCCTGAGGTATGACTTTATATGTGCATATATATATTTATATATAAGAGGGGATTTATTTGGGGGAATTGGCTCGCCCAATTATGGAAGTCAAGCAGTCCCATGACAGGCCATTCGCCAGCTGGAGACCATGGGATGCCAGTAACGTGGCTTAGTTCAAGCCTACAGGTCTCAGAGCCAGGTGATGGTGTCCAAGGCTGAAGGCCTCGGAACCTGAGGCAGCCTGTGTAAGTCCTGGAATCCCAAGGCCTGAGAGCTTGGAGTTCTGATGTCCAAAGACAAGAGAAGAAGAGTGTTTCTCAGCTCTTGGAGACAGGACGTCACCTTTCTATTCCATTGAGGGTGGATCTTCCCCACTCAGTCCACTGACTCTCAAGCCAATCCCCTCCAGAAACACCCTCACAGATACATCCAGAAGTAATGCTTCACCAGTTCTCTGGGTAATACTTAATCCAGTCAAGCTCACATCTAAAAGTAACCACCACAGGAGGGTGGAGAATATGCAGTCGTGCACCATGTAACAACATTTTGGTCAACAACAGATCACATATATGATGGTAGTCCCAAAAGATTATAATACTATATTTTTACTATATCTTTTCTATGTTAAGATACACAAATGCCATTGTTTACAATTGTGTGTGCATTCAGCACCATAATAAGCTGTATAGGTTTGTAGCTAGGAGCAAAACCATACCATATAGCCTAGGAGTGTAGCAGGCTGTCACGTAGGTTTGTGAAGTATACTCTATGATGTCTGCACAAGAATGAAATCATCTATCGATGCATTTCTCAGAACGTATCCCCATCACTAAGTGACACACGACCGTATCTGTTTTGCTCCCTGCTACATCCTTAGTACCTAAACCAGTGCCTGTACCAGAGCAATAATCAATGGCTTTTAAGGCCATCTATTCTGTAGGGGCCTCTGGGCAAATGTATAAAACTACTCATAAAATGAACACCATTGTCCAGTTGGGTAAAACGTTTCCCCAAATGCTGATGCTTTAAGACTTAGTGCTAGCGAAGGAAAGATCAGCGATGGGGATGAGCAGGAACAGAAGCCAACAGGGACAGCTCTTGGGTTTCCAGCAGTTGCCCACCAGGGCTTCCCTGGTGACTGTTGCTTGTAGGGTGCTCCCCAGCAGGACTTATTTGGCTTCTCCAGATCTCTGCCCCAGCTCTGGTTCCTCCAAACGTCGTATCTCCGTTTGGGCCCAGTTAGTTCCTGGTCTCTGACTGCTGGTGTCACCTTGCAATTGAAACCAGTCTATATCAGGCTTCTCTCCAAGTTCAGCCTCAGCTTTTCCTGGAAGTCCTCAAAGTTCCAAACTCAGGCTCTCAGCTTCAGGCATTCCTGAACCCACAGACAAACCTGTTTCCATCTCCAGACCCAGCCGGGACAACGGACAATGAGACCTGCCACAGACGGCCACACTTCTTACTGGGTCTCCTGCCTTTTACACTCTTTCTGTCCCTCCCTTACCTTCAGACCCATCACTTTTGCTGCTGCACGTGTGTCTCCCACTCACAATCTCCTGTTTTCTGGTCA
Organism: Homo sapiens; assembly: GCF_000001405.40. NCBI lineage: Eukaryota > Metazoa > Chordata > Mammalia > Primates > Hominidae > Homo > Homo sapiens. Next base: position 23,280,374 of record NC_000020.11, read on the forward strand.
GTTGCAATAAGGAGCCTGCTGTGCACCAGGAAACCATAGCACTGCATCTGTAACAACCGCGGGTCGAGCAACAGTCACTGGGCTCCAAGGAACAGACTTGCGGGCTCTTCTAGAGTGAAATACAACAGCTCAATGATATTAAGGCACCTATTTTGGTAACCCAGATAACTTCTTTGCTGGTAACTTCTTTCAGCCTTGTTCAGGATACCAAAGTTTTCCAAGCACTTACTCTGGGATAAATGGCAGCTCCATTATTTCTTCTGATATTTAAACAAGCACTTGACACACCTTTTCTACTTTCATTTGAAATAGACAGCCAATGTTAGTCTATTATTAGTTTGCACATAGAAAAAGTCCTAATATTGTATTAAGAGCAAAAATGTATAAAAGAGGGCTGGCATTTCTGATCTTTAATTTTTTATTAAAATTTTACCTCTCCTAAATAAGCTAATGTCCATTTTGTTTCTCCAATTATCACTTTGTAACAGTATCCTCTGTATCCCCAGTGTCTGGCATCCTGTATGAGTTAAATAAATGCATTTAATTAATTAACTAATTAATTAATCAGCTTGCATTTCAGTAAGGCAACATTTTGTTTTATTTTGTTTTGCTTTGCTTTGTCAGAACAAGTGGAAAAACTCCACAAGCAAAATATACCTAAGAGATAAAATTAAATTTAAAGGCTGGGCACAGTGGCTCATGTCTTTAATCTTAACACCTTGGGAGGCTGAGGCAAGAGGATCACTTGAGGCCAGGAGTTTGAGACCAGCCTGGACAACAGAGAGAGACCTCATCTCTACAAAAAGAATTTTTTAATTAGCCAGACTTAGTGGCACACACCTGCAGTCTTAACTATTCAGGAGGCTGAGGCAGGAGGATCACTTGAGCACAGGAGGTCAAGGCTGCAGTGAGCTATGGTCACGCTCCAGCCTGGGTGACAGAGTGAGACCTTGACTCAAAAAAATAAATAAAAATAATAATAATAATTATTATTATTATTATTATTTTGAGATGGAGCCTTGCTCTGTCGCCCAGGCTGGAGTGCAGTGGTGGCAACTTTGGCTCACTGCAACCTCTGACTCCCAGGTAAAATTAATTAATTTTTTAAAAATTAAATTTCAAACAAACATTGAGCTATGACAATTCAAATGCAGCTTTACGAATGCCTCTCATTCTGATGTCATTGTCTCTTATGTTAATTAGCCATTGAGCTAAAAGGGAATCTTTCAAAATTTCACAAAACCCTCCGTGTTTCCCACAGTTCCAAGTCAGGTCTAACACCTAGGTAAACACAAGGAATGTTCAAATAGGTATATGCTTAAAATGGAAATAAAAGGCAATTTCCCAAGTGAAAGTCTTCAGTTTCTTAACAAAGGAAAATGGCCCCTTTCATTTGCACTGGTTGTGAGACCTTTCTTTAGTCAGAAAACGAGTTTGCACCAGTGTGGCCCATTTAAAAGAATGGCCCACAACATGACATTTTTTATTTAAAAAAAAAAAAAACACAGGAGTGTCTGGGCATGGTGGTCATATCTCTAGTCCTAGTGCTTTGGAAGGTTCAAGTGAAAAGATTGCTTGAGCCCAGGAGTTCGAGGCTTCCCAGCCTGGACAACAAGAATAAAGCCCTGTCTCAAAACAAACAAACAAAAAAAAATTCAGGAGTTACGGGTCTACAAGTGATTTAGGGAAAGAAACTGACTCACTTCCTTAGATCCCAGAGAAATACAGCTGTGTCCACCAATTCTAAACTGAAATTGATTTGAAGAAAGTATTAGAAAACAGCTCCATAACCAGAAAGAAAGAAAAAGAAGGAAGGAAGGAGGGAGGGAGGCAGGGAAGGAAGGGAGGAAGGGAGGAACGGAGGAAGGGAAGAAGGGAGGAAGGGAAGGGAAGAGAAGAGAAGGGAAGGGAAGGGAAGAGAAGGGAAGGGAAGAAGAAAGCATTTGCCTCCTCTCTTTGGACTTTATCACTGAAGATTCATATTGGAAAAAATAAATTTAAAAATTCAGTGAATTCTCTAAGATTTAGATATTCTTAGTGTTTATGTTTTTTATATCCAGAGAACAGAGTTGAATTTTGTAAAAACAAAGGCTTTAATTATGGAGGCAGCATTGTACTATTCAAAGAAAACATAATAACATAGTGAAAGTTTTGTTATAAAATTCCTGAAGGAAAAATGCCTTACTCTGGATTATTACAGAATAGATACTGGGACAAGGATCTGGGGACAAGTAGGTTATTAGAGACAATCCCCAGAAACAGGAGGGGGAGGTGATCCTGGGCAGGGAGGACACCCAATGAAGATACTTCCATGTGGAGCTAACACTGTGGGTAGCCGGGCTGGGTCCCACCAGGACTACTTGGGGCATCTACTCAGCAACCCCATCCCTTCCTCCTGGCTACAGAAAAAAGGGGTTAACTCCACTCAGCCTCTATCCCTGGCAGGCAGGCAGACAGGTCCCCAGGCTGAAAGCCACAGGATGCCCTAAGTGGGTAGAGAGCTGTGCTCTGGGGACTTCCAGTGTGGTCCGTGGGGATACCGGCATTGACAGCATCTGCTACAAAAATAACTCTGTTATTGTTGGTGAATCTGCAATTCCCTATTGCCAGCCCTGCTTTCCCCCCTGGAATCCTTTGTTTTTATCCTTTGTTTTATTGGCTGCACGAGATTTCTTAGAAACATCAATAGGGCGTTACTGCTGAACTGACATCCTGACCTGCACCTGCTGGTCTTTAGTAACCACTATTTCCTTCTTCCCTCTCCCCGTGTCACGCCTAGGCCTCCTGCAAGCCAGTGTTGGAGTGGGGTGGGAGGAGAGCCCAGGCCCTTTGGGAGGCAATGTGCCCTGCCGCAGCCCACACCTGAGCGGACACCCCTGGTGGCCTCTCCCTCCTGGTTGCAGGCACAGAAAATGATGAAGGCAGCCCTGTTGGATACACTTGAGTTGCTGCAGAGGAGAGATGGTGTGGAGCCCGCCTTCCATAGGATGTAGAGCCCTTGAGGGAAAGAAGCCATGAGGGAGTGGTAACGACAATGGAACTTTGCAGGAAATTGTGAGTCTTCCTCAAGGTGAGAGTTTCAGGGAAATCTAGATCCTTTCCCTGTGGTTGTCCAGGCCACCACAAGCCCTTCAGAAGTTAAGCATTAATAACAGTCCAAGTCCACGGACCTGGCAACTTGGTGATGGCCTAGCGGTTCCAGCTTTCTGGGCAAGGGAGGGCAGGCACCTTGCTGCCTGCAGTTGGTGTCTGGAATGGCTTCCGGGATAGATTTCCGGAGCAGCCCCTCTCACTTCCATGAGGACCTTTTAGGTCCTCTAAGAGCCTTACCTCAGACTCTCATCCCAGGGACCCCACTTTGGGCACCCTAGGTTTAGAAAAGACGACTTAGGATGGGCTCCCCAGGGCCTCAGCAACCACCTTAGAATTGACGGAGATGAGTTTCCCCTGAGTGGCCATTTATTTATTTTTGTTTGTTTGTTTTTCAACTTTTATTTTAAGTTCTGCAGTACCTGTGCAGGATGTGCAGGCTTGTTACACAGGTAAGCATGTGCCATAATGGTTTGCTGCACAGATCATCTCATCACTTAGGTATTAAGCTCAGCATCCATTAGCTATTCTTCTTGATGCTCTCCCTCCCCCACCCCCATCCCGACAGGCCCAGTGTGTGTTGATCCCTCCCCCTGATGTGTCTATCACATGTTCTCATCATCCAGCTCCCACTTATGAGTGAGAACATGTGGTGTTTGGTTTTCTGTTCCTGCATTAGTTTGCTGAGGATAATGGCTTCCAATTCTATTCATGTGCCTGCAAAGGACATGATAGCATTCCTTTTTATGGCTGCATAGTATTCCATGGTGCGATGTACCACATTTTTTTATCCAGTCTATCATTTATGGGCATTTAAGTGGATTCCATGTCCTTGCTATTGAATAGTGCTGCAATAAATGTATTTGAGCATGTACCTTTATAATAGAATGATTCACATTCCTTTGGGTATATACCCAGTAATGGGATTGCTGGGTCAAATGGTATTTCTGACTCTAGGTCTTTGAGGAATCACTGCACTGTCTTCCACAATGGTTGAACTAATTTACACTCCCACTAACAGTGTATAAGTGCTTCCTTTTCTCCACAACCTCACCAGCATCTGTTGTTTTTTGACTTTTTAATAATTGCCATTCTGACTGGTGTGAGATGGTACCTCATTGTGATTTTGGTTTACATTTCTCTAATGATCAGTAATGCTGAGCTTTTTTTCATGTTTTTTGTCCACATGTATGTCTTCTTTTGAGAAGTTTCTGTTTATGTCCTCTGCCCACATTTTTAATGGGGTTGTTTATTTTTTTCTTGTAAATTTGTTTAAGTTCCTTGTAGATTCCGGATATTAGACTTTGTCAGATGGGTAGATTGCAAAAACTTTCTCCCATTCTGTAGATTGTCTGTTCACTCTGATGGTGGTTTCTTTTGCTGTGCAGAGTTCTTTAGTTTAATTAGACCCCATTTGTCAAGTTTTGCTTTTGTTGCAATTACTTTCAGCATTTTCGTCATGAAATCTTTGCCTGTGCCTTTGTCCTGAATAGTATTGCCTAGATTTTCTCCTAGGGTTTTATAGTTTGGGGGTTTACACTTAAGTCTTTAATCCATGTTGAGTTGATTTTTGTGTAAGGTGTAAGGAAGGGGTCCAGTTTCAATTTCCTGCATATGGCTAGCCAGTTCTCCCAGCGCCATTTATTAAATAGGGAATCCTTTCCCCACAGCTTGTTTTTGTCAGCTTTGTTGAAGATCAGATGGTTGTAAGTGTGTGGTCCTATTTCTGAGTTCTCTATTCTGTCCCATTTGTCTATGTGTCTGTTTTGGTACCAGTGCCATGCTGTTTTGGCTACCGGAGGCTTGTAGTCTATGTATCTGTTTTGGTACCAGTACCATGCTGTTTTGGTACTGGTTACTGTAGCCTTGTAGTATAGCCTGAAGCCAGGTACTATGATGCCTCTAGCTTCATTCTTTTTGCTTAGAACTGTCCTGGCTATTCAGGGTCTTTTTTGGTTCTATATGAACTTTAAAATATTTTTTTCTAATTCTGGGAACAATGTCAATGGTAGCTTAAGGAAACAGCATTGAAGCTATAAATGACTTTGGGTAGTATGGCCATTTTCATGATATTGGTTCTTCCTATGCATGAGCATGGAATGTTTTTCCATTTGTTTGTGTCCTCCAAGTAGCTATTTCTGTGAGCATTTCCTCACCTGGTCCCAGGATCTGTGAGGGGCCCACTAGGTTCTGGCTTCATCTAAACCACCAGCTCTTGGCCACCCTCACTGGGAAGAGATACACAACTGGTCAGGGCTCACCAGCGATGGCCTTGCTGTTTTCCTGTGTGGACTCAGCATGTTTGCCAGACACCACAGAATTAAACCCACCCCGCTGGCAGGAAAGGAAAAAACTCCAGGCTGTGCACCACCACACAGAGTGTCTTGCACACATACAGCCACACTACACATTTTAAAATTAATGAATGCATGAGTCAATAGATTAAAGTGATTAAATAGTTGTTAGTAACAAAGAACCTTTAACCAGTCACATCAATTTGCATCTGTCTCTGAAATGGGACTTTTCTTAAATGTGTATGACATGATAGCCTTGGGAGATTGTTATGTCTAACCACAATAGAAAGAGTTTTCTTCCAGCAAGGCACAGTGGCTCCTACTATGGAATCAGCTACTCAGGAGCTGAGGTAGGAGGCTCAGTTGAGCCCAGGAGTTCAAGGCTGCAGTGAGCTGTGATCACACCACTGCACTCTAGTGTGGGTGACAGAATGAGGCCCTGTATCTAAAAATAAATAAATATTAAAAAATTAAAAAGAATTTTATTTTAGAAAGGGTATAATTAAGTGGATATTAGTTAGAACTCTTTAAGATACAAATGACAAATGCTCAGTAAAAATTTAAGGAAAAAGGGAGAGAATGTATTGGCTCTTTCAATGACAAGTCCATGGGGCAGACCTGGGGATCATCGGATGCCCTCTGTCTTTTCCAATTGATCCTTCAAAAGGACTCTGGCTGGGCCTGCCTGAGTCACTGGTCCACTGCAGCACTGATACGAGTGCCACAGTGGGATCTGTTACCGGACTGGCAGCGTTGGTCATGCACCTTCTGTGCAAGGAGCCGGCAGGGCTCCTGGGTGGCAGCACCGCCTGGAGTTGGGGAGGGAGACAGAACACAGGTGCCCAGCCCTATAATAGCCCGCACCAGGGAGCAGCGTTGAGCCAGGCCCCATGTTTATCTAATGACAAAATCAGGGGCTCATTCAGCAGGGTCATTGCTTTCAAAGTGTGATGTATTTCCAAAGGAACAAAGATTTAGAGGATTTTAAAGAACAAATGTTCAAAAAGATGTCAGCAGAATGTCAATACGATGGGCATGGAGTTTACCTAGATGGAGGGAGACTGACAAGGCCCATCTTTTCAGAAATAGCCCCACCAGCTGCTAAAATGCAGAGGGTGGCTGTCACTGCCAGGGTTAGTATCACCACCAGCGTTAGTGAGGTGAAGGAAGCCAGGGACAGTCTCAGTGCCATTGGAAGAAATTGCCCGCAGTGAACCCTCTCCCACCTCCGCGCACAGCCTCCTCATCTCAAGGAAAACCACGACTCCCAGACCTCTCTTTACAGCCACCATCGCCTGGAAAACCAGCGGTGGCCACCACTGAATATCTGACCACGGAGAAGCAAGGCTGGCGCCATGCATCAGAAAATAGTCATTTATTTTACCAACTAGATTTAACCCCCTAAATCTGCCTCCTGAGAGGCAGGTTGGTTTAGGTCATTGTGAAGAAAACTGAAGAGAGAATAGGAAGTACAGAAAAATGGGAAACACGTTGCTGGGAATTACAGAGCGTTGACTCTACTCCAGTGAGTCTGTTTCTAGGTGCAGCTTTTTTTTTGGTGAAAGATCACCCCGTGCCCATGCCAAACTGCAATCGAAGAATGCCATTTTAAAGGGACAGAAAATTATTAGCCTCACACCACCTAACATGTCTAAGTCTTTCATTCAGAGCAGTGGGCTTTGTGTCGAGAACACAGCGTAGGGGACAACAGTGCTATGAGTTAAGAGATGCTTTCTTAGTGTGGCCTCCCCAGAAGGTGCCCCTGAGACAGAGATTCCTGAGCAATAATTAACTAAGCGAGGACTCCCCGGGGAAACTGGTGCACTGTGTGGAAGAGAGACAGATCATTTTAGGCCACACCATACAGGGAATAAAGTGGAAGTTCCATCTCAGAGTTGTCAGGCCTTGGGGCCCAGGAGCTGGCCTGTCTACTGCCACAGCCAGGTGCTGCGTAGGGGCTGTAGATGGGGTGGGGGCCCGGGAACAAAAATGCGCAGACTTCAAGTCCGTGCTAGCCAGCAGAGCAAGGCTAGTCACCTGAAGGCAGCAGCCTGACAAGAGCAGCCACGCAGGCAGAGGGCTCTACAGCAACAGGAGCCAGTAGCTAGCAGGGAGCCCCAATCCTAGAGGGATGCAGGCACCTCAGCAACAGGGGCTGGCAGCCAGCAGGGAGCCCCCATCCTAGAGGGGTCGCAGGCACCTGCTGAGTACCAGCACCACTCCCAGAGGCAGCACATGGCTTTGTGTAGACCTTGCTCCTGAGGAAGAGTTTTGTTGGATCAAAAGACCGGAGAACTGTGCCGCTCCCCACTGTGGTACTGGAGCCCCTGGTCAGTAGAAGAGGGATAAAGACAGCAGCACCCCATGTGTCAGACCCATCCAGCAAACCCCAGTAGGGAAAAGCCTTCTGGCCTAGGATCCCGGAGCTGAAGCTCGCTCGCAGGACACCTAAGGGACTCACCCTCAAATCCCTCTTGCCACCAACGCAACAGAGAATATGGCAATCCAGCCTTGTCTGGGAGTCTTTCCTAGGAAAAGCAGCTTGGTGAGGAGGAAAGGGTAGGGGCCCTGGCCTCAGATCTGCACTACACTGAATGGTGTAAACTCTCCAAGCTGCATTTCACTTGTGAGTAAATAGAGATGATGCCCCTGCCCCTGCAGGAATGTGGCAGCAAACAGAGACACACATGTAAATCATCCAGCCCACAGGAAAGAGTGTTATGATCTTCAGTCCTGGCCACCACTCTCTCATCCTGAGCGGGACCCCGGATGCCAGGATCGTGGACCAGTGACATAACAGGACTGCACCTGGCACCTCTGGGAGGGAGGTCATTCTCCTGGATTCTGGAAGAACCCCCAGACCTCCCAGTGCCCCTCACAGGCCCTCTGGCCACTCCGCGCTCCCCCAAGGGTCTTCAGCTGGGACTGATTCCAGGGATCCGCCAGGCCTTACAAGTTCCTCTAGGGTCTTGGTCTACTCCCTTTGTTTTGTTGTTGTTGTTCTTGTTGTTGTTCTTGTTGTTGCCGTTCTTGTTGTTGTTTGAGACAGAGTCTCGCTCTGTCACCCAGGCTAGAATGCAGTAGCATGATCTCAGCTCACTGCTACCTCCACCTCTCAGGTTCAAGCAATTATCCTGCCTCAGCCTCCCAAGTAGCTGGGACTACAGGCACACACCATCATGCCCAGCTAATTTTTGTATTTTTAGTAGAGACGGGGTTTCACCATGTTGGCCAGGTTAGTCTCAAACTCCTGACCTCCGGTGATCCACCCGCCTCAACCTCCCAAAGTGCTGGGATTACAGGCATGAACCACCATGCCCAGCCGGTCTGCTCCATTTGATCAGCGTCCTTTTGTTGCACTGATTGTCACAATGGTTGTCACTCAGGTTACAGCTGAAGAATAGCAAAGCTCTGTATGTAGAAGAGAAAGTGAGAATTTCCTGGACTCCTAGGGCTGGGAGGGACTTGCCCAGGTAACAGTTTCCAGCAGTGTTCGTAGTAGCAATTGGCTGAGCTGTGCTGCAGAAACAAACTCCCCCAACATTGCAGGGGCTTACACGGAGGGTCTTTATTTTCTGCTCACTCAGAGGCTGTCACATATCCAGCAGTTGTTTGGGGCGACTGTCCCTGGTGCAGGGACCTGGCAATTCAGGGAAAGTGTTTTGGTGTCTCCGCCATCTCCACATGAGGCTTCTCTAGGGCTGCTACAGCTGGGGAAAGAGAAGGGGAGGGCCAAGCGGGGGTTCCACTGCCTCAGCCTAACTCCCCAACATCCACGTGCCCTCACGTGCTCCAAGGGGGCTGACAGGCATTGTCTCCCCCACATCTAGGAAGAAAAGGAGCTTCAGATGTTGCTAAGCACTTGTAAAGTCTCATCAGGGAGTGGAATACTTGTTTTTCCCAAATAGAACTTTACATAGAACTCCAAACTGAGTGCTTCTCTTTTTTAAGAGAGAGGGAAATTTCCCTGGTACCCCCTCTTCCCATCCCATCCTTGAAGGACCCTCCTCAGCCCTTTGTAGCAATGGAACAGAGGGCACTGTCCAAGGATGTGGTCCAAATCCCACCCATTCGTACACACTTGGAAAAACCCGGCAAAGCTTGGGGTCTCCTGGCCCTGGCAGGGGCAGGCCAGGAACGAGTCCCATGACTTGCCTGCTCTAGGACTGACCCATAGCACTTTTAAAAGAGAGCAGAGTTGATAAAATCATCCCCCGTCATGGACTTCAAATAACATACTATGCAATATGATTACATAATTCTGTTTAAATTTTGATGCAGGGTGAGGAAAGAGAATATTGCAATACAGCCACATCTTGGAAAGGCTTTGAAGTCCTCATTAATACCCAAGAAAGTTTAGAACTTCATCTGATATTAGCAAATGTCAGAGGAAAGTGCTTGATAACAAGGGTCAGGATGTTAAGTAAACAGAAAGGAATTAATCTCCATTCATTAAGAGGATGCTGAAGTGACCTTTAAACTAAATCAAAGCCGTGCCGTTAAAGAAAAGGAATGCATCATGGAGCCCCACCACCACAGCTTTCCCCTCATCCCCTTGCCAATTCCAGCCTGAGGGACATTCACCCTCTTCATCCCTTCTCTGGCAGAAGACAGGGTGCTTGGAAGACAGGGTGCGTGTCCAGAGAAAATCAAGCATCTGTGCAGGCTGGGCCACTCAGTAATAAACGCTCCTCTCTAACCTCTCCCAGGAGCTCCCTCTTGCTGGAAAAGCCTTAAATACATTGGGTGTTCCATTGGGTGTGCCCTTTTTCAATCGCTTTACACTCCAAACTGGCTTCTGGAAACCTCTGCCTGCACATAACATCCTGCTGTTTTGGAGAAAAGCAGAGGTAACTACCTTGAATTTCCTTGACTCTCTTCCCTCAATGTAAAGGTCTCTACAGCTTCCCTTCCACCCCTCCTGTCACTCTCCCAGGGCCCCTCTTCGCACACATCCCCGCCCCTTCCCACACATCTCTGTAGGCGTCAGAGCCACATCTCAGACTCCAGGGGTCCCAACCCAAACCCATGGCATCTGCTTCTGGAGAAGGAAACTTCATTTCTTACAGCCCCTCTCTCTCAGTCCCACTTGCGGCTGCACTGTGCCCACCTGACCTTGACCAGAGTCCTGTCCCGCTCCTGCCACTTCCTCTCCTTGACCCAGGACTTCCTGGGCTGTAGCAGCCTCCTATCTGGTCTCCTGGTCCCCAGCCTCAACTTCTTCCAACCACTGATGCTAGATCCGTTCCTCAAAGCACTGCTCACATGGAACCTCTTCCCTTTTAAGACCTCACACTTCCCTGGATGCTCCGGAACCTCCCTGCCTCCACAGAGGCAGCTGTGCCCGTCCTTGTCCTACAAATGGCCACCAGCCCCTGCTCCCCACACCGTGAGAACCTGCCATTCTCTGACCTGCCACACTGAACAGTCCCTCTCAATGCTGCAGGTCTCACAGCACTTTTGCCCACCCCTCCCTGCGGGCACTGTGCCTTGTGTTGTACTTTACAGATGTTCCTTTCATCCCCCTTTCCCTCCTGGTAGACGGAGATTGTGTCCTCATAATCTTAACTCTCACAGAGGATGAAGTTGCTAAACACACACACGCACATACACACAAAAACTCATACACACACATAAACACACACAGACATGAACACACATACATATATACACATAAACACATACACAGACACATGAGCACACATTATATACACACATGCACATGCACACATACACAAATACACACACGTGCACATACACATACACACCCACACCCACATACCCTCACACACAACCTCACCACACCACACCCCGTAGCCCTGCATGTGGAGAAGACCCATGCAATGTGTTTCTGAAGACGAAAGAAACAAAGCTAACTGGAGAATTACGTGGCAGGAAATGATGGATTTCGCACAGTCTGTGAAACACGCTCTCAAGAGCTCTTCTCCCCAGTGGGTACAGACCGGACACATGTTCTACTGAGCTACTCCAAAACATGTAACATACACACAGGATTTGGAAGACTGTATGAAATATGAAAGTGAACTGTTTCATTTTATTGAGTCCCTGTCGACATGATCATATTTTAGATGTATCAGGTTAAAAATATATATTACTAAAATTAACTTCAGCTCTTTTTTTCCCTGTTTTAAATGTGGTTTAAAAAGTAAAATCACACAAATGGCTCCCACTGCATTTCTGTGGACAGTGCTGCTCTCACACCAGGAGCCGACAGGCTGAGGCCCGTGGCGGGAGCCCCTGCCGGAGCCCAGCCCTGCCCGCCCACTTGCCTACCACCTGTGCATGCACGGTGTGGCAGAGCTGAGGACTACAGGCTGAGGCCCTCTGGCAAGCAAATCAGAAAATACTTACTACCTGGCTTTTTAAAAAACAGCTAGCTGAGAATACATGGACAAAGGAAGGGGAACATCACACACTGGGGACTGTTGTGGGGTCGGGGGAGCGGGGAGGGATAGCATTAGGAGATATACCTAATGCTAAATGACGAGTTAATGGGTGCAGCACACCAACATGGCACATGCATACATATGTAACAAACCTGCATGTTGTGCACATGTACCCTAAAACTTAAAGTATAATAATAATAAAATTTAAAAAAAAACCAGCTAGCTGGGCACAGTGGCTTACTTCCAGTTGGCCTGTAATTCCAACACTTTGGGAGGTCAAGGTGGGTGGATCGCTTGAGGACAGGAGTTCAAGGCAACATAGGGAGCACCCCCGCCCCCCGTATCTACAAATGTTTACAAATTAGCCAGAGGCCATGCACGGTGGCTCATACCTGTAATCTTAGCACTTTTCAAGGTGGAGGCAGGCAGATTGCTTGAGCCCAGGAGTTTGAGATCAGCCTGGGCAACATGGCGAAAACTTGTCTCTACAAAAAATACAAAAAAATTAGCTGGGTGTGGTGACACCTGTAGTCCCAGCTACTTGGGAGGCTGAGGTGGGAGGATCACTTGAGCCCAGGGAGGCCAAGGCTATAGTGAGCCGTGATTGTACCATTGCACTGCAGCCTGGGCAACAGAGGGAGACCCTAACTCAGAAAAAAAAAAAAAGCCAGATGTGGTGGTATGTTCCTGTAGTCCTAGCTACTCAGAAAGCTGAGGCAGGAGGATCACTTGAGCCTAGGAGTTCAAGGCCACCATGATGGTGTCACTGCACTCCAGCCTGGGTGACAGAGTGAGATTCTGTCTCTAAAATGAAGAAAAGAAACAGCTGACCCCAGCTCTGAGTTATACAGTGTGGGCGAGTGGATGGGCAAGCTGCTTTTCGGGAACATTGTAAAATTTCATCTATTTATAATCCAGGTGTCTGTGATAAATTCAATTCTAGTTGAACAGAAAACTCTTTGTTGAAAATTTGTGTTAAAAGTTGTTAAGAATTGCCTTTTGTAGTCCAAAAGTATGTTCCTTCAAAGCTCAATTTTCAAATGCAATAATAATTCAATTACTGGATTATCATTGTTACAAAGTATCAGATCCTGGGTAGACTCTAGCTCTCAGCTTGAGCGTGTTTGATTTCACTTTTCACCACATTTTTGGTAACAGGGAGGAGAACTGACATTTAGTGGCACCTCCCACATGGTGGGCCTTGACCTACCAGGGTGCATGTATATTCTTCCATGTCATCTAATTCCTATTTTTTTGAAGTTGAGTGGTTTGAGTTAATCTGGGTTTTTCCTATAAAGGAGCAAACCCTTTGGCTTATACTCTGGTGCAATGAGATTCTAGAATGAGTTTTGTATGAATGGAGGAACATGTCTGGAAGCTTCTCCTAGGCCTCTTCCCAGACAAGAGCACTGGAATTAGCCAACATGGATCCCCCATCCAAGAAGATCAGGAACCTTCCTGCCAACAGGTTCTTCGATAGCAGGCAGCTTGTCTACCTCCACAGATGGAGAGCAGTCAGGTTGCTGTTGATCCTCCCAGCTTCTACCAGGGCTCAAGCAAGTGTTGCCAGGAACTCCGAGAAGCATGGAAAAGGAAAGCACAGAGTACGCCCTGCTTCAGTTCTCTTGCTCAGCATTAAGGGAACGTAATTTGGACTGGGAACGGAGGGCCAGTGACACATGACCTTCTGAAACACCCAATTCCAGAAAGTCCTTGGCAAGACACAGCACAGCTCACTAAGCTCTGCTGCACACTATTGTTTAGCTAAGGAAGCCATCTGTTCCTAAGGCCGGGGAACGGACACTGACATGAAAGTGACAACCCATCCAAACAATCTGGGGCACTCTGGAAACACACTAGTGTGCTTAGCCCAGCCACTTGACCTCCTGTCTCTGAATGATGAGAGGGAAATGCTTGTCAGGATCTTTTACTGCATCTTCAGCACATTTCTCCTCCATGCAACTTGTTCCTGACCCACAGTTAGAGTTAGCTGTGACTTACCAAAAAAGCTAGGTGGCTCTTTGGCCAATGTCCAGGGAGTATGGGAAAGGAGGAATAGATGGTGTCCAAGGAATAAAGCAGCCTGGGGCACTGTGCCCTGCCGTCCCCTCCTTGCTGGTTTTGAAGCCTGCTCTAGCCCCACTCAGGTGCCTTCCAGCAGCTCAGACTCACCAAGTGGGGCGGGACCTGACTCCTCCCCATCCCACCACTGCAGCTGCCCTACAATCGCCTACAACTCAGTGAATGGCAATTTCATCATCGCTGAAGCTTGGAGCAATCTTGAATCTTCTTTCTCTGGAGCCCCACACCGGATGCCTTCACCAGCCCCACCCTCACCTGCCAGGGCTCTCAGTGCCTCCTGACTGGTCCCAAACTTGAGAAGTCTAATTCCTCCCAGCCGTCTGGACCATCCTCTTACACTTCAGTTGGATCCTGTTACTCCCCACTCAGAGCCTGCAAGGGTGCCATTTGTCCCTCCAAGGAGAAGCCTCAGTCCTTGCCAAAAGATGTGGCCCCGTTGACCCTCTGCTTCACCTCCTTGCTCTCTCCTTCCCCCTCCAATCCCACATCAGCCTCTGTTGGTTTTCAGATCGTGCTTGGGCACGATTCTACCTCGGGTCCTTTGCCGGGCTACAGTGATCTCCAGGATGGGCTACCCCACTTCCTCCAGCTCTCAAATGTGACTCCCTCCAGGAGGCCTTTCCTGCCCACCTCTTGCCAAACAGCAGCCACCCAAACCTCTATGACTCCTGGGCCACCAGTACTTTCTCCACAGCCTTCGTCACCTGCAGGCACGGTAGATATCCATGCATGTGCCATCTGTCTCTCCACCCCACCTCCACTAACGTGGACGCTCCGAGAGGGAGGGCCTGCCACAGCTTTGGTCACTGCTGTATACCTGAGGCCTGGAGTGGGGCCCAGCAGACGTGAGTATCTGTCAATGAATGTAGAGAGAAACATTCAACAAGACATTCTCCCCATGATGTCAAAGGGTGTAACCTTTCTGCTGAGGAGGTTTGCACCAGAGGGACTTAAAGTCTCTCTGAAATTATGTACAGAGCCCACAAAAGAGGCATGATTTGCCTTTTTAAATGTCATCTCTTTAAAACAAACAAAAAGCTGCCTCATCTGAAATTGAGGCCAATATCAAGTTTAAGGAGATTCCACCACTATTGATGAGATGCTGCTTATTATGTGTGAGGTATAGTGTCATGTGCTGTGAGTACAGACCAGGAAAGGAAGGGTTTCCGAAACTCTCTCCTGCTGGCCTCAGGGCTGCTTGGCTGTCTTATGCCCAGAAACTTGAATATGGAGAAGAAGGCTAATTTCTTTATTTTCTTTTTAATTTTATTTTGTTTATGTTTTAATAGGTGATACATTTATATGGCATAACGCTCAAAAAGTTCAAAAAGCTACACAGTGCAAACTAAGTCTCCTTCCAGCTTGCCAGCCACCCAGTTAGCTCCCTGGAGGGAAAAAGGGCAACTTGTTCCTTGTCTATCCTTCCAGATACGTCTATCAAAATACCAGATCTGAGAACATCGAGGCCAGTTGCAGACCAAACCACTCCTTGTGTGTCTTTACGTAAAGCCACCATGAATGTGAAGAGTTCCTTTGCGTGTGGTGGCCAGCAACCTGCCATGCTTCGGCACCCACTTTGAATGCAGGCTTAGCTTTCTCCTGCTAGAGGCAGGGCTCAGTCACCCTAGTTCTATACCATGCCCAAATGGCTCAAGCCAGCGGCTAGAGCTAAGAACTTAGAGACATCTCTTCCACCTAACAGATGGGGCTCACGCTTTTCTGCTGCTTCCTATACATGCACCATTTAGGCATTTTCCCACAAACTCACAGTGACCTACACCCTAGCCCCCAGTATGTTCTCCAGAGAACTCCCTCTCTCCTCCCCCACTGGCTGTGCTCCTGACCCCCATGTGTGTGGCCTCCAGCAGTGCCGTGTATGCCCAGGGCCCATAAGTAATAAAACCTAGAGGCCAGGCACAGTGGCTTACGCCTGTAATCCCAGCACTTTAGGAGGCCAAGGTGGGTGGATCACTGTGAGGTCAGGAATTCGAGACCACCCTGGCCAATATGGCGAAACCCTATCCCTACTAAAAATACAAAATTTAGCCAGCCATGGTGGCACATGCCTGTAATTCCAGCTACACAGGAGGCTGAGGCATGAGAATCGCTTGAACCCAGGAGGTGGATGTTGCGGTGAGTGGAGATCACACCATTGCACTCCAGCCTGGGCAACAAGAGCGAAACTGTCTGTCTCAAAAAAAAAAAAAAAAGTAATAAAACCTTTATTTCTGTCTGTGTCTCTTCTAATCTTTGGGGGGGTGCTCTCCACCTTAAAGATTCTAAATCAAAGCACACACCGTGTGCCCCCACGGGGTGCTGCAGCTGTGCCAGGATCTGTAGCCTAACTCTGCTGTCTTTATTAACAACACTGAGCCCCCTATGCTTACGGAGCCCCCTATGCTTACGCACCCCCAGGTGAAGGGCGGAACTGGTCTTTGTTGAAGGCACCTGTGGAGGCTGATCCTACCCAAGGGCTGTGCAAAACATCCACATAGACAACTTCTATCTGCATGGAAATGCTATATCCTCTAGCTAGCATAGAACAAGAGAAGTCTGGGGAAGGAATGAACTGTGGAAGGCCAGGGTCAGGGGAAAAAAATGCTTCCACCCACCTAGAGTGCAAGCCGAGCCCCTCAGACCATCCCTGCACTGGCTCAGTGGAAGGCGCCCCCTCAGACAGCCAGGCCTGGTTTCATCTACAGCGTCATGTACGTTCCTGCTTCTGTTTATCTTTGGCTGAGAGTTAATCAAGTGTTTACTAACCCAATGGCAGAGAACCTCAGAGGAAAACTTTTCAAAAGAACAAAGTGTCCACCAGACAAGGGAATTCCAAGGAGAACAAACACATGGGACACAGCAGCCTGTGTGGACCCGCCACATCTGTGTTTAATGAATGCCTTTTCCTGCTGTGAACAAATATAGATGGCTTAGAGGGTTTAAGTCAGGGGCTAATGAGCTGGCATCGTTGTAAGTGCTCAGACACCCACTGAACTAAGCAGAGGGGAGACTGTGCAAGACACACACTCCCCCCTCGCCATTACAGACAGACTTGGGGATGCTGGCTGGACAAGGTGGACCACCCATGTGGAAGGATTCAAGTACCAAATGCTCGTGCATTTGACATCACCCCTAGAGAATCTTGGAAAGGTCATGACGCTTGCAGAGAAGGGACACGAAGTAGCTGAAATGCCTTCTCCACTTGGAGAGGTTGCCTGACTCTAAGGCGAACTG
The DNA here is from genome assembly GCF_000001405.40 of Homo sapiens. Classification (NCBI taxonomy): domain Eukaryota; kingdom Metazoa; phylum Chordata; class Mammalia; order Primates; family Hominidae; genus Homo; species Homo sapiens. Next base: position 23,297,478 of record NC_000020.11, read on the forward strand.
GAGAGAGGCTGGTATGAGCTGGGAACACAGACAAGAGCAAGGTCTGCAAGCCTGCCAGAAAAATAGAGCCATTTCTCCAGTGCTGGGCTGAGAAGACTGGCAAGCCAGCTCGGCATGGCCGAAGACACATTCCGCAGGGGCCTGTCACTGGTCATGGCTCATCCGTAGTCACGGAGGCCACACTGTGCAGGGGACTACAGCATACGGAGGAGACAAAGCTGGCTGAGCTGTGACTGCTGTCCTCAAGGCAGTCTGATGCTGATTAGGGAGACAGCCTCGAATACACACACACGCACATACACACAGGCATACACACAGAGGCACGCACAAATATGTGCACACACAGGCACACACATGCACATGCACATCCCTACACACAAGCTAGAATCAAAAGATGCTACATGCTAGAAGAAAACACAGGAGAAATGGAAGATTTCATAGGACACAAAAACATAGAGCCTCCCAGGGGCTACAGGCAGGGAGTGCTGGGCTCCCACAGCAAAGCCTAGGAAGGGGAGGCTCCCTGGACCTTGCAAGGAGGATTCAGGTGTTGAGGCCGCAGACACAGAGGTGAGTCCCTTGGCACCAGATTGATGCAGTGGTAGCAGCATCCAGAGGCCAGCCAGGCTCTGGAGAAAGAACAATTTATTCTTTTATGAGTAGGTAGCTTTTGGAAGCACATGCCAGGAAAAAGACAGTAATAATAGTCTGCAGCGAAACCCACTTGATAACTCCCTGAGAAATACGATGTGGTCACATGCAATGTAGAGAACGCTAGGGAGCTGTTAGACATGTGGGCTCCAAGCAGACAGTTGGCCGCACTTCTGGATGCTTCCCCTGCCAGGGCGACACACGCCCTGGAAATGACAAAGCTAGAGCTCAGGTATTCCATGAGCAGGAAGCAGCTCAGCAGGCATTCTCCAGGGAGCTCCTGCTCTCCTCAGCAGGCATGCCCCAGGGAGCTCCTGCTCTCCTCAGCAGGCATGCCCCAGGGAGCTCCTGCTCTCCTCAGCAGGCATGCTCCAGGGAGCTCCTGCTCTCCTCTCTGTGAGAAGACCCATGCTCTGCCCTGTGCTTCCCTCCCTCATGACTACTGGGCACCCACTGACAATCTGGAGTTGGGGGAGACTGGCCCCTCCCACTGTGTCTTTCCTTCTGTGTAAGCCACAGTCCTCAGAATCAAAACTACCTGCCTGATCACTGTTTCAAATGGTTTCTGTCACTTTCTCAGACACGTTTTCATGACCAAAGCCCTATCTTGAATGCCAACTGCCTTTCATTCACCTGATGTAAGTGTATAAGTCGTCCCTAAATTACACACAATGCTTACAATGTACTTAAACATACAACCTACTGGAGTCATAAAGGCCAGTCTTGATAATTCACAGAATCTCCAGCCCTGGCCACCTAGGCTTTGTGATCAGAGGGGTAGGATGAACGCACGGACAGAACTCCTCCAACAGCCAGGTCTGCAATTTGGAATCCCCTAATTCCAAATAACAGATCCCCAGGCCCCCACCAGCCCAAGCAAGATTTCCAGGAGGAGACCCTGTGCCCTGCGTGTTCAACAGCAGCCCAGGAGACTGTCGTCACCAGAGAAGTTAGGAGGACATAGCCCCATGTTCCATCCCTCAGTGCCCTTCCTCTCAGCCCACCCTGCTTTGTTTCTGATTCAAGAGTGCTAGCCCCACATGCAGGTGAGACTGGTCCAAATCCCAGCTCCCCTGCCCACAGGCTGTGTGGTCTCAGTCAGTCACACTCAACCCCGGTGAGCCTCAGCCTCTACATCTGCGAAGCAGAAAGAGCAAGCCATCCCTTGGCCTACTTTGATGGCCGGGGCACAGCCTGGCTGCACTGCCCATGGTGAGCAGTAAATAGACAGTAAGGCTGCTGCTGACGATGGTGGTAATGGTGATGTCAGAATCAATAGGCTGAGAAGAGAAGAAATCAAGCCCCACCACAAGGCCATGCCTGGGATCATGTCTGCTTGACCACAGGGCCCATGGGATTTCATGTGCAGCCCAGGAGCTGGCTGGCTGTCAGGGGATAAAAGAAAGAAGCTACCAGAGCTGCCAGCCATGTGCACAGTGCTGCTGTTGTTAGAAATAACAGCACCCAGTAACATAAGCTGCTGCTCACAGGAACTTCTTTTTCAATCTTACACAGTCAGAGCACTGTCAAGTGTCACTGCTGAAATGTATGGGAGTTGACCCACACTGGACCTTGGCATCCTAAAAAACTCAGAATTGATGTCCTCAGCCTGATATTTAATTGTTCTCTCAAAACCAGGGAGGGTCACAGTCATCTGCAGCAATGTAAACACCACCCCAAACTTGGTAGCGAAAAACGACTCCCGCAACTCTGGGGTGACCGGGCTCAGCTGGGCGGTTCTCACTCACGGGCTCTCAGGAGATCTCCATCAGATGGTGTCTGGAGCTGGAGTTGTCTGGAGGCACCACCAGGCTGAACACCCAAGACGGCTGTTATGGGTCAAAGTGTGCCTACCACCCAAAAAAGTCATATGTTGAAGACCTAACCTTCAGTATTTAAGAATGTGAGCTTATTTGGAAATTGGGCTATTGCAGATATAATTAGTTAAGATGGGGTCATACTTAAGTAGGGTGGGCCCTGATACACTGGTGTCCTAATAAAAAGGGGAATAGTGGGTTTTTTTAGGAGTGGGGGTTTAATAGGCAGAAGAGAAGAGAAAGAGAAACAGCTCTCTCTCTAGAGAGAGGAGGGGTTTCCAAGTGGAAAAGACCGGCTGGCAGATGCGCCAGATTTTGTAGTCCAGCTTGAGGAGGCGGTGTCTGATTTACATAAGGCTCACAGATTAGTTCCATCAGGTGTGACATTTACATAGCATGTGGGGAAGGCTGGTCACCCCACCCTAATCTTATTTTGGGGCAAGGACCTTCTGTTCCTAGAAAACCACAAGGATGCCTTCCCTTGAGCTATACCTCCGGTTACTATGACATTCCCTGATCTTGCCAAACAAGATCACTTCCCTGAACTGTAAAACTTCCCACACACTGCATACACAGAGGGGATAAGAGATATGATGGCCGCTGACAGGACAGGAGGAAATTATGATACAAAATTTGGAGATCCCGTTGCCGACACCTCATCGGGCAGTGGGAGGCGGGGGTCAGTCCAGAAGCCTTTGGATAACAACGGTAGGAGGTAGCCCCAGCCAGAAATCTTCAGTTGCCCCAGGACTTCTTTCAGCCCCACACAATAGCTAAGTCCTCTGTGAAAGAAAGCTGGCTCAAACATGGCCTATATACCCAGCAATCCTGGGTGCTGGGAGTTTCTCCATGTTCTCCCCAATAAGCCTGTCCCCCAAGTCTTATAAGGTTGGCAGCCATGCTATTGTTTTTAAATGGCTGAAGGGGACCCCGTATTTGGTTTGATTTGGTTCTAAAATGGAGGCTGAGAGCCTCGAAATGCAAGGACAGAGTTGGAGTCTGCCCCTCTACTCACTGTTTCGATGAGTATTGTACCTTGGTACCCCGGATGAGGTCCCCAGTATGAAGCAGCTACATTGTCTGGGGTATATACCTTGGGGTTCATTGTCTTGCACCAGGAAAATTTCAGACACGAACACACACGAGGAGTTTAGGAGTGAAGGTTTAACAGGCAGAAGAGAAGAGAAAGAGAAACAGCTCTCTCTCTCTCCAGAGAGAGGGGTCTCCGAGCAGAAAAGACCCAAAAAGGGCAAATGTAAACACAGAGACATACACAGCAGAACGCCATGTGAAGGTGAACGCAGAGGTGGGAGTGATGTGGTGTCTACAAACCAAGGAACACCAAAGACGGCGGCAAACACCAGAAGCCAGGGAGATGCATGGAACAGACTCTCTCCAAGCCCTCAGAAGGAGCCAGCTCCACGGCACCTGGATCTCGGACTTCGGCCCCCAGAGATGATACATTTCTATTGTCTGAACCACCCAGAACAGGTAGCATTTAGGGCAGCCCTAGTGGATTGGCTGAGTGTCTTTCTTATGTGGCTCACCGTGGGAGCTCAGCCAGGGCTCCCGAAGCAAGGACCTGCACGCAGCCTCCCTATGGGACTGAGCGACTCACAGTGTGGCCAGGTGGAAGAGTGAACGTCCCGAGAGGGAACATCTGGAGAGGGAGCAGGGTGGAGACTGTGAAGCTTCTTGGCCCACCTTGGCAGTCCTGCAACATCTCTCTGCTGCAGTCTGCTGGTCAAGTGGGTCGCTATGGCCAGCCCAGACTCAAGGGGAGGGGACTGAGGTACCACCTCTCAGTGGACAGAGCAGCAAAGGGTTTTCAGCCCTCTTTATCAGCCGCAAGCAGCTACTAACAAATGGACATTACATCGACGTGTGCATCTGTGCTGGGAAGTGTCCTATTGGCAGGAGACGTGGAGGGAGAGCAAGGTCAGAGGAGATCCAAGGTATCTACTCCTACCATGAGGAGAGTCTGTGCATTTGGGACCTATATGAGGCTGTCCCCCAGGGGGACAGAGAAACAGGGGCAGCTATTTTAAGAGAAAGGTCCAGTGACATGAACCGCAGTAGAATATATTCCATGAACTAAAATGCAGCCACATGGAAACATCATTAACTAACAATGGGCCACAGAGCTAGACATGGTGGCCCACACCTGTGGTCCCAGCTACTTTGGAGGCCAAGGCGGGAGGATCACTTGAGCCCAGGAAGTCAAGACTACAGTGAGCCATGATCGCACCTCTGCACTCCAGCATGAGTGACAGAGAGAGACCCCATTTCCAAAAAATAATGTGCCACCGAGACCAAACTCTCAATAGTATGAGCATGAATCAGGGATTTCCATACAAAACACTACCAAACGTGAGGGCACTTCCTGAGTCTGAAGTCTCGTGTTGCATCCATGAGCACAGGTGCTCTTCATGCTGCGTTCTCGGTGGAGAGTAGGGAGGTGGGCTTACCTCCTCCCCCTCCCTGCCGCCCCCCGCCCCCACTCCCTACCACCATTCCCCCGCCTACTCCAGCTGCTTGTCCTGAACCAGGGCATCACAGATCCAGGCAGTGCTGCCTCACCAGGGCCTGTTTGTCTTGGAGCCAATGGGCTGGGGTGAGGACTTGCTGGGCCAGGGCCTCTGTGATGTGCTAGGGAGGATGTGGCTCTGGGGCTCAGTCTTCCAGTAGACATCAAAGCCCCCATTCTCCCTGCTGACAGGGTTGTAGGGAAAGCACACTGCAGAGAGCTAAACAAATACAGGGGCGGCAGCCAACAGCAGAGAGACAAAATTCCTGCGGCACCTCTGATACTTCCTCCTACCTCTCTTCCCAGTAGTCCTTATAAAGGAAAGTAGTGTGTACAGGGTGGCGATGATGGAGAGGTTGAAGGAAAGTAGTGTGTACAGTGTGGCGATGATGGAGAGGTTGAAGGAAAGTAGTGTGTACAGTGTGGCGATGATGGAGAGGTTGAAGGAGAAGGGACTGACGATAGCTTCTCAGGGTGCTTCCGCAAGTCCGAGCAGGAGTCGCTGCTAAGACCCCAGGGTCCCCGGCAAGGAGCCCTCTCTGCCGGCTTCTGCAACACAAGCCCCAGAAGCTGAGCATCAACATTTCCAAACTTCTTTCTAGGTGCTGACTTGTGGCTGCATTCTCAAAATTATACACTGCATGTGCCAGGCTGCCTGCACATCTGACTTGTTTTCAAATGACAAAGAATTCAGTGACCAATCAGGAACCTGTTGTCCTTCTCCAGGGAGTGGGTAGGGGCCTCACATTCTAGTGCACCTGGCGCAGAAATGACTGGTGATGGGAAAGCTGATCTGGACAAGTTTGACCCAGGAAGGCAGTGATGGGAGCAGCCTCTACGTAACCTAACTTGAGCTCAGACTCTCTCTTTCTCTTTCTCTCTCTCTCTCTCTCTCTCTCTCTCTCTCTGTCTGTCTGTCTCTCTCTCATTCTCTCTCTCCAGAAGAGCAGTGGGAGGCCTTCAGCCCCTTTGGCTCTGCTGAGGCGTTCACACTGAGGCCCCACTCACCCAATATGACTGAGCATGGTGGGGGACTACAGCCAAGCCATCTGCCCAAGGCAGCACCCCACCAGTGAGCAGCCTGTGCACCAGGGTCCCCCCGCGGGGCTGGCTGAGGATTTCTCAGCATTTCCTACCCATCCCTCATCCTTCACCCTCTCCTTGTCCCAGGGTCAGGCTACACAGCATGGTTCCCCAGCAGACCTTCCACAAGTCACATTTCATCTTGGCATCTGCCTCTTGAACCAATGCATCATCCAAATTTACCTTGAGCTTCTCTAATGATAAGAAACTCACCAGGAAGCCTGTTCTGCTTTGATGTGATTTAAAGTTTTCTTTCTTTCTTTCTCACTCTTTCTTTCTTTCCCTCTCTCTTTCTCTCTCCCTTCCTTCCTTCTTTCTCTCTCTCTCTCTTTCTTTTTCTTTCTTTCTTTCTTGCTTGCTTGCTTTCTCTCTCTCTCTCTCTCTTTCTTTCTTTCTTTCTTCTTTTTTTCAGATGGAGTCTTGCTCTGTCACCCAGGCTGGATTGCAGTGGTGCAGTCTCAGCTCACTGCAACCTCTGCCTTCTGGGTTCAAGCAATTCTTGTGACTCAGCCTCCCGAGTGCCTGGGATTACAGGCACGTGCCACCACACCCGGCTAATTTTTGTATTTTTAGTAGAGACGGGGTTTCACTATATTGGCCAGGTTGGTCTCGAACTCCTATCTTCAAGTGATCTGCCTGCTTCAGCCTCCCAAAGTGCTGGGATTACAGGCGTGAGCCACCGTGCCTGGCCTAAAGTTATTTCTTACTGTATCATTGTGATGCTGGCAGAAAACAGATTTCTACTCAGAGGGTTCAGATGGGAACCTTTAATGGAGGGGCACTTTTCCAGGTGTGAAAGAGACAACCAGGATGACGAGCACCCGGGATGGGCAATGCCTGGGAGCTGTCAAAGCCTTACGCTGCAGGGCAGGGCTGCTTGGCGTTACTGCAGCCTAGAGAGGTGGGGCCATGTGGGTGCAGGTGCTGTCCCCCAGGGTCTGAGGCAGGGAAAGAAGGGCCACACTGTCCCCTCTCCCTGCTGGCCTGCTCCCCCTGTTCTTCGCACTGACTGTGCCTCATGGGGAAGGCAGTCTGCAGGAGCACTGGGCAGAGACAGTGCCCTGGTGTACAGGGACAGCCAGAGTGAGAAAAGCATCCCGCCTCCCCAACAGCATCCTGCCTCTGCAAAATCATCTCGCTTCCCCAACAGCATCCCACCTCCCCGACAGCATCCCACCTCCCCAATGGCATCCCGCCTCCCTGACAGCATCCCGCCTCCCCGACGGCATCCACCCTCCCCGACGGCATCCCGCCTCCCCGACGGCATCCCGCCTTCCCAATGGCATCCCGCCTTGCCTGCCTCCCCACCAGCATCCTGCCTCCCCAACAGCATCCCACATTCTCAAGAGCATCCTGCCTCCCCGACAGCATCCCACATTCCCGGCAGCATCCCATCTCCCTTCTTTAAGACCACAGGTGTGATTCTGGGCATCTCCTTTGCTGCTGTTCTCATCTGGAGCCTTACCTGTGATTCCCCTAGAATTTACTTTCAGATTTCAGCCTTGAGATTCCCTCCATCCCTCTCTGGGCTCATGCTACAGGCCTCAAGATGAAGCATCTATCTCCCACCGACACTCTCCTCTCAAGACACTAACCGCAGCCAGAACTAGCTGTTGCTGAGGGTGTGCCACTGACAAGGCCCTGAAGTCATCACTGTCTGCTCTCTACTCATGCTGTCTTGGGTGGAAACACTTGGCCAACTGAAAATATCTACCAAACCACAGAACTCTATGAACTTCTTGTTCACAGTTACTCATTCCAGCAGGCAGGGACTGCCAGAGCCTGCCTCCTTCCACAAACTGTGTGTGGCTGAGATAAGTTTCCAGCCAACCTAGGAGCCTCTTTCATGCCAAGTTTGCAGACCTCTGGGAACGGTGCACACAGCACTGTATGCCCAACTCTGTGCTTTCAAACCAGAACCAGAGCCCAAGGACAGTCACCATCATTGAGTTATAATGTACAAAAGATGAAATATACAAAAATCCAAATTCACCCAAGGAGTCTCAAGGGAGCTGATTGCTTATCCATTGTGTTTTTAATGGGATCTCCATGTGATGCACAAAGCCTGGATTTTTATCCGCAGTAGCAGCTTAACTGATGCACTGGTCCAAACATAATGCTGTAGCTTGCTCACATAAAAGCCAGGGAGCCCCTCACAGGGATAGGAATGAGGTTCCCCTTTATCAGCAGTGCCTTGGATCAGAAGTGTAGTGCCCCAGACTATGTGACTCTTACGCAGGAGAATTGGGGGATTAAATTACGGCAAGCTTTTTATTCCAATACTATATCACAGCATGAAATAAAGTCTCAAAAATGACAACAGGCTTTGATTTTTAATGAAAATCTCAGACAGTTGTTTTCCAGACATACATCTGCTGCCGAAGGAAAAAACACATCTCCTCAGTTATTTACTCCCATTCTGAGAGTAACATTGAATTCCTAGGAGCCAATGACCAGAAGCGAGGAGGAACTCAAGCCTTCCCTACTCCGGCAGCACATACACCAGCTCACCTGGGATGCTGCAGAGACAGAAACAGCCGACTCGGAGACCTCAGGGAGCCCAGAGCTCCTGGCAACAGCTGGACCTTTAAGCCACAGGCCTTCATAGAGATTGCCCAGCCTGCACTGAATGCCTGCAGGGTGGAGAACCCACTCCCCATGATGCTGAGTGGAGGACAGGCAGGCTTCACTCGCCACCACATTCTCAGGCCCAGCCTTGCTCTAAGTGGGTGTCAAGGTGGTATCTCATACACGCCTGTCCTTTGGAACCACACGACAAGGCTAAACTTCACAGGAACACTGCAATCTTAGAAAACAGCAAAGGTTAATGACTTTCTTCACAGAATTGGAAAAAACTACTTTAAAGTTCATATGGAACCAAAAAAGAGCCTGCATTGCCAAGTCAATCCTAAGCCAAAAGAACAAAGCTGGAGGCATCACGCTACCTGACTTCAAACTATACTACAAGGCTACAGTAACCAAAACAACATGGTACTGGTACCAAAACAGAGATATAGACCAATGGAACAGAACAGAGCCCTCAGAAATAATGCCACACATCTACAACTATCTGATCTTTGACAAACCTGACAAAAACAAGAAATGGGGAAAGGATTCCCTATTTAATAAATGGTGCTGGGAAAACTGGCTAGCCATATGTAGAAAGCTGAAACTGGATCCCTTCCTTACACCTTATACAAAAATTAATTCAAGATGGATTAAAGACTTAAACGTTAGACCTAAAACCATAAAAACCCTAGAAGAAAGCCTAGGCAATACCATTCAGGACATAGGCATGGGCAAGGACTTCATGTCTGAAACACCAAAAGCAATGGCAACAAAAGCCAAAATTGACAAATGGGATCTAATTAAACTAAAGAGCTTCTGCACAGCAAAAGAAACTACCATCAGAGTGAACAGACAACCTACAGAATGGGAGAAAATTTTTGCAATCTACTCATCTGACAAAGGGCTAATATCCAGAATCTACAAAGAACTCAAACAAATTTACAAGAAAAAAACAAACAACCCCATCAAAAAGTGGGTGAAGGATATGAATGGACACTTCTCAAAAGAAGACATTTATGCAGCCAAAAGACACATGAAAAAATGCTCATCATCACTGGCCATCAGAGAAATACAAATCAAAACCACAATGAGATACCATCTCACACCAGTTAGAATAGCGATCATTAAAACGTCAGGAAACAACAGGTGCTGGAGAGGATGCGGAGAAATAGGAACACTTTTACACTGTTGGTGGGACTGTAAACTAGTTCAACCATTGTGGAAGTCAGTGTGGGGATTCCTCAGGGATCTAGAACTAGAAATACCATTTGACCCAGCCATCCCATTACTGGGTATATACCCAAAGGATTATAAATCATGCTGCTATAAAGACACATTCACACGTATGTTTATTGCGGCACTATTCACAATAGCAAAGACTTGGAACCAACCCAAATGTCCAACAATGATAGACTGGATTAAGAAAATGTGGCACATATACACCATGGAATACTATGCAGCCATAAAAAATGATGAGTTCATGTCTTTGGAGGGACATGTATGAATCTGGAAACCATCATTCTCAGCAAACTATTGCAAGGACAAAAATCCAAACACCACATGTTCTCACTCATAGGTGGGAATTGAAGAATGAGAACACATGGACACAGGAAGGGGAGCATCACACACCGGGGCCTGTTGTGTGGTGGGGGGAAGCGGGAGGGATAACATTAGGAGATATACCTAATGTTAAATGACGAGTTAATGGGTGCAGCATACCAACATGGCACATGTATACATATGTAACAAACCTGCACGTTGTGCACATGTACCCTAAAGCTTAAAGGTTAATTTAAAAAATAATAATAAATAAAAATAAATAAAAAGAAAAAAATTAGAGCTAAAAAAAAAAAAAGAAAACAGCGAAGGTTAAGAAATCGCCCCACCTTTTATGTTCTGAGAACACTGAAAAAACCCCTCATATGACTTAGATAAGAGTCACAGTTGCCCACCCCCATTTACCTATGATAAGGTCAGATACAGACCCTCAAACTCCCTTTCCTTGAGTCATAAGTGATGCACTGAACTTCCTGTCCCACTGATCAATTGGAACAAAATGCTGGCTAACCACACTGTGGCAAAACATCTCTCCTTCTGAGCCAGTGCACAGCCCCTCCTGAGAACACTCTGGGATGTACCGTCTGGTCTCAATCATGCCATCTCCACTCCTTCAAGCCACTTTCCCCACTTGGTTCTTTCTGGCCTTGTTGGCTCCCCTTCATAAAAGAAACGCCCTCTTTGCCTCACCCTTGTGACGCTGGCAGACCCCACAGTTGGAGTGATCTCCTTCCTGTGGCAATAGCCCTCTTCCCCATGCAAGAATCTTTTCCAATAACGTCTCTCCTTACTAAGACCGGATTAGTTTTCATTTGGTGCGTCACAGCCATGATATCGACAGTAGTCGGCACCATCCCCGCAACTGCGCACACACACCTGCCATGCCCCTTGTTGCCTGCGTGATCTAATTCTGTACAGCATTACTATTACCAGAAAGAGAGAGCAAATGGCAGAGAGAGAAACTGAGGTGCCAGGGCATCAGAAAGTGAATGAAGAAGTGCTGAAGCCATCCCAACTCACTCTGAGCCAAAATCTCCCCACTCTTCTGGTCGTGCACAATCCATCGATTCCTGAGTTTTGCACAGTGTTCCAGTGTTCCTCAGTGTCACAACTACCTCACCACCCTCCCCTGCAAGATCTCAGAGGCCTTTCCTCTGTGGTTGAATGATGAGCATCTACAATGCTTGTGAAAGATTCTGTCAGTCTCCCAGAAGATCTGAGATTACCAGGTTCTGAGAATGAAGTGGGTCAATAAATAAAGTCAATTGGGGTGTGGCTCTGTAGAGTTGAGAGGGTGTGACAGAGACCCTGTTTCAACGGTGGCCATAGCAGTCCTGTCCTGAAGCTCTTCTCTGATGTGACCAATGTTCCTCCCACCCAGGGTTGGTCTACACCCCCGCCCCTGAAAATGCGGGCTCTTGATGCCCCCAGGATGGACACAATGCTGTGTGACTTCTCAACTGAGCAAGACAACAAAAGGGGTCAGAGGCCACCAGTGTCTCCCTCCCTCTCGCCCTCCTCCTCCCCTTCCCCCATTCCCTCCTCTGTGTCTCCCTCCTCCTCCCCTTCCCCCACTCCCTCCTCTCTGTCTCCCTCCTCCTCCCCTTCCCCCACTCCCTCCTGTCTCCCTCCTCCTCCCCTTCCCCCACTCCCTCCTCTCTGTCTCCCTCCTCTCTGTCTCCCTCCCTCTCACCCTCCTCCTCCCCTGCCTTCCTCTCTCTCTTCATCTCTCCCTCTCTCCCCCTGTCTCCCTCTTCCTGCTCCTCCATCTCCCTTTCTATCTCTCTCCCCCGCTCCTCCATGCTTGCCCATGGAACCGGCCACCATGTTATAAAGAAGCCCAGTCCACATGGAGAGGCTCATGTGGTGTCCCAGCTGGAGCCAGCACCCTGTAGGCTTGTGGCTAGATGAGTCTTCAGAGATTCCAGTCTATGACCTTCACATCTTCCAGCTGAGGCCCATGATGGAGCAAAAGCAAGCCATCCCACTGTGCCATGTCTGAACTTCTGACCCAGAGAAACTGTGGGAGATAGTAAAATGATCACTGTAGTTGGAAGCCCCCATGTTTAGAGGACATATGTTATGCAGTAAAGGACAACCAATCCAAGTGGAGATGGAGATGATATGCCAGTGGGTCAAAGCTCCACACCCTCCTTCTCCTGCCCCCTCACCTCTGCCCAGGCCACCCGCCAGCTTCTCATGCTCTGCCTGTCTCTCCTGCTCACTCTCTCACGGAAGGCCCCACTTCTCATGCCTGGTAAGGCTGCTCTCTTGTTTCTGCTACCAGTTCCTGTGGACCCATCTGCAGTCATCGCCGCCAGGTGTTCCTGCTTCAGCCGTCTCTGCAAGGCCACAGATCCAGCAGCCAAGAGTTGCGTACAGCCTGGCCATCTGTGAGAGATGTGGCTTCCCAATTAGAGGTGACATTTCAGACGAGTCAACCCAGGAGCCGCAGCCTCCGCACAAAGACGCACTGTGAATAATCACAGAGATAACAAAGTGACTGCTAGAAAGAATTCATTAATTGGGATCATCTTCACCCCAGAAATACATGTGAACATGACATTTGACAGCATCTAAATTCTAATTTCACACCTGTCTGCAGCCACTACCTCCTTTCTCCTTCAGCTCATCCACTCTGACACCTCCTGCTATCCATCCAGAGCTTCACCCAGACACCATCCCACCCCACCCCCACTTCCTCACCCTGCAACAGTCCCTCCTGCACCAGCCTGGGTTGCAAGACCCTGCAGGGAGCCCACCAGCCCCCACGACATGGGTGCATCCCACCTGCCCTGGGCCGGACTCTCCCTCCAGGCCTAGGACTGTGCATTCCTCATCTTCCCCCCATACTTGGTCCTACCCCTGCTCACGACCTTTGCTCCTATTTCACCCCAAAAAAGTAGAAACAGGGGCTGGCTCTACCCTTAGGCCTGGCTGCCTCTGCTGCCCCCAGTTGCTGGTAAGCCGAGGGTTCCACTGGCCTCGGGGACTCACACCCACCCACAGCTTCTCTGGGGCTGTGCCCCTTCCCTGGCCCTGGCTATCCCATCAGAGTCTGGCCTGCTCTCCACTTCTCTCTCGCCCTAAATGCTCTTTTCTTACCCGTGGAAGTTCTCACTATAGACACGTTCACCCATTCCCATAAACTCAAATAACCCTATAAGCCTAATGACTCCCTGTTATAAATCCAGACCCATTTCTCCCCTCAGCTCCAGTTTTGATTTTCCAGGGTTTACCCCATGTGGATGCCTCATGAACTTTATACACAGAAGGGCTCACATGTGCTCTGGTTTCCTCCACACACGGTAGGTCAAGGCAGGAAAGGCGGTTCCTCCCTTTCCTCACCCCAACAGCAATGCCAGATTATGAAATCCCCAAAATGCATCTCACCCATGGCCCCTTTGCTCCGTTTTTCACTCCTGTCACCTTCCCTGACCACCACGACCTCTCTTCAAGTGCTTCAGATTGCGCCCATCCATTCCTACCCACCACCACCCGCCCTGTCCCCCTCCCCTCCCACTCCAGCTCTCCAACCCATTTCCCACAGAGCCCGGGGAGGGGGGTGCCCTTTAATGTGCATGCATTACATCACTGCTGCACCTGCAACTATTTTGACAGCTCCCATTAGGTATGAACAGCATTCCTCCCTGTTCCTTGCCACACCAGGCTAGGCGTGACCTGTCTCCAGAGGCTCCTCCAGCCTCATCCTATGCCACTCTGTGGCAGGAATGCCTTCCCACCAACCTTGTGCACCAGCCATGGGGTCCTCCTTCTGCTCCTTGAACACTCCCAAATCTAGTCTACCACAGGGCCTTTGCATTAGCTATTCTCTTTGCCTACAATGATCTTTCCCCCGATCTTCACGGACTTGGCTAAAAGCCTACTCTTAGAGGCCTTCTCTTGACAATCCTGTCTACACCCAGTCTTCCCTTTCTTACTTGCTAGTCACTCCTTCTTTGCAATTCCTTTATTTATAAATAGATCATGCAGGGTTCTAGGTTCTGTTCCCTTCATAACATACAATGTGCCCCAAATTTCTTTATCATCTTCTGTGTTTGTGTGTGTGTGTGTGAGCGTGTGTGTTATCTGTTTTGCCACCCAAGGGCAGGGCCATGACTCTTGTTTATTGCTGTATTTCACATTCAAAAGTACACACCTGGCAGTAAGTCGATGCCCAGTTACTATCTGTTGAACAAGCGAGTGAAAGAGTGAATATGTGTATGTCATGAGCAACACCAAGGACAGTGCAGAGTTTTCCTTGTAATCCTGAACCCCAGAAGATGAAAAAGGATGAAAAACGTTGTCATCAATGTTTTCTATTGTGTGCGACCTCTCAGGGACATTGATAAACAGGACAAAAATGTAGAGACTTGTTAATCACAGGAAAAGAGCTGCCCTTTCTCCAGGGACTCAGGGGAGGAGGCGTCACTCTGACTTGTGCACTCTGTCTGCGACCTTCTGATAAAGAGCTGACAAATCAAGTCAACTCAGACGGCTGTCATTTTGTGCGTTAGGAGGTGTTTGAGGTAACAGCTGTCTTTATTCCTAGGAGTGGTAAGGCAAGAAGGAGCTGTCAGTATTTCCCACACTGGAGGCTGCCTCAAATAAAAGCATTCCTGGTGTAAGGACAGCCATAGATGTTACTGCACTAACAGCAACCTGGTAACCTTTGTCACCAGGGTTCTCAGCTAACAACATCTTGGTTCATTGCTTTGACTGATGAAGCTCTGGAAACCTAAGTGATTTTCTTTGTGTTTGTCCTGGACGATGAGGCAAGCAGAGAAAGATAAATCAGAAAGTTCTTTGTAAAATATTGTCAGGTTCCCAAAATGATCCTTGGAAAAAAGGATATAGGCTTATCTGTCTTTACTTTTTAGAAATACAATTAATGACAGACACAGACTATTTTAGTGTCCCCACATCCTGTCTATCAAAGACAGGGAATCAGATTGTTCTTTCAAAGATTGCCCTGTTCATTTACTTTAAAAACATCTTGAGCACCCATCTTCAGCCAAACACTAAACTGGATCCCAAGAAATAGAAATGACCAAGACACAATCCTGATCTCCATGATCAGGATTGCTGGTAAGTGAAGAAGGCAGAAAAATAAGCAAAAGATCCCAAAATGGCAGGATAGGACTGTGATGGAGGTGTTCCCAGGGCTTCACCAGATGGGTAAGTGGAGGAGTGAGTGAAGGTAGCAGCAGAAGAGGCAGAGAGAGCTCTCGGGGGGGATGGATGACTGGAGGAGCTTCATTCTGGGCAAAGGCCAAGAATGTCAGTGCTGGAGGGTGACGGGATTCAGTAGACTGGCCTATGCTCTTTGTCCAAGGCTTGGCATCTAACATGTTTAAATGCAGAGCTCTGCCCACAGGAGGCCAGGCAAGGGAATGGTCAGTGCTGGAAACATACCTTTTATAGGAACTCGGTGGCCATAGTGTATGGCACCTTCTCTTTGTAGAGCACTCAATGAAGACATGCTTTTATTTGGTTATGCCCCATCTTCCCAAAGACCTGGAAAGCTCTTTCCTTCACCACTAACCCCCACCACCAAACATCTTTTGGAGACAATCCTAGCCCAGGCCCAGGGCCAGGTATTGAGGACACAAAGATGAGGAAGATGCCATCATCACCCCTCAGGTACAACAATCAAGCAGACCTTGAAGGCCAGGACTTCCTTTATCTCCTTAAACCCCCACTGCATGCATAAAATAAAATGGGAAACTTACAAATCATTGTTGGCTGAGTTCCTTCCCCAACTCTGTCTTTCCCTTCATTCCTCCTGAATTCCAGCCAATGGCAGATTCACAGGGAACACACTTCCAGAAAGCAGAGAGCACAGAGCAAGGGAGTGGACGACAAATAGCAATGCTGAAACTTTCACCATGTTTGTCAGATGTCATAAACACTTAAAAAATGATTATACTGACTGTGATGACATTGGAATATGGAATAAAGAATTTTTATAATTGTTAAATATGTGAAGCGTACCCCAGACATCGTGATATGTCACCCCTAAATACTTGGTATGAGGACATTTTAAAAACTGACTCTGGTAGATTCAGGGCCATATCTTCAGAACAAATAATAACAATAATAATCTTTGACACTGAAATAACATGTAGAAGGAATTAGATTTTTGGTGTAGAGCTAAGGAGTTCAAATATATATATAAATATATTTGATATATATATATTTGATACATAAATATATATAAATATATTTGATATCTATACATTTTTTATATATATATATATCCTTCAAGTTTTTATATAGAGAGTGAATTTCATGGAGTGAGTAATTGAAGCTTTATTTAATTATTTATTTTACTTTCTGAGACAAGCTCTCATTTTGTCACCCAGGCTGGAGTACAGTGGTGTGATCATAACTCATTGCGGCCTCGAACTCCTGGGCTCAACTGACTCTCCTGCCTCAGCCTCCCAAGTAGCTAGAACTATAGGTACACGCCATTGCTCCCAGCTAATTTTTTTTAGAGACAGGGCCTTGTTATGTTGTCCAAGCTGGTATGAGACCTCAAGAGATCCTCCTGCCTCAGCCTCCCAAAGTGCTGGAATTACAGATGTGAGCCACTGTGTCCGGGCAACAGCAGTTAAACTTAGATTGTCATTTATTTACTTACTCTCAATACAGAGTAGTTGATGCTGCTGTCAAAGTAGAAGAAATAGCCCCAGAGAACCTTTCAGCCACTCTCAATAAGTTGGTCTAGTGTCTGTCTGTTTCAGTTATCTATTGCTGTGTAACAAACCAACCCAATGCTTGTGGCTTAAAATAACAATGTACTATATATATCACAGTTCTGTGGGTTGCCTAGGCAATTCTCCTGTACTAGTCAGGGTTTGCTGCTGTGGCTATCTTCAGCTGATGGCTGGGCTGGGCTGGGCTGGACAGCCCAGGATGACCTTGCCCCCACGTCTGGTTGGCACTGGTGGTGGCTGCTGGCTGGAATGTCTCAGTCTTCTTCCCACAGGCTGCACCATACTTCCACCTATCATGGAGGTCTCAGGCTCCAAGAGAGTGAGAATGGGAGTTCTCGAGACCAGAACTAGAATGTCATTCCTCCAGTCTGCTGGTCAAAGCAATTCCCAGGGCTAATCCAAATTAGAGGCTTCACTTCTTGCTGGGAAGAACAGCAACTTCACGTCGCAGAGGGGTGTAGCCCTAAGAGGCTTCGCTGGGAACCATTTCACTATAAGCATGTGTCACAGTGCCAGGAAAAGCACAAAGGAACCTCAGGATGTGCAACATTTAGGCCTCTGCTAAAGGTTGAAAGGAAGGGAGATATTCCCCAAGAGATCCTCTGATGATCAAGGGGACAGGCTGCTACACATGGGAGGGATGCCTGGCTCCCGTGTCAAAGCTGCACATTTGCTATGTCTCATTAAGGTGTTTCCTTCAAATTCCTGGGGAAATGACCATCGGCATGTCTCCCTATGGCCTTCACTAGAAATGCTTTTTCACTCAGAAATACAATTACAAACAAGCATGCATCCAGGGAGTACAACCCCAGCCGGCATGTGTCAATGCATCAGCCGCCGGTTCAGTGAATAGAACTATGAGAAAACGTGTTTTTCTGGTCTCACTTTGGGCTGAAGGTCAGTTTCATTCCCATTCAAAGAGAGCGTCGGGTCACCCAAGGCTCCTCCACACCCTGGCTGATCCAAACAAACATGCTGTTCTTGGCAGACCAAAACTCCTGTCTCTGCAGGATTGCTCTCTGGAGTCCAGCGTTTTCATGCTCCATCTCCAAAATGGGGCCACGAGGGAAATTGCTCAAGACACAGAGTTTTGATCAGCACAAAATATACCCCTCCTGAGAACATGAGCACACATGGAGAGCCATGTACACCAGGTGAGAACCAGCTTCAGTCCCATCTCCGTGCCCTTTCCCATCAGCCAGTCCTGCCCAAGCAGGGACATTCGCCCCACTTTCTAAACAAGCACACTGAATTCAACAATATTCTGGCAAGTCATGAAGAGCTGTTGTCTCGTTCATTTTGGTCCCACCATCACCTGGCAAGATTTCAATGCACTCTGGCTGCAGGCTCCTCCTGCTGAGATCATTCCTGTGTATCCCCGACACATCCACCCTCATTCATTTCCCCTGTCCTCACAGACCAATCCAGGGTACCTGGAACAGTCAGGGACCTTGTTTGCAAGCAACAGAGTCTGAAGCTGGCTAAGGCAGGCCAAAAGGGAAATTTCAATAGAAAGCTGTCTAAGAGCTCACAGAATCAATGCACAGTTTGGCAACCAGTCTTACATGTTCCTCTGGGTATATCATGCACCCCTAATGTGGCTGAGAGGTTCCAAGAAGCCTCTGCTGTTTAATAACATCTACACTGAGACCTGAGAGATGTACAAGACTCACCAGTGCAAGGTATCAGGAGGACCCAGCAGAGCCACTCCCTGCCAGCCTCCCTCAGTTTCCATCAGCTCTCTTGCACCAGACATCACTGGGCTTCCAGACCTTACACCACCTAGGGATGTCCTAGTCTGGTCTTGGGGAAGTAGTGCTCCTTTGGGAGTCAGGAAGTCGAAATATTTTTTCCTGCCCCAGGATCCAGGGAATGACACTACTCAGCTATGGGCTTAGTTCCTTCCAGATATGGAAGCATGTGGACTTTGTGACTTTGAAGGCCCACCCAGTCTTATGTTCTATTTAGCAGCAGAGAATCCCAGCTTCTCTGTGTTCTACCTCCAGCTTTATAGAATCATGGCATGTTTTGCAGAGTAGTCACTGTGACTACTACTGCTTACTGAGCACCTAGTCAACCACAGGCTGTGCCCTAATGAAGGTAACACTGAGGTTCCTAAGCTTCACAGCAACCCTGAGCCAGAGGACCCCGGACTCCTGTTTACCTGTCCCCCAGATATCTCTGGGCTACTAAACTCTCACAGTACAAATTATCCCAATGCGCAAATAAAATGGTTCCAATCCCCACTCCGCTCCCAGATGGCAACCATACCTGAGTCCACAGACTATTCAGCAGCCAGCACAGAGTGTCCACCATGCTCCCTGTCCCCTCAGTGGCTGTTCCTTGTTAACTTCTGCTGCCCACAAACCACCTGCCACTTGTGCCTGTCACAGGCACACCACGCTCCACATCCTGAGCTCTCCCAGCTATTTGGATGTTGAGGCAGGGCTGGGCTCTGTGCAGGGTGAGGGGTTCTTCTATCATGTATGTGGTCCCTTGGGCCCAAGGCAACTTGGCCTTCATCCAGATGCCTCATGGGGTTCTTTTCTTAAGGCCCATTCTTCCAACTCTGCCTTGCCCAGACCCTGTCCACAGCACTGCGTTCAAATGTCCTTCCATCTTCTCTAAGGGCCACCATGCACAGTCACATTGTTCTTTCCTCCTTTGAGTAAAAAACCAAAGTTCCAGACAGAACAAGTCACTTAATCTGCAGGGCCCAGTGCAAAATGAAAATGCAGGTTCCCTTGTTCAAAACTGACTAAGAATCTCAAGACGATGACCACAAAGCATTAACCTAGCATGGGGCCCTTCTGAGCCCTGTGCGACTGCACATACCATGTGCTGGGAAGTCAGCCCTGGCGCCAGGCACCTGGGTGGCCATGCACGGGTGGTGAGGAGGATCTAATGTGCATGTCAAAGGCCAAAAGATCCCATGTGGGAAAACCAAGATGCTCTATGTTTGTGCAACTTTCCCATGGCTTTCTTCCACTCCACCCCTCCAAAGTGCTCAGCAAATGAATTTAACAACTGAATGAAAGCGGGGAGGAACAAACCTATGAGTTGGCAGGAAGCAAGACTGGTGCTTGGGTTTCCTGGCTCCTTCTTCATTGTTTCCACTCTTCCCAACTGCCAACCCTGTGCTGTAGGAGTTGTTTGCCTTAAGGGAAAGGTATAATTTTAAATTTATAACTAGGTCAGAGTAGCCCAGAAACTTTTTCTATCCTTGCTAGGGAGCTCGTGCCCCACCCTCTTGAGTGACTTTCTCAAAATATTTTGCAAATGTCCTCTCCAGTTTCCAGATTCGCCTGTGTCAACACAAGATTGGTAAATTAACCAGAAAGTATAGGACCTGAACTCAGACGCTCAGAATTGAGATCCCTGCTTGAAAGTGAGAACTCAAGCACCTTCAAAAGTGTCATAAAGCAAAATCGCCCGGCTGTCCTTCCATCTCCATGGGGGAAGATATTTTTTGGAAGGGCTTCGATGATTTCCCTATAATATTTTTGCCTGTGTCACTACAAGACTCTGTCCTAAGCCCAAGCAGAAGCCCCTGTGAGAAGCTGCAAGAGCAAAACTATATGGTATAGAGGGAACCACTTGCAGACAGGCTTGTTTTGCAAACTACTTGTATTTGTCTTATTTTTTATTTATTTTTTTCGCGACGGAGTTTTGCTCTTGTCACCTAGGCTGGAGTGCAATGGCACAATCTCTGGTCACTGCAGCCTCACCCTCCTGGGTTCAAGCAATTCTCCAGGCTCAGCCTCCCAAATAGCTGGGATTACAGGCATCCTCCACCATACCCGGCTAATTTTTGTATTTTTAGTAGAGATGGGGTTTCACCATGTTGGCCAGGCTGGTCTCAAACTCTTGACCTCAGGGGATTCTCCTGCCTCAGCCTCCCAAAGTGCTGGAATTATAGGCATGAGCCACTGTGCTCAGTCCTTTTTTTTTTTTTTTTTTTTTTGTCTGCCCTAATCCTCTAAATAAACAACAATTAAGCTAACAGCAGTGAGAGGATAAAACCAACATAATCTTTTCTGTGTTCTTGTTGCATCCAGACCTTGCAGGCATCGTGCACCCTGAATTATGCTTCTTCATCCACCCCTCACCCTTACCAACTGAACACATTATTCCCCAAGGTGAGATGCAATATTATAAATGGGTCCTAGAGCGACGAGCGGCTGAGCTCTGCAGGAGAAGCCCACACAGGGAGCTGTGTGGAGGGTGGGGGCCAGTGCTGGAAGAATTCTGGTTTTCATTAAGTTTAGGCAAAGTTAACCACATGGACGTATTCTTTTCTGCTAATTTCAGACATTCTGAGTTTTAAAGTGCAAACTAAATGCATTACATATCTAGAAGACACTGGAAGAAGGCAGAAGGGATGATATAGTCTGTTGTGGAAATCGAGAAGTGGACTTCCTCAAAGGGCACATGGCAATGCAATTACGGCAAAGCATGGCTGCTGGAGGATGGAGCTCTTTAAAGCAGTCCCATGAATCTTGCTGTGCCAATGTCAATCCTCACCTGCCTTCTTTCCCTGCCCCAGCCCTGCCAGGTGTGTTTTTTTAAATCTTGATTTTCTTGTGAAGTAAGATCTTGTTAATTAGAATGGAAACAGCAACAATTTTCAAACAATATGTCTTTTGGTTATTCATCTATCAGAAAGAAGAGAAGTTGATATCTGGGAATAACTAGGAACAATTCATGTTTGGGTTTTCCCTATAAAATGGAAGAATAGAGCTTCAGTTAAATAAGCCATCATGGAATGGGAAAGGCCATGGTGAATGCTGTGTTGTGGTTTCCCAGACACCCCTCATCCCCTAACAGACCACGATGGTGGCGCCAAAGGCTCCCTGCTAAGCCCGTCTGGGAAATTTCCTTGGCCTAAAGACAGCCACGTGGCCCAACGCCCACCCCTCCACCTGAGTTCCATGTTGTCTACCTTCTGATGTGAATTTCCTTTATTCATTCTTAGAAGAGGTTCCATGGTACAGTAAGATTGCAAAAGTCCAGTGACAAGGCCCAGAGGTGGGGTGTGGAGGGGAGCAGAGGTGGAGAGAGAAAGAAATAATAATGCAATAAACCAGTACGCCACACACTTGGGATACTCAGTAAATGTTTGTTGGGTTATTGATCTATTTATGGAAACACTTGTAAATAACTAAGGACTGATGATCCTGAAAGCAAAATATAGTCTTCCTCCCACTTCTCCTGAACTTGAAGAATCTCACAGAATTCTGTATTTATACCAGCAGCATATGATATGATTTGAATCCTGTTATTTCATGAGATGTTTAAACCAGACTTTCTCAATCTCAGCATGATTAACATTCGGGGCTGGGTAATTCTTTATTGTGTGGTATTGTCCTGTGCATTGAAGTATTTTCTAAGTAATGCCCCTGACATCTACTCACTCAATGCCAGCAGCACCCCCAGTCCCAGTGTGACCAGCTGTCTCCAGACACTGTCAAATGTCCTCTGGGAGCAAAATGTCCCGCCTTGAGAACCACTGATTTAGAGCAATGACCCAGAAGAACTAAATATTTATTCAAGAAAAGAACTCTGAATTATTTTGACTCAGATCTGCAAGAACATTTTTATCTATTTTTTTTTTTTTTTGAAACAGGGTCTCACTCTATCACCCAGACTGGAGTGCAGTGGCATCATCTCTGCTCACCACAACCTCCCCACTCCCAGGCTGAAGCAATTCTCCTGCCTAAGCCTCCTGAGTAGCTGGGATTAGAGTTGCATGCCACTACCACTTGGCTAATTTTTGTATTTTTAGTAGAACGAGTTTCACCATGTTGGCCAGGCTGGTCTTGAACTCCTGACCTCAAATAATCCACCCGCCTCAGCCTCCCAAAGTGCTGGGATTACAGGCCTGAGCCACCATGCCCGGCCTGCAAGACCCTTTTTCAATAAAAATTGGCCAGCTGGAAACAAGATCCCAGACTCCACAGTGATCTGGTCCAAGCATCCTGGTTCTCCACGGTTGTTGTGTCTTCCTCCCCATAAAAGCCAGGAGCCCCTCTCACGCTGCTTATTTGTTCCGGCATTCATCTAGCTGAGCACCTGTTGCACATCAGGCATTGCTCTGAGTAATGCGGATAAAGCTGCACACAAGACGGAGGCTAGCCCAGCCTCAAAGAACTTTCCCTCTAGTGGAGAGGAAGGGGACGGCACACAAGGAAATGAATATACAACTTCAGTGGGAAGTCCACGTGAAATGGAAGAGTTCCCTGAACCTCCTCACATGACACGCAATAGGGGTGTGGCTCATCTGTTTGGCCACCTCACCTGTGCAAACCCCTTACAGGAAGGGGAGCATGCAGACAAGCAGGTGCAGGAGCCAGGGCAAGCACCTTGGGGCTCCAGCCCCATGGTAGCTTCTAGGGGTGGGTGCCTGCAACTCCCAAAGCCCAAGTAGGCATGTGTTACCATGCATTCTTTTAGCTGTGCTGCCTGCAGATAGCTTAAGTGTTAACCAGCTCAGTGCCCTCATGGTACCTAGGTCCTTGTCCGGCATCCAGGAAGAATCAGGTCACACACAGACTTGAGGATGGTGAATGCAGGGTTTTATTGAGTGGTGGAGGTGGCTCTCAGCGGGATGGATGGGGAGCTGGAAAGGGGATGGAGTGGGAAGATGATCTTCCCCTGGAGCTTGGCTGTCCTGCAGTCTATCTCCTCTCTGACCTCCCCCAGCTGAATTTCTCTTGGCGTTCAGATGGTCCCTTTCTTCTCTCTGCCATGCCATTCTGCTGTTCTTCTGTTCTTCTGCTCGTTCCCTCGTCTGCTTCTGAAGCCTAGGGTCTGGGGTTTGTACAAGTACAGGATAGGGGGGCACAGCAGGCCAAAAGGCAACTTTTGGGCTTGAAAACAGGAAGGGCTGTTCCCATTTAGGGCCACGGGTTTCCAGGCTTGAGGGTGGGATCTTTGCTGGGGAACCGCCCACTTCTCAGTATTTCCCTGTCTCCTGTCCTTATCACGTGTAGAGAAAAAAGGCACTCAGCTAGAGAGGGATGGGGAAGGTGTGAGCTGTTTTAGGTAGGAGGGTCAGGGAAGGTCTCTCAGATGAGGTGACATTTGAGCAGAAACTAGGATGAAAAGAGAAAGCCAGCCCTGTCAGCGTCCACTGCAAGAACAGCTAACCTCTAACCCTCAGCCCTGGGAAAGGCGCAAACACAGCTTGCTCTGAGAACAGCAAACAGGGCACTGGAGCTGAATTGGTGTGAACAAGGGTACAAGGGGGAGAAGATGAGGTGGGGAGATGGAAGGTGCATGCCATGCAGGGACTTGGCTTTGATTCGATTTTGGCTTATAGTCAGAGTGAGCGGGAAGCCAAAGGAGGGTTTGAGCTGGGGGGGACTGACAAGTTTCTAAAGAACCACTGTGGTTGCTATGTTGGAAATAAAAAATGAGGGGGTTGGGTAAGGGCAGGGGCAGGAAACTATATCAGAGATGTAGCTAATTAGGATCAGCTGCATGGGGCCAAAATTCCCAAATAACAATGACTTCAGTAACACAGTTGCTTCTCTCTCTAATGTAAACCAAGTATAGAGATAGGCCGATTGAGGCTGGTAATGGAGACCTTAAATTTTCTTCCAGCCTGCTTCCCCGCCATCCAACATTGCTGCCTCACAGTCCCAGAGGGTGGTTCAGTCCCAGCCAGCACGCCTGCATTCCAGCAAGCTGCTGTAAGGAAAGGTCAAAGAAGAACCCATTCTGTCCTTTTAAGTGTATTTCCTAGAAGTCGTATAGGACACTTCTGTTTATTTCCTATTGGCCAGAGCTCCAGGGGAGGCTGGCAAATGCAGGTCTGTATTCTGAGCTACCATGTGCCCTCCCACTTCAAAATAATCGGGAGTTCTGTTCCTAAGGAAAAAGGGGGATGAATGCGGGAGACCATTAGCCATCTTTACCTTGGAGAAGACTGCACCAGTCCAGGTGAGAGATGATGGAGGCTCAACTGGGACGGGGAGAGTGGGGGTGGGGATGAAAAAGAAAAAAACTTATCTGAGGAATATGAGTCTTTTTAAATGTCAAACCCACAACAAGCATGTTAAAAAAATGGTTAACATCACTAATCATCAGGGAAATTCAAATTAAAACTGCAATAAGGTATCACCTTACTCTGCAAGAATAACATTAAAAAGTCAAAAAACAATAGATGTTTGTGTGGGTGTGGGTGAAAAGGGAATGCTTATACACTGCTGGTGGGATGTAAATTGGTACGACCTCTGTGGAAAACAGTATGGAGATTTCTTAAAGAATTAAAAGTAGATCTACCATTCGATCCAGCAATCTCACTCCTGGGTTATCTAAACAAAGCAAAATAAATTATTATATCAAAAAGACACCAGCACATGTATGTTTATTGCAGCACAATTCACAATCACAAAGATATGGAACCAACCTAAGTGTCCATTGACCAACGGGTGGATAAAGAAAATGTGGGATGTATGTGCCATGGAATATACTACTCAGGCATTAAAACCAACAAAATAATGTGTCTTTTCCAGCAACTTGGATGGAGCTGGAGGCCATAATTCTAAGTACAGTAACTCAGGAATGGAAAACCAAATACCGCATGTTCTCACTTATAAGTGGGAGCTAAGTTGTGGATGCGTGGAGGCACACAGAGTGGCATAACGAACACTGGAGACTCAGAAGGGGTAGGGTGGGAGGGGTATGAGGGATGAAAAACTACATATTGGGCACAATGTACACTACACTACTCAGGTGACAGGTGCACTGAAATCTCTGACTTCACCACTATACAATTCATACACGTAACCAAAAATCACTTGTACTCAAAAGCTATTGAAATTTAAAAAATAATTTTTAAAAATAATAATAAGTTGAGGGTAAGGGAGTACATGGATCTCACTGTACTTTCTGCTCAGTTTTGTTGTGAACCTAAAACTGCTCTATGTAAAAGAATAAAATCTATGTAAAAGAATTTTAAAAATTAAAATAAAAATAATAAAAAATAGAAATAAATAAACATCAGGCCAGAGAGATATTAAAATGAGACAGCAATCATGTGCTACTTCTGCCTTGAGCTATGAATTTATCTCCTGAAACTGCTTGCTATTGCCACAAGTAGCTATGTCTTATGTAGCTAATTAACATAATAATGCTTCAGCAGACACTATAACCCACACTCTATAACTTAACAATGTGTAGCCAATCAATCACTAACCAATATTATTGCAGTTAAACCAATGAGAATTCCTAACAAAAAACTTCATACTGGCCCACTCCCTGTCCCCCTTTTCTGCCTTTGAAAATCCCCTTGTGAGTGCTGCTGAGGGGGTATATGTATTCAGGCAGCTTGAATCAATGTTCCCAGGTTGCAATCCTCAAGGTTGGCCCGGATCAACCCTACTTATATAAATTGTGCCCCAGCTTCTTCTTTTTAGATTGACAGTGGATATTTAGAAGTGGTGAAATTCTGGAAATATTCTGGAGGCAGAGCTGACCTGTTTTGCTGATGACTTAGGTGTGGATGTGAGTGACAGAGGGGAGCCAGGAATCAAAATTGTTTTCAGTTTCCATGGCTGCACAACAAATTACCAGAAACCAGTCTGTTGAAACAACACAGATAAAGCAAACAGCCCTCTAGAAACCTGGGTGCAGGTCTCACTGGGCTGAACTCAAAGTGTGCATGGGGCTGGGCTTCTTCTTTGGGCTCTAGGGGAGAATCCTTGCCTTGCCTCTTCCAGTTCTAGAGGCTGGTTGCATTCCTTGGCTCATGGCCACCTAACTCCAGCCTCTCCTTCTGTAGTCACCTCCCCTTCTCTGACTCTGATCTTCCTGCCTCCCTCCTATCAGAACATCAGGCCCACCCAGACGGGGAAGCCAGGATCATTGCCCCATCACAAGATCCTCAACTGAACCACACATGAGAGGTCTCGTTTGCCATGTAAAGTCACGTAGTCACAGGTCCCTTGGATTAGGACATGGTCATCATTAGGCGGCATTATTCTGCCTCCGCAGAAGTTTTAGCTGAATAACCAGGAGACTGGACTTGTCATTTAGTGAGATGGAGAAGAAGAAGGTTTGTGGGGAAGGGCAAGAGTCAAGCCCTGGTTTTGGCGGTGTTGATTTGGGACATCCTACTAGGCACCCAATGAAGAGAAGTGGAGCTGGCTGGTGGGAGGTTCAATATGAAATACAGGGATCTGAGCAGGAAATGTAAGTTGTGGGGTCAGCAACAATTGGATAGGATGTGCGACCCCAGGACGGGCTCTGTTTATATTGGGAATGTAAAGAAAGTGGTGTGGGAACTGAACTCTGAATGCCAGTGCTTAGAAGACTGGGCCATGAGGAAAAACCAGCACAGGAGACTCATAAGGGGCTTCTGGTGGGGAGAGGGAGACCCAGAGAGTGTTTCTTGTTTCTTTTATGAGTTTCATTGGCAACAGTAAGAAAAAGGGCTCCCTCTCTGGCTTTTGCCCAATACCCTGCCACTGCACCCCCTGCTCAGGAAGAAATGCAATCGGTTGAGGCAGCAGAAACAGGACAGAGGGCAGCTGGGAGGTTGAATACACCTTAGGAGTGAGAAGGGGTAACAAGGTCTTTTGGGACTGACAGCTCCTACCTTTTGGGTGGCAGCAGCACCTTCCCTGGCACCAGGTCCCATCCTTCTCTGCAAAATAGCTCTTTCTGTAGGATGTTACCTTTCCTGCAACAGTGGACCTCAGCCTCAGCTATGCAGCTTTGAAAAGTTCTTATGCTTGGGAACCACCCCAGAATTTTGGATTTAATTGATCTAGGACGAGGCCCAGATAGGGCAAGCTTAAATGGCTCTCCTGCTGATTCCAGCATGCAGCCTGCTCTCCAGCTACAGCAAACCCTCCATCCACTGCAATCCCTGCAGGAGGCTGTTTTGCTAGCTTATACCTCAGATAAAGTCCTTTGTGTTTTAACTGTTCCTATGAAGTCCTGGTGAGGACGTGGAAGAACAAGAGCTCTCATGCTGTGCTGGTGGGATGTAAGATGGTGCAAGTGCTTTGGAAAACTGGCTGTTCCTTAAGGAGTGAAATGTTCACTTAACCACAAGGTCACAATTTTACCCCTAGATACTTACTCGAGGGAAATAAAGGGTAGGCGCGGTGGCTCATGCCTGTAAACCTAACACTTTGGGAGGCCGAGGCAAGTGGATCATTTGAGGTCAGGAGTTAGAGACCAGCTTGACCAATATGGTGAAACCCCGTCTCTACTAAAAATAAAAAATTAGCTGGGCATGATGGTGGGCGCCTGTAGTCCAAGCTACTGGGGAGGCTGAGGACAGGAGAATTGCTTGACCCTGGGAGGCGGAGGTTGCAGTTAGCCGAGAACGTGCCACAGCATTCCAGCCTGGGCACATGGGCATAGAGGAAGACTCTGTCTCAGAAAAAGGGGGGGTGTGGGGGGCAGGGGAAATAAAAAGATAACACCACAAAAAGGCTTCTAGACAATATCCCCTAGAAGCTCTATTTGTCCAAAACTGGAAACAGCCCACAGGTAAATAAAGAGATTGTGGAATAGCCATATATGGAATGCTACTCGGTGATGAAAAGAGACAGACCATCAATGCACTGAACATGGATGAGTCTTGAAGATATTATGCTGAACAAAAGAACCCAAGTGCAAAGGACCACATATAAGTGCAATTCCCCATGGGAAGCTCTAGAAGAGGCACACCCAATCCACAGTGACAAATGCAGGCTGTCTATCAAGGAAGAAAATGGTCCCTCAATATCCATTTTCTCCATCCCCAATATTCCTCTGAGCACATGGCCACTCAGCATAAAAGCCACATTCCTCAACATCCTTTGCAGCTGTGCATAGCCATGTGCCTAATTTCCAGCCAGCAGGAAGTAAGCAGGAAGAAGTGTACAACTTCTTTAAAAAGAAGAGTTAACGATTTTGCCATCTGAGTGATGATGAGGACGTTTCCAGCCACCAAGATTGCTGATGCCGAAAAAGAAGAGTTGTCTCCCCTTTCCTTCCCACCTTGGTCAAAATATACCATCTTGCTTGGGTCAAGAAGATAAGGAATGGGACAAAAAAGTACCAGACACCGTGGACCATCACATTTGCCTGGACTTCCTACACCTGCACTATTATGTGGAAAGAATGCAAGTTATGCAAGTTATTTCTTTGTGGAACCTCTCTTATTTGGGGTGGCTATCAGAGCAGACAAATCTAGGTCCTAACCAATTCAGGTTCAGGGGATGAAGGGGGCTGAAATCACAGATTCTCAGGAGGTTATCACAATGCAATTCCTCATTCAGAGGACATGAGGAATTAGCAGACAAGCTGTGGGGAAGGAATGGAGCCTCCGTGTCTCCAACCTCCCTGTCCACCAGGGCAGCCACTGGAAACCCAGGACTTGGCATATCCCACAAGTAAGAGAAACACACGGTGTCCTCCCTCCCGAGCCAGGCCTCTCACGCGCGCTGATGATGGCAGTAGCCATGCTGCTCTCAGGACCAAGGAATCTGTCCCACAGCCGCTGGGAGGTGTGTTGGCCGATACCTTCAGCTGTCAGCTCTCTCCAGGAGCCACCTCAGCCCAGCCGAGTCCACATGAAGTCTTGTCTCTCCTGGGAGCAGCTGCACCCAATACTGATCCACCTGGAGTGTGGAGGCCCTCCCCTGAGCTGACCAGCTCTGAAGAGCCATTATAGCCTGACAGGTCCCCAGGGGGTGGCTGAGGCCTCTGTGGAGACACCTGCAGCCTTGTTTTTCCCTGGTGAACCTCCTGCTCTCCAGTCTCAACACAGAGCTGCTCCCCCTCTGGAACCAGCCAGTGACAGGCAGACAGCTATGTGTGGAACACAAGAAGCAATTGCAAACATTCTCTCCACACAATGCCCACAAGACCCCACAGGCCACTACTACTGAGGTCAACAGTGGGTTCTACCAGTTTTTTTAAAAATTAGATGAGTCTGGGCATGGTGGCTCACACCTGTAATCCCAGCACTTTGGGAGGCCAGGGTGGGCAGATTGCCTGAAGTCAGGAGTTCGAGACCAGCCTGGCCAACATGGCGAAACCTTGTCTCTACTAAAAATACAACAATTAATCGGGCATGGTGGTGGGCGCCTGTAATCCCAGCTACTTGGGAGGTAGAGGGAGGAGAATCGCTTGAACCTAGGAGGTGGAGGTTGCAGTGAGCCGAGATCATGCCACTGCACTCCAGCCTGGGTGACAGAAGAAGACTCTGTCTCAAAAAAATAAATAAATTAATAAATAATAAATAATATATAAAAATTAGGTGAAATGAGGAAGAGCCAGTGTCCTGGGCTGGATGTCACCCATATCCCAGATGAGGCACATCATCTGGGGGGCACATCACGAACTTACCCACAATCTTTGCCTAAGTCACAGGAGGGCTGTAAAGAGAGCCGGGAGAGCCCCAGACACGCAGAGAGGCTGCAGGCTGGGAAGGCTTGAGGGGAGACCCTCAACCAGCGCCACGGGGCAGGAAAGTGGGGATGGCTTAGACGGCTAAAGCCTGCTGAATGACAGAAACACCCTTGTCTCCCCAGACGGCCTCAAGAAGATATCATTTCTCGACAGTGCCATAGCAAGGAATTTTTTTCTGGGAATTAAGCAGTGCAACGCAAGGGAAGAGGGAACCGCAGGAGGCCATAGGATCCCAGCAGAAGCCTGGGGATTTCAGCATCACCTGCATCTGGAAGGGCAAGGACCTGAAAGCTCTATACCGCTCTGGCCGCTGGCCACCATCCGAAGGTCTCCCCAGCAGCCGGCACCCTGCACAGGGTTCACAGGAGGCTCAGTGTCTGCACAACACAGACTGCGGCAGGAGCAGAGGGACACCACACTGGCACCAGCCACTGGGCCTCAGTGGGCCCCTAGAGATTAGATTTCTCCCTTCTGGCAAAAGAGCAAAGTGCCATCTCAAGCTGCAGGTCAAAAAGTTCTCCTATGTAATTGTCCACTTCTTTTATTTAAGAACTCAAGGTAAAAACAAATTTCTGCTCTAACTGGCAGTCAGACCTCACGCTGCTTGATGTTCACAGTTCCCAAGCCTGAGCCACTGCTGGTCATCAGGGTTGGTGGTCAAGAGGACAGGCTGGACCTGAGCAAAGGAGGGCCATGTCACGCTGGGACCTGTTGGACATCTCTGCATCTGTCCATCGCCATATCCGACCTCAACCATGCTTGAGAGTGACAACTGCCACCTCACTGCAGCCTCCTGGATCTCAGGCAAGTTTTTCTTTGGCCAGCTGTAACCTGGAGCTGCGCAGGGAAGGGGTTCAGGTCACAGAGCTTGGCCAGGTCAAAAGGCACCATCCAGCCAGAGCCCTGAGGTGTAGCTGGCTGGTTCTTCAGGCGTGTGCAGCCCCTCCCTGGAGTCCTACCCCAACAAAGAGCATGACGCTGCTCCTCACAGTGGCCCAACCTCACCTCTCAGCCTCGGTTTCCTCATCTGTACAATGGAGACAGTCATAAAACCCATCTGACAGGACCATTGCAAAGATCTTCAAAAACTACAAAGCCATACCAAGATGAAAGCAATCATCACCATTTAAGATGAGAAAAGCAGAATCTTGAAGAACAATGTTCAGTTTGGAGCATCAGTTTGCTTTTCCCTCCCCCTAAAAAAACTCCACAATTTAGGAGCTGCTGCCAATCATGAATCCTGACAGTGAATAATGATAATTTTGCAATTGTTTTACACAAGTTATTTAAAATAAAATATCTGATGTGATTTCCAAATTACAGGGCTTGTTCCTAAGCAACAGCACAGGCTTTAAGAAATATGCACAAGAACAGAGAGAATCCAGGGCTGTGTTTTAGCAGCAGCTGTGCTGGGTAAGGGTAAGCCTTGGCCAAGGATGTCTGCCTTTCCCTCACCATTGCCCTCTGCCTTAGGGATCTCAAGAAGAAAGTGACCTTCTCTTCTTCTTTGGGGAGGCAGTTGACTCCTGACACATTGGCCTGGTGGGCCATCGGCTTCTACCCTGGCTTCCCTGCTGCTCCCAGCCATTGGTCCTTCACGAAACCCCCAAGGTTCATGTACCACATTCTTATTCAGGGCTGGTAGTGCATCTCTGCAGGCCCTTGCACCTACAAAGTGCAGGTGGCCAACTTCTGGCTTGTTGGGGCCCCTGCTCTGCACACACACACGTAGGTGGAACCGCCCTCCTGAGACCTCTTGGTTTTCATGGACCATGGTACCACCAAGGCATTTCCCCTTCTCAGCCCAAGTCTTTAGAACCCCATCTCTTCCTCATGCCTGTAGTTGCCCAGCAGGCTCTCATTCAGTCCTTGTCCACTCTTCTTGGTGGGCCCAGACCCATCTCTTCAGTCTTTTTCCTTCATGGTGGAGCCCATAAGACATGGGGCCAACAAGACCCCACTGGGGCTTGCTGTTTTTATGGTTAACAGTGGGCTCTATCAGTTTTTAAAAATTAGATAAAATGAGGAAGGCCGAGTTCCCTGGTTTGGATGGATACCATCTCTTTTGCTGAGCTGCTACCTAAACGAATGCCTTTATTTGCCATCTGCTAAAAGATTAGGTCCTTGAGAGCTGAAACGACTACCCTAGCTGAAGAATTGTATCTGATGAAGTGAGATGCTGTTCTTTGCTCCATAGTGCCTATTGGAGTCATTCCTTGTTGCCACCACCCAATGATTAAGATTGGGAGAATTTCTCTATCAAAGGCAATTTGTGGAACTCAGTCTGCTTTTGCATGGCTGCACCCTATTCTCAACAGTCCAGCACACACAAGTCAAGGATATAATAAAACTTCACCAAGTGTGATGGTTGTTTTGTGTGTCAACTTGACTGGGTCACAGGGTGCCCAGATAGCTGGTTAAACGTGGTTTCTTGTGTATCTGTGAAGCTGTTTCCAGAAGAGACCAGCATTTGAATTGGTGGACTGAGTAAAGCCGATGGCTCTCCCCCCCGTGTGGATGGGCATCATTCAATCTGTTGAGAGCCAGAATAAAACAAAAAGGCAGAGGAAGGGCAAACGCTTTCTCTTCTGAAACTGGGCCATCCATCTTCTCCCATCCTCAGACATTGAAGCTCTTGGTTCTCGGGTCTCCAGTCTCAGCCAGGTCTTAGCACATTGGCTTCTGAGTTCTTGGGTGGAAGAACTGCCTGACTGCTTGAGTTGGGACATGGATCTTCTGCCCTCTGCGCTTCTAGTCCTCAGGCTTTCAGACTGGACTGGAATCCACACCATTGGCTCTCCAGTTCTTGGGCCTTTGAACTACAGCACTAGGCTTCCTGAATCCCCAGCTTGCAGATGGCAAATTGTAGGACTTCTTGACCCCCATAATCATGTGAGCCAATGGCTTATAATAAATCTCCTTTTTCTAGATATATATCTGGAAATATATTTATTCATATAATTCTTACATTTATAATTTATATTCATATAATTTGTCACATTATTATTATATATTATATATAACAGCACACATTGAAGATATATAGATTTATATCTCCACTATCCTACTGATTCTGTTTCCCTGGAGAACCCTGACTACTGTACCAAGTGTAGTAGCATTCTGGGTAACCCACCATATCCCAGGATGATCACCCACATACATGCTACAACTGCCCCTTTCCTGGCCTTATTTTTTTCTCTCTTTTCTTCCTTTCTTCCTTATCGAATATTTATGACATAGGATTACTTATACTCAGAGATAGGGCCAAGCTTGTCTCCCACAAAGATGAAAGAGTTGTATAAACTCACCTCAAAGATGCTCCAGAAAGGAAATCAAAACAGTTTCAGAACTTGAATAGGAATCAGGAAAGAATCAGTGTTAAAGTATATTTCTCAAAATACAAATCACCTAGGGTGGGAGTGGGGGCTTGTGGAAGTTCACATTCCCAGGTCCTGCTCAGATGGACTGAATCAAAACACTAGAGATGGGTCTTGAGTTCAACATTTTGAGCAAACTTGCATTATTTGTTTGCTTGTGGTTGCACACAAGTTTGAGAACCAATGCCATAGATATTCAGGAACAAGGACATATGCAGGAGCTGCATTTTAGGAAGCTAAGTCCAGCAGTTTATGTAATATGCACTAAGGGGAGGGGGTGCTGGACACCTGGAGAAGATCAAAGAAGGATGGAGGCACTTGCAGTAATCCAAGTGTAAAGGCAGAGCCTCGAGTCAGGTCTTGTAGAAGCAGAGCCAGAGAGAGGGGTGTGGGTGCCCATGACTGGAGGGAGGACTCAGGAGGAAGAGACGGAGGGAAGCAGAACAAGTCAGGGAAGGAGTGAGATGGCCTCATATCCGCTGCAGTCACACCTCAGCCTGGCCCCGCTGGGGGCTCTGGAGCAGGGGCTGCACTGTGGCATTGATCCACCTTGACTCACAGGCACCATGTTTGTAATGTGGCTATTTCCAGCCAGCACACACAACAGCTGGGGGTGTGACCACTCAGTAAAATGAATTGGGCAGGGCACCTGCAGAGTTATAATACATCAACCCTGGAACAATACACACCCCTTCGAATTTACTGACAGGCCAATTTTCAAGCCAAAAATACAGTCCTCAAAAGGGTGTCAGTGGCTGGCCAAGGGAGGTATTAGTGGTGTTAGAAGGAGAAAAGGAATCAATCCCTAGAGAAGATGCTACTTCTTCAGGGTCTGATGATTTCATTTGCAAGGATTTTTATTGGTGTTTTTTCTAAGCAAAGTTTACTGGAAAATACTAAAAGAGACCCATGGCAGGGACTGGAAAGGGAAGAGGAAGAAGTGACTAAGCTGATGTTTTACGCATGACTGACTGGGACGATAACAGTATCAGAACAGAAAGGACCACATTCAAGTCTTCTTTTCTGTTTCTCAGATGTTCACTAGAGCCATATCTGACCAACCAAGTTCCTTCAGGAGGGACTCAATCCTGAGATCGTCAATTCATCTTTCTCTCACAATAGCTTCATTAAAAACCCCACAATTCAATGCTGACAAATCCCCATTACTTCTCATTATAAATCTTAAAACCATAAGAATTAGCGTCTTCCTTACTACATAAACTTCCAGACCTCAAATCTCACCTTTTTTGGGTAAGGGTAAGCTATTTGTTGACATTTGCACAAACTTTTGCCTGGCAGAAAATTTTTAAATAATTTCTAAAGAATCATTCAAATAAAATGCCAGACCCAGGAAGAAAGAACAATTTCACTCACCAACAACAATAATGTCTCCCTCAGCCATCTATCCACACACGTCCAGGCACATCCCTTTTTGGTTTGGAACTGGTCAGGTGTGCACTGTGAAGGCATGACAAGTTGCTTCAGGAAAAGAACGATCAGGTGCACAGGCTGAGGCAGGCAGACAGGCTCTTATCTCTATCCCCAGTAGATCCATCACAGGGCATAAGAACAGCATAGCTCTTTGAGTAACTGGTTTCTGTGTAAGCAATATATGACATTTCACAGACATTAGGCTCCCTCTGGGAATTCTTCTTCTGCATGGCTCCTTTACAAAACGAGATCCTCTTCAAGACTGGTTGGTGCATCTTGGTCAATAAGAAGAACATCAGCTCTATCATCATCTAACCCTTGAGGGTTTTCATTTAAATTATTGATTACTACCCACTATTGTAAAACAGCCTTACTATATCTTGAGTAAAATGCCACTTTTACAACCCTTGGTCTCTACTTTATATTTTTATTATGAGCTTTTCAGATCCTCCTGATATGGATTTAGCTTACAATGGTCAATGAAAAACAATCCAAACAACCAACACGTATGAATAAAGACAAAACAAAAAAATTTAGAACCCAGAAGTCATTTGGCTTTGACTCTGTCCAATGCCAGCTGAGTCCATTTTTCTTGTCCTATTTTCTCTGCTAAATGAGCCCCCAAAACTCGTTCCAGAGAAGTGAATAAAATGCATGACTCAGGATTCCCATCTCATTTATCTCCTGCCTCATGGAACCAGAAGCCCCTTTTGTCCTCCATCAATCCCTGTTTAAATAATATTCCCACCTGCAATAAACTCTTTCTTCAGTCTCCACCAAAGGGCCAGCCCGTTGCATGCACCAACCTTCACTGAGGGGTTCGGGGTCTGAGAAGTGACTGGCTTTGCCCTTCTATGCATGCTTGCTTTATTACTTAAGGTTATGACTTAATGCTACTTAATGAAAACCCTGGCTGGCGGGTCTGCAGAGCAATGCTTCAGAAAGGGCTCTGGATAGATAATCACCATTTGCCAGAGCCCCTCAGCATTCCCAGTGCCTCCTTTCTTTCTTTTTTTTTTTTTTTTTGAGATAGAGTGTCACTGTCGCCCAGGCTGGAGTGCAGTGGCATGATCATGGTTCACTGCAACCTCCACCTCCCAGATTCCAGCAATTTTCCTGCCTCAGCCTCCCAAGTAGATGGAATTACAGGTGTGCACCACCACGTCTGGCTAATTTTTGTATTTTTAGTAGAGATGGGGTTTCACCACGTTGGCCAAGCTGGTCTCAAACTCCTGACCTCAGGTGATCCACCCACCTTGGCCTCCCAAAGTGCTGGAATTATGGGCATGAGCCACTGTGCCTGGCTGGCCTTCTTTCCCTTCCCTGTTTGCTTTCCCACTCCCTACTGGTGCTCCCGAGCATCACCTGCAAAATGATCAAGGAGTTCATTCTTAGGTCAGGGAATCCATTCTGAGGTCAGGAAGTCCATTCTGAGTTCAGAAAGTTCATTCTGAGGTCAGAGAGTTCATTCCTAGGTCAGGGAGTCCATTCTTAGGTCGGGGAATCCATTCTGAGGTCAGGGAGTTCATTCTGAGTTCAGAGAGTTCATTCTGAGTTCAGAGAGTTCATTCTGAGGTCAGAGAGTCCATTCTGAGGTCAGGGAGTCCATTCTGAGGTCAGGGAGTTCATTCTGAGGTCGGGGAGTTCATTCTGAGGTCAAGGGTCCATTCTGATGGCAGAAAGTTCATTCTTAAGTAAAGAAGTTCATTCTGAGGTCAGGCAGTTCATTCCTAGGTCAGGAAGTTCCTGTTTAGGTTGGGGAGTCTATTATTAGGTCAGGGGATTCATGCTTGGGTCAGGAAGTTTATTCTTAGGTTGAAGAGTCTATTCTTAGGTTAGGGAATCCATTATTGCTTCGGGAGTTCATTCTCAGGTTGGAGGTTCATTCTTAGGTGGGGGATTTATTCTTAGGTCAGGGGGTCCATTCTGAGGTCAGAGAGTCTATTCTGAGGTCAGGGAATCCATTCTGAGGTCAGAAAGTTCATTCTTAGGCCCAGGAATTCATTCTGAGGTCAGAGAGTTTATTCTAATGTTGGGGAGTCCATCCTGAGGTGGGGGGGGGTCCTATTCTTAGGTCAGGGGGTCCATTCTGAGATCAGGAAGCTCTAACCTAAAACAGTCTTTAGCTGGAATCCCAGTGTGGCCACTTAGTAGCTGAGTGGTCTTGAGTAAGTCAGGACCTCCAGGTCCACATGATGATCCCACCAGGTAGGCTCATTCCCTGGGCAAATCTCACTACTCAGCACCTGCTCTGTAGCAGAGATCCTGAGAGTGCCCATGTGTGGTGGGTGCTCAGTGTCCTCTTCAGATTCTGCTCCAAGGCCAGGGTACCCCTTCCACACTGGTGGCTGAGCGCCTTCTGCATCCTCA
Organism: Homo sapiens; assembly: GCF_000001405.40. Lineage (NCBI taxonomy): Eukaryota > Metazoa > Chordata > Mammalia > Primates > Hominidae > Homo > Homo sapiens. Next base: position 23,334,994 of record NC_000020.11, read on the forward strand.
CCAAACCCCCCGCTGGTCTAATGAGCAGCCTATGGAAGGGACACGGGGAACCCTTGCTTCAACTCTGCAGGTTTCCAAAGCTCCAAGCTCCCCAGGGGCCAGTGGAGGCCTCTGTTGCAGCAGCATCAAAGCCCCACTGCTCTCTTACCCTTCCCAGGTGGGACTCCCAAGATCCCCTCCCCAACGAACCCCTACATGCAAATCTCCATCTCAGGGTCTGTTTCTAGGGGACTCAACCTGAGACGTACTTCATAATGTTGCTGCAATCATCTAGGACAGAATAATCATAAATAGCAAAGCTCTGAAAAATGTTAAAACGTAAGTAGTAGCAGTAGTAGCAGCAGCAGCAGCAGCAGCAGCAGCAGCAGTAGTAGTAGCAGCAGTAGTAGTAGTAGTATTTTGTTATTGTCAACATTCTCATCATGAGGGTCTTATGGCCTGGACTCTGGCCTGTGGGTCTCAACCCTCCCATGGCCTCCTGCAACCATCTCTCCCCTACCCCTCCATAGCACATAGCCTTATAGATTAAAATGTTCCTAATGGCCCCCAAACTGGTTGTGGCTCCCCCAGTGCTTGGGGGATTTCAGAGGGGCTGGGTAACAGTTTGGCTTCTGCAGCCATTTCTGAATTTCACTTTTGGTTTGTTCATGCTGTGCTGATGCTTCAAGAGTTGACCACAAAGTAGCCACCAGTCACCAAAGTGGCACAGGCTGGCCTGAGGGTCATGAGCCGACCCACTGGGCCATGAGTAACAGAGGCAAGCTGGCTACTTGGCTTCCCCTCACATTTCAAACCCGTTAAGCCAGGCAGGGGTGTGGGCACGCTGAAAGAACGTTCTTGTTCTCAATCTCTTTTAACTGGTGATGCCAAGAAGAAACTTAAAAAAAAAAAAAAAACTGACCAGGCGCAGTGGCTCAAGCCTGTAATCCCAGCACTTTGGGAGGCTGAGGCGGGTGGATCACTTGAGGTCAGGAGTTCGAGACCAGCCTGGCCAACATGGTGAAACCCCGTCTCTACTAAAAATACAAAAATTACCTGGGCATGGTGGCAGGCGCCTGTACTCCCAGCTACTCAGGAGGCTGAGGCAGGAGAATCACTTGAACCCGGGAGGTGGAGGTTGCAGTGAGCCGAGATCATGCCACTGCACTCCAGCCTGGGCGACAAGAAAAAGACTCTGTCATAAATAAACAAATATATAAATAAATTAATAAAATAAAATAAAATAAAATAAAACTGAGTTGGGCCAATGTGCAGCTTGAGGCAGTATTTCTCTGAGCCCTTTGTTCTCTAAGGATAAATCTTCCGAAGAGCGGCCCTCACATGGGTGGTCCAGATGAGGCAGAAGAATAGGGTCTGGAGGCAGGGAACCTAAGGCCATTTCAAGCTGACTTCCTAGTACTAAATTCAAAGTAAAGCCCTAACTTTCCACACCTTAGTAACAAAAAGATCAGAAATCACTCCCTTTGCAAACCCTCACCTTTTCTGTGCAGCAGATGCGAAACTGAAAATACCTCTGATTGGTTGCTTTGTGCAACCAATCAGATGTTGCATAGGAGCGTAACTTTGTAACTTCACTTCAGCCTCTGATTGGTTGCAGAAAGCAGGCCGCCACTTCATTTACACCGGGTGAACACCAAGTGGCCAATGGGAAACCTCTAAGGGGCATTTGGACTCTGTAGATTCTATATCCTGGACCTTGAGCTGCTGCTCCACCCATTCCCACACTGTGGAGTGTACTTTCATTTTCAATAAATATCTGTTTTTGCTCTTTCATTGCTTCATTCTTTCCTTGCTTTGCTGTGCATTTTATCTAATTCTTTGTTCAAAACACCAAGAACCTGGACAACTTGCAGTCAAGACCAAGACCGTCTACTGATAACACAGGTCAGATACTTCACAGCCTGCTACTGAGGGATGCTGTGGAGCTTCCAGGGCCCAGGATCCTTGTTGGATCCACAACTTTCCAAGTGGCCCTCAGCACTCTGTGACCCCCACGTGGCAGCCTCCTCCCAGGAGAGACTTCTAGCCTGTATTAGCTTCATGCCAGCCTCCCTGTGTGGCTGTTCATACAATATGATGGCTGTGTTCCTTACCCAAAGCCTCTGTTCCCCATGGGCAGGAATGCCCTTGGAAGAGGAGCACCAGCGGGGGACAGGCCAGACACAGGGCAGCAACCTCATTAAATCTCATCCTTAGGGTCTTTGCTTTCTCTCATTTGGCACTTCTACCCAAATCTAGTCCCACTGCTAGATCCTGAGAAGACACCCATTTTTACATGCCACAGAGCACTTTCCAGCACATTATTCTTCCTCTGAGCCCCCTGGGGTAGCTTGGGTTTGGCATGCTGACCCAGCACCCCATCCTTTATCTGGGATCTGAGTTGTCTCCACTAGTCACAGAGGTAGTTGCAAGAATGGGCCTCACCAATTAAATTACTTCATGCACTGTCACAGCTTAGTGCTTGCTGCCAACTCTGGCTGCATAATAAATATGCATTTGAAAAGGGCACAGCAGAGCCTGCTGAAGGCTCATCCATTGCACATCTGACAACTGATGTTTGCTGTCACTGGGGCCTCACTCAGCTCCTCCCCAAATAGGCCTGTCCATGTCCTCTTTCCAGCTGGCCTAGTCCAGGTTTCCTCACAGCATGGTAGCTGCATTCAAGGGTGAGCAGAGAGAGACAGAGGTATGGGGAGTTGGAGGGAGAGAGAGAGAGAGAGGAAAAAAAAGAAGAGGGAGTGAGCACAGGTGAGCTGAGTGGAACCTGCATCACCTTCTATGACCTAGCCTGGGAACTCCTCTCTTCCCAGATTAAACGGGAGGAACATAGACGCCACCTCTCAGTGAGAGCAATGTCAGTCATGTTGTTAGAGCAGGAGGTCTGGGACATCTTTAATTGTTCAGACGCCTTTGGGCAATGCAATCTGCCACCAGTGACATGCACTCAGTACCTACCTGAAGTCAGGTACCATGTGTGCATCAGGTCATAGCAACCCTTTGATCTTGCCAAAGCCTTGAGGCAGATTAACTTGCCCAAGATCATGCAGCTGGTAAGTGGCAGAGCCAGCATTTGAACTGAGGATTCTCAGCTCCAGAGGTTTCTATGGACTTGAGTTTGTTCTCATAAATTTTGAGAGGTAATTGCATTCCTTATATATAAAAAGGAACAAGGCAAAAAGTACAATAGAAGAACAGAATACTAGAAAAAAGGACCAGTCAGGAACATGAGATCATGAAAGTAAGCTTAGAAAATAAAGATATAATTGGCCAGATAAGGCAAATAATAAGTCAATAGAAAGGATACACAATAAAGTTATTTGTTTGTTTTTAATTCCCAGGGCACAGGCAAAAAAAAAAAAAAAAAAAAAAAAAGAAAGCAAGCAAGCAAGAGAGAGGCCAAAATTGCAAAAACAAGAGAAAGAGGAGAGAAAGTAAATGGGGGAAAGCCATAAAAAAAATAGAATAACTTTTCCAGAGGATGAAGGAAACCCATACAGACTGGAAAGGTCCAAGGATCATTAGGGAGTGACTCCAGGGGTAAAGGGCTTTTCAAGCAATGAGGGGTGCTCTGGAAAGGCTGGCCCATGAGATGAAGGGATTAAGGCACATTATTTTGTCAACAGCAAAAGCAACAAAGACAAAAACAATTAGGAATTCCAAGAAAAACAAGATCCTGTTCCATAAAGATATAGCCGAATAGAAAGTAAACTAAAATAAGCATGGTGTAAGGAGGGTTGGAAAAGAGAAGGCTGTACACTGGACTTTGAATCTGGGAAAGTCACCCTTTAGGGGGTACAGACATCGTGGGAGAGAACAGAGCAAGTCCTACATGTGTGTGTTTCTATAGTAATCAACAGTTAGGCCTAATAGTGAAAATGCTTCTTATTTCTTTTCAATGCTTAGACTCAATCTAGACAAAGAATAAACCTAATCATCGCTGTAGAACAGAAGGTAAATGTAGTCATCCTTGATGCTGTAAATGTGAAGACAGTTTTTACCATATTATCTAGAATTAGTTTTGATGGCATCTAACTGATGAGCTCAAAATGATGTAAACAAAATAGACTTGTAGTTCTCACTTGCCTAAAAGAGAACTTATCATAGCTCTATGAAATAAAGGGAGCCAAGTCCTTCCACCCTCCTCTCTACCATCCCTAGGATCTGGCCCACATCTGCATGGTCCAAAATAGCAGCCAAAGTGCCAGCCATCACATCTGCATTTCAAGCAGTTGAATGAAGACATGGGAGATGGCCTAGCCTCCCTAGTTTTAGGAAGTCCCACACAACACTTCAAACTACATCTCATCAACCAGATGAGGTATATGCCACAGCTAGTGGGAGAGAAAGTAGGAAGCATGGTCTTCAGGCTGAGTGGCCACACGCAAGTCAGGGTTCTATTTCCACAGGTGGAGGAGAGCATGGAGGTGACAGCAGCTCAAGGGTTAGTCACAGAGATGGGACTTAGGAAGAGATGGTTGAGAGAACTGTTATCCCCGTCCGAGAGGGCAGAGAGTTAGACAACAGTCTCTATCATTGATGGAATAAGAAGCAGAGAGGAATTACATATTTAAAGCTATAAAGGTCATCACTAGAACTAAATCTAATGAAATTAGCTAAGAGACTATTTTGTAAGATTCCATTGTAATAGTCATTGAAGATTGTCCAAAATTGATAAGTCAAGCAATTGAATTACAAGCTCATTATTTAGAATTACAGAGGTAACTGCCAAAAGAACAAAAACATAGGAACAGTTGCAAGTGTTTACCCCACGAGCCTGAATGCGAGGGAAAGCAAGGGGCAGGACAAGAGGTACCTGCTCTCCTTACAAACCTTCTATGCTCTTGGATCTCTGTACCACGAGTTGGAACTTTGGCTTAAATTTTTAAATTAAATTAATGCAGCCTCTGCTTCCACTCGAGGCTGGGGACAGAAGAGAGAACCACTTGGCCTGTTGCTGACAGCTGCCATCCCCCATCCCCATGAAGACAGGGCCCTCAAGGAATGCAGAGGGCAAGGCTGGGGAGGCTTGGGGCATGGCCAGCTCTCCTGTCAGGGTGCCCCTTTCCAACTCAGCAGGGATGAGAATCCTCATCACCCGGAGTGCCCTCCAGGGGCCCACAGCTGGGAGCAGGAAGGGATACTGGGAATATTCCACCTGGGATGACACTCTGATGTCACGGGAGAAGGGGTAGGGTCGTGGGGAGGGGCAGGATCTTCTCGATGCCCCCACCCCTCGCTGGTCATAGGCACTGGCTGGCAAGAACGGGCTGCCTGGGGCCTTGCGCCGGCACCCTGAGCTGATCCCCCACATGCCATCGCGGTCATCCCATTGTACACTGTGCATTCATCGCCTCGGAACCATCCCGGGACAAAGTGCCAAAGTCAGCCATTAGACCAAAATGCTCACCAGGAAGCATTTTTGAGACAGTACCTCAGAATTTGAAATAGAACCACACTAAAAGCTGTGCTGCTTTGGAGAGGCAGAGACCTCTGCTTTCCCAAACCGTTTCTAAAATATCCTAGAGAAAAACAAAAAAGCCTCTCTGAGCAGCCACCTGTCAAGACAAAGGAGATTATCTTGGACTTTTTAAATGCCCTATGTTTGATATAGGGAAGGAACACTTTGGTTTCTTGATCAGAAAAGGTGTCACTCAGATCCTGTCTACAACGCAAGCAGAGCGGCTCTTGTCAAAGGCTAGACCACCCTCGTGTGGCTGCTTCTGTGAATGGCAATTCAGATTTGAAGAGCAAGACAGATCAGACAGCTTCAAAAGCGGGAAAACTGGCTGGGCGCAGTGGCTCATGCCTGTAATCCCAACATTTTGGGAGGCCGAAGCGGGCAGATCACCTGAGGTCAGGAGTTTGAGATCAGCCTGGCCAACACGGCGAAACCCCATCTCCACTAAAAATAGAAAAATTAGCTGGGCAAGGTGGCACATGCCTGTAGTCTCAGCTACTCGGGAGGCTCAGGCACAAGAATTGCTTGAACCCAGGAGGTGGAGGTTGCAGTGAGCTGAGATCACGCCACTGCACTGCAACCTGGCAACAGAGCGAGACTCCGTCTCAAAAAAAAAAAAAAAAAAAGGAAAACTAAGCTCAACAGTCAAGGCTGAACTAATTGCAGAAGAGTGTAAAATAATAATTTACTTCATTAAAAAAGCTGCAGAGCACTTTTCAACCCAGGCTACTTTTATTCTCTAGTCAAGAGCAGTTGTTTTCAAAGTGTGGTCCCGGCTTTCCAGTATGACTAGAAATTGGTTAGAAATGCAAATTCTGGCCTCCCTTGGCCCTGCTATGTCTGAAACTTTGAAGCTAAGGCTCTGGCACCCTAGTGTTAGCAAGGATTCTGACGCTCCCTCACTTTGAGAACTGTAGTTTGCATTAGATTTGTTACTGTCTGGCACCAAAAGAGAGCTGTTAGCCAAGGCATTGACCCTTCAAGGGACCAGGAAAACCCATCTAGACATTCTTCAGGTGTTTCAACAGTGAGAGAAAGTCCTTTCTTTGCTCCCTAGCTTAGACAGAGTCCCCAGCAGCAGCCCCTGAGACAACAATTGCACTGCAAGCCACTTATTTGAGAGGTGATCCCAGGGGCACCTGTTGGGGTATGGGGATGTGAGGTAGGGCAGGGGGAAGCCAGTACAGGGGCAGCACTGCAGGTGCCTGGCTCAGTCCCTGGGGAGCTCCGGGATGATGCGGGGTGTGCCTCAGAGATGTCCTGCCTGAGGGACTGGAAGGGTTGGAACCCTCCAATTCCCATCTGTCCTTACTGAAGGATGCTCTTGGGTGTTAACTCTGGGCATTCCTGCCCTGCCATGAGTAAGGTCCAAGACTGTGGCCAGAAAACCCTGGTCTGGAAAGGAGTGAAGAGGGTATCTCACTGTCTGCTCCACTCAGCTTTCCCAGGCTGCAGGGGGAGACAAAAAGTGCTTGCCGCTCACTTCTGAGCTCTCAAGACTCTTTGATTCCTTATTCAAAGCCCACTCATCAATCAAGGCCTCTCTCAAGTCCCATCTTTGCCAAGCACCTCAGCATCTCCCACTTGGGAGCAGCCTCTCTCCGCACACAGACCAGCCCTCAGATCCATGCATCACTAAAACGTCTCTGCTGATGCTGGGCAAACCAGGGCCTCGCCCTGGGCCCACACGGCCTGGCCGAACACTGGGGAGAGAGCGAGAAATGAATGCCACAAAAGGGGCACAGGAATGTTCAGAGGGGGGAACACCACAGACCTTTCCACAAAGTGGGATGGCTGTAAAGAGAAGGTGGCATCTGAGCCAGTCCCTGAAGGATAGCGGAAATGTGTGCAGAAATGGGGGCAAGGTACACAAGGCAGAGAGGGCAGCCTAAGGACTGCGGCAAGCAGCATGGATTCCGCGTGGCCGAAACATGGCACGGGGGAGAATGGTGGGAACCCAGCTCATGTCTTATTATGGAGGGCCTCGGGTCTGGGACCCTAGTCTAGGATATGGGGAGCTCACAAGTAGGGATACTGCAGAGTGAGAGTTGTGCCCCAGGCAAGTCCCTTTGAGGAGCATGTGTGTTTCAGGACCAGAAAAGTCAGTGACCCGTTAAGAGAGGAAGAGAAGATGGGAGTGGAGTTGGGGTAATTGTGCCACAAGAGCTGCACCCACTACTCAGGCATTCTTCAGGTATCCACATGCCAACATCAGGGAGCAGGTACCCTGATTTTACAGGCTCAGAGGGTTAGATCATTCACAGGAGGTCACGCAGGTCTATCTGACTCCAAGTTCGCATGCTCTTTCTGCTCTATCCACCAGGATTGTTCAAATGGCCCCAGAGAAAGACAGCTGAGCCCAAACTCCAGACCCACAGTAGGAGCTGCAGGGGCATAAGCGACTCAGCAAGGCTGAAGTAAGTGTGAGCCTCAGAGCATGAGAGGAATGGCTGGCCCCAGCCCCCAGTCCTGAATCAGGAGGAAGGGACACAGACACTGGCCCCAGCCCTCAGCTCTCAGAGTCAGGAGGAAGGGACATATGGCAGCTAGGAGACAAAGCATCTAGAAGCAGAGGAACCCAGTGGCCATGAGGTCACGAAAGTCACCTCCAGTCACTTGGACCAGAAGACATGCCTTTGGGCAGCTGGCATGTCAACTGAGCCTCGAGGAAAGAGAATTTTTTTTTTCTGTTTAATAATTTCTTGAGGTGAAGTTTATATAAAATGGGCTATTTTAATGCAAACAATTCAACGGCTTTTAGCAGTTTCACAATATCGTCCAACCTCTATCAGTTCCAGAACATTTTCATGACTCAAAAGCCTGGTACCCATGAAGCTGCTTCTCCCCGTTCCTCCCTGCCCACAGCCCCTGGCAAACATCATTCGGCATTCTCTCTGCAGATTCACCTATTCTGGATATTCCACAGAAATGGAATCCTACAACAGGTGACTTCTGTGTATGGCTTCTTTCACCATGTTTTCAAGGTTCATCTACATTGCAGCATGTATCAGTACTTCATTTATTTTTATTTATTTTAGAAATGGGGTTTCTGTTGTCCAGGCTGCAGTGCAGTGGCATAATCATCGCTCACTGCAGCCTTGAACTCCTGAGCTCTAGAGATCCTCCTACATTATCTTCCCAAATAGCTAGTACTACAGGTGTGACCCACCACAGCTAGCAAGTTTTTTTTATTTTTTGTAGAGGCTAGGTCTCATGATGTTGCCCAGGCTGGTGTGGAACTCCTGGCCCCAAGCAATCCTCCTGCGTCAGCCTCTCAAAGCACTGGGACTACAGGCATAAGCCACCACACCTGGCCAGTACTTTATTTTTCATGGCTGAATAATATTCCATTGTATGGGTATACCACATTTTGTTTATTCATTCATCCATTGGACATTTGGATTGTTTTTAATTTTTGGCTATTATGAACAATCATGAACAAATACTCACTTGAGTACCTATTTTCAATTCTTTTGGGTATTTACCTAGAAGTAGAATTGCTAGGTCATATGGCAGTTCTATGCTGAATTTTTTTTGGACTCATCGTACAGTTTTTTACAGTAACTGAACCATTTTACATTCCCACCAGCGATGCACAAGGGTTCCAATTTCCCCACATTCTCACCAACATTTGTTATTTTCTATTTTTTGATTCTAGGCATCCTAAGATTGCAGAATGGCACCTCATTGGGGTTTTGATTTGCATGTCCAGAGAAGGGCATTCCTGGTAAACAAAGCAGCACAGGCCATTTTACAAGGCCATCATTCCCTAAGAGCCTAGTGTTTATAAGTGTCATGCCCTCAGCTCGAAGCTCAGCTCGAGAGCAGGGATCATACATCTTACCTTTCCTTTGTGTCATCAGCTTTGAGCACCCATGGCTTAATGAGGTTCACAGCCCCTTTCCACTCAGATCTACAGTTGGCCTACATGGTTGGGTCAATAGGAATAGCCACCTCCGAGGCTATGCCCAAGGTCACCACGGGGTTGCTTGTGAAGTACACTGAATGTGCTGGGTCCTCCAGAAGCTGCTTGTGGAGCCACTTAAAATGCCTGCTATGATTGACACCTTCAGTGCCTGTCTGAGGCCTGGTACTTCCCTTTTCAGGGGGCTCTAGCTGATTTCCAAATGCCTAAGGGCTTTTTTTCCAGGCCAGTGGAAGAAAAGCTTCTCTGTCCCTCTTGCCAGACAAGAAAACGACACCTCCCCGGCAGCCCTCACTCTCAGGAGTTGTGTGTAAATTCCACAGTTCCCACACGCTCCTGGCCCTCCAGGGGGAATAATTCTGAAGCATATGTTCTATGCTGTTCTATGAGGAGCTGCACAGCGTGATGAGGATCCAGTCACCCACAGTGGTAGCAGCCTGGGTAATCTACTCCTCACCCATCCCAATTCCCTACACCCCTTTGCCTAGCAAACCAATGACTTGCACCAAAATACTTGCTTCGGATCAGCTTCTCGGGGAATCCAAACTAAGACATGTACCATGTGCTAAGCACTTCCTACACAGTAATTTATAAAACTGGCTTAGAAGCAGAGAAATAACAGTGTCCCTGAGAGTTAAAAGTCAATAAGACTTGGAACATACCTATGCAATGTCACCTTTAAGAGAAAAGAGATTCCCAGCCCATGAGGTGAACAAATTAAAATATCCACCACCAGAATGTGGAAACGCCCAAAAAAAGGGGTAGGGTAATTCACAGGGGCAAATGTGGGCAGGGCTGGTGAGAAGGGAATGTGGTCACCAGACTCACTGTGGGGTATCTGGTCTCCCTGGTGACCATGTTCCTTCCTGAGAACATAGATCCTTCAGGCCCTGTCAACTTGTGCCCTTGGCCACTGGGATCATGCCATCTACTGTGTTTCCTTGTTCTGACCCATGCTCTTATAGCCACCTGCACCTGCTCACATAGAGAGCACATGAACACATGCTGCTTAGTCCCTGGGAAGTTGGTTCTGGCTGTAGATGAACCAACCAACACCTGCTCTGGAGTGCAGCCTTGTGAGCTTCCTCCTGTGACTGGTCCTAGCCAATGGACCCATTTTCAGAAATCAGGACAAAGCCAGCCTCAGGACTGTGGTGAGTTCGTTGAGGTGGCGTCACTACGTAAGGCCTTGAGGGGCCTTCTTTTCTTTTCTTTTTTTGAGATGGAGTCTCGTCACCCAGGCTGGAGTGCAATGGCATGGTCTCAGCTCACTGCAACCTCCGCCTCCCGGGTTCAAGCAATTCTCCTGCCTCAGCCTCCTGAGCAAGCTGGGATTACAGGTACCTGCCACCACTCACGGCTAATTTTTGTATGTTTAGTAGAGACAAGGTTTCACCATGTTGGCCAGGCTGGTCTCAAACTCCTGACCTCATGATGTGCCCACCTCGGCCTCCCAAAGTGCTGGGATTACAGGCATGAGCCATCGCACCCAGCCAAGGGGCCCTATTTTCAAGGTTCCATTAGCAGCAAGTGGCAAACCCAGGTCAGACATAAATTAAAAAGGAGTTATTGCCAGCACTAGGCTATTCCCTGGAACCTTGGGGCAGGACCACAGCAAGGACTTGGAGAAGGAAAGTAATGAGTAAGAACTCTGTCTTGCTGCATAGCAGACCACTACAAAACTTAGTGGGTTAGCATGACAACAATCATTTATTTTGCCCACAAATCTGCAGTTTGGGTGGGGCAAGGCAGGGTAGGCTCATTTCTCTTCAAGCCTTGCCAACCTAGGACCACGGTGGTTCACACAAGCCACACAACTGGCTACTGGGCACGCGTTGCTGTGGGGTGGCTCAGCTGGAGTTGGGCTTTGCTTGCAGCACAGCACTGGGCTCCAGGCACATGTATAGCTAGAGAGCAGCACCGGCTGTATCTCCTTTTACAGGCCAACCTTGGCAGACATGTAACACCATTTAGCCTGAGCTCACACAGTCACAAAGGCCTCCCTGATCAAGGGAAGGACTCAACACCATGTCCTGACAGCGGGTGGCAAGGTAAGGTTCCAGATGAGGACATGGGACCAGAAATTTATTTTGTGTCCATTTTCAGAAAATGTAATCCATCATAGTAAGGAATCAAGGCAACCATTCTCCATAGCTCGTGTGTACGCATGTGTACATGTAAGTGTGCATGTGTACATGTAAGTGTGCATATGTGAGTGTCCATGTGTGCATGTGTGTGTGCATACATGTCTTGCTCCAGTTCTCTCCTCTGGTCACATGACCTTGACCTCTGCTTCATCCTCTGTCTGTGCTCATGGCCTCAGTTATTCCTGCCTTCTCAGAATCCCCCGCTTCCTTTGGGAACAGCTCCTCCACATTACTTCTTTTGAGAAACTTCCTCCCCAGGTGTTTTTGGCAGGACTGTCCCTCAAGCCACCCATCCCTCCTGGGCAGCAGAGGGGTGGCACATGACTGAAGTTGGGCCAATCCAACTCTCTCCTGAGAATCTGACTTTAGTGGAGAATCCCAGGTTCTAGACACTGGTCACAGCTCTGTCAGTCCAACTCAGCCTCTGAGGCATCCATTGCCCAGTTCTTGTTCCCAGACTAAAAGAGCCACCTTACCAGTGCCTTCTGTAGACTCTGCAAGCATCCTGCAGTCTTCCATTAAATACTGATAAATATGTGTATTTAGTTCCAATTCCACATAGAGGCTTTGCAGCCGTCTGACCTCTCCCACAATTCCAGATGGCTGGTGGCTGAGCTGGGAAGAGGGCTGAGATTCAAACCAGAAATGATCCCTACAACCTTCTCAGACAAACGGCATCATTGCAGGCTGGACAAATGCTCCAGATGGTGCCTCCTTTATACACTGCCATTTAATGTCTACAGTGTCCACACCCCCATTTTACAGAGGCAGTAACTGAAGTACAGAGAAGGCAGAGCTCAGATTTCACAAAACTCTGTCTAACCCCATAGGGTTTGCTCCTTCAGTAAACCTCAGAATCTCCTCAAAAGTCAGGTCCCCAACTGCCCTCCTGGAAAAGCAGCCCCAGCTCACTCTGAACTGGCAGTGGCTCAGATGATCCTGCTAAGGCTGAGAGACGGAAAAGAAAGTGTTTTTGGTGGCAGTACATTAGAGTCACAACTGCTTTGCTGTCACCGTAGATTGACTGGCTCCAAGTCATGCAGCCTCTCATGGCAAACAAATGCTGTTAAGATCCTGCGCCAGAGAACAACATTGACAATGAGGGAAAAGATCAATCCTCTATTTACAGACTTAAAGATCCTTAAATCAAGCCTGTCATCAGAGCTGCCAAGGACTCTGCCTGTGTGACCAGATGTGCCCTTCCTCCCTGGACGGACTCCACGCTGCACATGGGACCACTGGGCTCATCTTCAGAAGGGCCCATGCAATTTGGTGACAAATCCCACCAATTTGTCAATACACTTCTTCCAAGTTTAAAAGCCAGTCATTGGAGGGATTGTTGGCAAATAAGGAAGTTGCTATAGATGCAAAATGTCAAAGCATGATTCTGCTTTCCCAACGCTTTCTGGATGCTACTTCATGCTCGGCCCCATATGAAGCACTTAGCATGCATTGTTTCGTTCGCTCTTCACGTCAGCCCGAGGAGATGGATATGACCATTGCCCCTATTCTACAGAGGAGGCAGCTGAGCCTCAAAGAGGCTAACTCACTTGCCACAGCCACCCTGCTAATGCTTAAGCCACACTAGTCAGGTTGCAAATAACTTTATGCTTATGCCCAATTTTAAATAGTACAAAAGATAAAAGGATTTCCTGGCTCTTGAAACTGAAAAGTCCAAACTTGAGGGATGATTTGACTCCCAACATAGTCATCAAGAGCCTGATTTCTTCCCAGCTTTCCTGTCTGCCTCATCAAGGGTCTACCACTCAGGGCAGCAAGATGGCTGCAACAGTGCTATCCACACACTGTGAGTCCAGAAGGGAAGGGAGAAAAATCTCCTTCCCCAGAATCCTTCAGCAAACACCTCCAGGCTCAGTGGCCCTAATTGGGCCTCCGACCACCCTCAGCTGTGCTCAACGCATACAGTGCCAGTCGTGTGTCCTTTGGAACCAGGGATGTCTCTGACCTCCCCAAACTCCAGGATCATAGTAAGGGAGGAGACCACCCCTCATATTGTCTTATGCCCAATTTCTGCCTCCAAAGAAAAAAGTAGTAAAAACTAAAAGGCAGAAATGAAATCCACAAGCAGACAGCCCAGCGCCACACCCTGGGCCTGGTAAAGATTGACTCCTGACCTAATTGGTTGTTTGCATAAAAAAGGCACTGTGAAGATCCCTGTCCTGTCCTGTTCCGTTCTAATTACCTGTGCATGCAGCCCCAGTCACATACCCACTGCTTGCTCAATTGATCATGACCCTCTCACGTGGACCCCCTTAGAGTTGTGAGCCCTTAAAAGGGACAGGAATTGCTCACTTGGGGAGTTCGGTTGTTGGAGACGTGAGTCTTGCTGAAGTTCCCTGGCCGAATAAAGCCCTTCCTTCTTTAACTTGGTTTCTGAGGGGTTTTGTCTGCGGCTTGTCCTGCTACAAATAGGGGGAATAAAAGCCAGGGTTGCTTCCAAAGAGAGCAGGGAGTGAGTGTTGAGGACAGATCATCACAACTGTGCAGTTGAGGAGCATGATTTGAACCCAGGTTTGTCTGTTCATTCAAACAGTATTTATTGAGCCCTTGCTTTGGGTCAGGCACAATTTTATATGCTGGAGACACAAACCTAAAAGGACCCTAACCTAAAAGGCAGACCCCACAAACCTAAAAGGCAGAACAGCTGCCTTTCAAAGCTAAAGTCTCGCATTTTTAAAAGGCCTTGGAGCTGCATTAATGTTCTTCTAATTTTTCTAGGTATGAATCTTCATACTTTTCTAGGTATGAATCGACCCTGTGACACCAGGATGGTTCTTTGTCAGCCTCCTTGTCTATAAAATCAGAAATAATGGTACCTCCCCCAATAAGTTATGTGAAACAAATTAAAGGGGCTTATTATACAGGAAACAAAAGCAGCACAGCATCCAAACTACTGAGCGTGCAGTAAATCAACGCATTCCCACTTCCATTCCATCCACGCTGATTTAGATCAATCCAAGTATCACTGCCTTGGGGTTCAAAAGGCCATGTTAGTTCACAAAGCCCCGAAAATGCTCTTTCACACTCTCTGCTCAGCCTCCAACGTGTCTTTTTAATAATCCAAACTTTCCACCTACTTAACTGAAGTGTGTGGGGGGAGAGGGTGCGGGGGGGAAGGGGTGGCCTATACTAAATAGCCCAACTGTTTTCCACTTGTCCTGAAATCTGAGACCAAGATTCTCTTAGGAATGCAAGCAAAGGGAGCCGACGGGACGCCAAGAAAGCACAGGTTAAACTACCTCACTTCATCTAGCCCCATTTCTCTCCTGGCTTTTCAATTAATTATTCAGCCTCAGACCAGCAGATGGAGCTGAAAATGTTGTCTAAAGAAATGAGGTTTTTCTTTTAATTTACAAGCTATAGTTTCTCATGCCTCCACACTGAATGGTTACATCCTGTTGAGCCTGTTCGTAAAGTTCAGTAAAAATCCAGTTCTCATTCCAGAACAGCTGAATCGTAGCTATGAACGCGGAAGAACAGAGTCCCAACCCCAGCCGGGCCCGGGTTTCCCGGGGCCCCTCAAGCCTCAGGGCAGTGGAGAGCCGCCGTCACGCCCCCGCCTCCCCCACGTCCCACCCTCGCCCCAGTCTCCTCCCACTTTTAGCTACTTTTCCCATCTGACTAAAACTGGCTTCCTCCGTGTCCACCAAGATGTCGCCTCTAAGTGGCCTAACTCCTAAAGAGCGCGATCGGCTCAAGCACTCCGCCACGCGGTTTCCACGGGGCGCGGCCGGCGTTGCCCTCGCCGTGGCCTCAAGCATTGCGGCGCCCCACATGTTGCCAGACGGAAGGCCTCGGCGGGGTCAGGCAGCTGCTGCTGGCCGTGACTACATCACTGGTGACGTTTCACGAGACTTTTAACTGAAATCACTCCAATACAGGCGCATGCGGGACGAGGGGAAAGCATCTCACCCGACCCCACACACCTTCCCCTCCCTCTCCAGCCTAGCGGCCTCCGCTCAGCGGAAAAAAAAGCAGACGCTACTCCCCGCTCTAGGTGCGGGACCTAAGAGGTTTGGCCCAATCAGGCATCCCACCTAACCAGACGGGCCGGAGTCTGTGGCCCGGTTGGACCAACGAAAACTCTAGGGCGGATTTGCCGGGATTTCTGGGAAAGTGACACTCCCGGAAGCTACCGCCTCTTATAAGCCACACATGGGCGGAGTTAGCCTTCCGGCCCGCAGTCCCACTGGCTGACTTCGCTGCCCGTCACGGGAATGCGGGAGAGGGCGGCGCCGGGGCGCTCGCGTCTGCGTGGAGACCGGCTGGCCGCGCGCGGGAAGCCGCGGAACTGCGCCGGAAAGTCCCCCGGCTCTGGGGCCCCGGTGACCCAGAGTAAGCCTCCAAGAAGGAGGAGGAGGAGAGAAAGGCGGCTCTTCCCGTGCCCCTACCAGAGGCTTCGGTGGGCCCACCTTGTGACCTCCGCGGCCGGCCCCTCAGTGGAACTGCGTCCCACGCGGGGGGCGTCCCGACCGTGGGGGCCGCGGCCCGCGCTGACCCTGGACGTCGCCGCGCAGGTACGTTGCCGTCCCCCGGCGGTCTGACCCCCGAGACAGCCCCTAGTGCATACCCCACGCCCTCCTCCATTGTCGAGAATGAGACACGGCTGTGCCTTTGTCCACGTGGTAGAGTTGCCGCCGCGGTGAGGCTCTCGCCTGTGCAAAAAGCGTGGCAGCGAATTCTCATCAACGAGGGGAGGCGCGTCCCCTCACAGCGCAGCTCTCGGGTCTGAGGAGGGCCGGGCAGGGCGTGCGTCTGTCTAGGTTTGAATTAAAGGCGACTCACAGGAAATAAGGCCATGCCACTGTGGTAGCTTTTCCCGTCCATCTCCGGACACTCGACGGTGTGGGTCGTGCGAGGAGGCGGCAGTCTTCACAGCCTCTTACTCTAGTCCTCACGGTCAGGTTCTTTTTCTGATTTGACACAGACAGCGGGACTGACGACCTCATAGGTAGCTGAAAACCGTAAGTGGAGATGGTCCTTCTATGGTGTGTGGGGGCGTGGCCAGTTGTTAGATTGTGTTTGGAAAGACAGCCAGGGGCGGAGAAGAGGGGCATTTCTGAGATGATGGGGGGACTGGTGCCATGGAGGGAGGAGGAGTGAGGTGGAGATCGGGAATTCCAGCCAAAGAGAAATGGGGTCCCTGGGAGAAAATTCCCACTCTAGCAGTCCTGGAGTTGTGCTCATGGAGACTTGCTTACGCGAGTACAAGGACAGCGTTGTATTGACAAAATTTCAGCCCTCAGTCTAGTCTTGTAAACGATAGATCAGGAGTGTACTTAACCGTCGTTACTTTGATCCAGCCCTAGGTTTCCCTTTTCTCATTTGTAAAATTGTTATAGTAATACCTTTTTCATCCATTTGTGGTAACATTTAAATGAGGTAATTTGTGTGAAGCCCTTAGCAAACACAGCGCTTCTTAGTCGTGGGTTCCGCGTGGGGTGGATTCAACCAACCTCAAATCAAAAATATTCTTCAGAAAAAGAAAAATGCGTTTGTACTGAACATGTAGAGGCTTTTTTTTTCTTGTCATTATTTCCTAAACTATACAGTATAACAACTATTTACATCCCATCTACATTGTATTAGGTATTATAAGTTACCTACAGATGATGAAGGTATATAGGAGGATGCTGCGCATAGGTTATATCAAACAGTACACCATTTTATCAGGGACTTGAGCATCTGCAGGTGTTGGTATCCTCGGGGGTCCTGAATCCAGTTCCTCACAGATACCGAGGGACCACTGTACTCAGTCCAGAGTACAGTTGAGGCTTAACTATGAGGTCTGTGGAGGGCGTGGAAAGACCCACGTCTGAAATTGGCTCTTAACTGCTCATTTTTAGGACAGCTTCCCTCCCAGCCAGCCCTTTACCAGAGGCAATGCACCATCTTTGCAGCCGTTATAAGTACCTGGCTCTTTCCAGCCCTATGTGGAATGTTTTATTTATTTCATAAGCTAATCATTATAAAAAAAAAAGTCTTTTTTTTGAAATGAAAAAAAACTGTTCACTAAGTTTGTAAGTATAAACTATTTTAGTAATGTCCTCTATTTTAGTAATGTCCTCTTTTTTTTAAGTGAAATATTTTAATTATGGAGAAAAGAACATAACAGTTGTACCTGTACCCTGAAAAAAGTAAATGTCAATTTTTTAAATGCTTTTGGACTTTTTTATTTGGGGGACAATGTGACATTTCAGCTATAGTTCATATTCTGTGTCCACACACCCAAGAGCTTTGAAATCTAACATGCCTTTCTGTGGAGGCACTGTGACTCCACAGGACTTATCTGGTGGATGTTAGTACCTGTGTAAGCTGGGTGTCCTCCCTTCTAATCCCCACTCACCCAAGAGGTTTGCTGCTTCTAGCTTATCATGGGGATTATGGCTGCCATTTTGATTCTGTCCTCATGTCATTTGTGTTTCTACCCTCTTAAGAAACCTGCCTTCTCTGCCTTCCCAGTTCCTCCTGAGTGAGCTCATGATAGACTTTCCTAGACTCAGCAGCTGACGAGCATTTCATTGGTTTGGTTGGCCTTTATTGGGCCAGTGACCACTCTTCCCTTCAACATGGTCCACTGTCTTTACCAAGGGGCTGTCATGTCTGTTGCAAGCATTCAGGAAAGAGTGGCCTTCCATACTCAAATGTACTCTATTTTATAAAATGTGATTTTAAAAATTCGTGGTCCAATCAGGCCTCCTTATCCTCTGGGAATTGATTCCAGCAGCCCCCCTAGCCCCACAACAGACCAAATCTGCTGATGCTCCAAGTCCTTGATATAAAATGGCGTTAAGGCCGGGCATGGTGGCTCATGCCTGTAATCCCAGCACTTTGGGGGGCCGAGGCAGGCAGATCACCTGAGGTCAGGAGTTTGAGACCAGACTGGCCAACATGGCGAAACCCTGTCTCTATTAAAAATACAAAAGTTAGCCAGGCGTGGTGGCGGGCATCTGTATTCCCAGCTACTTGGGAGGCTGAGGCAAGAAAATCGCTTGAAGCTGGGAGGCAGGTGTTGCAGTGAGCCGAGGTCGCGCCACTGCACTCCAGCCTGGGTGATAAAGTGAGACTGTCACAAAAACAAAATGGCATAGCACAGTCAGCCCAACGTATTTGCAGGTTTCGCCCTGAGGTTGGCTGAATCTGTGGATGCAAAACCCTCAGATATGGAGTGCTGACTATAACTAAATGTTTTTAAACTAAACACTTAAGGTATACTATCTCAGTTTGCCACAGTGGTAATCCCATCTTAACAGTGAGCAAACTGAGTCTTAGTAAAATTAGGCATTTTTAGGCATTGGGTACTATTTGAGCCTACAGTCATTGTTCTGCAGTCTGTAACTATTTTGCCAGTAGTAGAAAAGGAGGAATGTTCCATTGTCAGGGCAGAATGAACTTTGGCATTCACGTGGCTTCTCTTCAACCTTACTTCCCTGCAGCCCCTGGTTCCCCAAGGCAGAGGAAATACCCTGGTGGAGCCCTCCTTCCATAGAACCAGAGATGGCATCTGTGGATTTCAAGACCTATGTGGATCAGGCCTGCAGAGCTGCTGAGGAGTTTGTCAATGTCTACTACACCACCATGGATAAGCGGCGGCGTTTGCTGTCCCGCCTGTACATGGGCACAGCCACCCTGGTCTGGAATGGCAATGCTGTTTCAGGACAAGAATCCTTGAGTGAGTTTTTTGAAATGTTGCCTTCCAGCGAGTTCCAAATCAGCGTGGTAGACTGCCAGCCTGTTCATGATGAAGCCACACCAAGCCAGACCACGGTCCTTGTTGTCATCTGTGGATCAGTGAAGTTTGAGGGGAACAAACAACGGGACTTCAACCAGAACTTCATCCTGACCGCCCAGGCCTCACCCAGCAACACAGTGTGGAAGATCGCAAGTGACTGCTTCCGCTTCCAGGACTGGGCCAGCTAGTGGGGGTGGCAGAGGTCTCTTTGCTTCATTCAGCCCTAGCTCTGTAGAGAAATGCAAACCTCGACTCTCAAGGATGTGAGGAACACAAGTTCATTTCTGTTGTTGCGGAGACACTGCAGACTCCACTGTGCCGAGGTTGAACTCTTTTTTGTTGCTCAAGTTCTAGGAGTCCCTTTCCTGAATATATACTTGTTTGTCATAGTTTCCTTTTCAAAGTAGTAAACTTTTCTATTTTTCTACTTGCCCAGTAGAGACTCTGATTCTGGAAATTCTGACAAATAATTTAATAATACACATGTTGCTTCTTTCCCTGTCTGATGTGTTTGACCAGGTTGTGAGGGAGGAGGAGGGCTAAAGGCAGAAAGCATAATAGGAAGCACCCGCACAGGGGTGAGGATCAGGGCTTAGTACCTACCCCAGGCACCAGTGTGCACATAGTTGGCCCACCTGGAGCTGTGATTCACAGCCCCATGCACACTAGAATCCCTTGGGACACTGAAAATTACCTATGCCAAGGCCATACTCCAGACCCAACCATGCTTGAGTGTGTGTGTGTGTGTGTGTGTGTGTGTGTGTGTGTGTGTGTGTGTGTGGTGGTGGGTAGGGGGGTTGGTTTTGTTCCAGGCTGGAGTGCAGTGGCATAATCTTGGCTCACTGCAACCTCCATCTCCCGGGTTCTAACAATTCTCGTGCCTAAGCCTCCTGAGTAGCTGGGATTGCAGGCACATGCCACCACACCCGGCTAATTGTTTGCCTGAATCTTTGAGGATACGGCTGGGCATGGGCAGTTTCTAAAAGCACCCTAGGTGTCTTTTAGGATACATCACCTTAGGATATAGCAGAATCACCTAACAGATGGCTGGGCCCTACCTTAGCACCTTAGCTGAGAATTAAATGATGAGAACAGATGAAATACTAGAGTTAGCTAATTGCTTATAAATGAAGCCACTATATTAAACTCATTGATAAAGAGAAAGTGAATCAGCACTGATTCTGAGAGGAAGAAGCACTGAAACTAGGATGGAGGACATCAGAACCAGAAGCTGCTGTTACTGATCCTAAAGGCCAAACCCAATTGCATTTCTTCAATGTAAAGAATAGAAAACCCTATAGAAGTTGGACCAATAGATGATGTGCCTGCCATGCTGCAGCTTCCCCAGTTAAGTTGTCTTTGGTAAAAGTGTGCTAGGTTTGGGATAGGGTAGTCAAGATACTGCAATGGGAAATTTTGAGAAGGGTAAGAATCCTGATAAGCACAGTGACACAGGTAGCCGTTTCCTCTTGACACCCCTTCCCTTCTCTATTATCTGAAGCCCAGTGTTTTGAGAGATAAGGGACCCACCTTAAATACTTGACTTTCTCATTCAATTTGTAGCTAGGTCTGACATGTGATTAAGTTCTGGCCAATGAAGTAGGACTGAACTTGGGGGAATTTTCCTTCAACAGACCCTTCTTTCTTTCCCACTCTATCCTGCTGCCTGGAAAGGTTATGCTGACCTGACCACGGGCTCTGGCTCAGTCTTGGCCAAGAGAACAGCTCAGCCATACCCTAGACGTAGGATAGTGCTGAGCTAAAAGGAGCCTAGGTCCCATGTGGAAACACCAAAATAGCCCCAGCTCACTCAACCAAAGACTTCTTTTTAAATGAGAAATCCCATCTTAAGCCATTATCAATTTGGGGTGTGTGACACTGACACACAGCAGTAATCCTAAGTGAGGAAAAGGATTTGAATGGGGCAGACTGTATTCACTACAGGGCCCAGAAGACGCGGGGACGGCCCCAACTACTGCCCTTCAGGTCCGGGCCAGACCCGCAATGGGCAGGATGGGTAGGGTACAGGGCGTGCGTCCCCACCTACACTAGCCTGGTTGCAGGCGGCCTCCAAGGGCACAGCGGGAAGCTCCGCCCTTGCCATGCCCCCGCCACCGGGGAAGGCAAGACAAATGTGCGTGGCACCCTCCTCCTTCGGTTCTGGGACACATCTCCACCAAGCGGCCGTTCGGCAGGTAGGGCCAGATGGTCCCGGCTCGTCCCTGCGGGTGGGGTTTCCCACCGGCGGAAAGCGCAAGCCCCTCCCGTTCTGTCCAGCGCGCTGCCCGCTGCCTTAATTATAAGGCAGATGAAGGTGAAAAGTTTACTGGTTTTTATTTTTGCAACTTTTTGTAAATTTTAAATTATTCTAAAAAGTTTAAGAAATGAATTGTGCTGAGGAGTATAATCAGCACGCAGTGCGAGTTCTTATAGTGGCCACGTCCACAAACCCTGTGTTGTGGAAGAACAGAAGGCGTTCTGCTTTCTGTGTTTCACCGTCTCTCCCTCGCTTTAACTTCCAGGTCCCGGAGTAGTGGTGACAGCAAGGTCTGTTGGTTTCTTTGGTTTAGGTTTGATGAAAGGCCACTCCAGTGGGGTAGGAGGTGGGCAGGGAGAACAGGGGCTAGGGTGGGAGGGGCAGGAGTTGGGTCCTGGGGGTGGAGGAGATGACGGGGAGAGTGGCTTGGAGAAATCTGCAAGAAGAGACATTGGAAGGCCGGGGGAGGTGAAATGGACACTGGGTGAAGCTGAGGAGTCCTAGTGAACCATGTTACCTCTGATCCAGATATTCCCAGAACAACAAGAAATCAAGCTTCTGAATGTGGTCTGTTGCAAGCTTGGAAGGTGCACACCTGTTGCTGCTAATTTGGACAATTTGGGGGAAGAGCAGAGATTTAGATGTTGCTTTGGTCGACCTTAAACACCAGCCCTGTCTCCCCTACCACTTTGCCAAATTAGGGCCCCGTCTCTCTAAAGAGCAAACAGAAAACTGCAGAAAGTTGCTTTGTCCTGTAGACAAGAGGCTGGGACTAGGTAAGAGGAGGGAGCCAGGATGCAAAACTTAAGACCAGCCTGGCCAACAAGGCGAAACCCCGTTTCTACTAAAAATAGAAAAATTAGCTGGGCGTGGTGGCAGGCGCCTGTAATCCCAGCTACTCAGGAAGCTGAGGCAGGACAATCGCTTGAACCCAGGAGGCGGAGGTTGTAGTCAGCCAAGATCGCGCCACTGCATTCCAGTCTGGGCGACAGAGCGAGACTCCGTAACAAAAAACAAACAAACAAACAAAAAATCTTAAACATCACCAACGAGCCTTGTGAGAAATGGTTTAACGTTGTGATACCTTGCCCAATTTTAAGGCAGGTAAAGGTGTGTGTTAAAACTCAACTCTTGAACTGAACCCCAGCTGCCCTTTAGGGCATGCTTAATTTGATGTGGACTGTAACCTCTTTTGCAGCATTGTAGAGATTTGGAATCTGCACATTAGGAAGAGACCCCACGAGGCGGTGGCGTTCTTTCTCGTTCGGAGCTCACACCCCTCCTGGGGAGCCCTCTCCCAACCCGGGCTCCCGGTAAGCGCGGTCGCCGCTCCTCTGAGGGCTGCTCTTCCCTCGCTTCTGAGCCGAGGCCCCCGCGACACGAACGCCACGCCCGAAGCGCTCTTGCCAGGACGTACTGACCGAGGGTAGGCTGCCCAGCCGGGTGGTAACGTTGAGGAAAGGACAGCAGCTTCGCAAAGGAGCTGGGTAAAACCACGCCCAGACCCCGCTGGCCACCAGCCCGAGACCAAGACGCAGGCGGTGGCGCCGGTTTCTCACTCAACCGCAGGTTCCAGCATCCCCGATACGGCCGACGTCATTACCCTGCGACCGCTCAGGACACTTCTGAGGACTCTTTTGACAGCTAGTAATCGCGCGGTGGCGCGACCACGTGACTCCGGCGCCCTAGCCCCGCCCTCCGTCTCCAAGGAGCCCTGGAAGGAGCTATACCAGCGGCTCCAGAAGGCGGGGAGAGGCGGGGCCGGACTCCGGGACAGCCAATGGGCGAGGAGTGCCGCCCAGCCTGACCCACCGGCCGCTCCCTCACGAGCCTGTGGGCGTGCGCCGGCTGTGCAGGTGAGGGGCAGCGAGGGCGCCTAGTGGGCAGGGCGCCGGCGTTGCGCGTGCGTCAGTGTTCTTCCTTGTGCAGTTTAGAATTTGATACATTTCTTTCCAGTCTATTTCTATAGATTTGTTTTCAAATCACATCAGACCCTATGTAAAATAGTGTACCGTCTTTACTCATTATAACATGGTGAGCATTTCCCCAAGCTATTACACATATTTTTAAACATTGTTTTAATGACCGGCATAATAATCCAGTGCTTGGATATATCAAATTCTTCGGCCATCTCCTTATAGGTGAGATTGTTTCCAAAGTTTCACTAATGTAAGTGCACTGCAGTGAACGCCCTTACGTAACAATTGTTCACTCCCGTGTACTTTTCTCGTGCAGAGTTCTACAGCATGAAACACTATATTTAACTTTGTCAGGTTGATGTTTATCAGTGGTTTATTATTGTTTTTATAGTATTCCATTGTCAGTGAAGTATGCCATTCACACTGTCAAGTGAATTGTCTATTTGTATTATTTAAAAAAAAGATCACAAACATAGAAAGGAGAGCTTTATTTCTTTAAACGGTGATAACCTGCAAGGTGGCCCTTCTGACAGGCTGGGAAGCATAGCTTCTGGCAGAAGCTCAAAAGGCAGGCAGCTGGAGGGAAGGGGGCCTAAGACAGGAATTTAAGCTGAAGGACTTAGCCAAGTACACATATGAACAGGCCACAGGAAGAGCTATGAATATTCATGAAACGGGTCCTGACCCATGCTTACTGGACAAACGTGCATGTTACAGGTGACCTATGTTTACTTTGGGGTGGACTCTTAGCATTTACAGGTATTCATGTATTACATTTAGACCCTATAAGTTGAAAGATCTTTTCAGGACACCGATGCACTTGTGTGCAGCCTCTGTAAACCGCCAGAATCAGCCCCTGTTCGGTTGTTTCCCATCAGGAA
This sequence comes from Homo sapiens, assembly GCF_000001405.40. Classification (NCBI taxonomy): domain Eukaryota; kingdom Metazoa; phylum Chordata; class Mammalia; order Primates; family Hominidae; genus Homo; species Homo sapiens. The sequence goes on from NC_000020.11 coordinate 23,359,334, forward strand.
AAAGTTACTGCAGTCAGTCTCTGGTCCAATCAAAGCAGTAATTATTTGTGGAAGTGGTGGGGCTGGGGCAGGGGGCGTGTCAGTCAGCATGTGGAGGTGGATGAAAAGCACATTGTTTGAATATTGCTTATCTAGAGGCCAGTGCTTGTTTGGCTGCCAGAGAATAAAAACCTTGTGGCAGTTAAGGCATAGTTTCTTCTTGAAGTGTAGAGGTGCATGACAACCCTTGCCAGGCATGGCCCTTCATTCTTTATCATTTAGTATTGCCACAAAGAGTCTGTGAGTCTTATGACCTCTATTTTTAAAGCTATTAAGACACTCAACTAAAGCAATCCTTTCAGTATTGAATGGATAAGCTAGCATTATGTTATGCTAGCTAACATAATCGGAGACGGAGTCTCATTCTATTGCCCAGGCTGGAGTGCAATGGCATGATCGAAGCTCACTGCAACCTCCATCTCCTGGGTTCAAGTGATTCTCCTGCCTCAGCCTCCTGAGCATCTGGGATTACAAGTGCCTGTCACCACTCCCGGCTAATTTGGTTTTGTTTTTTTGAGACAGAGTTTTCCTCTGTTGCCCAGGCTGGAATGCAGTGGTGCAATCTCCGCTCACTGCAACCTCTGCCTCCCATGTTCAAGCGATTCTCCTGCCTCAGTCTCCTGAATAGCTGGGATTAAAGGCATGTACCACCTCGCCCAGCTAATTTTTGTATTATTAGCAGGGAAAGGGTTTCACCATGTTGTCCAGGCTGGTCTTGAACTCCTGACCTCAGGTGATCCGCCCACTTCAGCCTCCCAAAGTGCTAGAATTACAGGTGTGAGCCACCGCACCTGGCCTAATTTTTGTATTTTAGCAGAGACGGGGTTTCACCATGTTGGCCAGGCTGGTCTTCAACTCCTGACCTCAAGTGATCGGCCCGCCTCGGCCTCCCAAAGTGCTGGGATTACAGGCGTGAGCCACCGTGCCTGACCACCTTTTTGTAATGCAAAACAAAATCATAAAACACGATTCTGGGCCTGCTGGAGCCATGGGTGAAAACTGCGTTCATTCCAATTTCTTCAAATCATGGAATGCAAATATAGAGAGTCGGCCTAAGAAAGATTTCTGTCACTCATTCATTCTTCAAATATTTATTGAGCACCTACTATGTGTGGGAAGCTGGCTCCTGTTCAGGAAATATAATTAAAAGTACAATCTCCCAACCCTCTTCAGAAAGGTAGTGGAGAAAGAAAACACTTTGTAATTGAATAAGCATTAAACTAGAATGTGATACCCATCACAGGCAATCCATTAAGAGACTGCAAAGACAGAACGAAATCTCACTCTTTTGTGCAGCCAAGCAATCTATTACACACATTTTCAAGATAAACAATAACTAGCTCTCAAGGGAACTTGGCAGCATTTTTCATCACACACAGTTCATCTAACCTGATATTTGGGATGATCCTCTGTGTTAGCCAATTGGCTTTATCTAGAGGAAAAAGAAACTTGTATCTTTATGATATGAGATAATTTTGTAAGTTGGAGCAAAGGGCCCACTGAAGTTAGGCTCCTACTCCCCCATTAAAACTGGGAGACAGGGGCATTAACTCCCTTGATACTTAAAGAGATGGCTCCTAGGTCCTAGAAAAAGACATATCTAGGTTATAAAGCGCACAAAAAGGCCTAACTAGTCTTCAAAAGGATTTATATATTTCAAAGAGAGGAAAAAGTACTTACACTAATTACCAATTTTCTAAAAGTAAATGTTCGAAGAAAAAGGGAGGGAAATCTCATATTTTCAACAGGAAGTAGTAAACCTTATTTTAAATTTGTATTTGTCCTGACAGTCCCCAAACATTACAAACTCAACGTGTCGGTAAGACAAGGCTGAGTTAACTGCTGGCCACAGTAAGGGACAGCATGACCTGGCAAAGCTTTACCAATGGCTGGGAGCAAAAGGCAAGGTCAGTTTATTGAGAACTGGAAGTCTGACTCAAGGAAGGTGTTTCAAAGCGGGCTTTAGTTAGTATTGAGCAAGAATTGGTGGAAACAGCAAGATTTCGAGGAGTCAGCGAATCTTAGGGAATCAATTGTGCTTTCCCCGAAGAGTGGATGGGTCTCTGGGGAAGTTCTGTAGTGAACAAAGCTTTCGCCCGAATGGGAACTCCTGGAAATAAAGCCCTGCAGTAAAGACGGCAGGGTGCGGTCCCGGCTCCTGGCGCGCCGAGCCCCCCAGCAGGGCGGGGGCACCGCGGAAGAAGCGCCCCAGAGGAGAGCGCCGCGCCGAGCCCCGCCTGGCGCCAGTTCTCCAGCGCCCGTGGAGGCATCTGCGCCCCTAGTAGCCAAGGTGAGTACCAGCTCCAAGCCCGGCTTTCCGCGAGGTCCCTCGCGTGGCCACCGTGCCCTAAGGGTGCGCTCGGCCTCGGGGACGTGAGCAGCTCTTAGTGGGAAGCCAGCTGCAGGCCCTGACCGCAGGCTGCTGGGGCCCGGAAGCGCTGGCGCCTTGCGGCCAGAAGCCCGGAATGGACGCGAAAGTGACCACGCGAATCTGACGCTCACGTGACTTTTCGCGACTGGCCCCGCCCCCCTGTGGCGTGCCGCAGCGCAGACGTCGCTGTCTCCTGCGCAGGCGCAGGCCTTGGCTCGCGGCGGGTGACGCAATGCGGCGGGTGACGCAATCCGGCGTCGCCAGTCAGTCGCGCGGCCAGATCAGGTAACTGCCCGAACCGCTCCGCCGCCCGACGTGTGGCTCAGCCCCTTCCTCAGCCCCGCCAGGGGCGGGGCCGGCCGCGGGAGGGGAGGGGCCTGCAGCGACCAATCGGCGGTGCCCGCGCAGGGTGCTACGCCACGCCCAGCCGGGCCGGCCGTTCCTACCGGCCTGGTCCAGCGGACAGCGGCTGCAGCGGGGGCGCCGGCTGGGAGGTGAGTGCGCGGCCCGTAGGCCTGGCTCCGGCCCCTCGCCGCCCGCCGCCGCCTCTTTGTCCGCGCGCCCCGGCTGCTCTGTGGACCTGCGCGTCTCGGGGATGCGGGAGCGGGGGCAGGGGGCGGCCCGAGGGCCTGATCCACGCGGCCCCGGATGCCCGCGTCGGGAGGCGGCGCGTCGGGCCGAGGAGGGGCTTCTCTGTGGCTGCAGTAGTTTGTTCTCTGGGTCGTCTTTGGAGTGGCCGAGCGGCGTCCGGGCGCTGGGGCGGCCAAGTGGCGCGGGAAGGGTGGGAGGTGCCGTGAGGGCGGCGAGGACAGCGGCGGATTTAAGCCCCACTGGAAACCCCGGCCCTTGTGGCCGTGGACTGGGCTGCGGGTAGCAGCGTCTCCTGGAAGGGCTCTGGCCCCGTGAGCCTCGGGGATTCAGGGGCCGCCGACGTTGGTGCAGATGCCGGGCGCACTGGGAGGCGGCCGGAATGCCAATGAGATTCGGCGGATACGCAGCTGTCACCGGCCGCAGACTGCCCTGTCGCCACCTCCAGTGCCTGCACTCCAGTAGCCAAGCAACATAGGAAATCGCGCTCAGAACCCACTTTGTTGATTGAGAAATCAGGTCTCCTCGAGGGCCCTGTTGGCAGAGGTCTGGGGAAGTCAGGGCATCAGGCTGAGAGAGCCCTCTGCAGTCTTGTTTCCCCAGGCTGGGGCTGGGACCACTGAAACCCCAGTGGCTCTATAAGAGCCCCACTCTTATAGATCCCTTCCTTAGGCTTTGTCAGTGTTCTCACAGTTTTACTGGGGCGTCTCCTTCAGGCGACATTGATCAAGCCTCATAGGTACCTGTTTACAGCGGAACTCCCAGAGGGCAGTCTTTTCCATGTTTGAGGGACTGCTAGTTGTGGGGAGCGGTCTCATTGATGAGACTGGAGAAGGGGAGAGGGGTGGGACTAGTTTATCAGGGAAGATGATGACAACTTTTTTTCTAGACACGTTGAATCCGAGGTGACATCTGTGGTCTGGCCGAAGGAGGCTAGAAGGAAGGCATGTGCTTTGGATGGATGGAAACAGGAATCAAAGAGGAAGGTAGATTCAGGAGCTGAAGGGCAGGGAGAAAACACATTCAGGGAGTTTGTGGCAAAGCAGCAGAAATGACGATGGGGTGACGGTATCTGGAGGCCTTAGGTGGGGTTGGTGAAATTTGCATGCCCGCTGCAGTGGAAAGATTTAGGGGCTAAAGATAGCCCTTTGCCTTTGGCAAGGCTGAGGGGAAGAGTGTGTTGAGTAGTCTGAGTTGAATCCGGGCACCAGGCCCTGGCTCATGTCCCAACCAGCCATTGACTGTTACCTTGATAGGTCCTCATCTATGAAATGGGGATCACTGTAGCACCTTGGCCTATGTGTGGGAAACCAATAAACTAGCCAACAAGTTTCAGGCTCATGGAACCCTGGTAACAGCCGGTCAGCCTTCTTCAGAGGAGGAAATGGGTTCAGAGAAGTTGCTTGCTCAAAGTAGCACAGCTTGTAAAAGCTGTGGAACTTAACATTATTTCAGTAGAGTAACAATAATTCAAATTCTGAGGAGTTTAGGATGTTGGGAATGGGCGATGAATTGTGAACTACTTTTCCAAGAAGTTTTCCTCATGGAAAGTAGTTATTTAGTTGGTTCTTTTCAAAGGCAGAAATGATTCCCTGAGGTTTTGGATTTGCTCCCAGATGGTGGTGGCTATGTGTTTTAATTATCTGGTTTCCTGATCAGAGAACTAGACATTATTGTTGCCATGAATTCTTTTACAGTTTTGGGGACTATGTAAGCAAATTAGACAGTGACCTTGGTGAGCAAATTACTGTGTTAATGTATTTCACTAATCACAACTTCCATCATTTGTTTATCACTGGAGGAAACCTTAGAATACACTATTTTTCATGCCAATTTATTACCTTAGGAAAATGCATGAGGAACCTCACTTTAGAAAACTGCTAAGAAGTAAAATGTCATTCGAATCTTTACCTGAGTAAAGCTAGGTTGTTAATGAGTCTATATCCTCTCAAGTACTGAAGGAATCCTCATAAATTTTAGTCCTTTTGCATCAGTGGTTGCTCATGCATAATTCTTGTTTCTTTTTCAAAGCTGTTTTTGGAAGGAAGAAAGATGGAAAGCGGTGCAGTTCTGCTGGAATCCAAATCCTCCCCATTTAACCTACTGCATGAGATGCATGAGCTTCGCCTCCTGGGTCACCTGTGTGACGTGACAGTCAGCGTGGAGTATCAGGGTGTCCGCAAAGACTTCATGGCCCACAAGGCAGTGCTGGCTGCCACCAGCAAGTTTTTTAAGGAAGTGTTCCTTAATGAGAAGAGTGTGGATGGTACTAGGACTAATGTCTACTTAAATGAAGTGCAGGTTGCTGACTTTGCTTCATTTCTTGAGTTTGTCTACACTGCAAAGGTACAGGTGGAAGAAGATCGGGTGCAGCGAATGCTGGAAGTGGCTGAAAAGCTGAAATGTTTGGATTTATCAGAAACTTGTTTTCAATTAAAGAAACAGATGTTAGAGTCAGTACTTTTGGAGTTGCAAAATTTCTCAGAGTCTCAGGAGGTGGAGGTGAGCAGTGGCTCCCAAGTTAGTGCTGCTCCTGCCCCCAGGGCAAGTGTGGCCACCGATGGCCCTCACCCCAGTGGTCTCACGGATTCCTTGGACTACCCAGGAGAGAGAGCCAGCAATGGCATGTCTTCAGATTTGCCACCGAAGAAGTCCAAGGACAAACTAGACAAGAAGAAAGAGGTAGTTAAACCTCCCTACCCTAAAATCAGGAGAGCTAGTGGAAGGCTGGCTGGGAGGAAGGTCTTTGTGGAGATCCCTAAAAAGAAATATACGAGAAGACTCCGAGAGCAGCAGAAAACTGCTGAGGGTGATGTGGGGGACTACAGGTGTCCCCAGGACCAAAGCCCGGACAGGGTGGGCACGGAGATGGAGCAGGTTTCCAAAAATGAGGGTTGCCAGGCAGGTGCTGAGTTGGAGGAATTGTCAAAGAAAGCAGGGCCGGAGGAGGAAGAGGAGGAGGAGGAGGAGGACGAAGAAGGGGAGAAGAAGAAGAGCAACTTTAAGTGCAGCATTTGCGAGAAGGCGTTTCTGTATGAGAAGAGCTTCCTGAAGCACAGCAAGCACCGCCACGGCGTGGCCACCGAGGTGGTGTACCGCTGCGACACCTGCGGCCAGACCTTCGCCAACCGCTGCAACCTGAAGAGCCACCAGCGCCACGTGCACAGCAGCGAGCGCCATTTCCCATGCGAGCTGTGCGGGAAGAAGTTCAAGCGCAAGAAGGACGTGAAGCGGCACGTGCTGCAGGTGCATGAGGGCGGCGGCGAGCGGCACCGCTGCGGCCAGTGCGGCAAGGGCCTGAGTTCCAAGACAGCGCTGCGGCTGCACGAGCGCACACACACGGGAGACCGGCCCTACGGCTGCACCGAGTGCGGCGCCAGGTTCTCGCAGCCGTCCGCGCTCAAGACGCACATGAGGTACGCGGGGAGCCGTCCGGAGGGGTCCCTGCGCACTGGAAGGGTGTGTCAAGCACTGAGGTCGTCCTGGGATTTGATGTCTCACTGCTTAATTTCTCCGCTCCAAACCTGGGGGCTTATTTCGAGACAGCGTTTAGTTCTCTGTCAAGGTACAGGGGCTGCGAGTGATGGCTCTGCTCCCTTGTTCTGAGACCCCTGGGGCGCCCCTGCTGGCCGGGACGTCCCTCTGGTGGGACCGCGACAGCGGCCGCGGGCTCGCCCCACCGTGCTGGAGGAAGAGTTGGGCCTCGTTACCTTTATTTCTCCTTTCCTGACTCTTCGTTTAGATCTTGGGGTTCTGTGACCATCCGGGTCCCACAGTCTCAGTAGAGACCTCAGTGAGATGCCATTTCAGGCTTTAGGACTCGTCTCTGGTCTTTTGGTTCTCAGGCTTGGAAGGAGTGCCATCTAGGCAGTCTGCACTCCAGAATCAGGACAGACAGTGCTTTCTGTTTCTTAATATGTTTCTGAGCTGCAGGTGTGTGGTGATGTTTTTAAATAAGTTTTCTTATAGTTCTTAGTATATTTATTCTTGAAATCCCAACAAGCAGTTGTTTTCTCTTCTCTTCTAGATCTGCCCTCAAACCTAGGTCAGTCTTGGGTTAGCAGCATGGTGTTCATTTTTTACTCTATATAATAAGTTAAAAATACTTGGTTTAGGAAGTGCTCAGTAAATTATGTTTGATTGCTACTTCATACTAGTTGTGACATTAAAATGCTTATGCATTTTAAAAATGCCACCTTCGGCAATTTGAGAACAGTTCTCCTTTCTCTACTGGTGATGTCATATTAGGAAATGAGAGTAACATTTTTGATCATGTGACACTTAATCAGCAGTAGTTCCTAAGGTGTTTGTGGCTGATTATTCTGTATGAGACAGCTTTACAAATATCAGATTGTGGTCTTTAGTGTTTAAAAAAATCTGCAAAGGCCTGGTCTCTACCTGCACATGCCTTATAGCATCAGCAGTAGGGCTTGTGATCAGGTGTAGATGAACATTCCAGTCAGTGATTTATGGAAAATGTGTGGATCCATTGACCTTGTGCAGAAACTCAGTTTATTTTGGGATGGAGATTATGGGCTCTTGACCTGTCACTACAGTCATTCTCATTAGGTCTCTTGGAGTAAACGATTTTTGCAGGATAGAGTGGAAATTGTATTGCAAAGTGAGCTTTGAAATACATCCTAAGTTATCATCTGAATGTTGTACTTTCAGAATTCATACAGGGGAAAAACCTTTTGTCTGTGATGAATGTGGTGCAAGATTCACTCAGAACCACATGCTGATTTATCATAAAAGGTGTCACACAGGTAAATACTCATGCTGTTGTGATTGAATGTCTTTCCTAGATCTAGAAGGAAATGCAATTGATTAATTTTGAAGTTGGCATCTACCAAGGTGGTGCAGGTTAAAGCCATGATATAGCTTTTCCATCTAGTAAGTGAGCAAAATGAATAAACATACACCCATTGCCTTGTTGCTAGTGTGCACATGGCTGTGGCTTTTATACCACCAGGCCATAGGATCTGGCATGCAGGTCTTAGGTATCAAGAGATATAAAATAGTTCTTTTGTAACCGAAATTTTTTTTTCTAAGACTCTGTCCTAAAGAAATTGTCCAACATATGGGAAGAGCTGTATGCTATTATCCCCCTTCTTGCTATTTTTAACTAAGAATGGGAAACAGCCTGATTGTCCAACTACAAGGAAGTGCTCTAGTCAACTCTGGTAAATCTATACCCTGGCTTATGACCCGGCTATTCAGAGTAAGGGCTCTGAATGACATGAAAAAGTCTGTGCTTGGATGTTCAACTTTAAAATGCACAATTAAGCATACAGTTAACCTCAATTGTATTGAAAACCTGCACATAAAAGACCAGAAGAAAATAAGTTGTTATATGATACATTAAGGTAGTAGGATTATCTCATTTCTGTTTTCCAAAGTCTTTATGATTTATTAATTATGTGACAGATAAAACTTAAGTTGGCTTTATTCTGCTTCAGCACAGTAACCCTGAGGTTTAGAATCTTGTGGAAGATACAGAAGCATACAGCACTGAAGTGTTCCAATTCTTCTCAGTTTCTTCTTTGCTTGCATTTTTTATTCTTACCTGTAAACACTGGCTTACAAGCCTCAAGTTCAAATGCATGTGAGACAGAGATGACATGTCTCTGACTCATTAGACACCACATCTGTGTGATTAGACACCAGTTCTGCTCATTCTGAAGTCATAATTCATGTCATTGAATGAAAATCTCATTTAATGTCATGAAATTAGCATTTAATGACATGCATTATGACTACAGAATGAGTAGAATTGTTTAAAGAAAGCTTGGGATTGGGGACAAGGTCAGGTTATAATGAAGGATTAAGTTAGAATTGGTCCTTTGATAATATTAACATGGTAAGATTTTATTAAAGTCACTATTTTTATTTTGATGTCTGTGAAATCGGGCACAGCTAATAATTTGGTAAGTCTGATTTGTGGGATTAAACTACAAAAAGTGAGATATTTAAAACTCTTGTCCTACAATTCAATCAAGTTGATTGGAGTTGCTACTCTAGAATAGTGATATATATCCATTGTCAACTTCCCCTTTATTCTGATAAAGATCCATAGAAGTGTTCCTTTGAAAATAATCCAGCAGTTCCTCCAAACAGAAGTTGTGAAATTATTTTCTTGTTTGGAATGAGTAAATTTCTAAAATGTGAGCCAGCTGAACAAACAATACCTCTTTGATTCTAGTCAAATGGAATTTTTCTTGCAATTTCCAAGGATATTTTACACCAACTTTCAGTAAGTAGCAAGCATCTTACATGAATATATATTTTATGATAGTTTTTACTGGAAAATGTAACATGCTGCCTACCAAGGCACTTTTGAGTTCACGTGGGTTTTAACAGTGGAGACCTACTGTTCCATGTGTTTTTAATGCCTGTATTGTTTATGACTTTATTTCATTTTCTCATGTAGGTGAAAGACCTTTTATGTGTGAAACATGTGGCAAGAGTTTTGCTTCTAAGGAGTACTTAAAACACCACAATAGAATCCATACTGGATCCAAACCCTTTAAATGTGAAGTATGTTTCAGGACTTTTGCCCAGCGGAATTCACTGTACCAGCATATTAAAGTCCACACAGGTATGGTTGGAATGTCCCAGGGAAGGGAGTTTAGTTTGGCCAAAAAAAAAATTCTAAAGCTTGTAGATTTACCAGTAAATTACTTGGAACTAAGCTTTTGAAGAAAACTGGCCAAACTTTGTATGTCATAATAGCATTTCTTTAGAGATTGTTTCTAACTCTGAGAAACTGAAAAGTGGGAGCACTTATGTGTGTAAACGGGAGAAGACTAAGTCCCTTTGCTACATGGAGTTTTTACTGAAAAGGACAGACAGCTTAGTCATGGTGTGAATGTAGGAAGTGGATGTGGATGTGTGGACATAGGGATAATGATCTGTACATGTTAGTAAATGCACATGCACACATGCATATTCAGTTGTTAGGGGTCTTGTAATTTTATACTCCATTACCATGGAAAACAGGTGTCATTCCTATAGTTATAATACCTGCTGCAGGCACATGTCCTGGCCCCTTTTTGGTGTAGGCCATAAATTCTTGGTATTATAGAGATAGTGGATTTGTAGCCCTTAAGTTGTTCCCAACATAACCTTCCTTATGTTGGATGCTGAGGCTTCCCAGTGGTTTGCAACAGCATCATTCACTCAAGTGTGTATTCAGAATTAAGCACAGTAGGCCAAAGGGACCCACCAGCAGTCTCCTCTCTCCCTGCCTCAGGGGAGCGTCCCTACTGCTGTGACCAGTGCGGCAAGCAGTTCACCCAGCTCAACGCCCTCCAGCGCCACCGCCGCATCCACACAGGGGAGAGGCCATTCATGTGCAATGCGTGCGGACGGACATTCACCGACAAGTCCACTCTTCGGCGGCACACCTCAGTAAGCAGTGGGTTGGCTTATTTGAGAAACAAGCTGCTGCCCTTAGATGCACGGAAAGAGAAATACCTACCACCATTCTCCAAGGTGGTTAGAGGTCGAGACAACAGGTACTTTCTCCTTGGGTTGTCTCTGCAGTGGAACGCTCACGGAATGAATGAAGTGGAACACCAAGCCCCAAGGCCCAGGGAAAGCACCATCCACGATGACTACTCTGTAACAGTGAGGGTGGTGGCAGGCGGGTACTTATTAGTGAAAGTTGAAAATTGAAGTTGTAGAGGGACTATTGTTTTAAAAGATGCACTTGTCCAGAGACACATTCAGTGACCTTTGTTTTGTGTTTAACTTATAGATACACGATAAGAATACTCCATGGAAGTCTTTCCTTGTCATTGTAGATGGCTCGCCCAAGAACGATGACGGACACAAGACTGAACAGCCTGACGAAGAGTATGTGTCATCCAAGCTTTCGGATAAATTGCTGTCTTTTGCAGAAAATGGCCATTTCCACAACCTGGCTGCAGTCCAAGACACTGTACCTACCATGCAGGAGAACAGTTCTGCTGACACAGCCTGCAAGGCAGATGACTCCGTGGTGTCCCAGGACACCCTCCTGGCCACCACCATCAGTGAGCTTAGCGAGCTGACCCCACAGACAGACTCGATGCCCACACAGCTTCACTCTTTGAGCAACATGGAATAAGAGCTTCAAGCAGTTCCCATCCTGTTAGTCTGCGTGTGTGGTAGCTGAACTCAAGATGATGTGGGGCTAAGAAAAATAATTGTCCATGTGCAAAGATGTGGGCAAGAATGGCCTCTGCAGATTTTCCTGAACTTCTGCTAACTTGCACGGCTTTATCACAGCATTTTTAAAGCTTTCCCTCAAAAATCCTGATCTGCATGATCTCAGCTACTTTATTGACAAAAAGGCAGTGAACATAACCTCACTTAATTCTGGTGTAGGGTGTATGTGCTAATCGTTCTAATTCTTGATTACCTAGTTTATAGATAACTGCTGGTCTTAATTGCAGAGTACAGAGAACTGAACCAGCTCCTGATATTGTAGTTAGCAGTCTTCCTGGCTTCTCACTCTGCCTTATATTTCCATGTGGGTTTACTTCTCTCATAACTACTTTCAAGGTATTTTTCTTCCAAGCTGAAATAAAACTGGGGCCACATATTTTCAGTCATTTCTTCCCTGTTGAATTGAAGCAAATCAGATTTTCTGTGGGGACCCTCAAATGCAACTGAAGAAATAGATTGTTGCATTCATTCCTCCCCACCCCCCATTTGTAGGCAGTAAACAAAGTATGACTGACAGATTGAACACCTGCAAAACTGCTAGCGTAATCTCAGCACATACGCAGCTAGGAAGTTTGTCATAAAATCAACTTAGAAATGAGATGAGGCTGTTCAGTTTGTCTTAAAAAAATCAGATTAGGTAAAAGCTGTCCTACCAAAGAGTCTAGCAAAACAATATAGTATTTTTTTGCAGAGGCATGAAAAATTAAGACGCTTTAGAGTACTTGAAAGTTGTGTAGTCATTTTATTTGCAAAATGAGGTGACTGTGGCAAATTATAGAACACAGAGTATTATTACTTTTGCCAGGTTTTTCTGACTTGATTTCTGTAATTTCCAGAAACCCAGACTTCTCATTTCCACACCTAGAGATGGAAACAGGCAAGTAACTGACATGTCTATTTCCTTGGGAGCATGTGAGAACATAGCAGTAGGGACCAAAAGTCTCAGCACACTTACCTCCGATTATGCCTTAAAGAGTTGATTGTGAAGAACCAGTAACTTTGTCCCAAATGCTTCTTTGGCTGTTTCATGCAGGACTTAATTATTGCTTTTAAAAATTCACAATGAAAAGACGATTCTGCTGTATTTGTTAAACGTTGACATTTGGTTCTAGGGCCTTGAGTATGTGCCACGTGCTTGTGAAATGCTATGATTCACATGTAACATTTAAACATTAATTTAAAAAGGGAACCTTGGAGAATTCTTTTGTTCACTAGTTCCTTTTTTCTCTACATTTTTAATTTATTAAACTTGCTGTGAAAACACTTTGATTTTCTAAGAGGAAGGTACTTTAAGTTCCAGAATGAACATGTAGCTGCACTATGCCAGAAATTAATGAGGGAAGACTTTCTTCCTAAGTGCTTATGTTTTAACTTATGTTAGTGAAACCACTACAAGGTGTTTCAGGCGCTGATAACATGCTTCACACCTGCCCTTGGAGGTCACAGTACTAATTTACTTCAAATTTAGTTATGACAGTGTCACTGTATCCTAGTTATGTTTACAGCACAAATAAATAATGACTGTCATACATCCAGAGGAGACCGAACCTGCCCAGCTGATGTACTGTTTTATGGAATAAAGTCACTTGATCAGAAGGAATTGAAACAATAGATCATTTTGTTACCTACTGGAGGGATTTTTGTCTTGAATTTGTTTCCTTAGAAATTCTACAAAAAAATGTTGTTAATAAATGTCTGCTTTGTAAAAGCAGTTTTGCAATTTTTTAAAGATCTATTTCTGTTATAATTTAGGTTCTGCAGAAATATGATTCTTAATTGAAACATATAATTTGCTTAATTACGTGAATAATGAAATGTAAAATCCGGGTCCATAAGCCTTTATTTCATACAGTCCTAGGATTAAGCTGTTTAACTGCTTGGATCCCAGTTGGTCTCTGGCAGTGGGATCCTGGAGAGGAGAAATCCTGGCCTCTGCTCATGCGCAGGCCACAACCGGGCTGGAAGTGCGGTTGAGCTCTCTGCCACTTTCTTCAATGTAAAAAGTAGGCATCAAAGATACGACTTCTACTATATACATTTCTCTGTCCCTGAGAACAGAGAAACGTAACCCTGTAGGGGACTGGTTACAGAGGACCTCCTGGAGCATCTGCCCCATTCCTCCAAGTCCAAGCACAGCCATGCTGAGTGGAAGCGAGGCCACCATCTGAGTGGATTGGTCCCAAGTGTGTAATGAGGAAAGTGGCCAGGTGCCGGCACAGTGCCTCTCCCAGAGCCTCAAGAAGGGCCATTTAGGAGCTTGCTTCAACCATTTTCCAACCATTTTCTGTGAAATGCTGTCAGCCCAAACTCCAAAGGGATGTGCAGCCTTTCGTTTTACCAAATTCTTTGCTGTCGTTTGGAAAAAATGGGCCATGTGGTGGAGACCTTTATTTAAGGTGATTTTTACAGAAATGTGATTTTGCTGTAGGTGATTATCCAAACAAGTAAATTTGAGTGTATAATTTAATTTTTAACCTGTTAAATAAACCTTGTCCCTCCAAGGAGTTCATTTTTGGGAAACAAGATGGGTACTTGTCAATTTAACCAAATGTCATGATATTCATGTACTCAGGAGTAACAATATTTCATTTGATGTGACTGAGAAAGGCACACAGGTCAGAGGATCATCTAGCACAGCAGTCCCCAACCTTTTTGGCACCAGGGACCACTTTTGTGGAAGACAATTTTCCCACAGGTGGGGGGACAGAATGGTTTCAGGATGATTCAAGCGCATTGCATTTATTGTGCACTTTCTATTATTATTGCATTGTAATATACAATGAAGTAATTATACAATGCACCATAATGTATAGTGGGAGCCCTGAGCTTGTTTTCCTGCAACTTGACAGTCCCATCTGGGGGTGATGGAAGACAGCAACAGATCATTAGGCATTAGATTCTCATAAAAAGCGTACAACCTAGATCCCGTGCACGCGCAGTTCAATAGGGTTTGCACTCCTATGAGACTCTAATGACACTGCTGATCTGACAGGGTGCACAGCTCAGGTGGTAATGTGAGCCACGGGGAGTGACTGCAAATACAGATGAAGCTTCACTGCCTGCAGCTCACCTCCTGCCGTAAGGCCCAGTTTCTAACGGGTTGGGGACCCCTGATCTATCACATCATGCTAAATGAGACTCAGAAAATCATCTGCATACCTTTGGCAATCCGTACGTGGACTCTTAACTAAGGCTGACAAAACTAAGCTTTTAAACTACCATGGTGGCATCTTCATTAGGAAATTGATTCTGAGAAGAGCCACTTGATTTAGGCTTTGAATGATCAACAACTCAGAATGCCTAGATGAGGACAGCTTGTTCTACCATTTAAAACATTTTGCTTTGACTTACCTGAAGTGTTGTGAATATACTTTAGGACCTGAAATCAAGGCTCTATGATAGGATGGTAGGATGAGCCGGTCTGCACTACCCGCCATGGGTCCTCTTCCTCATCAGAACTTCAGGCCCCAGTGGTCAGTGGGACTGACCCTTCCCCAGGGGCATCTCCTCTCCCTGTGCAGATATTTTGCAAAATTAAAATAAATGCCCACACTGACCAGATAGTTGAGTGGTACTTTCTTGGGGTAGGAGAGTGTCAGGCTTAGGGGTGCCTCACCTCCCCACCAGTCTTCCAGCAACCATGCCTTCCTCAACTTTGCAAGTAACTGTAGACCCTAAAGGATTCAAGGAAGGGATGAGAATGTGGGGTCTGCAGGGTTATCATGTACTTTAGTGGACTGCATCAACAGAAGTTACCAGGGTTTCCTTCTAAACCCTCAGTCTGCAAAACCATTACGGTGCCCTGGAATTCCCAACAAATGACCGGAGCCTAGAGAGTATTAACGTCTGTTGCCTTAATCTTAACGGGAACAACTTGAAACAATGGAAGCTACTTTTGACCTATGCCAATTTAGCAACAAGACTCATCAAAATATTACTGATAATTTCCACTTTATAGGTTAAAATAAAACAAGCATACTTTTTCTGCTAAGGTAGATTTATTGTTACACATGGTTAGTTTTCATAACGTAATCCCCTGCCCCAGAGCAACTCAGGACTCCATGGAGCAGGAAGCCTGCTCTTGGTCATAGCTCATACCACAGCAGGCAGGTCACGGGGGCATGCTGTGCTGCCAAGTCCTCCAAAGGAAGTCACAAAGGTTTGCATTTGGACATTTAAATCCACAAAATCAGGAGAAACAATAAATGCACAAGGGCTGGTGCATATACTTTGGTTACAGTGACGCCACCACACACGGTCACGACTGTGCAAAAATACTGCTTTCAAATCATTAAATAAAAAAGAACTCACACAAGCTATAAAAATGTTGCCACAAAAAGCAAAACTTTCCTCTAAGAAATATTAACTGACTTTGACTATGAACTAACTCCAGATTTGCTAAAGTACAAGAATTGTACCATAAATAATTATATTTTGTTCATAAGTAACATTCTATAAATCTTGAAGACCTAGCTCACAGGCATCTTGAAACATGGCACTGTCCTACATCCATGGGACATTTAAAGGAAGTAAGTTTGCACACCACTAACTGGGCTTTTCTCTCATTCTTTTTTTTAATCTTCTGGCAGGTCTCTTCTAGCCATTACAATTACTTTGATTCTTTTCATGTGAAATATTAAAAACAAAAATTAATTCTTAACCCCGGAACTGGTCCCAGTGTTTATTGCAATACAAACAAGTGACCCTCTAATTGACACAACAAAATGTTACAAACATTATTGTTAAAAAAAAATACCCCTTCAGACGGGTCTGTTGGAGTATAATGATGAAAGCTAAACATAATTGCCCGAAAAT
Source organism: Homo sapiens (assembly GCF_000001405.40). Taxonomy (NCBI): domain Eukaryota; kingdom Metazoa; phylum Chordata; class Mammalia; order Primates; family Hominidae; genus Homo; species Homo sapiens. Next base: position 23,375,358 of record NC_000020.11, read on the forward strand.
AAATCATGTAGTTTTTACTTTAAGTGGTCAGACCAGAAGATTCTTTAAACAAGTAGAAACAAACTACTTAAAACCAGAGGACTCAAGCTGCAGAACCACTCCTCACACCCCATTTTCACAAAAGTGCATTTGGCTGGTTGTAGGATATATTATTAGGTGGGGAAACAAAACCCCACTTTTCTCTCTGATCATTTTTTCATAAGAGATTCTAAGAGGGAGTGAAAAAGTACCAACTGGACTCCATTCCAGGTCTTACCTCTAGAAGACAGCCAGCTCTCATTTAAGAATCTCAGAACTTGGAAGGAAGGAGGAAATCCACATTAAATTCTAGGGCCCAACAGACAGAGTGTCTTCATTGCCACCCCCAGTAGTGGGGACTACAGTGCACCTGTAGTCCCAGTAGATGCTCTGACATCACAGAGCTTCCTGCTCTACCAGCCCACCTCATGCATGTCACCACCATAACTATAGCCTGCAAGTCCTCGTGGCCACCTGATGTGGATCCTCTACAGTCTGTCCTTGGCTGGCCCTTCCCACTTCCTTTCCTGCTACTTTCTCTTTCTTCCTAGACTGACCTACTCATCATTTCTCAAACAACCTGCAGTCGACCCTTGGCCTGGAAACACTACCAATTCCAGTTGAGAGCCACCAAAAATGAAAACATCATTCCAATACTACTTACTACTACCTGACATAACATAGGAAGTTTCGTTACCTGTCATCAGTGAAGCTCCGTGATGTCAGAGTGTCTGCTGGGTTAAGTCTGGCAACACATTTCAAATATAAATCATTTAACTATAAATATTCAGAGGACATTCAGGAGACAAGCGTATGTCTAAAGTACAATATCAGCATATAAATTAATAGGATCAAGTTCATGAATCAAGATAGCATACATATATTATATAAACCAATTAAACACGACAGAGTTCAAACACATAAGCCAACATATTCCACCAGCTAAGAGAACAATCAAGTCCCCTGAGAAACAAGTTGGGGTTCTTGCCCACTTGGGCATACAGGACATTCCTGTACCACATTCACCCCACCTAACCCATCATGTACAATAAACAGGAAAATTACATACATTCATTCTCAAGCTTGACTTAGATAATCTATCCAGCCCTGACCAAGATTTCTATAGTCACAGCACAGAACACACCACCTCAACGTGGGAAAGTGTATAAACATGAAAATAATGAGCAGGCTATGCCAATTAAAATACTTCAATGTAAATATAAAGGGATTTCCACTCCAACTAAAAGTGAAAACTATCTCCAGAAAAAGAGAAAAATTCCATTTCTAACAGATCTTGTGATATGTGTGTGTGTGTAAACGCGTGTGTCTAAGTACAAATCAAATTCACTTTGACACTCATCCATACATGAAGCAAGTACTTCCAGAAAGCTCCCTTCCTCACAATGTGATGCCTACAGACCCTGGCTATTCTAAATTTTTGCCATGCACATGTTAGCATACGGAACAACACAAAAAGCAAAGAAACTAGTCACTAGCACCATCAAAATAATCACAGGATAACAAAAATAGAAATGATTTCTAATGAAGTTATAAACTCATTCCTAGTAACTGTCCTAAACTAAACACACATTTAAAGAACATATTCAGATGCCAAAGCACAGAGAAAATGCAAAGCATCTATGAGAACAACTGGGCTGAGTACTCAAGTCCAACAAAAAGGACATAAAAACACGTGGCAACATTAAACATAGGCTCCACAAATACCAATGAAATATGAGGAATGAGATTCTGAAGTACTTCTCAGAAAACGCTGGGGGTTCTGATAAGCATGAAACAACCCATCATTACCACAAGATGAACAGGAGCCTCTCCTTCATTCATTTCACAGCAACACAGACTTGGCGAGCTTAAACAATACACAGGCCGTCTGGCTCATATGCAACAAAATTAAGCCATTAAATAGGCATCCCATAAAGATCACTTGACCCTAAGACAAAACTAAAGAGGAGTTAGCTGCATGCCACAAAGACAAAAACATTTCATTTTAGGTCTCCATCTCCTTCTCCATCCCCTTGGATGGACTTTTTGATGCGAAGCAACATGGTGGTCAGCCACTGATCCAAGCGAGATATTGAGTCAAATTCCTTCACCTAGTATAAGGAAAGAGGAACAGGAATTACCCCATGTAAATACATTAAAAACACAAAATAATAGTACCCCAAGCTGTTTATACCTTTACAGCCATAATCTACTAACTTTCTTCATCATTTGAAATTAATCATTCCAGTTTATAACTTTCTTCATTAAAAAATTGTTTATTTTTTCATTATCCTGTTACTATTTTGATACTAGTGACAAGTTCCTGGGCTTGACATTTCTCTGTTTTCAAACGTGTAAGAAAAAAATTCATTAACAGTCATAATTATTGTGGCAAAAGTAACTGGATATTGTATAAAAATTTGAAAGGAATATGGAAAATTAATACTCACTGAACATGGGAAAACATTAATTACAGAGTTAGAATATGTATGGAAGCGGAATTAACACATTTCAATGCATTACCCAAAAATAAAATTACAATAGGATGAAAATGATGTGGTAGGCAAAAGTCAGACAGGAAAACATTCCTTTCCTCTATCACTCCTGAGCTGTGATGAACATGTTACAGGAGGCTACTGAGAAATTTGCTTGAGGCTGGATGTAGTGGCTCATGCCTGTAATCCTTGAAGTCTGGGAGGCCAAGGCAGGTGGATAGCTTAAGCCCAGGAGTTAAGAGACCAGCCTGGGCAACATGGTGAAACCTTGTCTCAACAAAAAATGCAAAAAAAAAAAAAAAAATTAGCTGGGGGTGGTGGTGTGCACCTGTAGTCCCAGGTACTTAGGAGTCTCAGGTGGGAGGATCACCTGAACCCAGGAGGTTGAGGGTGCAGTGAGCCGTGATCACACCACAGCACTCCAGCCTGAGTGACAGAGTGAGGATCTGTTTCAAAATATATAAAAACATTTTTTTTTGCTTGATTCTAAACATGAGATGGCAAAAGATGGAAAAACAAAAAGTATAAAGAAAAAAACCCTCATATTTTTAATATATATATATATTTATTATTTATTTATTTATTTTTGAGATGGAGTTTCACTCTTGTTGCCCAGGCTGGAATGCAATGGCGTGATCTTGGCTCACTGCAACCTCCACCTCCTGGGTTCAAGAGATTCTCCTGCCTCAGCCTCCCGAGTAGCTGGTATTACAGGCACACTCCACCATGCCTGGCTAATTTTTGTATTTTTAGTAAAGATGGTGTTTTGCCATGTTGGCCAAGCTGGTCTCAAACTCCTGATCTCAGGTGATCCACCCGCCTTGGCCTCCCAAAGTGCTAGGATTATAGGTGTGAGCCACCGTGCCTGGCCACCTTCCATTTATTTCATGCCACAAATACAGCAAATTCTCACTACTTAGTTTTTATATTTTAAATTATATTTAATTTTTTTTTTCTTTTTTTTTTTGAGACAGAGTCTCGCTCTGTCACCAGGCTGGAGTGCAGTGGTGCAATCTCAGCTCACTGCAACCTCTGCCTCCCGGGTTCAAGCGATTCTCCTGCCTCAGCCTCCCGAGTAGCTGGGACTACAGGCGTGTGCCAGCATGCCTGGCTAATTTTTATATTTTTAGTAGAGACGGGGTTTCACCATGTTGGCGAGGATGGTCTCAATTTCCTGACTCATGATCTGCCTGCCTCGGCCTCCGAAAGTGCCAGGATTACAGGTGTGAGACGCCGTGCCTGGCCTTAACTAATTTTACTTTATACTTATTTATGGGTCAGATTATTTTCAAAAGAAAAAATTAAAACAGCAAATTATAAGAATATAAATGGAATATTTGCTCCTGAACTAGTCTCACAGCTAAATTAGTTTTGAGTGTAAGTCGAATCTCAGCATGGCTAATGGAACTGTTTAATTTGTGTGATATATAAAAGGTGACGTTTGGAAAATACAACTTAAGGTATGCTGGAGTCATGTTCAAATAAATGTTTAGAATTCACATAATGAAAAGGAAAAGAAGTTTCTTTAACTTAAATCTTCAAATAATGTACCATGTCCCAAAAGCATAACTTACTGCTTCAGTGTAAGCTTCACTGTTCTGTTCTTCATGAGCTTCTAGGAGTTTCTGGTAGCATAAAAATATTTTAAAAAACAGTTCTGTAAGATGAAGTCCCATTTCTAAATATATACTTTAAGTATAATACCAATGTTGCCAAATATTGCACAAAACTGAGGAAATACTCATATACAAGTCAAGAGCCAAGTTAGGGATCTAGCTTCTGTAGTAACATTTCTCAGGTGCCTATTTCAGAACACAACTACATGTTTCTGACCTTAATTGCATTTGAACACCTATAATACGAAAGCAGGAAAGTACCAGGGCCCCTCAGTTAGCAGACTTTATAGATTAAAACTTCACTTCATACCCAATCCCACTTAGGTGTTGTCACCTAACAGAACAAAAGCATTTTTCTTCAAAGTTCTAATATTACTTACTTTCAATAATTTACATTCTCTTGAATCAGTAAATGCTGGAAACATTTCCTCATATTTCTCAAGAGCAAGCTGAGAGAGAAAAACCACTCATCAATTTCAGACTTACTAAACAAACAAAGCTTTCAACATTCTATCAGCTTCAAATAAGATCTACCTATATCCTATTAAGTGTTGAAAAAGTATGTAGTTAAACTCAAAAGCAGAATCAACATAGAAAATCTTTCTATTCTGAATTTTCCATTTCAATAAAGAATAATTTCTAAACTACTTTTTTCTGAGTTAGGCTGCTGCTGAGAAGACATTGTAAATGAAAATGAATTCTTAAACACTCACAGACCAGGTATCTGTATCCATCCATTAAATGGAGACGTTCTTAATACAGTCCAGATTCCAAATAAATTACATTTAGCTTCCTGCTCGAAGCTGACAGAAAGAACAGTTTCTCTTACTGGCTTTAGTTCTGCTCTTCCAACTCCAGACACTGGCCATGCCAAGGCTGCCTGTCTTTTTGCCTCTTGGCTCCCAGTGCTCACTGTGCTTTTCAACTTCTTCCCAGTCCTCACTCCAACACCATTTCTGAGCTTGCCTGTTGTTTTGGTTGTTTTTTAAATGGATATTATCCTACTCTTATTGTCTCCTCCCTTAGTTCCTTAATTTCTTTCTTTTTTTTTTTTGAGACGGACTCTTACTCTGTCACCCAGGCTGGAGTGCAGTGGTGCGATCTCAGCTCACTGCAACCTCTGCCTCACAGGTTCAAGTGATTCTCCTGCCTCAGCCTCTCAAGTAGCTGGACTTACAGGCACCCGCCACCACACCCAGCTAATTTTTTTATATTTTTAGTAGAAACGGGGTTTCACCATTTTGACCAGGCTGGTCTCAAACTCCTGACCTCAGGTGCTCCACCCCACTTGGCCTCCCAAAATGCTGGGTTTACAGATGTGAGCCACCACGCCTGGCCCCCTTAATTTCTTTAAAGCAAAACTACTGAAAAAAAAATGGTGGCTACCAGTGAACATATACATATATTTAAGCCTATAGCACTAAATATTCCCAGGCAGTGCCCCCCATTCAAGTACCAGGCTCTACACTGCTTAGCTTCTGAGATCAGACGAGATTGGGTGTGTTCAGGGTGGTATGGCTATAAACTATCAGGTAACTTTTGAGAACAGCTTTGACAGCTGTTAAAAGATTACAACTGGGACACATACCACAGAATAATACTTATTTTTAATGTACCCGTTTATTCTTGGTACTAACATCAAAATGAAATGATACCAAGAACAAGAGAGAATGTGTACGTATTCTTATGGGTGAAATCAGTCAATCAATGCTGAAGAACTCCTTACCTTGGCATTCAACTCGTCTACTATGAAGTGGCAGAGGGCAGCTTTGAAGAAGTAATCCTTTGCACTGTATTTCAACAAAGGATTATCCATTGTGTTTGCCCCAACCTAGGCACAGAACGCAGAGTTAAATTTAAAAGATTTACCCTCTTATATCAGGCAAAGTCATTCTCATCTGTTGTCCTTTAGAAAATAATTATGTATCTTATGTTTGTTTAGCTATGAAATATATTATTTTATCCGAATACCATATAGTAGAAATTTTACTAGACAAGACCATTAAATACATGAAGTCTTAACCAGTTAAAAATAGCTCAGAAGAATTCTGCTTCCAATAAGATGGAGTAAACATCCTTTCCCCTAATCCTCCCACTAAGCACTACTAAAAGCCCAGGTCATTTTCTAAAAAACAAACGTTTCCCAAGGGAAAACGTGGTAGTGGGTTCCCTCAGTTTTCTTTTCCCTTCCTATATCCATGGCATGAAACTGAAGAACCAGCAACCCAGAAATGCCAGTATGCACAGATAAAAAGAGAAGAGACAAAAGCCTGCTCTCTCTGGCCAAAGGACTAGAAAAGGGGCAGCCCAGCAAGAGAGAAAACACTTAGACAATAACTGCTCTACTCCAGCCAAATATCACAGAAAAACTGAGGCCCTAACTCCATTTACATCATCAAAGGCTGAAGAAGGAGTCCTAAAGTCCATTCTTGAAAGACTGTAAGAAGCACCCCAATACCTCTGCTTAGGAGCTTCAGAGAAGGCCAAATAGGGAGCTGAGGCTTGATCCCCACCCAACCCCCTGACACTAAGGCAGTGCAGACCACACTGGGAGCCTGCATCCTGTCTCTGTCAAGCAGGAAAGAGGTTCCCCTTCTTTCTCCAGCTGGTGTGCTGTCAGAAGAGGTCTAGTGGAGGGTGAAGACTCTCACCATACCAAGAACAAACCAGCACTGTGCTGGCAGAAACAGATAAGGAGAGGGGATGCCACTTCTGCCCAGGGCTGACTAGGCCCCTCAGGTGTCAACAGAGACCTGGTGGAAAGCTGACACTTCTACCTCCACCTGGCAGTAATGAGGTAACATCCCCACCTTCCCCAGCCAGAGGAATGTCAAAGAAGGCCAACTGAAAAGAGAACGTTTAAACAAGACCCAGTCTCATAACCTAATGTGCAAATGCCCTGTTTTCAATCAGAAATGACTTGTAATACCAAAAACACAGGAAGATCTCAAGCTAAATGAAAAAAGACCATTAACAGATGATGGTTCCAGATGACGGAAATGTCCAAAATATCCCACGAAGATTTTAAAGAAGCCCTCATAAAAATGCTCCAAAAAGCAAGTACAATAACACCTGAAGCTAATGGAAAAATGGAAAGCATCCACAAAGAAAAAGGAAGCCACAGGAAAAAAGATATAAAGTAAAAACAAATAAAAATTTCAGAACTGAAAAAAAAAAACAGTACCATACATAAAAAGTGGGTGGGCTCAACAGCAGGATGAAAGGGACAGAGGAAAGAAGCACTAAATGGAAGACAACAACAGGAACAACAGAGAGAAGACAAACTGACAAAAAGGAACAGAGCATCAAGGACCCATGGGATAATAAAACAGTCTCACTTTTGTGGCATCTGTGTTCTAGAAGGGGAGGAGAAAGAGAAAAGGGCTGGCTGGGCATGGTGGCTCACGCCTGTAATCCCAGCACTGTGGGAGGCCAAGGCAGGCGAACCACTTGAGGTCAAGAGTTCAAGACCAGCCTGGTCAACATGGCGAAACCTTGTCTGTACTAAAAATACAAAAATTAGCCAGGTGTGGTGGCAAGCACCTGTAGTCCCAGCTACTTGGGAGGCTGAGACAGGAGAATTGCTTGAACCTGGGAGGCAAAGGTTGCAGTGAGACAAGATTGCGCCATTAAACTGGCACGCCTGGGCGACAGAGCAAGACTCGGTCTCAAAAAAAAAAAAAAAAAAAAAAAGGAAGCTGAAAAAGTACTTGAAGAAATAACTGCTAAATGATTCTCAAATTTGACAAGAAACATAAACCTACAGATTCTGTAAGTTTAGGGAAACTCAAATAGCTTAAAACCAAATATATCTATCCAAGCCACATTATAATTAAACTTTTGAAACTAAAAGAAAAAAATTATGAAAGTGTCTAGAGAATAACACCTTTTTTATAGGGGAAAACAAGTTGAATGACAGCAGACTTCTTATCAAAAACAATGGAGGCCGACTAGGCGTTGTGGCTCATGCCTGTAATCCCAGCACTTTGGGAGGCTGAGGTGGGTGGATCACTTGATGTCAGAAGTTTGTAAAACCATGGAAGCCATAAAGTGCACATTTTTGAAACTAAAGGAAAAGAACAATCAACTTAGAATTATACTCCCAGGAAAACTATGTTTCAGAAATGAAGGCAAAATCAAAACGTTTCCAGATAGGGGAAAACTAAGAAAATTTGTTGTCAGCAGACCTACCCTAAAAAAATGACAAAAGGAGGTTCTCTAAATAGAAAGGAAACAATAATCTTGGAACATCCAGAAGAAAGAACATGGTAAGCAAAAATATGGGTAAATATAACAGGCTTTCTTTCTTGAGTTTTCTAAATTATGTTTGATGGCTGAAACAAAAATTCTAACATTGACTCATGTGGTTCTAAATGTATGCAGAGGAAACATTAAGACAACTATATATTGAATAGGGGGAGTAAAAGAACAGAAAGGGAGGTAAGATTTCTATATTTCACCAGAACTTATAAAATGATGACACCAACCTACAGCATTTAACCACAAAAGCTACACAAAGATATATACCATTGATTCTCCAACAACACTGGTTTAAACTGTGTGAATCCACTTATATACGGATTTTTTTCAACCAAATGTGGATTGAAAATACAGTATTCTTAGGAATTCAACACCCATATAAATGAAAGGCAGACTTTTTTATATGTGAGTTCCACAGGGCCGACTGTGGGACTTGACTATGCACAGATTTTGATATATGAGAGAGGTCCTGGAACTAATCCCCTGTAGACACTGAGGAATAACTGTACTTAGAAACACTGGAAAATCAAGTAGGCTGGGTGTGGTGGCTCACACCTATAATCCTGGCACTTTGGGGGACCGAGGTGGGCAGATGACTTGAGCTCAGGAGCTCAAGACCAGCCTGGGCAACATGGCAAAACCCCATCGCTACAAAAAGACTTGAGCTCAGGAGTTCAAGACCAGCCTGGACAACATGGCAAAACCCCATCGCTACAAAAAATAGCCAGGTGTGGTGGTGCATGTCTGTAGTCTCAGCTATTCTGGAGGCTAAGGCTGAGGTGGGAGGACTGCTTGAGGTTGGGAGGTGGAGGCTGCAGTGAGCCAGGGTCGCACCATTTCCCTCCAGCCTGGGTGACAGAGTGAGACCCAGTCTCAAAAAAAAAGAAAGAAAGAAAAAAAAGAAAAGCAACCCATAAAAAGGTTGGAAAAAGAAAACAGAGAAACAAAAAGCAAAGAATAGAAAGCAAAAACTAAAATGGCAGAAAGCAGAATTAAGCCCTAACATATAAATAACTGCATTAAATGTGAATGACCTAAATACACCAATTGAAAAACAAAGATTGGCACAGTGGATTAAAAAACAGGATCCAGGCTGGCTGTGGTGGATCATGCCTGCAATCCCAGCACTTTGGGAGGCCAAGGCGGGTGTATCACCGAGGTCAGGAGTATGAAACCAGCCTGGCCAACATGGTGAAATCCTGTCTCTACTAAAAATACAAAAATTAGCCGGGCATGCTGGCACGCACCTGTAATCTCAGCTACTCGGGAGGCTGAGGCAGGAGAATTACTTGAATCCAAGAGGTAGAGGTTGCAGTGAGCCAAAATCACTCCACTGCGCTCCAGTGTAGGAGACAGAGCAAGACTCTGTCTCAAAACAAACAAACAAAAAAAAACAAGATCCAACTACAAGAAACTCACTTCAGTTATAATGATATAGACAGGCTGAAAGAAAAAGAATGGACAAACATATCATATAAACATTAATCAAAAGAAACCAGGCAGGGCTATAAAGTGGATAAAGTAGACTTGAGCCAAGAAAATTACCAGAGACAGAGAAGGACATTATGTAATGATAAAAGGGTCTCTCCAGCAAGAATAGCAATCCAGAGCTGCAAAGTATGTGACGCAAAGACTGACACAATGAAAGAAGAGTCAGACAAATCCACAACTAAAGTTGGAGATTTTAACACCCAACTCTCAACAATGGATAGAATTAGAAAGAAAATCAAAGGCCAATCGCAGTGGCTCACACCTGTAATCCTGGCACTTTGGGAGGACAAGGCAGGCAGATCATTTGAGGCCAGGAATTCGAGACCAGCCTAGCCAACATGGCACACACCTGTAATCCCAGCTACTCGGGAGGCTGAGGCACGAAAATAGTTTGAACCTGGGAGGTGGAGGGTTGCAGTGAGCTGAGATCAAGTCACTGCACTCCAGCCTGGGTGACAGAGCAAGACTCTGTCTGAAAGAAGAGAAAGAAGAGAAAGAAGAGAAAGAGAGAGAGAGAAAGAGAGAAAGAGAGAGAGAGAGAGAGAGAAAGAGAAAGAAAGAAAGATCAGCAAGTATATTAAAGAACTCGACAATGCCATCATCCAACAGGAGCTAATCAACATTTATAAACATCACCCAATAACAGCATAATCATAAAACATATGCCAAGATAGACCATATCTAGGCCATAAAACAAAACAAATTTATAAGAATTGAAATCACGCAAAAATATGTTATCTAACCACAAAGGAATTAAAAATAAGTCAACAATAGAAAGATTACAGAAAAATCTCTGCTAGACACTTGGAAATTAAATAAAACACTACTAAATAATCCATGGGTCACTGAAGTCTCAAGGGAAATCAATAAATCCAACTAACTGAATAAAAATAAAAGTATAATGATATAATAAAATTGGGAAGTAGCCAAATGTATGAAAGGGTAACTGATAACACTAAAAATGCATACACAACAAAGATGAAAATCAGCAAGCTAAACTTCCATGTCAAGCACCCAGAAAAAGAGCAAAACAAATCCAAAGAAAACAAAATGGAGGAAATAACAATAAAAACAGAAATCAGTGAAAATAAAAACAAAAAAAGAGAAATAATTGAATTCTACCAAACATTTAAAGAGGAATTCACACCAATCCTTTACAAACTCTTCCAAAACACAGAAGAGGAAGAAGACATCCTAATGCATTCTGAGACCAGAATTACCTTGATTCCAAAACCAGACAAAGACACCACAAGAAAACTAACGATCAATATCCTTTATGAACATAGACATAAAATCCTCAACAAAATGTTAGCAAACCAATTCTGGCACTTACAAAAAGTAAAGTCAGCCACAAGGGTGGTCAACATCTATGTCACTGGACCCCAATAAAAACTCAGAACACCACGTTCAGGGGAGCTTCCTTGGTTGGCAGCAGTCTACGCTTATTTTCACTTATTACTGTGGGGGGAAGTAAGTGCTGTTTACATAACTCCACTGAGAGCCGACAACTGAAAGCTCTTCCTGGAAGTCTCCTAGACCTTGACCTATGAGTCTCTCCTTTGAGTTTAATCTGTACCCGTTTGCTGTAATAAACCATAATTGTGAGTATAACAGCTTTCAGTGGGTTCTGTAAGTTTGTCTAACAAATTATTAATAAACTTGAGGGTGTTCTTGGGAAACCCCTCAAAGTTTGCAATGACCAAGTAGAATTTATTCCAGGAATGTAAGGTTGGTTCAACATATGAAAATCAATCAATGTAATCTACAATATTAAGCTGATTAGGACAAAAACCATACGCTTATCTCAATAGATGCAGAAAAAAGTTTGACAAAGGACAAAAACCATGTTTATCTCAATAGATGCAGAAAAAAGTCTGACAAATAAAGGACAAAAATCATATGTTTATCTCAATAGACACAGGAAAATGCCTGACAAAATCCAATACCCTTTGATGATAAAAACACTCAACAAACTAGGAAGAGAGGGGAACTGCCTCAAACTGATAAAAGCATTTACCAAAACCCCACTACTGATATCTACCGCTATCACACTTAATATGAAAGACCGAAAGTTTTCCTTACAAGATCAGGAACAAGACAAGGATGTCTGCTCTTGTCACTTCTATTCAACACTGCACTGGAGATTCTAGCCAGGGCAACCGAGAAAATGAAGTAAAACACATTCATATTGCAGAGGAAGAAGTAAAACTATTGTTATTTGCAGATAACATGATTTTGGATATAGAAAACCTAAGAAATCCACACAAAAAAACCTATTAGAGCTAATAAGTTTGGCATGGTTGCAGGACAAAAAATTGATATGCAAAATTCAACTGTATTTCTATACACTAGCAGTTAACAATCTTAAAAGGAAATTAAGAAAATAATTCAATTTGTAGTAGCGTCAAAAAAAAAATAAAATACTTTGGAGTATATTTCACCCAAGAAATACAAAACTTACACACCAAAAACTACAAAACATTGTTGAGCAAAATGAAAGAAGATCCAAATAAATATAAAAGGAACCTGTATTCATCGACTGTCAGACTTAGTATTGTTAAGATGGCAATACTCTCTGTGATGACTGATTTTATGTGTCACCTTGAGTGGGCTACAGGGTGCCCAGATATTTGGTGTTATTCTGAGTGTGTCTGTGGGGTGTTTCTGAATGAGATTAACGTTTGCATCAGTAGGATGAATAAGCAGATTGCCCTCCCCAATGTGGGTGGGCCTCATCCAATCTACTGAAAACCTGAATAAAATAAAAGGTTAAAAGGAAGAATTCATTCTCAATGCCTGTCTTAGAGCCAGGACACTGGTATTCTCCTGATTCAGACTTGGACTCAGATTAGAAATTACATCATCAACTCTCCTGGTTCTGAGGCCTTTGGATTTGGACTGGAGCTATACCATTGGCTCTCCTGGGTCTTCAGAATGCAGATCTTAGGCCTTCTCAGCCTATATAATCAAGCGAATCAATTCCCTCCAGTAATTTCTCTCTCTAAACACACATACACACTCACACACACACAAACACACACACATACACCCCTACACCTCTTATTGGTTCTGTTTCTCTAGAAAACCCTAAAACCACTCCAAATTGGTATGCACATTCCATACAATCCCTATCAAAATCCAAGCTGGCTACTTTGCAGAGATTGACAAGCTGATCCTAATATTCGGATGAAAATGCAAGGGATCTGGAATAGCCAAAACAATTCTGAAAAAGAACAAAAAGCTGGAGGACTCACACTTACTGACTTCAAAACTTACTGCAAAGTTACAGATATAAACAGTGTAATACTGGCACAAAGATGGATAAATAGATCAATGGAATAGAGAGCCCAGAAGTAAGCCCTCATATTTCATATGGTGAAATAATTTTCAATAAGGGTCTTAATACCATTCAATAGTTAAAATATAGTTCTATTCAACAATTAGTGCTAGAAAAACTGGATATCCACATATAAAAGAATAAAGTTGGACCCTTACCTCATACTATATACAAAAATTAACTCAAAATGGATAAAAGACCTAAACCTAACAGCCAAAACTATACAATTCCTATAACAAAACAGAAAGGAAAAGCCTCATATCAGATTTAGCGATGATTTCTTCTATATAACAACAAAAGCCAGACAAAGAAAAAATAGACAAACTGGACTTCAAAAATATGAAAGACTTCAGTGAATCAAAGGACATTAATAACAGAGTCCAGAGACAACCCACAGAATGAGAGTAAATACTTGCAAATCACATATCTAATAGGGGATTAATATCCAGAATATATAAAGAACACCTAAAACTCACCACCAAAAAACAAACAGCCAAATTAAAATCCGGAGAAAGTACTGGAATAGACATTTCTCCAAAGATATACAAATAGCCAATAAGCAAATAAAAAGATGCTCAACATCACTAGTCATTAGGGAAATAACAATCAAAAACAGAATGAGACAACATTTCACACTCATTAGGGTGACTATTATTTAAAAAAAAAAAAAAAAAAAAACCAAAACAAGTATTGGTGAGGATGTGGAGAAACTGGAACACTGTGCATTGCTAGTGGGAAGGTATAATGGTGTAGCCACTGTGAAAATGTCTGGCAGTTCCTCAAAAAGTTAAACATGGACTTACCACATGGTCCAGCAACTGCAATTCTATTCCCAGGTATGTAACTAAGAGAACTAAAAACACCACCACAAAAACTTTAACACAAATGTTCACAGCAGCATTATTGATAATAGCCCCAAAGTGGAAAAACCCCAAACATCCATAAATTGATAAATAAACCATGAGGTATTAGCCACGAAAAACAATGACATACTGACATTTGCTATGACATGGATGAACCCTGAAAACAATACACTAAGTGAAAGATGGCAGTCACAAAAGGCCACATGGTATGTGATTTCATATATATTCAAGGTTCAGAATAGAAAAATCCATATAGACAGAGAGTAGATTGTGTCTTCCAGGGACTAGGAGGAAAGAATAGACTGCTGGGCTTCTTTTGGGGATGATTAAAATGTTCTGGAATTAAGTAGTGGTGATAGTTATACAACTTTGTGAACAGACTAAAAACCGCTGAACTGTACTCATTACGTGATGTGTGGATTATATCTCAATAAACAGAAAAATAAAAAGTTTAATTTTGAAAAATTATTCAGACAACTTCTCTCCAAGGAAACAACAGTATCCTCACCTGCTCATAGATCTCAATGGCTTTCTGGTACTGCTCAAGCTGGGCAGCATATGCTGCCACCTTCAGCAGACACTTGTTTGCTGAGCTGAAATCAAGAACCAAAGCAGAGTGAGTAACAAGTCAATGGAAAAATAAAAGATGTGCACTGGGCCTCAGTACATCTTCATTTGGTATAGTCAAATACACTCACAAAGTATAAAGAAGTATTTTTTTATCACACATAATAAAACCCATTAAATCATATTAAGAAAAGTAATACTTGCCTGTTGGATTCTTCTCCTTTGTAATAATCAGCAGATTGTTCATAATGTGCAATAGCCTGAAAACATACATATTTTATTCACACACAATTTATTTGGAGAGCTGCATTTTAAAACTACATTTGCATAGGTATTTTTCCATAAATAAACCTACTCTACCAGCAAACTTTTCACAACTCGGCCTACTTTCTTTAGGAAATACAAGAAAGCATGCACCTCTGGAAGCAGAATGCTTGCTGACCATCAAAATCTGTTTCCCCCTCCCCACATGGCATATGCCCAGCTACACCACTTCCTCAGCTTCCTCCATAGTGAGGGGCAGCCTATGACTAGTTCTCTCCAGTGGAATGTAAACAGACATGTTGGGGGCCACTCCCAGGCTTGGGCCATATATCTCACTTTGCATCCTCCTCCAGGCCTTCCACTTCCCATGAGCTAGGAGGGCTATGACCAAGTCCAGAGTGACACTGTAAGCTAGACACCAAAATGGCAGAACTGTCAGGCAGGTTCCTAAGTAATTACAAAGGACACAAGGTACCTCCAACCCCAGTGTCTCTACCACTGTCAAACCCTTAGCAGCCACACTGGATTGTTAGAGAGCTATGAAGCCCTAATTACACCTTACGTCTATGACTTGCAGCACAGACTACACACACTAATACCTTAAGTGTCACCTAGAATAAGGGTGTTGCCGTCAATCTAAAATATATGGCATCAAGTGGAGAAGAAACAGAGATCACAGGCCAGAAAGCTAGAAGTCCTTGTCATGCTGTGGTAGAAGTTAGTGAAATCAAGCACGTGACAACTCAGAAAAAAGAACTGGTGTCGGCCAGGTGCGGTGGCTCATGCCTGTAATCCCAGCACTTTTGGAGGCCGAGGAGGGTGGAATACCTGAGGAGTTCAGGACTAGCCTGGCCAACATGGTGAAACCCTGTCTCTACTAAAAAGATACAAAAATTAGCCGGGCGTGGTGTGGGCACCCGTAATCCCAGCTACTTGGGAGGCTGAGACAGGAGAACTGCTTGAACCGGGGAGGCAGAGGTTGCAGTGAGCTGAGATCGCGCCATTGCACTCCAGCCTGGGTGACAAGAGTGAAACTCTGTCTCAAACAAACAAACAAACAAAAAAATAAGTGTCTACCGGAGTCCAAAACTAAGCAAAATGGCTGAGAAGAGTCAGATGATAGTGTGTGCTGCTGTTTTTAGCACAGTTTTGTAAGAGCTGAACTCTGCAAAGAATCAGCTGGTTTGTAGACGGTGGTAGACAGCCTTAGAAATAAAGCTCTCATAAGATTGAAAAAACCTTCTATACCCCAAATAACAAGAGATAAGTATGAGCAGCTCTTTAAACCAGGGCTCTAGCCAAAGTTTTTCTCTAACAGGTCAGACAAGAAATATTTTAGGTTTTGTGCATCTTTGTTGCAACTACTCAGCTCTCTTGTGGTAGCATAAAAGCAGCCATACACAAGATATAAATGAATAAGTGTGGTTGTGTTCCAATAAAACTATATTTATGAACAATGAAATTTCTAATTTCATATAATTTTTACACGTCGCAAAATGCTTTTTTCTCTCAAGGATTAAAAACCGTAAAAACCATTTTTAGCATGCAAACATACAGAAGCAGGTGGTGGGTTTGCAGGATGCTTGAATGACAAAGGTTTCACAGCAAATGCAAATGAGGGAGCTAGCAGTCTCTGAAAATCAGATTAAAGGTGCTGCCTTTCTGCCCAAGCCCATTAGTTAAGTGGCTTCAAGGCAGCTCCTAGTGAGTTAGAAGAGATTTGCAGGGACAAGAAAACAAATAAAACAAAACAGGCCATGGAACTATAGGCAGCTTTCATTTGTGATGCACTTTGTCTTCATTCACTTAGCATCTGTTACTGAGCACCCACTTTGTAAATAGGCATCATGCTAGGCTCAGGGCTGTGATGGTGAGCGGAACAGTCATGGGCCCTGCCCTCACAGAGCCCACATTTTAGAGGGAGGAGATGTACCTTCATCAGGTAATCTCACATGTGTGTACATGACAGCTCTGACAGGTGTTCCAAAGAAATATTTTCTTCCAGAGAAATATTTTCTTCCAGACTATTTCTGTGTGTGACTAAGTATTTGCAAAAAGAGAACCATAGTACACCTGTTCTTTTATAGCTGCATTTTAAAATTCAGTATTCCGTGAAGGTCAGGCATGATGGTCCATGACTGTAATCTCAGCATTTGGGAGGCCAAGATGGGAGGACTGCTTGAGTCCAGGAGTTTGAGACCAGCCTGGGCAACATGAAAAGACCTCATTTGTATGAAAAATTAAAAAATTAGCCGGGCATGGTGGCACATGCCTGTAGTCTCAGCTACTTGGAAGGCTGAGGTGGGAGGATCGCTTGAGCCCAGGAGGCTGAGGCTACAGTGAGCTGTGTTCATGCCACTCCAACCTGTCCAGCCTGTGGAACAGAATGAGGCACACGCCACCATTCCTGGATAGTTTTTTTTTTTATATTTTTAGTAGAGATGGGGATTTCTCATGTTGCCCAGGCTGGTCTTGAACTCCTGGGCTCAAGTGATCCTCCTGCCTTGGCCTCCCAAAGTGGTAGGATTATAGGCATCAGCCACTGTACCTGGCCTTTTTTTTTTCAAGAGAAAAAAAGAGTATGTCACATTTCATTTTATCTGCTCTCAAGTTTATGGAGACCCATGTGTTGGAGACCATGCCTGGGCAGCAGAAATGACACAGCACTGCAGGCTCCTGCCCCAGAGTGCCCTTCTGACCACTGTGAAAGAGGAAGCTGGAACAGGAGCCTCTGCTGGCAAAGATGCTCTGCGCACAGTGCTCATCCCCGCAAGACTCACTCAAACCTAAATAAAGATACTGTGGCCATCCCAGACACCCTGACCAAATAAATACCCCAGCCACACCAGATCCATCTCCCTCCCATTCCATCATCAATTCCACACCAGGGAACAAAGGAGGTTCAGATCCAGCTCCATCACCTGCCTCCAGGATCCACAGATAACCTTCCAAAGAGAAGGCTCACACACACGTCAATGCACAGGGTGGCCCTGACTTGATCAAGATCAGGGAGTATCCTCAGAAAAGTATGGCAATTATAAAAAAAAAAGGTCAAATAATAAATTTTATGTAACAAATATGAGCAAATTTTGTGCTGAATAACCAACAGGTGGAGGTCACACAGTCAAAAGAGTGAACGTTAACAATGCCAGTCCAATTTCAGTAACGCCTAGCAGATCCTTCCCCAGACCAGGAAGACTCCATTTGGTATGGTGGAGGTAGGGGTAGCATTTGTTTATTTAGCAAATATTTAGACCCCACTAGGTCCCAGAGTTCTGGGCTCTTGGGACACATCAGCAAAGCAGAGACAAAGCTCTCTGCTGACACGTGTGCCCAATCTGGCGGAGGGAGAGAGACAACCAAAATGAGAATGATGAGCAAGCATATGAGAGGGCATATTGTAAGGAGACATCTGCTCAGCAATACAAGAAGTTAAGTGAGGTGTGTGGGGATCTACTATGTCTTCCTGGGGGGCTAAATTAACTAGGGGGTCATAATAGTTAATCATGGAAATAGGTAATAAATGAGCAAAAATGGAAGGGCACGGGGAAGTTAGCCATGTGGACTTGAAAGATGTGAGGAGTCAGCCACGTGGACATCTGGGGAAGAGCTTTGCAGACAGAGGAAATCGTGGATACAAAGGTCCTGAGGCAGGAGCGCTCATCTGGCATGTGTGCGGAACAGCAAGGAGGCCAGGATGGCCATGCAGGGTATGCAAGAGGAGGAGAATAACAGAAAAGAGGAGAGGCCAGGCCACACAGATGCATGGGGAGTGTGGGGCTGGGAGGAAGCAATTCAGTGGACCCATGAAGGCTCTGCACAGCTCCAGCTGTTCCTCTTAGTGAAAGGGGTCTAATGACTGTCAGCAGTAGAGAAACAGAGTATGATGCAATGCTTAGAAGGCTCACTCTGGCTACTCTGTGGCATGGGGATGTGGGGTTGGCAAGGTAGGGAGAGCAAAAGCAGGGAGACCGGTTTGAAGGATCCTGCAGCGATCAAGTGTGAGCTGAGAGACAAGGTAGTGAGTTGTGCCAAGACTTGGGAGCAGGAAGGACACCGCTCACAAAAATTGCTCACAGGTTGTAGAGAAAGAGAAAAGGCAAGGAAGCCTGTAGTTTAGCGGGGAACACTGGGTTGGGGACATCTGAGAATCCAGTCCCAGACATGTTGGGTTAGAGATGACTGCTGGACAAAGTGGAGAGGTCAGCAGGCAGGTGGATACAGTAATCTAGCATTTGGAGAGAGGTCTAGGCTGCAGTCAGATTTCTGAGTCACTGGCACACAGATACTTAAAGCTGTGATGCTGACTGAGTGTACAGAGGTGACCTCTTACACTTTCTTCACTGGGCCTTAGAGTACTAAGCAATACAGCTGAAGGTTCTTTTGGCAATGCTAATGTTCTGACATGAATCAGAGAGAGTGGAAACAACAGGTGATCTCTGTAAATCTTAATCAGCTCTCATGTCTTAGATGTCCACTCCAGGAAAACAGCCCATCTACTTAGCCAGCTAGTAGACTTTGCCAGAAAGTCTCCAGGCAAGGCCATCTATGACCACTCTACACCTACGATCACTCTCAGACTGAGGAGAGGAGAGTTCTTTGAGTCAGCTTATCTGCCTGCTTCACATCTGAGGAAGTGTGCCCACTGCTTACCTTCTCAATGTCTACAAGTTCAGTCTCATAGATCTCTGCAATAGTAATGTGGTGCTTGGCTGCAATTGTAAACCTTCCCTAGGGGAAAAAACAAGAAACAGTCACACACCGATTTTACCTATCTGAATGCCAGTTTGGGAACATAAAAAAGAAAGATAGAACTCTAAGCCATCTCAAGACTCCACCCCACAGCCACTCAAGCAATGCAATGTCTTACCATGTCTGTGTAAATGTCGATGGCTGCATTTAAGCAGTTGATAGCCTCTGAAGCGTAGGCATTTAAGAAAAACAATGAAAAATCCATTCAGTCAAAGAGGGTTCAGGTGAGGCTGTCTTCCTGGCTGTTATCAGAACGTTAATGAGGTATAATTTTGGAGTGGAGGGTGGGCAGGTTAATGAGAAGCAAACAAAAATCATGCACAAGTCCAGATTCATCAGCATGGCTTTGTTCCCAGCAGCTATAGTATAATTTAGGGAACTGTAGCTGGAGTAACATTGGCTTAGTTACTCTTAACCTTAAAGTGAGGACTCCATCCAGGCAAAAGACTGTATTATAAAGAAAATAAAACCATAGAGGTTGTCACCAACACTGATAAATTGTATCTGCTAAAATATGAATGCAAACATATTCCTCATTAATACCATGCATATATATTAATTTTGGAACATGGCACCACATCACAAGAACAATCACCTCAATAGATTCTACTCTCCATGCAGCCAAAAGCAAAAGCACTTTGAAATGCCTATTCAAACAACCCTTAAGCAAAGTCAACATTCTGTATAATGTTCAAAGATGCTAAATTGTAGCATACTAACAAAATGAAGAAACAAATCTAATAAATAATAATGCTAATAAATTTTACTAATTTTCTAAACAAGTGAGCCAAAAAATTTTCCCTATCATAAAATGATGGTGTTTATGATGCTGGCATACAGTGACAGCTCCAAGTTTATTACGTTTGGTTTAAAGAGGCAGCAAAGTAGAAAGGCCTGACTACAAAATTAGAAAGGTAAGCAGATGAACAAAAATTAAAACAATTTCCCTCTAAACTACATAAAAAATGTGGATCCCTGTTACACCTTTTAAAATACAGAATATAAAGAGAAAAATAATCTATCAATAATCCCGCTCAAATCCGTTGTTAGTACTCAGATGTACTTTCCTTTTGCGTTTATTAGACACATTTCTATATGCACAAACTTTTTTCTGAAAATGAGATTATACAACATTCAGTCTCATGTGCTTCTTTAATTGACATGTAAACATTTACCAGGTCACTGAAGATTCTCTGAAACCAGGGATTTTAATGCCTGCACCATATTCTAAAGTACTGATGCATTACAATGTTACCACTCTAACAGCTTATTTAACCTGTGTCCAGTTTGTCACTTTGGGAAATAAACTGTGATTAACCCTTATACCAAAGGTATTGAAGATACCCTATTTCTTTATGACATATTTATTCTCAAAATTTGGGATCTGTGTGTTAAACAAAATGGACTGCTAAAAGAAAAAGGAAAAACACAAAATTTCCGCTGTGCACGCGTGTGGAAGGTAAGAAATTAATACTTTTAATTACACTCTTCTAACTAAAAAGAAATAATCTTTGCAAAATTTTACCACATTAAATATCCAATTGCATTCTTTCCTCAAAACAAATACTTTGAAAAACTTTTTAAAAAACCAAATGAATACTGTATGAATCAGACTTTTTAACGATTGAATATTACAATCTCCCATTAACTGGATCTGAAAACTCCTTAGGTATTTAGGAGTAAGGGAACATAAGAGTTTCCTTTTATGAACAATATACATTTTCACAAAATTAAGATATAAGAAGTCTTAGATAAAATTAAAGGTAATTTCCAAAAAATTCTCTAAAATGCAATATAAATAAGAGTTTAATTAAATGATGCTATAAAGTAAACAGCCAGTATAAATTTAACATAATTTCTCCTCATAAAAGCCCCCAAATGATTAAAAAAGAAAAATCCCTAAGGTTATCAAAATTCTCTATTATTCCAAAATACAAAAATTCCTTTTTACCAGGACTTGAAAGCACACCAACACTGACCTTAACGTTGAGGGAAGTACTGACTGGTTAGTTACACACAGAGATAGCATGCTACATGCCTGGCTGTCTTACCTTGGGGATCTGCCTTTTTGTAAGCATTTCCAGCATCCACAAAGCTGGTAGCAGAGTCATGTTTGCTCTGAAGCTGCATGTGGAGCTTGGCTGCCTGACAAAATGCGTTTCCTGCAGCTGAAGAAGACACTACAATTAAACACAGAGGAACAAGTCCCCCCCAGAGCAGCCCATGCTGTAAGCACTGGACCTCCCTAGAAAAATTATATTCCACTGAAAAGAAGCATTCTAGTCAGAAGCAAAAATCCATGTGGTCCAGTGCACCTCGGGCAAATATAAAAATAACCAGAATCAAGTCAAACAGCGATGAAAGCTTCTCCACCTCAGCTCCAGCAGACTTTCCAAGTGTCCCTGGGCACTAAGCCACTATTCCCTGATCTGTCCATTCAATACCAGTAGCCAAGTCTTGGGCTACTCAATTCAATTCCACTAACATATAATAAACATCAGCTAAGGGCTTCAAGCCACAAATGATTAAAGAAAGGTAAAACACTGAGCGCAAAGATATTTGCTCACTTTTCTATCTTAGTGTCTCCTACACTTAGCTGTCGGTGTGGAAGAAACTGCTAATGAAGGCTTCATGGATAAAGTAAGTTTCCTAAAAAGTGAAAATCAGGCCCACAATTTTGAAATCCAGAAAAGTCTAAAAATCCAAATTTTTTTCTTTACTTTATAGCAAAATCTGACTGAAATTTATATGAGGTTTAATCTATTTTACCCCATTTAGTGTGAGAATTTACAAATTTCCCTGCAGAATCACTGATGGATCTGGTTGTGGGGTACCACCCAGGTCTCCAACTGGGACACAGTACAACATATAAGGTACATGAACTAATCTTTTTCAGAAAAGGTTTTGGATCAGGGACCATGGATTCTGGAGTGCTGGAAAAGAAAGAGGGAAGGAATCGCTAGCAGAGGAGTCACAGGAACACAGAAGAAATGCTTGAAGGTAAGAAAGGGCTGGAAGTGGAGGCCAGTGACAAGCCTGCCCTGACTGGAGGAGGCCAGTGGAAATCAAGGCTGAGGCTGCATCAGGCCACTTCCCAGAGGGTTTAAACATCAACATGCGAAACTTCCTGAGTTCAGAGAAAGCAACACAGCAGAGTGCCTCTGAAAAATGAGTCACATTGGGGAAGTCAGTACAGCAGAAATGGAGAGGAAAGAATCTGATCTACCAGGAAAAGCATGGTTAAGAATATCACAAAGCCTTTAGGTTTCTAAAAAAATTATCATAAAGCAGTACTCACTGCTGATATTAAACATTTGCTATAAATTTTTTTTGTGAGGAAAAAAAATCCAATTCTTTTCTTTTTTTCAAGACAGGGTCTCAATCTGTCACCCAGGCTGCAGTGCAGTGGCGTGATCACAGCTCACTGCAACCTCCACCTCCCAGGATCAAGAGATCCTCCTGCCTCAGCCTCCTGAGTAGCTGCATGTGCCACCACACCTGGCTATTTTTTATTTTTAATTCTTTAAAAAATTTTTTTGGCTGGGTTTGGTGGCTCAAGCCTATAATCCCAGCACTTTGGGAGGCCAAGGCAGGTGGATTACCTGAGGTCAGGAGTTCGAGACCAGCCTGGCCTGAACATAGCGAAACCCTGTCTCTACTAAAAATACAAAAAATTAGCTGGGCATTGTGGCAGGTGCCTATAATCCCAGCTACTTGGGAGGCTGAGGTAGGACAATTGCTTGAATCCGGGAGGCGGAGGTTGCAGTGAGCCGAGACTGTGTCACTGCACTCCAGCCTGGGTGACAGAGCAAGACTCTTGTCTCAAAAAAAAAATTTTTTTTTTTTTTTTTTTTTTTTGTAGAGACAGGTGCTATGTTGCCCAGGCTGGTTTTGAACTTCTGGGCTCAAGCAATCCTCCAGCCTCGGCCTCCCAAAGTGCTGGGATTACAGATGATTATACCTGGCCGTAAACATCCAATTCTGCTAAAGCTTCAGCTGCATCTCTTGTTCCAACTCCCTCTCCCCAGAGGAAATGCACAGTTCTCATGTGGGTTTCTGAACCTGAGGGCAAAGGGACAGTACAAACTCTGGAGCCCACCTGCCCAGGTTCAATTCTTGCTCTGTACCACAGTTTCTGATTAAAAAGAGTACCCAGGCATCTTTGAAAAATATGTAACCACCAGCATGACATGGGTAGTGCTATGATCTGAATGGCAGTATCCCCCCAAAATTTGTATTACTGGAGCCTGATATCCAATTTGACAGTATTAAGAGGTGGGGCCTTTGGGGGAGTGATAAAGTCATGAGAGCACCACCCTCATAAATGGGATGAGTGCCCTTATAAAAGAGGTTGAAGAGAACTGCCTTGTTCCTTCCACCACGTGAGGACATAGCAAGAAGGCGCCATCGTGGAAGGTGAGAACAGTCCTCACCAAATACGGGATCTGCTGGCACCTTGATCTTAAACGACCCAGCCTCCAGAACTCTGAACAATACGTTCATTTTCTTTATAAATTACACTAAGGTATTTTGTTATAGCCGCAGGAAGAAACCAAGGCACTGAACAATCAGAGTACATGCCAGCCTCAGGGCTAGAGCTGGAACTGAAGAAGCCCTGCTGGCCCCTTGTGAATCATGAGAGGCTGGTGGGTATCCAGAAGGGGCAAAGGCCACTGCCAGGACAGTGGCCAGGCACCTGGGGTACTTGGGGCAGCACTTAACCATGAAGTGGCAACTCAGGAACATATCTGGCTAAGTGGGAGCTTTAATGGGCTCTGCCTCAGAAGAACGTAGTAATAGCTTGGACTTCGCAAGTAAAGTGCTTAGAAGGGCCTGACTCACATTACACACGGTGGCCACTTTCATTATTACATGCAAATCTAGCCTTAGATCATATCTGTGGTTTGGCATATTGAAATGCCATCTTTTTTTTACAATCTACATCCTTGCTCTCCTGCTGGCATTTCATTTTTGATAACTTATCTATGTTTCCTGTCTCAGAATCAGTCATGGGCCATCCTTTTCTTGCTCAGTAATACCACAACACCCAGGCTCTTCTGGGCTACCTCCATTTCTCCAGACAACAGTAAGCGCTTTAATTTTACATTTTCACATTCCCACATTCCAAAACGAGTTGCTGGCTTACTTTTTCACTCTGACTATTCATTCCAATCACTGACAGCAAATGCTAGCTCGGTCTATCTAAACTTGGAAGTGTTGGGCCGGGCACAGTGGCTCATGCCTGTAATCCCAGCACTTAGGGTGGATCAGGCACTCCTCGTGGTCAGGAGTTCAAGACCAGCCTGGCCAACATGGAGAAACCCCATCTCTACTAAAAATACAAAATTAGCTGGGCGTGGTGGCACATGCCTGTAATCCCAGCTACTCCGGAGGCTGAGGCAGGAGAATCGCTTAAACTCGGGAGGCGGAGGTTGCAGTGAGCTGAGATCGCACCACTGCATTCTAGCCTGGACAACAGAGCAAGACTCCATTCTCGGAGGTGGAGGGGGAACTTGGAACTGTCTTTAAAGGATCATATATTAAATTAAATGGTCTCTGGGAAGCCACACAACTTAGGCTAAATTTCCTCACCCGCAAAACTGGTATAATACCTGTGAGGATGATCTCTCAAAAGCTGAGTATCAAACAAATTAGCTTAGTCATTATGAAAGAACTTTTAAAACTATAAAGAGATGCAATGCTGTTATGATCATCACCAATGCAACATGGATAGAACTTCAAGGAGTCTAATATTCATCCACTCAACAAATATACTGAGCACCTATGACTTTGCAGGTAATAATCCAGGGCCTGGAGATACAGCAGAGATAAAAACACACAAACATGGCCTTCCAAGGTTTACTTTCTAATGAGAATCACCATATAATAAAAACATGTAAATATAAATGAATAAAACATTATGTAATTTATTTTTGCTAGATGGTGATAACAGTGTTGGAGAAAGAAAAAAAAAAAAGTTTCCAGGAAGGACAAGATTGTTATTTTTAAAAGGGGTGGCCAGAGAAGACCTCACCAATAAGTTGACATGTGAAGAGGGAGCTGAAGGAAGCAGGGACCCAGCAACATTCTGTTTGGGGAAAGAGTAGGGAGACAGAGGGAACAGTACATGCAAAGGCTCTGAAGTGGGAGCTGGGTGCACAAGGAAGGGGATAGTCTTTGAGGGCCACTACAGAGACGTCAGCTCTTATTTGGAATGATATGACCTTACTTAACTTGTGTTACGTTACTTCATTAACACATTTATGCCTAGTGTTCCTTCACTGGAACGCTAGGCACGTGGGAGTTATTTATATCCTATCCTACTGCTCAAGGTCATCGCCAAGGTCTGATTTCCAAAATTCAAAAAATTGCAACCTCAGACATAAATGGAAACAGACTGGAAAAGTGCAGCAGTATGACAATGTCAGGAGGCTAGAGCATCACCCCAGGCAACAGATGACGCGGGGTGCACATACAAAGCCTCCTTAGTTACATACATGATCAGTGGCCTCTCTGAAATGGAATTTCCAAAGGTTAGAATACCTCATCACCAGATACAATAAGTAATAAGTGGTCTCAGCCGGGCACAGTGGTTCATGCCTATAATCCCAGCACTTTGGGAGGCCGAGGTGGGTGGATCGCCTGAGCTCAGGAGTTCCAGACCACCCTGGGCAACATGGTGAAACCCCGTCTCTACTAAAATACAAACAATTAGCTGGGCGTGGTGGCGCGTGCCTGTAGTCCCAGCTACGAGGGAGGCTGAGGCATAAGAATCGCTTGAGCCCCAGAGGCAGAGATTGCAGTCAGTCAAGATTGTACCACTGCACTCTAGCTTGGGCTGCAGAGTGAGACTCTGTCTCGAATAAATAAATAAATAAACAAATTAAGTAAGTAAATAAATAAGTAAGTAAGTGATCTCTTCAGGTAAGATCACTTTTTACTTATAAGACCTGAACAAAATAAAAGAGGGAATGTGAAACAAACTGTTTTCTCCACCATTTTAAAAATACAATATAATTCAGGCGTAGGTGTGTTTTGAAAAATAGCATATCTAAAGCCTTAGCTAAAACTAAACTTCTTACAAAGATCTTTAAAGCCAGAAGAGACCTTTTAGAATCATCTAGCTCAAAAGCATTTTCTCCTTTGAAATGATTTTAAAGTGTCTGCCTTGAAACAGCTTGTAGAGGGCGAGTCCCACTTCCAATCCCACAGCAGCTGTGAGCCAGAGCACAACACCCACGTCCCCTGCTCTGGTCAACGGTGGTCTCCATTTTCACTACAGAAATATCCCATCACTAAGGCATGAAAGATCTCTTTCGCTGAAGGGAGAGGGATGAATTTCTCTCAAAGAGCCATCCCATCTCAGACCAATGAAAATAATAATCCTGTGAATTTTGTTATGCCCGGTCTCACTGGGTAGAAAGCATTACTTTAAAAAATAACCAAGAGTCTATTGAGGTTAATGTAAATCCATCCCCCTCCCCCCAAACCCCACTTTCAGTTCTCAGTGGAATCACAATCAGTTATTGCGTAGCAGGGAATGGTCATTCTCAACCAATGTTCAGGTAAAGAAAATTCTCTTTATCCCACTAGTTTTAATGACTTTTATTCCAACTTTCATTCCTTATGGCACTGTGTTTATTTGAACATATTAGTAAGAAGCAAAGATTACTCTAATTCCAAGTAATTTTAACTATTTTAAGTTACCACATGCCTACTGTATTAAGAAGTTTATAGAAACTAAGACAGACACTGTCCCTGTGCTTAAACTTAAGCCAGGCTTTCCAGCTTCATTCACTTAGAGCACACCCCTTTAGTCTCCATATGTCAGTAGCAGCCACATCAGTTATTCAGCACTGACATCTGTCTCTGGGGCCAATAGTCTTGCTCTTCAAGGGGAAAACAGTCATTTCTCCCTTCAAAGTGATTTTAAACCATTTGCCTAAAAAGCAAACAAAAACTTTGTACATACCACTCCAATTTTTAGCCATCTTGAACATATTTGCAGCTCTGGTATACATTTCACAAGCCTCTTCTATTCTTGTGTTTCCTCTGAGAAAAAGTTAAAAATTAGATTTTTAACAACCATCCACATCTCTAATTCTCCCTCCCTCAAATGATTAACATTTAGTATATACTTGCTATGTGCCAGACAAGCATTACAGAATCTTAACCTCTATTTAAAGGAGATACTCTTACTATACCTGTTTTCCAGATGAGGAAACTGGGGTGTTAAGTGGTAAAGTAACTAGCCCGAGGTGACACAGAAAGGATAGCTCAGAATTAAGACTCAAACACAGGGCAGGGCATGATGGCTCATGCCTGTAATCCCAGAACTTTGGGAGGCCAAGGCGGGCGGATCACCTGAGGTCAGGTGTTCGAGACCAGCCTGGCCAACATGGTGAAACCCCATCCCTACTGAAAATACAAAAATTAGCTGGGTGTGGTGGCATGTGCCTGTAGTACCAGCTACTCAGGAGGCTGAGGTAGGAGAATTGCTTGAACCTGGGAGGCAGAGGTTGTAGTGAGCTGAGATCGTGCCATTGCACTCCAGCCTGGGCAACAAGAGCAAAACTATGTCTCAAAAAAAAAAAAGACTCAAACACAGATCTGGCTGACCCCAGAACCAGAGGTGTTACAAACTGAAGATGTTATTCTGATTACATCTTTAATCAGAGTCCTTCCCATCTATAAAAGCTGGAAGTTTTATATCAGTCTGAGTAGTTAAAAGTACGTTTTTCAAAGGAGATTAAATTTTGAAGGATAAAGACATCTTTACCCTGTTATCTCCCAAGAGTTCAGCACTATGTTTATTCAGAAGCCACGTCTTATGAGAAAGTGGCACGACATTCTACAGCTGTATGATGTCAACTCTGGTAAGGGCAAGTCCTTCTCCAACCTGGAGGAAGCCTCAGGGTCCGGCCCAGTTTAGAAATGCATTTTGCAACACCCTGAGAAATGCATTTTACAACACCCTGAGAGAAGGGTACCTCCACTGTTGCTTGGACATATACAGTTCTGCAAAGTTCTTTACCAAGCAGCTGATTCCACTGAGGGACAGCTTTAAGCTACTTGGAAATTTCTTCTCACATAAAAGCCAAAATTATCCTCCGTAATCCTCCCAGAGTTAACTTTGCTTTTACTATGCTAAGGCCCCTCCATGAAAGACGTTTATCTATCTTGTCTATTTATAATCATAAAATAAACAGTGGAAAACTGAGATGCAGCAGACTCTGTACAGTATACATAACAAGGAACTCGGTGGGGTATGGACATAAGGACTCAGAGACAGGACAGGTCAAGGCTGACACTGGATGCTGGGCCTGGTA
The DNA here is from genome assembly GCF_000001405.40 of Homo sapiens. Taxonomy (NCBI): domain Eukaryota; kingdom Metazoa; phylum Chordata; class Mammalia; order Primates; family Hominidae; genus Homo; species Homo sapiens. The sequence goes on from NC_000020.11 coordinate 23,404,350, forward strand.
TGAACACATGTACATGAAAGAGTGCACACACGTGTTAGGAACTCCATTAAACTCCAAGCTCCAGCAGAGGAGCTTGCAGCTCCCTGTCAACACAAGTCCTAGTGCAGAGCAGAGGCTGGGCATACAGCAAGGCTCAGGTGTGACTCAGACCTTAGGCAATAACTACTAACAGTATGGCCCTGGACCAGTTCTTTAACTCCTTCACACCTCAGTTTTGGCATGCGTAAACTGAAGATAATGTATACCTAGGAGTTATTATGAGGATCAAAAGAAATAATCCACATACAGCTGCCACTGCAGAGCTTCACCCAGAGCAGGTACTCAATCAGAATGGTTATCATATCTAGATCCATGTATGGAAGGCATAAAAACCTTTGGGAATATTACATTGTATGTCTCATGAGGAACATGTATCTAGAATAAATGCAAATCGAAACCACACATGTGATACCACATGGCTCCTGCTAGGATGGCTAGGATGGGCTACTGTCTGTCAAAAGACAAAAAATAACAAGAGTCAGGGAAGACGTGGAGAAACCTTATATATGTGGAGAAACCTTATATACGACTGGGAGGAATATAAAAGGGTGCAGCCACTTTGGAAAATGTTACCATATAACCCAGCAATTCCATTCCTAGGTACACACCCAAGAGAAATTAAAACACATCCCGGCGGGGCGAGGAGGCTCACGCCTGTAATCCCAGCACTTTGGGAGGCCGAGGCTGGAGGATCACCTGAGGTCAGGAGTTCAAGACCAGCCTGGACAACATGGCGAAACCCCATCTCCACTAAAAATACAAAAACAATTAGCCAGTGTGGTGGCACATGCCTGTAGTCCCAGCTACTTGAGGGACTGAGGTTACAGTAATCCGAGATCACACCACTGCACTCCAGCCCACCAGTCTAGGTGACAGAGCGAGACTTTGTCAAGAAGAAAAGAAAGAAAGAGAGAGAGACAGAGAAAGAGAGAGAGAGAGAAAGAAAGAAAGAGAATGAAAGAGAGAGATAAAGAAAGAGAGAAAACGCATATCCACACAAAAACTTGTATGCAACTGTTCACAGCAGCATTAATCATAATAGCTAAAAAGTGGCCAGGCACAGTGGCTCACGCCTGTAATCCCAGCGCTTTGGGAGGCTGAGGTGGGTGGATCACTTCAGGGCCAGGAGTTTGAGACCAGCCTGGCCAACTTGGTGAAACCTCCATCTCTAGTAAAAATACAAAAATTAGCTGGGCATGGTGGCGGGTGCCTGCAGTCCCAGCTACACAGGAGGCTGAGGCAGGAGAATCACTTGAACCTGGGAGGCGGAGGATGCACTGAGCCGAGATAGTGTCACTGCACTTCAGCCTGGGTGACACAGAGACTCCGTCTCAAAACAAAAAAAAAGCTAAGGAGTGGAAACAACCCAAAAGTCCATCAACCGATTAACAGATAAATAATATGTGGTATACACATACAATGGAATATTAATGCGCAATATGAGCAGTCACAGTGAGATTCCATTTATATGACAGGTCTACAGTAGGCAAATTTTTAGAGACAGAAAACAGGTTAGTGGTTGGTAGTGCTATGGTTTGAATGTTTTTGTCCCCTCCAAAACTAAATTAAAATTTAATCCCCAATGCAACAGTGTTGGGAGGTAGGGCCTACTGGGAGGTGTTTAGGTCATGAGCCCTCTGCTCTCATGAATGTATTAAGGCCACTAATAAAAGAGCTTGTGAAAGGGAGGTTCCATTTTCTCTGGTTCTCTTCTACCATGTGAAGACAAAGCAAGAAGGCCCTCACCAGATACCAGACGCTGGTGCCTTGATCTCAGACTTTCCAGCCCCCAAAAACTGTGAGAAATACATTTCTGTTCTTATACATTACCCAGGCTAAGGTTATTGTGTTACAGCAGCGCAAAGCAGGCAAAGACATCTAGAGGTGGGAGTGTTGGGGAAAAGCAGGGAGGTGAGGGAAAATGACAGCTAAATGGTACAGGGTTTCTTTCTGGGGTGATGAAGATGTTCTAAAACTGCTGTGGTTGCATAGCCCTGTGAATAGGCTAAAAACCTCTGAATTGTACATTTTAAATCAGTGAATTGTACGGTATGTGTATTAAATCTCAATAAAACCTCCTCCCCAACACACACAAAAAAAATCAAAAAAACAAACAAAAACCTTTGGGGACTATGTTACACAGTGAAAGATAGAATGGCAACAAGCCATACCAAAAATGAAGTGTCAGAATAAGCTACAGCTTTCTCTCACACCTTCATGTCCCTTTCCCTCCACTTCAAATCTACACATTAAAAAAAAAGAAAAACAGCTAATAAGTTTCCTAAATGGAAAATTCCTCACATGAAAACATTCTCAACCTTAGCCATACCTCCCTTGGCGTAAAGTCTTGCTACTTTCTTGGGTCTTGTTTTTCTAAAGAGTACTGGGAATCTTGAACTGTAATTATAGTTCAATCATTCTTATTAAAGGTTTCTAAATAAAACTAGCTTAATTAAAATGTACTTTATCCACTTATTTTCAGAGACAGGATACAGCTAGAATTAACAGAGTTCCTACATTATTCCAGGTTTTATGCTAGATATTTCCATATATGTTATGTCATTTTCATTATTACAACCATGAAAGACACTATCTCTATTTTACTGAAGAGAAAATGGCATCTAGAGGACAATGGCTTATCCAAGGCTACCCAGCCAAGGTCAGTAGTGTACCTGACACTTGACTTCAAGTTCAGTGACCTTTGAACTTTGCTAAACCATGAGATCCTCATGTCTCCTGAAACAGAATTGCCAGAGGTAGCCTCACTTTAAAAACCCATTTGTCATAAACTGACCATAACTTTAAAACTTCCTGAAAAAAGGTACTTTTGAAATTACACCGGATGCTTATTTTGTTTTATGTGAAAGTTAATTTTTTGTAAATTTTATGGACAAGTATTCAGAATTTGCATTCAAAGTAACAACTGTTATCCAGAGGTCTCACAGTGAGGCAGAAGATCCTTGGAAAAAATATTCTGTGGGGAATCCATATTACGCAGCAACATAAGTTAAACACTTAGCACTCAATTGACATTAAGAAGCTAAACTGAGCTAAATTAACTATTTTTTTGTATTACAGGAATCTGACTTGGAAGAAGAAAACATTTTCCCCACCGTGAAAGAAAACACTGCCCAGCTAGCACAAAAACCACTGCCACCTGGCTGGCCCAGGTGAACCACCCTTGCATTCCAGAGGCAAGGCAGACTCTCTTCTTCTTGACCGTACTTATTCAGGAAATATTTACTGAGATCCATATGTGCCAGAAAACACTAAGGAAATAAACTTCTTGCCCACAAGGAGGTCACGACACTGAGGAAAGAATATCAAGCTTCACGGCCAGAAGGGTCTGAGAAAAAGCCTATCAATTCCCCATGTTCCCCTGAGGAAACATTGTCAAAGCCACAAATGTCCCACCAGGAGCCAGTGAACAGCAGAGCTGTGAAAACCAATTCATCTTCAAATAATCTAAAATCTTGATTTCCCCCATCCTGAATAATAACTATTGCAGAGCATTGTAAAACTATGACAACTATAGTCCGTACTATTTTAAAACTGTGGGTGGGAGGAAGGAGACATCGTAGAATTGTGAGAACTAATGACACACACATCATGAGATGTACCTCAAAGAAAAAGGCTGACAACTCCTGAGATAGAAATAAAGTTGCCTCTAAAATCACAAGATATTAGAGTAGAAATACCACAAAAAGTGACAGTGACAGTACTATGAAGATAAGCATGTAGAACCAGAGGCAAAATTCAGCTCTAACATCAGGATGCCATGAAGGGGTGTGTCAAGCCACCCCAAAAGACTGAAAAGGGACTTGCCCAGTGTGGGGAGCCTGGGGGGATCCCCACAAAGCATGGTACCTCCTTCTTCTCATTATTTACCAGCAGTATCTCCTTAGCCACTAGACTGATGCTCTGGGGAAGAGGAAGCAGCACAGGGCCTAGCACACAGGCCACAATAACAAGGCTGATGCTTAGTGTCTGGATGGAACAAACTGTCCACATTCATTTTTTAAGGTTTCCCATGTATGCCTCAAAATAATAAGCAAATGTAGAAAGAATCCAGAAGAGAGGAAAATTCAAAATCTGTCTGAACGTGCCTCTGCCATACACAACTACTCTGTGATATTATAGGCTCTATAAACAATTTATTTCCACCTGATGCTTCACTTCTGGAAACTCCACAGATTCTAAAAACTTGGGGCTTTCCTAGGTAAACTTAACCCTTCCAAGATTACTTTATTTCAGTGCTTAATATATTTTAAAACAGTACAAATCTTTTATGTGATGCAAAAGTAGAGATTTCTTCCGTGGAGGAGATGCAGAGGCCCCAGAAGGACACAAAACAACTGGAAGAGATATTTTTACATGTTCTCAACACAAAGAAATGATAAATGTATGAGGTGATGAGTATGCTAACTATCCTGATTTGATCATTATACAACACAGACGTATATCAAAAAATCAAACTGTACCCCATCAATATATGCAATACAATGTGTCAATTAAAAACTATTTTTTTAAAAAGGTAGGAGGGAGATACTCTCCAGAATGCTAATTTGAATTCTTACAGCAAAAGGCAGCATTTAAATGTTTCACTGTTCTTTTATAAATCGGTAATGCAGAAGCCCAAGGTATGGTGGAAAGGCCCAGGGCATGGGCTTGAGTCAGACCACCTACAAATGAACAGTATCATTTATTTACCAGCCTCCAGTTCCCTGGAGCAGCCAGGCCTGTCTTGGCCTTGGAGAGAAAGAAAAATTCCACCAAGCCAGCTAGCACTGTACCAGTAAGGGGAGCGCTGTCTCAGTGGCCTTGAGCTTTTGGAATCAATTTTCTAAGAACTTTTCAGTTTACTTCTGCTTAATTAAGGACAAAAATCATAGATTCTCAAACAGAGAAAATAATCAGAGACATTTAAGGCCTGTGACCAAAGTATTTGTGTTTAAGCACAATTTCCTGAAATAAAGCTTATGAGAACAAGTATAACAAAGAAAACTAGTTAGACTTTATTTTGACAATAGTTTTCTAATGCCTCAACTTTATATGGGGAGTAGTCATCTTTATAGAGAAGAAATAGGTATACACTGGACCTATTTATAAAACAAAACAAACATATTTAAATACTTAAGAAAGATAATGGTAACTGCTAGATTAATTCAGAAATGACTGTTACATACAACCTGATTTACCAAGAGCAGTTTTTAAATTGAATTTCAGTCTTTATAAAAATTTAAGCTGAATTTCAGTCTTCAGAAAATACTGATGAGACATGTGATTCCCAAAAAATCATGGTGGCTGCTTAGATAAATATATCCACACATCCTCCAAAAACCTTATAGATCAACAAAAAGCATACACAACCACCCATAATCCGTGCCTACAGCAAAAGGAGGCAGTATTCAGCAAGCCTCCATTAAATATAATTTAGGAAATAAAAAATCCAAAACTACCAGAGCTAGCAACACTGCCTCTGCTGCCAGTCAGAGGGGCGTCTGTCGACAGGAGAGGGGAGTTTAACCTGGCAATCATTGTCCAGGGAAGAACTCTCAGCAAGGAAGTGCCCTACCAGGGTGGGCAAACACCCCAGACCAGGTGGAAGACCTGGCAGGTTAGAGCACTGCAGTTGGGAACTGAATAGAAGGGCTTTGCCACAGGCTGCAGTTTCCAGAAGACACTGCTTCTGGGAGAAGGCAACTTAGAAGGTGGGGGCAGCTCTATGGAGGTTTGGCAGTGAAAGGAAAGAAGGCAAGTGATGGAAATACGTTCTTGAAACAAAAGAGTATCACAGAATTAGAAGTCACACAAACCTACCCCTCCACAGCACCATTCATTAAAGAAACCGCACTTAACTGTACCTACACAACGCAGCATTTAAACTAAGAAACCCATGAAGTCACACAAACCGCTCATCTCCTATCACAGAAACACATGCTATTGTGTGTCCAAGAAACTCTGTGACTCTCTACACTAAACAGAAAGGAGAAACAGCATCCATATGAAGCTACTACATAAGAAAGAAGATCCTAAGTGAATTAATGCAGGAACAGAAAACCAAATACCGCATGTTTTCACTTATAAGTGGTAGCTAAACACTGGATACCCATGGGCATAAAAATGGCAACCGTAGACACTGGGGACACTAGCGGGGTATGGGGAGAGAAACAGTTGAAAAACTATTGGGTACTATGCTCAGTATCTGGGTGACAGGATCATCTGTACCCTAAACCTCAGTATCACACAATATACCCAGTTAACAAACCTGCATATGTACCCCCTGACTCTAAAATAAAAGTTGTAAAAAAGGAACAAATATTAAAATAAAAATGAGCCATACCAAAAAAGCCCCAAAACAAAAAAGAAACAAGAATTAAAATACGTTCCCTAAAACAATCACAAGGCACAGGAAAACAATTCCATATGACTGAAATATTATTAAACAGATATGAAAGTACATCATAAGCTAGAAATTTAAAAACTCATCATGGAAATACACAAAAAAATAAGATGATGAACTCTTGTTTCAAATTCTAGAAGGATAGAAATAAAAAGACAAAATGATCTCAGAAATAAAATCTCTGTTATAGCATACCTAAGGGGAAAGCAGATTCTACTGACAATAAGGAAAACTATGAAAACAGCCAAGAGAACAAAAATGAAGAGAAAAGGATCTAAGTAAAAGTAATACAGGATGGGCAAAGAGCCAATATCCATGTAATGAGAGTCCCTAAAGAGGGGAAGAAAAAACCCATTTTCACAATCTGAGAAAATTTTCTGGAAACAAAAGGCATGAATCGAAATACTGAACAGGCCTACATGTACTTGGAAAACTGACCCAGAATAGTCTACTGTGAAACATATCCTAGTAAGATGACTAGATTTTATAAATGAAGAACATTTCTGGGCTTCCACATAAAAACTCAAAGTTACTTATAAAACTAAGAAAATCAGGCTAAGACTTCAACAGCAATATACGGAGCAAAACAACAGTGGAACAATGCTTTACCAGAAACTCAAGGGGGAAAAAAGTGTGAGCCAAGGATTATACAACCAGGCCATCCAGCATGCAACCCCCAGTGTAAGCCAGGACCCAAGGGATAACTAAGAGATGACTAGGAAACATAGCTGAAATGACTGGTGGTGTCACTGCATATGTTGTATTGTAGATCTAAGACAAAATGTAAGGACAAGGGTAGAAAAATAATAGGGAAACACTTCTATGTCTGACAAAGTACAAACAGCTTAAAAAAAAAGGGATATTAGAGAACAAGAGATGTAGAACGTGCTCACTGAGAAGCACATAGGTAACAGGAGTTTTCTGGAGTGAACAAAATAATAGGCGCCTAAGTAAGGAAAAGGAGCTAAGGATATTTAAAAACATTTATAGCATAAAGGTAACCAGTAGAACAAAATTACAAACCTTCCTAAATAAAAAAAGAGACATGAAGACAAATAGCAATGAAAATATAATATACAGTAAATATAGTAGTATGACAGTTAAGAACCAATCATATACTCGTCATTTTCAGATCTGCTCAAAAAACAAAACCCAACTTTGTGCTCAGTACAAGAAACACAACTAAAATACCTATTCCGAAAGGCTTAAAATAAAGAGATGGTCAAAAGTATACCAAACAAATCAAGCAGCTCTCATTAGAACTGTCATAACAGCAAATAACCCTGACATCTCCCAAAGGCTTCTCTCAGTCACTTGACTTGTTTACTGCAGACTGGCTGTGACTGCTGCCTCTTTCTCCAAGTGTCATCATTCTCTACTCTGGAATGTAGCACTTATCCGGTATATATACTCTTCTTAATTTCTTACAGAAGGGTAAAAGCCATGGCAGAAGTGCCTTCCACTCATACTTCATCAGTCAAAGTCAGTCACATGGCCACAACTGGCAGCAGAGGGCACAAGGTAACAGACAGCATGTATGATCCTCTTACATAATACAGTCCTAAGGAATGCAAACACAAGCAGTAAGAAAACAGAGATTGCTACCCTGCAATGAAACAAAGTAGAATTTGGGCTCAAAGGCTTTAAATGAAATAAAGAAGTTCACTTCATAATGCTAAAAATATAATTCATAATAATATTAGTTGTGAAAATCTATGTACCAAAAACACAGTAGCCCCCTTTATAAAGCAGAAATTGCAAACGTTAAAAAAGATAGAAATACACTTATAAGAAAGCAGATATTAATATGCCCCCCAAAACAGATCAAGTGAACAGAAAATACAGACATGAAAGACAGAGACAATATAATCAATAACTAGACAAGAGGGATCTCTATCAAAATTTGATAAGAAAATATCCACCTTCTAAAGTATACATGGGAGATTACAATCCCAGCACTTTGGGAGGCCAAGGCAATTGGATCGTTTGAGGTCAGGAGTTTGAGACCAGCCTGGCCAACACGGTGAAACCGTGTCTCTACTAAATATACAAAAATTAGCCAGGTGTGGTGGCGTGTGCCTGTATTCCTAGCTACTGGGGAGGCTGAGGCAGGAGAATCGCTTGAACCTGGGAGGTGGAGGTTGCAGTGAGCCGCACCACTGTACTCCAGCCTGGGCAACAGCGTGAGACTCTGTCTCCAAAAAAATAAAGTGTACATGGGTGCTGGGTGCAGGTGGCTCATGCCTATGATCCCAGCACTCTTTGGGAGGCCAAAGCAGGAGGATTGCTTAGGCCAGGAGTTCGAGACCATCCTGGGAAACACAGCAAGATTCCGTGTCGAAAAAAAAATTTTAAGTAAAGTGTACCTGGACCATTCATGAACACCAACAATATATTAAGTGGCAACGAAAATCTCAGTAAGTTCTCTGATCATAATGAAAAAAAAAAAGTTTAAGTAATAATATACAAAGAAAGGCCATTCTTTCTACCTGGAATAAAACCCTTACAATAAAAGCCTCTTGCAACAAAGGGGAAACAAACTAAGATAAAAACATTATGTAACAGGATCTATAAAATACAACTGAAGCAGTTTTAAGAAAAAAATGTATAGCCATGAATATTTTAATCCATACAAATAAAGCAATGAAAACAGTGAATAAACACCTCCCTAGAAAAATGAACCAGAGGGAAAAACAAAAGAAGCCAAAGAAAGCAATAAAGATAAAAGTATAAGTCAGTAAGACAGAAAACACAAAACCAGTAGAACAAATCAATCAAAATATTGGTTGTTTAGAGAAAAAGAATCAAGGAAAAAAGGGGAAAAACACAAACACAAAAATAAAGTGACAGAAGAAAATTACTAAAACAGAACATTTTTAAAAGTCAGAAAAGACTACTATGCACAATGCAAATACATTTTTTAAAACTTAGATAAAATGAATTATTTCCTAGGAAAACACAATTTACCAAAATTGACCTCAGTAGAGATAGAAAATTTAAACATTACAAACTCCAGAGACAAAAACAAGAAAGTTATCAAAGAAATACCCATCAAAAGCCCCAATGGTTTCACTGTGGTATATTCTTAAATCTTCAAAGACCAGAGTCCAAAAAAAAAAAAAGAAAAACATCCACATTATTTTTAGGAGGCACCTGTAACAGCAATACTTCAAGCTGATAAAGTAAAGCTATATACAAATGAATTGTAGATAAAACAATCCTAAATCATGTATGTAAAAACAGAATCTAGGCCAGGCACAGTGGCTCATGCCTGTAATCCCAGCCCTGTGGGAGACCAACCAGGCAGATCATTTGAGCCCAGGAGTTTGAAACCAGCCTAGCCAATATGGTGAAACCCCATATCTAATAAAAATACAAAAATTAGCTGGGCATGGTGGCCTGTGCCTGTAATCCCAGCTGCTGAGGAGGCTGAGGTGGGAGGATCACTTAAGCCTGGGAGGCGGAGGTTGCAGTGAGTAATGAGCACATCACTGCACTCCAGCCTGGTCAACAAAGTGAGACCCTGTCGCAAAAAAATAAACAAATAAATAAAAATAAAAATGGAATCTACATTTAAAAATATATTATAATCCTGAGAGGTTTACTCCAGGAGTGCGAGGACAGTACAATACGAGGCCTCATATTTACTAATTAACATATAATAACTCTTAAGGAGAAAAATGTTTATCTCCGCAGATATTCAAAAAGGCCTTCAAAATACAACACTAATCCCTAATGAATACACGGACTAAAACTGGAATTGACAGACAAGTCCTCACCATGAAAAAATATACCTTAATTCAAGGAAGTATTGACTTATTAGATTTTGTTATTACTTATAAGTTCCACTTAAATACAGAAATAGTTAACATTCTGAAACTCTACTTCCAAGTTTCCTTACTGTGAACTTTATTAGTCACTGAAAATTCTTTGAAGGTACAAAAGCTTTACTGATTTTATAACCAATCAGATAAACACAATGTGAAAATCTAAGAAGAGTATATGAAGTCTGTAACTAGGGTGATTCTGTGTCCTCATTGCATAGATATGCTTGACTTGTACCCATTTTATTAGTATCTCAAAAATATCACAATTTGGACAATATATTCTCTTTGACTCCATAACTCACAAAAATAGAAAAATATATTAAAAAAATTTTAAGTATAATATTTTGATTAGCTTAATTATTCAGCATTAATTCATACATGAATTAAGATTTAAATATGCTGTTTATATATAAAAGGTAATAGAGATTGAGACATAACTAAGTAAAATGAGGAGGTAAAGGGGAAAATGTAAGACCATGTAAGTTATAATAAATTTTTCATCATTTTTAGCAAAATCAACAGATACTGTCTGAAAATCAAGATATCAGGAAGTAGAAGTGCTCTAAAATTATTTAGAAATATGGTGGTAACCATCAGAAAAACTAATGAGAAAGTTAAAAATGGTTGCTTCTTGGGAGTGAGATTACGTAAAAAGAAGACTCAGAGAACTTTACTTTTCAACTGAAAACTCTCTGCGCTGGGCACGGTGGCTCATGCCTGTAATTCCAGCACTTTGGGAGGCCGAGGTGGACGGATCATGAGGTCAGAAGTTCAAGACCAGCCTGGCCAACATGGTGAAACCCTGTCTCTACTAAAAATACAAAAATTAGCTGGGTGTGGTGGCACCCATCTGTAATCCAAGCTACTCAGGAGACTGAGGCAGCAGAATCACTTGAACCCAGGAGGCAGAGGTTGCAGTGAGCCAAGATCATGCCACTGCACTCCAGCCTGGGCAACAGAGCAAGACTCCATTTCAAAAAAAAAGAAAACTCTCTGTACTCCTTGTACTTTTCTACCGTGTACAGCTACAATGTTCATAATAAGCAAATATTTAAATAAAATGCCTAGTACAGTGGCTAACACCTGTAATCGCAGCACTTTGGGAGGCTGAGGTCAGCAGAGCAGATCGCTTGAGTCCCGGAGTTGGAGACAAGCCTGGGCAACATAGCAAGACCCTGTCTCTACAAAAAATACAAAATTAGTCAGGCATGGTAGTGCATGCCTGTAGTCCTAGCTACTTGGGAGGCTGAGGTGGGAGGATCTCTTGAGCTCAGGAGGTCAAGGTTGAAGTGAGCAGATATCTCGCCACTGCCTTCCAGCCTAGGCAACAGAGTGAGAGCTCGTCTCAAAAAAATAAATACATAAATAAAACGGAAGAAAGCGACTTAAACTCTCCTTTACTTGGTATAGCTTTGCTCTTGAAAACTAGGTAAGAATAAAAGAAAAAACATCAGCATTTGTATTAGCATTAATACATTCATTCTCTCCACCAATATTTACCACGTGCCTAACGCATGCCTCAGGCTGGGTGAGGTGTTAGCCACAGCAACAAAACAGGCAGACTTCCAAGGAGCCACATATGATTACTGGCCCTCCCTCTCTCCAGAGTAACTGCACCTCACAGAGCTCACAAGAATGAAAGAATATGTGGAGAAAACTGCAAAAATGCAACAAGAAAAAGGCCAGTCTGGTAACAGTTTATCATTTGATACCAAGCTGTAACAACCTAAAATCAGAAAACCAAACAATTATAATAAAGTTATATAGCTCTGTGCAACTGAATAAGCATTCTGACCTCATTCAATCCTTAACAATCGTGAAAAACAGATTCTGTCTCTCTGCCCATCTGAAAACTAAAAAAAACAAGTTCTGAGTATGATTTACTTGACTATAGTCACCAAAATAGTAAATGAGAGAACTTGAGCCTCTACCTGGTCTCCCCATGAATAATAATATAATTATATTTCTTACGTATATTATATAATTTATAAAAATAATTGTTCAATTTATAATCGATTTCTTTTGAGAAAGATACACAAATATACGTATATATTTCTTATACTGTATCACCTGTCTCTGTCAGTAAACCTGAGCCTAATAATTTTTTTAAAAGTTCAATCTGCATTTGAACAAGAATTGTAACTGAGGAAAACCTAAATGCTTCACCTATGTTATCACATGGCCCCACCATATTTTGGCCAAACTTAAAAGCAATCTTTGTTGAAATAAACACAAGTGAAGAATACTGATAATTTACAGTCTACAATGCTTAAGAAATATTCACAATTTTCACAAACAACCAACAAATTATAGATTCATAATTATTTCAAGATAACCCAATGGGGCCTTTCATTAAATTTACATTGACATTGCCAAATTTGTAGCTCTTGTGTAAACTCAGACTAAACACTGAAAGGCAAAGGAAGACAGCATTAACCATAAAGAACATCTTTCCACTGGCATTCTTTTTTTTTTTTTTTTTTGAGACGGAGTCTCGCTCGGGGGCCCAGGCTGGAGTGCAGTGGCACAATCTCAGCTCACTACAACCTCCACCTCCAAGGTTCAAGTGATTCTCCTGCCTCAGCCTACCAAGTAGCTGGTATTACAGGCGCCCGCCACCACGCCAGGCTAATTTTTGTATTTTTAGTAGAGACGGGGTTTCATCATGTTGGCTAGGCTGGTCTCAAACTCCTGACCTCAAGTGATCCACCCGCCTCGGCCTCCCAGAGTGCTGGGATTACAGGCGTGAGCCACTGCACCTGGCCTCCACTGTCAGTCTTAAGCACTTTCTTCTATGTGCATTGTGCAGGTTATTCCCAACCGGGTCTCATAGCAACAAGATGGAGGGGATAGTATTATAAGAGGCTTTTCCAATTCAAAACTATCTTAATGTCAGACTCAGGCCGATTTAAAATCATACCAGTAGTTCATTAACATTATAAACTGGAATTTGAAATTAACTACAAAATTCCATAGCTCATCCCTGGCAACAAACTAAAGGACAAGACAACTCCTTTGGAAGTAGTTTTACTAAACGTACTATACTACAAACTTGAGAAAAAGTTTTAATTCCACAACTACAAAAGCACATTACTGCTTAACGGGCAATTAAGCAGAAACACAAACCACCACAACAGTGGTTTCCTGCAATGTTTGCATCCCTTGTCAGCTCTTTTCCTGGGGAGGAAGGTGGGGATGGGAAAGGAATATTGATACCTTACCTATCAAGCAGATAAGGCAGAGGATTTGTGCCTTACACAGAGAAGAAATATTTGACTGACATGTTCTCATAAATACATATGCATATTTTCATCTAATTTTACTGAAAGCAAGAAACAAAAGCTATAGAATACTACTAAGAATACAGTATTGCCACAAAACCACTGTGAGTGGTAAACACTAGAGAACTCATGACAGGCTTTAATCTGCAGATAGAGCATTCAGAATGTCTGTGATGTGAAATATCTGCAATATGCCAAGCAGCTTTTAATGACTGCCACAACCTGAAAACAGATGGCTTATCCTCTTTAAAGCACCAGCTAGTCAGCTCTTAAATATATGAGCTCTGATGATATTCAAGTCAGTATGTGTGTTTTATTAATTTTGTATTACATTAATTCTGGAGTCTGACATAGAGATGGATTACTCTGCGTTTTAAATAAAGGATTACATGCAGACCTTTAGGAATGAAAATGGTGACATTCTATAGCTAAGAAGGCAGGGGCAGGGTGGAATAACATGTATTCCAGTCTAGAAAGGTGATGATACATGCCATCTATAAGGTAGGATTCTAAACATCTAAAATTGATACAGAATCTTAATTGTCCTACTGACACAGGAACACTACGTCTGTTTTCTGGCTTCAGTAATTATACAATATTACTAAACTCCTAAAATTCTAAGTACTCTTCTTCCTGCAAGCTTTCCTGGAGCAAGTATTACTGGAAATAACAGTCTTCAAAGTATAAATCACACTTGCATGGTACATTAATGGTTAAAGCTCTTTCAGATATTTTATTTCATTAAAAGATCAATGAGGCTGGGCGTGCTGGCTCACGTCTGTAATCCCAGCACTTTGGGAGGCCAAGGCAGGTGGATCACGAGGTCAGGCATTCGAGACCAGCCTGGCCAACACAGTGAAACCCCGTCTCTACTAAAAATACAAAAAAAAAAAAAAAATTAGCCGGGCGTGGTGGCGGGTGGCTGTAATCCCAGCTACTCAGGAGACTGAGGCAGGAGAATCGCTTGAACCTGGGAGGCGGAGGTTGCAGTTAGTTGACATCCCGCCACTGCAATCCAGCCCGGGTGACAGTGTGAGACTCCGTCTCAAAAAAAAAAAATCAATGATGCAGTCTACGGCTCTGAAATTCTGGAAAAGTTATCTGTTTGGCCTACTGCTTCTTTGATAAATAACTGGAGCTGATAATTTTGATGAATATGCTAATTAATATCTCATGGTCACTGTCTCCAACATCCATGGTTCCAAATGTTTTATAAACATAACCTCACTGAACTCCCATAAATTTTGAGATATACTATTATTGTCTCCGTTTTATACACTGGAAACTGAAGCACAGAGAGGCTAAGTAACTTGCCCTAGGTCCCAAAGCTAGATAATAAACCAACCTGTTGTACCCAGGTAAGAACTAAGATGCATTAACTTTTGTGTAACTGAGTGTGAATGGTGAAGATTCGTCTTCTTATATGTCCTGTCAATAACATAGGTAGCAACATTTAAAAGGGAGATGTTTCTTTAAAAACAAAGGCTTTTCAAAATCCTTTAAGGATTATAAGCTCAAGATTTGGCCTAGTTTCCTAAAAACATCGAAAACCTCTTTCCCAAAAGGAGTGTTCTCCTGAGACAAGCACCAAGTGCTGTCAAGCTTTTTCCTCTGCCAGTTACAGACTCTCCCACAGGGAAGCACTTCCTGACTTGAAATAATGTTGTAACATTAAAATAACCTCCTGGCATGAGGTACTATGACATTAAATTTTATTAGAGTGAATTTTAAATGTTTTGTGAATCAAAACATTTAAAAGGAGTTAGTGTGGCGCTAGCACTTGATGGTACTGTCATAACTTTTAAATGCAAAACAAAACATAATTCATAGCTATATCTCCTACACATCACATGAGAAATTTAGAAACCAGCTGTGATAAACGTCCTCTGAGAGGTTCCTGAGGACAGGGACCCTTATCTTCTTGCATTTTTGCAGCCTTTATGCATTTCTGCAGTTATGCGTACTGCATGCAACTTGTCCTTAAGCATTTCCTAAAGACGTATCAATAGCGGTAAAGTATTATAATTTATAGCCAAAAGAATGAAGTTGGCAAAACAAGCTAAGAGCCCATTATGTCTGTCTTCTGAAATAGAGTCTGAACTGAATGTGTACAGAAATAAAATCGTGTCTAGTCATGCAATGGGTTAAGTATCTGCTCTTGGTAACAGCAAAGGATCTTTCACTTTCAAAAGAAAACAACGAAACAGGCACACACAAAATTTCTGCCTTTCTCATCCTAAACAGCTGAATCATTCACATATTCAACAGCCCAGAATTCTTCCGGGCTGTCAGTGCGGGCTCTGCTTTTTGAGAGGTTGGAATTTAAAATCCTCCTTAGGAGAGCACGGAAGAATTACAGGAAATTAAAGGGATTCCCAAAGGACGCCTGACTTAAACAGCAGCAGCGTTACCGTTAATCAAACAGGAGGCTCTGGCTATCAATCAATCTCCGGAGAAGGAAAAATACTATGCTGAGAAAATATATTCGTTCATTAGTCAAGTATTTACTAAAGGTGTACTCGGCGCAAGGCCCCTGGAGAGAGGCCAACAAGCACACCAGCTCTGGATCCCTCGCCGGACCGCCCCCTCCCCGGCGGGGCCCACCTGCAGGCGGGACGCCCCCAGGTGCGCGTTCCAGGCGCCGGGGGCGGCCCCCGCACCCACCCCTCCGGCTCCACCCCGGCGCGCCTCACCCGGACCGGTCTCAGGAGCGATACGGGCTTCAGCGTGGCGAAATGCACCAATACGACTCGCTACGCACTGAGAAGGGGGCCCCACGCGCGCCCCGAGCTACCGCGCCCGCGGGCCTCAGGGAGCCGCTGACCTTCTAGGTCGTGGGACCCCCGCACCAACCCGGGCCAGGGCGAGGGGGGCGATCTGGGGTCTCCAGAGGGCGCGTGAGGCTGACAGCCCCCCCCCCAGAGTGTTCTAGGGGCTTCGTGGGGCGCTTGGGGAGCTCTGGGGGTCCTAGGGGTTCTCTGAAAGGCGCGTGGGGGCTGAGGGTCCCTGTGAGACTCTGGGGATTCTAAGGGGGCGTGTTAGGGGATCCGGAGAGCGTGTGGGGGCTGAGGAACCCTGGGGAGTTCTGCCGGCCCTAGGGGGTCTCTAAAGTGCGCGTGGGGGCTGAGAGCCCCTGGGAGGATGCGGGGTTTCCAGGGACCCTGGGGGGGCCTGTGGGGTCTCTGGAGGGCGCGTGCGGACTGAGGGCCCCTGGGCGTCCTGGGGGCTCCAGGGGGCGCTGGGGGACCCTACAGGATTTCTGGAGGGCGCCTGCAGGCTGAGGGCCCCTAGACGTGGTCTGAGGGCCCCAGAGGTTGCGTGGGGGACTCGGGGGGTCAGCCTGAAAGGAAGGGGGCCAAGTACGGAGACCCCCCCCCCCCAGGGCACGCACGGTCTGGCGCTCACCCAAACAGCCCTCGGAGGAAGGAGTGGGAGGCCTTGACTCGCTTCTCGGCCTCCGCCATCAGCTGTACTGCCTCACGCTCCTTCCCCGCGTTGTCCATGTC
The DNA here is from genome assembly GCF_000001405.40 of Homo sapiens. Taxonomy (NCBI): domain Eukaryota; kingdom Metazoa; phylum Chordata; class Mammalia; order Primates; family Hominidae; genus Homo; species Homo sapiens. The sequence goes on from NC_000020.11 coordinate 23,421,406, forward strand.
GCCCGCCGCGGCCGCCACAGCCCCCTCAGCCGGCTCGCTGTGCGCCCAGGCGCCTTAACCCTCCCTCTGGCGGCCGCAGGGACGCAGGCGCAGGCGCGACGCGCGAGGCCTTTCGGGAGCTGTAGTCCGGGTCCTGTCATGGCGGCGGGGATTCGCGAGCCGCCTACTACAGTTCCCAGGAGGCCCCGGGGCGGGGTGTGTGTGAGCCGAGCTTGCGCACCGCTAGCTCCCAGGACGTCGGCGCAGGGGGCGTGACCCCCCCAAAGGGGTCCTGGGCCAAGGTGAACTTTAATTTTGTATGTATGCAGAAATGGAAAAATGATCCGTGGCCTCTAGTAAAGATCACCTCCTCAGTAAGACTCGCATGGCAATGGGATGGATGAAGGAACAGGGGATAACAGATTGGATGGAACCCACACCCTTCATGCAAGTTCTGCAAAAGAGAATCTGGTGTAGCCACCAAAGCATCACATGCTTGATACCGCCCACCAAAAAACGAGCAACAGCTGGCAATAAGAGCCATTTTTATCTCCAAGAGCAAGACGTCCCCAATATAAGTTCAGTTATTTTTAAATCTCCCCAAACTGTAACTTTCTGTTGGTCCTCTCTTCCTTGGTTATAAATGAGTTGCATATATGCAATATATGCATAATCCACTCTTTTGTTGACTGAATTATATTCAATGGATGTGAACCATTGAACTCTTATCCTTTACATAATACTGGCCATAGTGGATGGATCTCCAGGGACAAAATGTTTGCCTGCCAGGAAGACTTCTAATCTCCTAGGAGAAGTATCCATAGATAGATGGGATCCTGTGCCAGAGACTTTCAGGCCTGTCCCAGAGGGAGTTATTTTTGAAGACAATGTCTAGACCATTCAAGCTTGGCAGTGCTAAGGCAGAGATGCTGAAACTAATAAGAAAATCACTGCCAAGTGAGATTTATGACAGTTTCAAACTGTTAATAAATACACTCTGGGCACTGGCATGCAAAATTTTAGAAAATGAAGACTGTCTGTAGAGGGCAAGGCAAGAGGGGCCAAACTCCTAGAAAGAAAGTTGACTAAAGCACATGTCACAGAGTTCATACATTTCAGGACTCCGTAGAGATAGAAAGAAATCTCAGCTCTTCGTGCAGTTTATTTACGATTACTACATGCATTATTCTAACTTTGAAAAGCTGAGCTGTGTGTTTTTGGAGAGAGAAGGAGGCGGGAAATTGGAGGTGACCGTAAATGCAGGGGAGACCAGAGAAAAACTGTAAAAAGTGAACATAAGCATTTGGAAAGCAGAGCAGTCTATGGGGGCTTAATGGAGTGAGGCTAAGTCAAAAGCTCCTAAGTAAATCAGTGTGTTGATTAAATCAGTTGTTCCCTAACGTGGTTCGATGCAGAAGCTCTAATGGATATTTAAGAAATACTGATTCCTAGGCCACTGGGTTTTGGTATCAAGGTCTCTTGCAGCTGGGGTCTAGAAAATGCACATTTTGAAAAGAACTCTCCATCCCTATCCTAAAGCACACAGTTCTAGATTCTCATATCTGTAGTCAGTTGAAAAGGAGCTGGAACAGACTGCCTCCCCGAAGCTAGCACTTGCAATTAAGAGAGACATTTTTGGTGGTTTCTAGTAATTTCCTTCATTCTCTTCTTTGTCACAGGAAATTTGTGGGCACTCCCACCGTTCTGCCAGTCCACACCAAAGTGGGAGAAAACCTTCAAACCTTAATTACTGGGTAGAGCTAGTGTTTTATTCTCCCAAAGGCTGGGGGAGGAAAGGAGGCAGGGCAGAGAGATGAACCTCACAGAATAAGGCCTGACTAGAGAGACAGCTGAGGAATCCTTGAAACAAGAAGGAAAAGGAAAGGAGAAGCACCCCTGGTGTGGATCAGGAGAAGAATAGAAGTCATCTTGGAGAAGAGCCAAAGGACCCACTGCCCACACCTGCGCTGCCCAGGATGGAGCCACTCACCACTGGTGGCTATTTACATTCAAGTTAAATAATATTAAATAAAATGTAAAGTTCCATTTCTTGGCTGTACTAGCCGTATTTCAAGTGCTCAATAGCCACACATAGCCAGTGGCTACTGAAAGAGTTATAAATATAGCATCCTGGTGGATTGACTAAGTTAGACACCTGGTGGATTGACTAAGTTAGATACTTGAGGGCGGTGGCTCACGCCTGTAATCCCAGCACTTTGGGAGGCCAAGGCAAGCGGATCACTTGAGGTGAGTAGTTCAAGACCAACCTGGCCAACACAGTAAAACCCCATCTCTACCAAAAATACAAAATTTACAAAAAATACAAAAATTAGTTAGGTGTCGTGGTGCATGCCTGTAATCCCAGCTACTCAGGAGGCTGAGGCAGGAGAATCACTTGAACCTGAGAGGTGGAACAGAGGTTGCAGTGAGCCGAGATTGCACCATTACACTCCAGCCTGGGCGACAGAGTGAGTGAGACTCTGCTCAAAAAAAAAAAAAAAAGTTAGACACCCAAAAAACGACAGGTGCAAGAAGATTATTTTGACTTTTTCTTTTCTTTTTTGCATACAGAATACACACTGGACACTTTGACCTCTTGTTTCTTTCTTTCTTTTTTTTTTTTTTTTGAGACAGAGTTTCACTCTGTTGCCCAGGCCAGAGTGCAGTGGCTCACTGCAAGTTCCGCCTCCCAGGTTCACGCCATTCTCCTGCCTCAGCCTCCCAAGTAGCTGGGACTACAGGCACCCACCACCACACCCGGCTAATTTTTTGGATTTTTAGTAGAGACGGGGTTTCACTGTGTTAGCCAGCATGGTCTCGATCTCCTGACCTCGTGATCCACCAGCCTCGGCCTCCCAAAGTGCTGGGATTACAGGCGTGAGCCACCGCGCCTGGCCCCAACCTCTTGTTTATTTAAAGGCAAGAGATGAAATTCCCATATGAAAGATGTCCCTCTTATACTAGAACTAAAGCAACATTCTTATCATCAAAGACAGGAAGTTGAGGCTAAGAGAATTCTGTACAAACCCTATTAAACTAACCCTTATCTTCTTAGTCACTTTTCTATCCAATTAACTACCCTAGCCCAAGCCCCTCTGCCTCATCACATTTTCAGTTTACTATTCTTTGTCCAATTCAGTAAATAAGTAACACACTCTAACTGCCTCTTTGGGTTTTCATTTCCTTATGAGGCCTCCCATGCCATGTAAAACTTGTATCAAATACACCTGTGTGCTTTCCTGCTATTAACTTGTCTTATGTAAGTTTAATTTTCAGACTCCACCAGGAGCCTGAGATGCCCCCCTACACTACTATATGGACTGCACAGACAGAGAACAATTTTATCATTCCACAAGTCCTAGTGGATGGCACTAGCCTCTATGTGCTTTGCTTTTCAGAAGTTCTGGACACTTGTAAGAAAAGAAGAAAAAGGCTTCAGGGAGTTTCTGAGAAGGCAGAGCAGGAAAGGAGCGTAGCCTGAACAAGGCAGAGCCAACAGTACTGCTGGCTTTTCCCTGTGAGAAGATGGAGGTGGACACCTGGACACTCAGACTGAATCAGCACATACCCCGAAAGATGATCCATCAAGACAGGGCTGAAGCTACTTGAGAACCCCAATACTAAGAAAGCCAGAGTCAGAAAAGAACAGAATCGATATGGGGAAAGGGTGTAGCCATCTGTGTGTGTTCACAGAAGGGGAGAAAGCACCAGGCAAAGATCCAGTATGGAAAATTATGGGACATCACTGCTGCTTCACTGAAGCAAAGCAAGAAGGCTCACCCACATTAAAGGGGAGGGAAATGAGACGACATCTCCTGATGGGAGGGCCTCTGAGGATTTGCAGATGTTTTCACACCACGACAGCTAGGTTAGAGGGAGTCCGTGCTCACCCTGGTCCACTCTGGTTGCATTGACAAAGTTGGGAAGCTGGAGCCCCTACGCTGGCGTTGGGGGACAGCCTTCAGCTCACATGGCCCTGCATGGCATGGCCCAACGGTCCCTGCCCAGGTCTGCAGTGGCCTTCTCTGATGACATCTCAGCCTTCGTTCTGCCTGAAATGCTAAGCGTGGCTCAGAGTCATCGGACAAGGTCAAACCATCTAAAGCAGAGTGTTCTGCTTCAGAAGGCAGGGAAGGAAGAAGTCCATTTCAGGAGGCTCTTCACCCAAAATCGTTAAAGGAATGCATTAATGAAAATAAATCTTCCATCTGTGTGGATGAGGTTGTGCAATTCTAAGGACAGAATTTAATTGTTCTATTTACAGTGATTCTTTTCATTTTTCTCATAGACTAACAAAACCCAAGAACATTTGAATGGCACATTTCAGAGAAATAATTAAACAGCTTTTGTTAATCTCTAAAAAACTTTTTGAAACAACATCAGTTTAAGTGTTTGTGTGTTATGTGTGTGGGGTGACATTTCACACCCTGTGAAAACTGTTACAAGTTTCCCCAAATGTAACTTTATTAATCTTATTTAACCTTTCCTTAAAAAATTACTCTATAAAATTCAGACCAAAAAGTTAGAAAAGGTAAAATTAAATATACGCAAATATCTGTTACAGAAAACAAAAAATGGTAAATTAAGTTAAAATAAATGCTTATGAGAAAATATATATTATTGTCATTAGTAAGTGCTCTTCTTCTTCTTCTTCTTTTTTTTTTTTTTTTTTTTTTTTTTGAGACAGGGTGTCGCTCTGTTGCCCAGGCTAAAATGCACAATCAGGGGAGGAGCCAAGATGGCCGAATAGGAACAGCTCCGGTCTACAGCTCCCAGCGTGAGCGACGCAGAAGACGGGTGATTTCTGCATTTCCATCTGAGGTACCGGGTTCATCTCACTAGGGAGTGCCAGACAGTGGGCGCAGGCCAGTGTGTGTGCGCACCGTGCGCGAGCCGAAGCAGGGCGAGGCATTGCCTCACCTGGGAAGCACAAGGGGTCAGGGAGTTCCCTTTCCGAGTCAAAGAAAGGGGTGACGGACGCACCTGGAAAATCGGGTCACTCCCACCCGAATATTGCGCTTTTCAGACCGGCTTAAGAAACGGCGCACCACGAGACTATATCCCACACCTGGCTCAGAGGGTCCTACGCCCACGGAATCTCGCTGATTGCTAGCACAGCAGTCTGAGATCAAACTGCAAGGCGGCAACGAGGCTGGGGGAGGGGCGCCCGCCATTGCCCAGGCTTGCTTAGGTAAACAAAGCAGCCGGGAAGCTCGAACTGGGTGGAGCCCACCACAGCTCAAGGAGGCCTGCCTGCCTCTGTAGGCTCCACCTCTGGGGGCAGGGCACAGACAAACAAAAAGACAGCAGTAACCTCTGCAGACTTAAGTGTCCCTGTCTGACAGCTTTGAAGAGAGCAGTGGTTCTCCCAGCACGCAGCTGGAGATCTGAGAACGGGCAGACTGCCTCCTCAAGTGGGTCCCTGACCCCTGACCCCCGAGCAGCCTAACTGGGAGGCACCCCCCAGCAGGGGCACACTGACACCTCACACGGCAGGGTATTCCAACAGACCTGCAGCTGAGGGTCCTGTCTGTTAGAAGGAAAACTAACAACCAGAAAGGACATCTACACCGAAAACCCATCTGTACATCACCATCATCAAAGACCAAAAGTAGATAAAACCACAAAGATGGGGAAAAAACAGAACAGAAAAACTGGAAACTCTAAAACGCAGAGCGCCTCTCCTCCTCCAAAGGAACGCAGTTCCTCACCAGCAACAGAACAAAGCTGGATGGAGAATGATTTTGACGAGCTGAGAGAAGAAGGCGTCAGACGATCAAATTACTCTGAGCTACGGGAGGACATTCAAACCAAAGGCAAAGAAGTTGAAAACTTTGAAAAAAATTTAGAAGAATGTATAACTAGAATAACCAATACAGAGAAGTGCTTAAAGGAGCTGATGGAGCTGAAAACCAAGGCTCGAGAACTACGTGAAGAATGCAGAAGCCTCAGGAGCCGATGCGATCAACTGGAAGAAAGGGTATCAGCAATGGAAGATGAAATGAATGAAATGAAGCGAGAAGGGAAGTTTAGAGAAAAAAGAATAAAAAGAAATGAGCAAAGCCTCCAAGAAATATGGGACTATGTGAAAAGACCAAATCTACGTCTGATTGGTGTACCTGAAAGTGATGTGGAGAATGGAACCAAGTTGGAAAACACTCTGCAGGATATTATCCAGGAGAACTTCCCCAATCTAGCAAGGCAGGCCAACGTTCAGATTCAGGAAATACAGAGAACGCCACAAAGATACTCCTCGAGAAGAGCAACTCCAAGACACATAATTGTCAGATTCACCAAAGTTGAAATGAAGGAAAAAATGTTAAGGGCAGCCAGAGAGAAAGGTCGGGTTACCCTCAAAGGAAAGCCCATCAGACTAACAGCGGATCTCTCGGCAGAAACCCTACAAGCCAGAAGAGAGTGGGGGCCAATATTCAACATTCTTAAAGAAAAGAATTTTCAACCCAGAATTTCATATCCAGCCAAACTAAGCTTCATAAGTGAAGGAGAAATAAAATACTTTATAGACAAGCAAATGCTGAGAGATTTTGTCACCACCAGGCCTGCCCTAAAAGAGCTCCTGAAGGAAGCGCTAAACATGGAAAGGAACAACCAGTACCAGCTGCTGCAAAATCATGCCAAAATGTAAAGACCATCGAGACTAGGAAGAAACTGCATCAACTAATGAGCAAAATCACCAGCTAACATCATAATGACAGGATCAAATTCACACATAACAATATTAACTTTAAATATAAATGGACTAAATTCTGCAATTAAAAGACACAGACTGGCAAGTTGGATAAAGAGTCAAGACCCATCAGTGTGCTGTATTCAGGAAACCCATCTCACGTGCAGAGACACACATAGGCTCAAAATAAAAGGATGGAGGAAGATCTACCAAGCCAATGGAAAACAAAAAAAGGCAGGGGTTGCAATCCTAGTCTCTGATAAAACAGACTTTAAACCAACAAAGATCAAAAGAGACAAAGAAGGCCATTACATAATGGTAAAGGGATCAATTCAACAAGAGGAGCTAACTATCCTAAATATTTATGCACCCAATACAGGAGCACCCAGATTCATAAAGCAAGTCCTCAGTGACCTACAAAGAGACTTAGACTCCCACACATTAATAATGGGAGACTTTAACACCCCACTGTCAACATTAGACAGATCAACGAGACAGAAAGTCAACAAGGATACCCAGGAATTGAACTCAGCTCTGCACCAAGCAGACCTAATAGACATCTACAGAACTCTCCACCCCAAATCAACAGAATATACATTTTTTTTCAGCACCACACCACACCTATTCCAAAATTGACCACATAGTTGGAAGTAAAGCTCTCCTCAGCAAATGTAAAAGAACAGAAATTATAACAAACTATCTCTCAGACCACAGTGCAATCAAACTAGAACTCAGGATTAAGAATCTCACTCAAAGCCGCTCAACTACATGGAAACTGAACAACCTGCTCCTGAATGACTACTGGGTACATAACGAAATGAAGGCAGAAATAAAGATGTTCTTTGAAACCAACGAGAACAAAGACACCACATACCAGAATCTCTGGGACGCATTCAAAGCAGTGTGTAGAGGGAAATTTATAGCACTAAATGCCTACAAGAGAAAGCAGGAAGGATCCAAAATTGACACCCTAACATCACAATTAAAAGAACTAGAAAAGCAAGAGCAAACACATTCAAAAGCTAGCAGAAGGCAAGAAATAACTAAAATCAGAGCAGAACTGAAGGAAATAGAGACACAAAAAACCCTTCAAAAAATCAATGAATCCAGGAGCTGGTTTTTTGAAAGGATCAACAAAATTGATAGACCACTAGCAAGACTAATAAAGAAATAAAGAGAGAAGAATCAAATAGACACAATAAAAAATGATAAAGGGGATATCACCACCGATCCCACAGAAATACAAACTACCATCAGAGAATACTACAAACACCTCTACGCAAATAAACTAGAAAATCTAGAAGAAATGGATACATTCCTCGACACATACACTCTCCCAAGACTAAACCAGGAAGAAGTTGAATCTCTGAATAGACCAATAACAGGATCTGAAATTGTGGCAATAATCAATAGTTTACCAACCAAAAAGAGTCCAGGACCAGATGGATTCACAGCCGAATTCTACCAGAGGTACAAGGAGGAACTGGTACCATTCCTTCTGAAACTATTCCAATCAATAGAAAAAGAGGGAATCCTCCCTAACTCATTTTATGAGGCCAGCATCATTCTGATACCAAAGCCGGGCAGAGACACAACCAAAAAAGAGAATTTTAGACCAATATCCTTGATGAACATTGATGCAAAAATCCTCAATAAAATACTGGCAAACTGAATCCAGCAGCACATCAAAAAGCTTATCCACCATGATCAAGTGGGCTTCATCCCTGGGATGCAAGGCTGGTTCAATATACGCAAATCAATAAATGTAATCCAGCATATAAACAGAGCCAAAGACAAAAACCACATGATTATCTCAATAGATGCAGAAAAAGCCTTTGACAAAATTCAACAACCCTTCATGCTAAAAACTCTCAATAAATTAGGTATTGATGGGACGTATTTCAAAATAATAAGAGCTATCTATGACAAACCCACAGCCAATATCATACTGAATGGGCAAAAACTGGAAGCATTCCTTTTGAAAACTGGCACAAGACAGGGATGCCCTCTCTCACCGCTCCTATTCAACATAGTGTTGGAAGTTCTGGCCAGGGCAATCAGGCAGGAGAAGGAAATAAAGGGTATTCAATTAGGAAAAGAGGAAGTCAAATTGTCCCTGTTTGCAGACGACATGATTGTTTATCTAGAAAACCCCATCGTCTCAGCCCAAAATCTCCTTAAGCTGATAAGCAACTTCAGCAAAGTCTCAGGATACAAAATCAATGTACAAAAATCACAAGCATTCTTATACACCAACAACAGACAAACAGAGAGCCAAATCATGAGTGAACTCCCATTCACAATTGCTTCAAAGAGAATAAAATACCTAGGAATCCAACTTACAAGGGATGTGAAGGACCTCTTCAAGGAGAACTACAAACCACTGCTCAAGGAAATAAAAGAGGACACAAACAAATGGAAGAACATTCCATGCTCATGGGTAGGAAGAATCAATATCGTGAAAATGGCCATACTGCCCAAGGTAATTTACAGATTCAATGCCATCCCCATCAAGCTACCAATGACTTTCTTCACAGAATTGGAAAAAACTACTTTAAAGTTCATATGGAACCAAAAAAGAGCCCGCATCGCCAAGTCAATCCTAAGCCAAAAGAACAAAGCTGGAGGCATCACACTACCTGACTTCAAACTATACTACAAGGCTACAGTAACCAAAACAGCATGGTACTGGTACCAAAACAGAGATATAGATCAATGGAACAGAACAGAGCCCTCAGAAATAATGCCGCATATCTACAACTATCTGATCTTTGACAAACCTGAGAAAAACAAGCAATGGGGAAAGGATTCCCTATTTAATAAATGGTGCTGGGAAAACTGGCTAGCCATATGTAGAAAGCTGAAACTGGATCCCTTCCTTACACCTTATACAAAAATCAATTCAAGATGGATTAAAGATTTAAACGTTAGACCTAAAACCATAAAAACCCTAGAAGAAAACCTAGGCATTACCATTCAGGACATAGGCGTGGGCAAGGACTTCATGTCCAAAACACCAAAAGCAATGGCAACAAAAGCCAAAATTGACAAATGGGATCTAATTAAACTAAAGAGCTTCTGCACAGCAAAAGAAACTACCATCAGAGTGAACAGGCAACCTACAACATGGGAGAAAATTTTTGCAACCTACTCATCTGACAAAGGGCTAATATCCAGAATCTACAATGAACTCAAACAAATTTACAAGAAAAAAACAAACAACCCCATCAAAAAGTGGGCGAAGGACATGAACAGACACTTCTCAAAAGAAGACATTTATGCAGCCAAAAAACACATGAAGAAATGCTCATCATCACTGGCCATCAGAGAAATGCAAATCAAAACCACTATGAGATATCATCTCACACCAGTTAGAATGGCAATCATTAAAAAGTCAGGAAACAACAGGTGCTGGAGAGGATGTGGAGAAATAGGAACACTTTTACACTGTTGGTGGGACTGTAAACTAGTTCAACCATTGTGGAAGTCAGTGTGGCGATTCCTCAGGGATCTAGAACTAGAAATACCATTTGACCCAGCCATCCCATTATTGGGTATATACCCAAAGGACTATAAATCATGCTGCTATAAAGACACATGCACACGTATGTTTATTGCGGCACTATTCACAATAGCAAAGACTTGGAACCAACCCAAATGTCCAACAATGATAGACTGGATTAAGAAAATGTGGCACATATACACCATGGAATACTATGCAGCCATAAAAAATGATGAGTTCATATCCTTTGTAGGGACATGGATGAAATTGGAAACCATCATTCTCAGTAAACTATCGCAAGAACAAAAAACCAAACACCGCATATTCTCACTCATAGGTGGGAATTGAACAATGAGATCACATGGACACAGGAAGGGGAATATCACACTCTGGGGACTGTGGTGGGGTCGGGGGAGGGGGGAGGGATAGCATTGGGAGATATACCTAATGCTAGATGACACATTAGTGGGTGCAGCGCACCAGCATGGCACATGTATACATATGTAACTAACCTGCACAATGTGCACATGTACCCTAAAACTTAGAGTATAATAAAAAAAAAAAAAAAAAATGAGAAAAACCGAAATCATGCACCAGTCGATAAGATGCAATAAAGAATACAGCATCAAAAAAAAAAAATAAAAAAAAATAAAATGCACAATCAAAGCTCACTGCAGCCTAAATCTCCCAGGCGTAAGTGGTCCTCCTACCTCAGCCTCCTGAGTAGCTGGGACTACAGGCATGTACCACCAAACCCAGTTGTTTTTTAATTTTTATTTTTAGTAGAGATGAGGTCTTGCTCTCTTGCCCAGGCTGGTCTCAAACTCCTGAGCTCAAGCAGTCTTTCCATCTCAGACTCCCAAAGTGCTGGGATTACAGGCATGAGCCACTGTGCCCGACCAAATATTCTTCTTTTTATTAGTTGATGTAAAAGTCTAAAAACAAGTTTTGAAATTAACTTGATGCCTTTATTTATGGCAAATGGGCATAAGATCATTTTGACAATTTTTATTTATATTATATATTCTAGGACCTTTCTTATCTATGCTTAATGTAAGTTAAATGGTTGTGAGCCACAGACACAACTGCTTAAAGGGAAAAATGGTTTATTTCTCACATACTCTTTGAATTCCTTTCACATGATTATTTAATATTACATTAGGAGAAATTTTAGGGAAAAAAAGATGCTCATAATTCTACCTGCTCAATGAAACATTTTTAATTTTTTATACATATATAGTGCTATCTCATTTTTATCCATCAAACTTACACATGTGTAAGTATTATTAGGAGTATGCTTGTAGTTTGTATTTTTTGTTTGTTTATGAAACATATATTTTCTCTGTTGCTATAAGTGTTTGTAATTGGTTGTTAATGGCCAATAGTTGAATAAATCAGATTTCACAAAACCTTTTTCCACGGTGGCATATTTGGTTTGCATCACATTTGGCTCTTATGGAAACATCTAAGACTGTCTTGGAAAGTGAAATAATTTCCCCATCACTAGATTACACCGTCCCAGGCTTATTTAGGGTGCGGTACTAGCATTTCTTCATTATCAGGTGGGAAGAACTGGGTCTTCGCAAATCTACTCTTAACATGGTAGTAACTGTCTTTAAAAACACAGTCAACCCTTATTATTCATGGATTTCATATTTGCAAACTCACCTACTTGCTAAAATTAAGTTGCATTCCTAAAATCAACACTTGTGGCACTTTTGCCGTCATTCACAGACGCTCAGAGTGGGCAAAAATGTGGGTGGCCTGACACATATGTTCCAAGCTGAGGTCAAATACAGCAGCAATCTGCCTTCTTGTTCCAACTGTTGTTGTTTTTGTTTGTTTGTTTGTTTTCGAGATGGTGTCTCACTCTGTCTACCAGGCTGGAGTGCAGTGGCTCGATCTCAGCTCACTGCAACCTACACCTCCTGGGTTCAAGCAATTCTCCTGCCTCAGCCTCCCAGGTATTTGAGACTACAGGCACGTGCCACCATACCCAGCTAAGTTTTGTATTTTTACTAGAGATGGGGTTTCCCCATGTTGATCAGGCTGGTCTCGAACTCCTGACCTCAGGTAATCCACCTGCCTTGGCCTTGAGCCACCACTCCCAGCCTTGTTCTAGCTCTTATATTGTTAATGTGTCCTTCTTCACAGCCTGTTTAGTGCCACGTTTCACAATTTTGTATTGGTTTTTTTTTTAGAGGTGGGGTCTTGCTGTGTTGCCCAGGCTGATCTCGAACTCCTGAGCTCAAGTGTCTTCAGCCTTGGCCTCCCAAAGTGTTGGCATTACAGGTATGAGCTATCACATGTGGTTTGAGTTTTGTGCTTTTTTTGGTTGGTGATTTTGCTGATTAAAATGGCCCCAGGCATAGTGCTGCAGTGCTATCTAGTTCCTAGGCACAAGAAGACTGTGAGGTGCCTTATGGAGAAAATGTGTCTTAAATAAGCTTCATTCAGGCATTTACAGGACTGTTGGTGGTGAGCTTGATGACAATGAGTCAACAATATATATTTAAAAGACACCTCTAACTAGAGACACACATAAAATAAGGTTAAATATTGATCAATTGACAGAAAGTGTTGTAACCAGAGACTCAAGGAAACCAAACCTTGTGTTTTTCCTGGGCACAATGGTTTAGCATTTACTACTTCCATGTTTGCAGAGATTTTATAGAAGATACCTTCTGCAAATGATGAAAATCAGCTGCACATTGGGACAGTATCTGGATAAAGAAATGAAATGAAGTCAGATCATAGAATATCCCTTTCCCAATCCCTAAAAGAAATGGGCAAAAAGATAAAAACTAGCAGCTTTTCAAGAGAACTAAGACAGAGGGAAATCATCTGGTGCTGGCTAATTTCTATTTGCTCCCTAGCCCCACTGGCTAACCTTCTGTTATGGTTAATTTTACGTGTCAACTTGACTGGGCCACGGAATGCCCACTATCTGTTAAATGTTATTTCTGGATGGGTCTGTGAGGATGTTTCTGGAAAAGGTCAGCATTTGAATCAGTGGACTGAGTAAAGCAAATGGCCCCTCCAATGTGAGTGACACCATTCAATCCAATCCACTGAGTGCCCGAGTGGCAGATGGTTGAATTAGCTCTGCCTGGCTGTTTGGACTGTGACATCAATCTTCTCCTGCCCTCAGCGCTCCTGGTTATTAAGCCTTCAGACTCAGGTTGGAATCCACACCCGTGGCTCTCCAGCTCTCAGGCCTTCCAACTATACCATTGGCTTTCCTTGGTTTCCAGCTTGCAAACAGCAGATGGTGGACTTCGAGGCCTCCATAATTGTACAAGCCAATCCTTTATAACAAATCTCTTCATATCTCTGTGTTTCTCTGGAGAACCCTGACTAAGGCACTTTCTCCATGCTGCTCTCTGCTTCACAACACAGGCTGCTATGGACTCCATCCGTGGGGCTCTTGTGCCCTATAACTTCTGCTTGTATTTGACAACAAGATGCCTAGGAATGAGGTAGAGGACAGAGGAGACTGACATCATGGTGTTTGTCCCCTGCTCTCTCCACAAAGTGGCCAGCTGGCACTCCAATTCTTTCTAGATGTTTGCCTCATCTTTCAGGCTTAGGCTAGGTGGCATGGCTGCTGCAGACACTTGCCCTGTGTCCCAGGGTTTCTGTGTCCCTGCACCATTGCACAGCGCCCCGTATAGAAACTGCCCTGAACTCTCCTGTTGCAAGTGTGCCTGTGCTGACTGTGGAGACCCAGACTGACATGCTCCCCAACCCGTTGGATGAGGCCAGTATAACCTTGAAACCCAAACCAGGAAAGCACAATATGAGAAAAAACAATCACAGCCCAGTTTAACTCATGAAGATAGATACAAAAATTCTGAAGAAAACATTAGTAAACATACCACGCACAAAAATCTAGATGGATTATGGACGTAAATGGGAAATGCTAAACTTTAAGAATTTCAGAAAAAATATTTAAAAGTAGCTTTATGACCTTGATTTCCTAAATAAGACATAAAAAATGCAAACCACAAGAAAGAAAAATCAATACATTCTTTCCATTAAGATTAAGAATATTTTTTCATCAACATGCCATAAATAAAATGAAAAGACAACCACAACCCAGAGGATGACATTTGCAAGAAGGATAAATAAATCCTACAAATCAATTGAAGACAACCAAACAGAAAAATGGGCAAAAGATTTGAACTTGAAGACTTAATTACAGATTTCAACAGACTCTTGGCCCTCTTCCGCTTTTGCTGCTCATTGCTTCAGTGGGAAAAGCATCTGCTTACAGAAAACCAGACAGATCGCAGGAGAAGGTGGAAGCAGGAGTGTCGCAGCCTGCAGAATCCACCTGCTTTTTCTTTGCTTTCAAAATGGAACCTGATGACTATTTAAGAGCTGGTAAACAGATATTGTGTTGTGGAAAACGTCTGCAGAAAGGAGACCAAAGGCTGGATGAGGACGATGACCTCCCCACAAGCCCCTCCACTCTGGGCATCCTTGGCCTCTTGTGACACGCTCTCACTTTTTAAGCCTTGTGATTTCTCATGTTTCTGTGTCTGGAAAGAGAAAATGTACCCTGGGACCTTTGGAGCGATGCCAGCTTGGAGCCATCTGTAGCACCGCCTTGTTTGCTGACTTTCTGTGCGCCTGCTGCTGGCCTGCTCCCCAGAATCAGAAGGCATTTCCAGCCAAGATCAGCCATGTTCTTCTGCTGCTGCCCTGGGGGCGAGGGCTCAGGGCTGCAGTGGGAGCTGCTGCTGGCAGCATGGACTGTGCTCCCCTACCCCTGCCCTGCAGCCACAGTTGGGAGATTCCTCAAGCAGGCACAGACTGCTGACCATTCCTTCCTGGGCCATGTTTGGAGGGTGCCCAGCAGCAGGTGGGTCGCAAATAGATTTGCTTTCTGCCTGGGTTATCTCCAGGTCAGCAGCCAGCCTAGAACAGGATTATTTAGGGGACAAAGAAGAGCTTGTCAAATAGTGCTACATGCAAAAAAAAAAAAAAAAAAAAAAAATAGAGTGGAGAGAAGAAACCAACCGAGATCAGCCGTGTTGTTTACAGAGGATTATTTGTTTCCCCAGAATGATCAGAAAATTTCAGATAGCAGATGTCGGCTGATGAAGAGAGTGTCACAGTGTGACCCTTTCCCAGCACCAATGCCATATCTACTGGTGAAGGAGTGATGAAGAACTACAGCCAGGAAGCTCCCTGTCTGCAGGTTCCTCAGCCCACATAAGCAGAGCCTGCTGGGATAAAACACATCATCATGTTCTTGTTTATTTCCTGCTTCTCCTAGGAGCTGGACTGATAAAGAAATCCTGAGCTTGGTCGTCAACAGACAGAACCAGGAAGTTGTGCAGCTCATAGGGGGCCTCTGTGGGACACACACCATCTCGCCCACACAGCACCCAGCCACGGGTTGATCCAACAGGAATCCCACACTTGCCATCATGCCTGGTCCAGCAGTGGCCTGTTACCAGGTTCAGCTTATGAGACAGGAGGCCCAGTTTGCTGGACTCCTGGGAAACATACTTTTTCTTTCTTTCTTTTTTTTTTTTTTTTTCAGACGGGGTCTTACTCTGCTGGGCAGGCTGGAGTGCAGTGGCACAATCACAGCTCACTGCATTCTAGACCTCCAGGGCTCAAGCGATCCTTTCATCTCAGCCTCCAGAGTTGCTGAGACTACAGGCATGTGCTCCCCGGCTAATTTTTGTGTTTTTTAGTAGAGATGGGGTTTCACCATGTTGGCCAGGCAGGTCTTGAACTCCTGGCCTCATGTGATCTGCCCACCTTGGCCTCCCCAAAGTGTTGGGATTACAGGTGTGAGCCACGGCGCCTGGCCAAATTGCACATATTTAAAGTGTACAATTTGATGAAATTTGTCATACGTATGCACCTGTGGAATTATCACTACAATTCATACAACAGACATATCTATCACCTGAAGTTTTCTCATGCCCTTCTGCAATCCTTCTCTCCTATGCTCCTTATTCCACAGACATGAGCAGACCTCATATTTCCTGTTATTCCATGGTCTAACCAGAGCTCATATTTTTCCCTTCTTTTATTGGCAAGAACAGGGCTCCTATTTGTTATAGCCAGCACTCCTAATTTACTCTTGTTCCACGGAAATACTCAGGCCCCTATTTTTCCATTGTTTCATGGCAGTAACCAGACAACAACTAAGCCCTCTATTTCCCTTTGTTCTGTCGCCCAGGCTGGAGTGCTTGGTGTGATCTCAGCTCACTGCAGCCTCGACCTCTCTTGGGCTCAGGTGATCCTCCCACCTCAGCCTCCAGAGTAGCTGGGACTACAGATGTGGGCCACCATGTCTGGCTAATTTTTGTATTTTCTGTGGAAACGGGGTTTCACCATGTTGCCCAGGCTGGTCTGGAACTCCTGGGCTGAAGCAATCCTCCTAGCCTCAGCCTCCCAGGTGTCAGCCACTATGCTCTGCCCCTATTCCATGCTGTAACCAAGCTCCCTGTCTCCCTTTATACATGTACCTTACCAGAATCATATTTTTTTCCTGATTCCATGTCCACAGAGTCAGAAATCAGCATTTTGCTGACACAAGCTAAGGAACGCCAGTGTGACCTGTTAGGCGCCTCACATCTCTTTCTGTGGCATAGTCAGGGTCTATGTTTTCCTTTTCTTCAATTAAAATTGCCAGTGACTCATTTTCCTCTTTATGGACACAACCAACTCCCATATTTCTTAAGCAGATTTATTGTTTATGCTTTGAGCCCCACATCCATGGGGTTTCTAATATGGCCCACCCAATGTTATTTTTCCTCTCTATGGGCCTCAGCCTGATGGGGGTATCCCAGGTGTCTGGGGCATGCTGAGACGGCACAGGTCTGTGTGGCTTCCCGGATTACTCGGAATCCTTCATTATCTATTCTACAGCAAGTGGCCCTCGGCAGCTCAGGCTCAGGGAATTTCAAATGTATCACCTCCACCGGCTGGACAAGTCCTCTCAAGACAGGCTCTGGGGCCAAGGGAGGATGTTGTGACTGGTGCTAGCAACATTGTCATGATGGAAGGTGGCCTGGCTTCCGGGACATGACAGGCCATGGGTGAAGTGTGGGTTCAGAGTCACAGAAGAATCACGAAGAAGACATTCTTATGCACCTGACACCTGACTTGGGAGCAGGTTCTTTGCCTACATCCAGTTAGTCTCTACCACAATTCAAGTGGAGTCTTTCTCCCCATTCTCATATTACAGGTGAAGAAACCCAGCTTAGGGAGATGAGGTAACTCTCCCAGAGTCCCCAGCGAAGGACTTGAGCCAGGACAGTTGGATCCTAAGTCTCCTGCTTCCCCTCCCTCAGCACGCTACTCCTCACAGAACAACGCTTTATTTAGTTTTGGACATTTTAACCTTTATTTTGGAATAATTTCAGACTTACACAAAGGCTGCAAAAATAGCATAAAGCATTCTCGTATACCCTTCATTCCACTTCCCCAAATGTTAACATATTATACAATCACAGTACAACGGTGAAAACTAGAATATCAACATTCACACAATACTATTAACTAATCTGCAGATTTTATTCACATTTCATCAACTATTCCACTAATGTTTTTTTCTGGTAGGATTCCATTTAAGGTGTTTTTTTTTGTTTGTTTTTTGTTTTTTTTCTGAGACACAGTCTCGCTCTGTCACCTAGGCTGGAGTGCAGCGGCACCCTCCCGGCTCACTTCAGCCTCCACCTCCTGGGTTCAAGTGATTCTCCTGCCTCAGCCTCCCAAGTAACTGGGACTACAGGTACACACCACCACACCCAGCTAATTTTGTATTTTTAGTAGAGATGGGGTTTCACCATGTTGGCCAGGCTGGTCTCGAACTCCTGATCTCTGGTGATTCACCCACCTCAGCCTCCCAAAGTGCTGGGATTACAGGCGTGAGCCACCGCGCCCAGCCAGCAAATGTTTTTAAAATAGGGCATTCATGGGCTTTTGGGGGTAAGTGACACCTAATCTTCAGGGGTCTGCGGATAATTTCTAAATGGGGCTCACAGTTTATTCCTCCCTCATAGGGAGGCTGCAATTACCTCACAAAGCTCCACTAGGGTCACAACAAGATAGCAAAAGCCAGTGCAGGGCCTGCAGGTATAGGGGGATCCTGCAAGCAGAAATCTGTGGTGGGCGGGCGGCAGGTGAGCAAGGAGAACGTGTCTGTAAAGGAAGCACAGGGAACAGGTGGTGGCTTTGTAAGACAGTTGGAACCCAAGGAAGGTAAGAATAATGTACCACTCCTTGCTCCATATGACTGCTTCCTTATATCTCAGTTCAGATATTACCTTCTCCGTAAGGCCGCCTCCCTTCCTGTAAGTGATGCTTCTCTATCTACAACCCCAGCTCTTATTGCAGAGCACTGTAGGGGCTGTTCTGGGGCTTTTCTTCCCTGAGACATGTGAAGGCAGGGAGAGGGGCTTGCACGCCTTAGCAGGTGTTTAAAAATTTTGCTTGCCTGGATCACCAAAGAACTGAATGGGTGGTGTAAATGGGTAGAAAATGAACTGGCTGGAAACTGAGTGACAAGGTTCAGGTCTGAATCTCTGTTTAAATGCAGGCAGGCCATCCCCCAGGAAAGCCTATGTTGGTGAGGGTTATGATGGGAGAATGAGTGAACTGCAGCCTGGCACCACCACACCCTGGAAGGTGCAGTTGGGAAGAAAGTTTCTGAGGCTGTAGACATGGGGATCGGATGCTGGAGAAACCCCCTGCTGCTGCTGATTGCCCTGGTCCTGTCAGCCAAGCTGGGTCACTTCCAAAGGTGGGAGGGCTTCCAGCAGAAGCTCATGAGCAAGAAGAACATGAATTCAACACTCAACTTCTTCATTCAATCCTACAACAATGCCAGCAACGACACCTACTTATATCGAGTCCAGAGGCTAATTCGAAGTCAGATGCAGGTTTGTACCTTGCTCTCCCAAGACATCAGCAGGCCCTGTTCTTGCCAGTTCAGACATGTGAGGATTCTGGGGTAGCTCCCAAGAGAACCAAGTGGTGGTCCTCCGTGAGGTCCCAAGGGGGAAGCATCTTCACTTGTAGCAGGTACATTGTAGAGTTGTTCAGATCCCAGAATGTCCTTAGCCATGCTTCCAAAATGCTTTCCTAAGGACTGGCATGAACTCTAACTCCAATACACTTAGAGGCAAAAGTGTTCACTGAGGATTAAACTCTTTTTTTTTTTTTTTTTGAGATGGAGTTTCGCTCTTGTTGCCCACGCTGGAGTGCAATGGCATGATCTTGGCTCACTGCAACCTCCTCCTCCCAGGTTCAAGTGATTCTCCTGCCTCAGCCTCCCAAGTAGCTGAGATTACAGGTACGTACCACCACACCTGGCTAAATTTTTTGTATTTTTAGTAGAAACCGGTTTTCACCATGTTAGCCAAGCTGGTCTCGAACTCCTGACCTCAGGTGATCTGCCCACCTCGGCCTCCCAAAGTGCCGGAGTTACAGGCGTGAGATACCACGCCCGGCCAGCTCTTTTTCCTTGGGAAGAAATGCCTTTCATTCTGATATTTGACCCTGCCGGAGTGACAGCAAGGATAATTTTGCTCCCTTTAAAGTTCTCATTTGGCAAAATACAAATATTCTCTGTAGGCCTGTAGCCCCCAATATTTTTTCAATGTGTAGGGTTGTAAAATTCAAAACTGGGTGTTCTGTGTTATACAAACTTCAAATTATACAGAGGGTTTATTCTGGAAGTGGAGAGGATGTGAGAGATAGGGTTCAGCCAGATCACCTCACCTTCTGTTTTACATATAAAATTTCTCTGAAATATATCAATTGAAGGATAATAGAAGAAAGAAAAGTTGTTAGGGAACCCCTTTTATTGGTACAACATTTCCTCAAGGTCAGATAATAAACTATACAGTCCCCTTGGTGTCCATGAGGAATTGGTTCCAGGACCCCTCAGGATGCCCACATCCATGGATTCTGAAGTCTTTTATGTAAAATGGAATAGTGTTTCCACATAACCTATGCACATCTTCCCACATATGGTAAATCATTTCTAGATTAATTATAATAAGTGGTACAGTGTAAATGCTATGTAGATAATTATTATACTGTACTGTTTAGGGAATAATTACAAGAAAAAATGTTCAGTATACAGGCAACCATACATTTTTTTTTCCTGAATATTTTGATGCACGGTTGTTTGCATCCACAGATATGGAGCTCGTAAGTACAGAGGGCTGACTGTAGAAGTTGGGGCAGCAACAATGCTACGTCCTAGTTCAATTAGCTAGATTTGGGAAAACACAACTGGCTATGGGAAAGCTCTCTCGCCAGAGAGTAAGGCAGCTGGAACAGAGAGAACCGGCAAGGCGGGAGGGCAGCGTGGGGAGGACCAGTCAGCATAGGTCAAATCCTCATCCCAATGCAGACTGTCCCACAGGCTGGCTCAGTGAGGCACTTCTACCACAAGATGGCGATGTTGCCCATTTGGTTCTTGGTTCTTCCACAATTGGTTAAGACCCCAAGGAGGCTTGCCTTGTGAAATCAATCCATCACCATTAAGTTAGCTGTTAAGGAATAATGATGAGCATTTGATGTCATTCACATTGATAAGCAGACAGAGCAGGCGTGCCTCCTGGTAGCTGGGTGATCTTGGCATGGGCCTCTGGGCACCCCCACACCCATATGACCATTGTGTCTGTCCTTACACCTCACAGAGGGGACAAGAGCAGGCGTGGAGGGCTGCCAGGTGCCTCTGGGGGCTTCACGCCCAGCTCCTCCCAACTGAGGCTCCTGGTCAAGTGACATCCAGACTCTCCAGACCTCAGTTTCTTCACCTGCAAAGTGCCTCAGAATAGGAGGGAAGCACTTAGCACAGTGCCAACATCTGGTAGCACTTATAAAAAATCTTTGCTGTTATTATGACTACTCCTGTCATTATCGAACAAATAAGTCTAATAACGAATAACACTTTGCACACTGGAATGTCAGTTACAGTGATGACGGGTGGTTTAGTTTTTTCTTACATTCTGAGCATGCTGAAAGTCAGTGTGACCGTGCCTGGGGCAGCCCTGCAAATGCCCATGCATGGATGGCCCCCACATGTTTGGGTGCGGGGAGGCTGGTACTGCCCTCAGGTCTAGGCTCCCTGCTGCCCTGTCCCAGTGTTTGCTAAGGGTGTCTTCCTCCCAGGAGCAGTGTGGGCACTCTCTGCCTCAGTCACCACCCCAGAGATGACCAAGCCCTCTCACTGGGCTTGACCAGTGACAGGGCAAGGCAACAGGGAGCTTCCCAGAGCTTCTCCTGCACCGGTGAAGATCCACTAATCCACATATCTACTCAGGAATCCAGCTCAGAACCCGACAGGGAACCGTAACCCCCAAGCTCTCTGTTAGTCTCCCTTCTGGGCGTAGGGCCTCCCTGCCCACAAGGGCTTTTCCAGGCTCCAACCCCTGCAGGCTTCATGGCCTCACACTTGATCACAAGTGAAAGAGCCATGGGGAAATCCCTGGCATGCGTTCTCCATGGCTCGTGTACCCACCATGCCTCCTTCCTTCATTTCTGTACACGCTAGGAGGAAACTGGCATTATTCTCCTCATTTCCTAGATGAGGAAACTGAGATTCAGTAAAATTTACAGAGTCTGCAGGGGGTAAAGCCAGATTTTGTGTTCTGTCACTCTCCTAACACTGAATCTGCTTCAAAGTAACACTGCAGACACTTTGCTAAAAGATGTAATAACTTATAATTATGAAAATATTTAAAATTTATTTTATGCATTCAGGGAAATGCAAGCTTCCATTTAGCCCACATAACAACTCCAGAAGCAGGCACAATTGTGGTTTGTAGTTTGTAAGTGAAAAAGCTGAGGATGCTAAGTAACTTGCTCAAGGTCACAGTCACTAAATGGAAAATGCATGCCCCAAATCAATTCGATTCCAAAACTGTTTTTAACTGTATTGCTAAGCTGCCTTCCACTAGGTTGGTCAGGAAGGATAGTAGAGACAGAGGAAATGGCAGAAGGGACTGGGGGGGTGGGGACAAGATGCTGGCTCTGTTGCATTTTGAAGGCCACATCTGCCAGCCTGGGAGTGGCCTGTGGTGGCCAGGCAACCCAGCTTGATGTTGCCTCTTCTGTCCTGAGGATGGAACAGAGGCAGGTGAGAAGCTTTCTGTGGCTGCTGCAGCAAAACCAACCTATGACCAGGGGCTTTGGCTGCCATTGCCCTCCCTCCAGCCAGAAGTAAGGAGAAGGGAGCCATGCTTTTGGTGGGTAAGCTCCGCGAACAAGAACTGTGGCCCTGGGAGCTTTACTCTCAGTCCTAGCTTCTCCAGGAGAGGGTCAGCCACTGGATGCTTGGAGTCCACACTAACAGCACAACTGATTCTCGGCAGCTGACGACGGGAGTGGAGTATATAGTCACTGTGAAGATTGGCTGGACCAAATGCAAGAGGAATGACACGAGCAATTCTTCCTGCCCCCTGCAAAGCAAGAAGCTGAGAAAGGTGTGTAGTGGAAGTCATCCCAAAGGGACTTGTGAAGTGAATATTTTAAAAAGCAACAGCTAGAAGTTGGCAGTTTTGCCACTTGTGTGGATTGGGGCCAGCTGGGGCCCAGCCCTGGGGCTGTCTGGCACCTCCTGAGGCACCTGGGTGAAGGAGGGAGGCTTTATATTTGGGCTGGTACAGCCCTGCACCCAGGCCTCTGGTTGCCTGGACCCTTCTCCAACCTGGCCTGCTCCCCAGACCCTCTGCGTGAAAGCAGTGGTTCCCTTTCCTTGGGGTCCTTCTTCTGTCTTCTTTCTCCCTCTCCAGGTCTCTAAGGTTGTCCAATTTCCTCCTTGTTCCCTTCTATTTTTCCTGGTCCATGAGTGGCACCCCTTGAAAGCTGGCAGATACAAGGGGCTCCCCCATGCCTGGGGAGGTGCAGGAGGAGGTAACGATGCTATTGCTCCTTGCTGGCCTGCCTGGCCCACATGACAGGGTCCGGCCAGGCCATAGACTCCAGGTTCACCTGCTGTGGGTCCCAAGTGGCTGGGTAGGGGGAAGACAGGGTGACATTCCTGTTCCAGACTGGCACTCCTTTCTGTTTCTACCCTTGACTGTGGGCAGCTCCCCTCTCTGCCCATGGGGTTCATGAGCAGCCACAGGGAGAGACCTGGGGAACAGGTGCCTGTTGCTTGCCTTTGAAAAATACTTCCCCCAAAGTCTGTTTTCTTTCTTCTTCTACAGAGTTTAATTTGCGAGTCTTTGATATACACCATGCCCTGGATAAACTATTTCCAGCTCTGGAACAATTCCTGTCTGGAGGCCGAGCATGTGGGCAGAAACCTCAGATGAGGGCTCATATGATTGAGTTGTGCACTGGCTGTTATTAAACTGTAAAGGATCATGTCTCCCTCATTGGGGTCTTATTACACATGCACACACACACATGCACACACAGAGTGTACACGTACACACACTTGCACATACTTACCTTCACAACCCACACACACAATGCTCATACTCACGACACCCTCACACTCTCACCACTCACATACATGCACATTCACTTTAACAGCCTCACACACTCATCCACCCGCCCACCCACTCACTCCTACATGTCAAGCACATGCACACTCACTCGCACACACATTCAGTGGTCTTCAGGGGTTGGTGCAATCTTTTCTTTCTTTTCCTTTCTTTCTTTCTTTTTTTTTTTTTTTTTTGAGACACAGTCTTGCTCTGTTGCCCAGGCTGGAGAGAAGTGGCGCAATCACTGAAGCCTCCGCTAAAGTGGAGCTCACTGAAGCCTTGACTTCCCCGGGCTCAAGTGATTCTTTCACCTTAGCCTCCCAAGTAGCTGAGATTACAGGTGCACACCGCTTTGTCCAGCTAATTTTTTAAAACACTTTTTTTGTGGAGACAATATCTCCCTTTCTTGCCTAGGCTGGTCATGGACTCCTGGGCTCAAGTAATCCTCCTGCCTCAGTCTCCCAAAGTGTTGGGATTATAGGCGTGAGCTACCGCACCCACCCAGCTGATGCAATTAGAACAGAATGTTCATAATCATTGGGGAAACCTCATCATTCTTTCTACGCCACCCCACATCTCTATGGCTTTTCTGAATTTAGCATGTCCCTGAGCTCTGACCCTAGTGTGGGGAGCCCTATTTCTTCCCAGCACACACACAACACTGTGACTCACACACATTTTTGTGAGTGTGTCTGAGATTCCCAATACCAAATTCACATTGAGTGACTCACTAGAGGACTCACAGGACTTAGCCTAGAGTCATTCTCATGGCTGTGATATGACAGCAATGGGACACAGGGCAAAACCAGCAAAGGCAAAAGGTGCATGGCGCTAGGTCAGGAGAAAACCAGCCAGGAGCTTCCAGAGTTCTCTCTCGGTGCCGTCACACAGAGCACGCTCAATTCCCCCAGAAGTGAGCTGTGGCAGTATGTGTCACAAGGAAGCTCCTTAAGACCCAGCAGCCAGGGTTTTTACCGGGGACTGGTCATGAAGGTAGTCTCTGCCTGGCACGTGCCAAAATTCCAGACTCCCAGAGGATAGCAGGGGTTCAATGTCAACCTCACTGCTGTACAGAGAATGTAAACACACTGAGGCCCTCTTCTCATGCAGGAAAAGTTTTCTATCAGTGTAGGGAACTGTTGACCCTCCAAGTTCTCAAACTCCATCCAAGGCCAGCCTTGCAAGCAGCCTTTCTTTCTTTTTTTTTTTTCTTTTTTTTGAGACGAAGTCTCGCTCTGTCGCCAGGCTGGAGTGCCGTGGCACGATCTTGGCTCACTGCAGTCTCCGCCTCCCAGGTTCAACCAATTCTTCTGCCTCAGCCTCCCTAGTAGCTGGGACTACAGGCGTGCACTGCCACGCCCAGCTAATTTTTTTGTATTTTTAGTAGAGACAGGGTTTCACCATGTTGGCCAGGATAGTCTTGATCTCCTGACCTGGTGATCCACCCGCCTCCGCCTCCCAAAGTGCTGGGATGACAAGCGTGAGCCACTGCGCCCAGCCTGCAAGCAGCCTTTCTAAGGACAGCAGTTCAGGCGGGCCGTGCGAACTCATTTCTGCACACTGAGTCATTGAGCCTCCCATGTTCTGATGGCTGCTTAAATAAGACCTGTGTTTTCTCCTCTTCTCTGGCTGACAGTCGATTAGAGAAGGTGCATGTTAGACCAGAAATGGTCTAATAGCCACAGACAATGGCTGACAGTGTGCCTATTGTACCACTTGACCATTCAGCCTCTTCCCAGGCACCAGCGCCACCAGCTGGTCATAATGGCAACTTGAGGGAGTATTGCTAAAGGGGAAGAATAAACATAGAGCAAGAACCTCAAACTTGACAGCAAGGCCTGAGGGAGAAGAGAGGATGGAGGAAGAGAGTTAAAGGAGGTGGAATTCCTGCGCAAAAAACCCCACAAAAACAACCTCCCCACAAACGTCACAAAAACAAAAAGGCCAGAAAGCACCCAGTCCTGCAAATCTAAGCTAATTGAGGGCTGACTGGGTGACCAGCACTGGCCTGCTGCCCACATTATCCTATTTGATCATCATGACCACCCTACGAAATGGCAACTTTTTCTCCACTTTATAGATGAAGAGCCTCCAAAGGCAGCCTCTGTCCAGATTCTAACATCCTAACTTAACACAGCTTGTTGGTTGCATTTTTAGAAATGGAGTCATACAATATATATTCTTTTGTTTCTGGCTTCTTGAATTCAATACATCCGTGTGGTCGTGTGTAGTTATAGTTCACTTTCTTTATTGTATAGAATTGCTTTGTGTAAATATACCACAATTTATCTATTGTA
The DNA here is from genome assembly GCF_000001405.40 of Homo sapiens. Lineage (NCBI taxonomy): Eukaryota > Metazoa > Chordata > Mammalia > Primates > Hominidae > Homo > Homo sapiens. Next base: position 23,447,353 of record NC_000020.11, read on the forward strand.
CTGATAATGTACTTTTGGGTCGTTTTCAGCTTCTAAGAACAATAGCTATTAACAAGCGTGAGTGTGCCTGTCTAATGCTGGACACATTACATGTACTTCTTTTCTTTTCTTTTTCTTTTTTTTTTTTTTTTGTGAGACAGAGTTCCACTCTTGTTGCCCAGGCCGCAGTGCAGTGGCACGATCTTGGCTCTGCCTCCCAGGTTCAAGTGATTCTCCTGCCTCAGCCTCCCAAGTAGCTGGGATTACAGGTGCCTGCCACCATGCCCAGCTAAATGTTTTTGTATTTTTAGTAGAGATGGGGTTTCACCATGTTGGCCAGGCTGGTCTCAAACACCTGACCTCAGGCGATCCACCCGCCTCGGCCTCCCAAAGTGCTGGGATTACAGGCATGAGCCACCGTGCCTGGCCACATACATGTGTTTCTATTGGATATATGCCTAAGAGTTAGTTGGTAATAGGATGTGCTTATGTTTAGCCTTTAGCTATTTTTTGCTCAAGACTTTTAAACATTGTTTGTTTTTTACCTAATTTGTTTTTCTAATGTTACTTACTTATCGATTTAAATCTTGTTCAACCTCTAAGTTCTTACTTTTTGAACATCTTTTATTTATATGGTCTAATTGTACTATTTCTATCTTTTTTTTGCTTTCCAACTTTAGAGTCATCTCTTATTATTATTATTGTTATTATTATTTTATTTCAATGGGTTTTTGGGAACAGGTGCTGTTTGGTTACATAGATAACATCTTCTGTGGTGATTTCTGAGATTTTGGCACACCTCTCACCTGAGCAGTGCACACTCTACCCAATGTGTATTTCTATCTCTTTAAACACAATTTCATATTGACACTCTATTCTTTTTATAATGTTTTACCAAACTTTATGGCATTACTTTGAATTTTTTAAAGTGAACTCTCCCACCCCACCCGCTCACCTTGCTTTCATAACTAGCAAACAGGAATGGTGGGCCTGAGCCAGCATTGAGACAGGAGTGGGCACCCAGGCCCTGGCTGAGTACAGGGAGGCAGCACAGCAGAGCTCTCCGGCGATGGAGCAGTGCTGTGTCTTGAGCATGGTGCTGGTTACACGAATGTACACGTGTGACTAAATGGCACACACACAGTACCAATGTTGGCTTCCTAATTGTGATATTTTTCTGTGATGTGATAAGATGTAACCATTAGGGGAAACTAGAGGAAGGACACAGAGGACTTCTCTCTACTACCTTTGTAACTTCCTGGAAATATATACTAATTTTTTAAAAAACTTCAAAGAAAGCCCCCACAACGTTGGCTGAGAAATCCAAGAGATTAATGGGCATAAATGTTCCACCTTCTCTTTTTAATCTCCCCAAAAATAGTAATGCCTGCCTTGGGGACACCATAGCAAAAAATGTCAGAAAAGTGTTGACTGTTGACTGGTATTAAATTACTACCACTGCCACTGCCAGCATTCTTCCTAATGGTTAATATTTATTTGAATGCCTGCTTCGTGTTAGGCACTGTGTTAAGCAATTTATATGCATTATCATCATCAATCTTTACAACTGCCTCAAGGAGTAGGTACTGTTATTCTCAGTTAAAGATGAAGACATTGTAGGTTAGCATCATCCCAGGCAGTTGGCGGAGGGAAACCCCACCTGGGCCCCGCTGAAACAGGGTTCTGGGCATTCCAGCACTTCAACAGGGAGAGTAAAAGCCAAAAATAAATTATTTGTTCTTTCAAAGCCAATCCCATCTTGGTGAGAACTGGTGTTGCTGACGTGCATCTCAGCTCACAGTTCACACATGCAGGAGCTCTCCTGTTGGTGCTCTGCCTATAGTCTCTCAAATCTCACACTTTCTGTGCATGCCAGCTTGACTTCCCTGTGCCCTTTTATTTGTGCACCGTCTCTGCCGCTTACTCTGCCCTGGAGCTGCCTCAGGCCAGAGGTACTAGGGAATTCATGCCCCCTAAGAGCCAATACTGATGGGAACTGAACTGTTGGATAAATACCCCAACTCCCTCTCCCCGCAGGGAAATGAATGCTGTAATGCCGTGTGTATGTGTGTGTGTGTATGTGTGTGTGTATATGTGTGTGTGTTTGCTATGGTGTCCCTAGACCTCACCTGTTGTATTAAACCCAAGGCTTTTGCTTGAGCTCTTGGGAACAAGATCTTCCTCCCTTTCTTACTGGATGTGAAGGAGGACACACCTAACCCATTGAGCTGCTGGCAGCCTCCCTGCAACCACATGGAGGAGGAAGTGGAGTGGGGTAAGCCCGGTGACATCATCTGAGACCTTGAATCAGGCTGCGGAGTTGGGGGATGCTTCCTCCCGTGGCTGCTGTGCCTTCTGTGGAAAGAAAGCCCCTTGAACAGAGGACTCCTGGCTTCTCCCTGTCCTCAGGACTTCCTCTCCTGCTGGGATTAATCTGACTGGTCTGTTTGGGAAGAATGAACTGGGCATTGTCACCAGGTCTGCCTCCTTCACGGGGGGCACATATGTCCCTTTGCTCCTCTAGGAGAGGAATTTATTTATAGACAGACCTGGTTTGGTCCAGTGTTGCTCGTGCAAGGGGGCAGAAGTCTAATTCTGGAGTTTGCAATTAGAAAGTGCACTTGCTTGCAAAAATAAGGCACATCTCTCAACCTGGTTATCATATCAGTAGCAAAGGCCTTGTCTTTCTTAGTTCTTTGGTGATTTCTTCTTATTTCACACTTTAGGTAAGGAGAGAGGGTGATCTTCATTGGGCCCCTCAGACGTGCCATCACAGGCCATACTTGCAAATGTCTCTTGGCTGTTCAGTTGCTTTGAGCTTCTTCCCTCTCCTTATTCTGCTTCTCAGTTTCTCCATACTATTTTAAAATCTAAAGAATCTTAAAATCTTGCCTGATATGAGAATGAAATTGAAGTTCTGCTACCATGAAGGCATAGGTGATAAGGTCAGGAATAATGTAGGTCACCTCATTTGGACCCCCAAACTGCCCTGGCCCAGCAGACTTTCAGATTATTACTATGAGCTGAAGAATTTGGATAAAAAGAAAAAGAAAAAAAGTGGAATCACGATCTTAAGAGAATATGTTGACAAACATTTATTGCCTATATTAAGGATTATTGCCCATTGCAGGATTCTCTCACATGCAGTGGCCGCAGTTGTACACTCCAGGACACCTAGTCACTGCTGCAGCTTTTGTTCAAAATTTTGTACTGTTCAAACCAGGGTACAGCAAACACTGAGAAGAAGCAGTTGACTTGCTAAAACAAAAAACAAAGGCAATATTTTAAAAGACGCCAGGTGAAATTTAAAAGGAGAAGGAAGAGGATGTAAGACACGAAGATGGAGAAAAGGCTACCACCTCTCCACCCCTACAATCCTATTTGACCACAAACAGAAGGACATTTTCTGGAATGATCCCAGCAATGTTACTATCAAGCGGCTGAAATCAAAATAAATATCAAACAAGATATTTAGAAATAAAGTGTCTGCGCAGCCCATATTCACCATGGGTACTGCTGATTCTTTTTTCCCTCTTCATTTTTACTCATTTTTTTAAACTTCACTTCTTCCCTTATTTGTCCTCTCTTGGCTCCATTTATTCATCCACCCATTCTTCCAACCATCTATTTATCCCTCCATTCATCTACCCATATGTCCATCCATCCATTTGTCCATCCATTTATCCTTCAGTCCATCCCCCATCCATCCATTTACCCATCTGTCGACCCATCAACCCATTCATCCATCCTTCCATTCATCCCTCATCCATCTCCATTCATTCTTCCATTTATCCCTCCTTCCATCCACCCATCCATCTTTACTTCCTGACTTTGCTTCCTCTCCCTCAGTGCATGCAGCCTTGCTTCATTTCTTCATCCATCTGTCCATTGCACCATCTCCCACAGATGGGCCAGTGCCAGGTGGGATGAAGGCCTGTTGGAGCTGGAGCTGCCTTCGGGGGTGGTGGCTTCCCAGCAGAGCACACGCATGCAAGTTTGTGCCCCTCATCCACCCTCACCCACCAGTCAAATCATTTCTGAACTTGTTTCCTCACCTCCTCCTCCCCCTGGATGAACATGGCTGGATGAAATGAGAGAGGACAGGAGCCCAGCACTTGCGCGGCCTTGTCATGTTGACTCTGAGGTATTCAGTCAGCGCACCTGACAGGTCCCTCCCACAGGCTGCTTAAATATTAGGAATTGTCTGCTTCCCTCGCCCCAGAGTGTGCCCCTGCAGCTCGGCCACCTCAACTCCTCTCTCTGGACATGTTCAGCCTCCTCACACTCCTTCCAGCAACAAAGGAGCAGCATCTCGGCTGTCTCCACCTTTGCTTTCCCTCTCTGAGGAAGGAGGTGTTACCCATGCATTCTTTTCAAGCCAGCTTGAGTAAATTCCAATTAATTCTTCCCAACTCATTCTAAAGCCACAGAAAAACCTCACTGAAAAGGACTTCTGTCTACGTTAAAGTGCTTTTACCCAATACCTTGTGAAGCTCCCTTTCCTGGGGGACACAGTTCGTGGTCTCTGGCTTTTGGCAGGTGGTCCACTGCATTTCCACATTCAGGTGATACTCCAGGTGGTCAGTGACCTGTGGGCGCCAGGCGTGGGGGAGGCACAGCTTGTCCCCTTCTCCCCTGTCTGCGGTTTCTGTGCCTGGGGGCTCCGCTACCCCACGTCCAAGGGCAAGGAGCTGGTCCTAGGCGGATTAGCGGGCTCCTCTCTCCTCTATTTGACTCATGATTGTTTTTGTCATTCCAAGAGAATTAACCAGAAACCATCAGAAACATGAACTTTCCCCCTGGGCAAATCTATCCCTTGGGTAATGCAAGTGACGCTAGTGATTCTGGATAGGGGTCTGTAAACTTTTTCCGTAAAGGGCTACATAGTAAACATCTTACGTTTTATTGGCCATGTGGTCTCTGTAACTACTCAGTTCGGCATGAGTGTGGCAGCAGCAAGCAGTGGCAGACAAAGCACAGGCATGCTCATGGCTAGGTCACAAGAACACGACTTACAAAAGTGGGCGGCAGGCAGTTTTGGCCCTTGGGATGTAATGTGCTGAGGATCCCTGGTCCTGGGTTTTGTTTAAGTGCCTTAATTTCATCACCCTAGTGAATTTATGCTTCTCTTAAAGTGCTCACATCAAGCTAAGCAAGGTTGAATTTCCCTTGAGTGGGACTATTCCTGACACCAGTGGCCACCCGATGTGGGCGTATCAGGCCTGGGGAGAGGCGGGAAGTCATACACTCACCTGCCTCTGGACTTTAAGGACTCGGAAGATCCTGAAGTGGTACTTGTCATCACTTTCCTTGTTATACTGGTCGGTGATCCACTGCAAGCTGTCCTTCGCATAGTTTTCTACTGCCATCACTTCATGGACGCTTAGAAAGGTTTTCTTCCTTGCTTGGTAGGGGAGGGCCATCAGAGTCAATAGAATGGCCAACAGGAGCTGTAGGGCCTGCCAGGGCTCAGCCATCATCCTTCAGCTGCAGAGGAACAGGAAGAGTGTTCTCTGTACTCCTCAGGGACAAGTCGAATCACACTGACCCTACCTGCCCTGGCAGGATTTAAGAGCAGCTGGTGGTGGACACCCACAGCTCTCCTCTCCTCCTCCTCCCCCTTCATCAGCAGCTGAACTCGAGGGGAGAGCAGCAAGAGACTGTGCAATGGTTTTTGCATAAGTTCATGCCACACACACACAGGATAACACACACATTTTCTCTTTTGAGGGGCTGCTCCCTCAGCAACACACAGGCTTCTGTGGACCCAGCATTGTCTTGGTGGGAGCCAGGCGAGGGCCCCTGGGAGTCCTGGAGGATGGTAGCTGCTGGAGACACGGGGAGATTGGATGCCAGGACTGGCGCATTCATAGGTGAGCAGTGGGGGGTGGGCACTGTGGGGAGGGGCCGCCTGCACCGGAAGCCACTCTCCCCCAGCCTGGTTCCTGGAGACGAGTTCTGGAAAATCCCCTCCCTTAGAGGACAAAGGAGCAGAGGCACCCTACAGAAAGGTGTGAAGGGAGGGAGAGTCAACTCTGACACCGACGATTCCCCAGTACCGACAAGTCCTAGAGTGGCCTCCGCTGGACTTGCATGTTTTGGAGGAGGAGGCAGTGGCGAGGAAGCTTCAGGTGTGAGACACAGGGAGCTTTCTGGTTGGACATTCTGGTCTCCTAAAGGTCCCATCCTGGGGACCTGATGGGAGTCCCCAGACTTGGCTGCCAGTTAGAGAAGGAAGAAGCCACTGGTGGGTGGAGGCTGGAGCTTGTGTCCCACGGCACACAGAATGCAGGCTTAGTGCGGTTATGTTCGATTCCTAGAAGGCCTGTTATGGTGTCTTTTGGGAAGATGCGATATAAAAATGTGCAGTGATGGCTCCTGTGTGGGAACCCGGGGAGGAGCCCTGGGCACACCCAACGCCTGTTTCGAGGCTTCCTCATGTGCCTCCAGGGGATGCCAGGAACCAGGAAGCCAGGGCCTCTTTCCTGACACCCCTGCTCAGCCTTCCCTCACAGACACACTTGCTGCATAGCCACATTCACACCCGAACACACGGACACACAACACATACACATACCTACACACACAGTCACACTCACACTGAAACACAGACACACAACACACAGAGACACATACCTATCCACACTCACACTGAAATATACAGACACACACACCTACATGTATACATCCACATTCACAGTGAAAAACACAGATGCACAACACACACACATACCGCCACACATGCACACATACACACTGAAACACACACACAACACACAGAGACACACGCACCTACATGTACACAACCACACTCACACTGAAACACACATACTACACACACATCTACACATACACAATGACACTCACACTGAAACATATAGACACACAACACACACCTACACGTACATGCCCACACTCACATTGAAACACACAGACACACAACACACAGATACACACACCTACATTACACACCCACACTCACACTGAAACACACAGACACACAACATACACACACACCTACATGTACACACCCACACTCACACTGAAACACACACACAACACACATAGACACACCCCCCCACGCATACATACCCACACTCACGCTAAAACACACAGACACAGTACACACACAGACATACATACCTGCACACACACACACTCCCAAAACTCATGGACCTCAGGGTTCACTCCTTGGAGTACAGTGGAGCGCACATCCTCCATGCCCTCTTGATGGAGGGTTTGGCATCACCACAGAGCGAACACTGTGGAAGGGCTCTGTCTCCACCTCCTGTCTGTGCTTCCAGGACGGCCTCAATTTGTCTGGTGGCACAAAGGCAAAGCAGAAAAAGGTGAGAAGCTGGGCATCAGTTGGGCCTAGTGTGAGGTCTGCTTGGCCTCTGCCCTGAGCTCCCTGAGCGGCTGTAAGTGGGATATCAATGCTCTTTTCATTGGGTTACTCTTACATTATAATTAAGAGCCTATGGGCAGAGACTGCTCATTTTATTTTCCTCAGTAACAGAGCTGCATTTTTGTTTGAGTATGGGACTGCCTGCAATAAAGACTGCATTTCCCAGCCTTCCTTGCAGTGGGGGTAGTCTCATGACCAAGATCTAAGTGAAATTGTTGTTTGAGACATAGAGGAATTTACTCTGTAAATTGCTGACTCAGTTACAAAGAGTCATTTTTGCCTTATCTGCCATTGGGAATGAGGACATGATGGCTGGAGCTCCAGCAGCTCTATTGGAACATGAAGTAATCTGGAGAACAGAAGCCAGCTCTGAGGATGGGAGAGAAAAAGACGAAAGGATTGTGGTGCCTTGTGCCCTTGCCACTTTTTGGAGTGCCAGCCCTATATTGCCATCCCAACTCTTGTATAGTAAAGTTTATTTTCTTGTTTATATAAATAAGAGTTTATTTTCAACTCTTGTGTGCTTAAACCACCATAGTTTTGGTCTCTAATTCTCATGGCTGGCCACATACTACTACTAATTGAAACAGAATCTGACTCATAGTAAGTGCTTAATATGTAGTGGGATTATTGTGCAATTGTCTGAACAGTATTTATGAAATTTTGTTTTTTATTGTCTGATTTAGGTTGTTCATGGAATAGACATATTTACTACATGTCTCCGGCAGAATTGCTGTAACACTAGGAATAGTATATGTAAGCATCTAGCACGTGGTGGGGCAGGGTGGTGGGGCTCACAAAGAATCCCTCCTGTCAATGTCTGTGGGGTCTGACTGTGGATCCCCTCCCATGTGTGCTTTGCAGCTGTGCAGAACTGGCAATGTTCATCTCCGACCTCAGTGGGCAGCCCATGGGCCTTCACTTGTGTCAGTGCAAACATGCCTTGCCAGTTCCCTCAGGCCCCAGGTAGCAAGGCAAGAGGGCGGCACCAAAGAAGCCGGGCCAGGAGGCGCAGGTGGTCGATCTTCCACAGGGTTGCACTGGCAGCATTACCTCTTGGTTGATCTCGTCAGTGGCCCGTGGGTTCTCTTCCTGTCGCCCACTTGCCCTCCTGGCCCTGCATGGGGAGGTGAGCAGTGTGAAGAACACCACATCCTCCAGCCCTCTTGATCTTGTCTTTTTTCCCCTCTGCTTTTTCTTCTTGTTATTCCCTCCCCACTCCCCTGCAGGCTGGAATACAAACTCTTCTCCAAGCCCAAATCTTGACCTCTTCCTCTATGTTCATAATTCTTTACCTCAGCAGATACAAGAATCCCCTTTGAGAAGCTGATGGAAGCTGTGGCCCACTCCCCTGAAAACAGAGAATGTGCCCCTTATGGGGAACAGGCTTCACTTGCAAGTGTCATCATGGTGTGGCTTTGTCCTCACTTCCTACTGTTCCTTTGCATGGACTCAGCCATGCTATTTGTCCTCTGTGACTTTTCAAGTGACTCCCAGGCAATATACACAGTCTCAATCCAGTTATTGAAATGCTAGTTTTTGGAGATGGTCAAAACTTTGAACGTGCTTTAAAGTTGCGCTTCTCCCTCCTGGAGGCTTGCATTTGGGGAGGAGTGCTTGCTTCTTTCTCTTTTTCCCTATGCACACCACATCTCCTCTGCCTCTTCCATCTCACCAGCCATGGTTTTTAGGGCCCCTCTGTGTCAGAACGAGCAGAGAAGGAAGATGTAGAGGACTGGAAAATTCCTACTTGGCTGCAGCTGCTGTGCTCCCAAGCCTTGGCAGAATTTTAAAACTGGCTGTTCTGGGGTCCCTTCCTGCCTCTGCCCAGCCTCCATCGCTAGCAGCCCCTCCCCTGCAGCTCCCCTGGCAGCTGTGCTCATTTCCTGTGGCTGCTGTAACTAGTTACTAACAACAGTGGTTTAAAGCAACACCCTTTTATTATCTTGCAATTTTGGAGGTTACCAGCCCTACAATCAAGGTACTGGCAGGGTCGCATTCCCTCTGGATGGCCTAAGGGAGAACCTATTTTTTTCAGCTGCCAGCATTGCTTGGCTTCTGGCCCCTTCCTGCATCATCAAAGCCAGCATGGAGTCTCTTCAGTCTCTCTACTCTCTGGCCTCTGGTTCTCCCCAGCATGTCTCCTTCTCTGACTCTCCATCTCCCTCTTCTAAGGACGTGATTAATTACATGGGGCCCCTTCAGATAATCTCACCATCCTAAGATCCTTAACTTAATCACATCTGCAAAGTCACTTTTGCCCACAAGGTAACAAGTTCACAGGTTCTGGGGTTAGGATGCGGACATCTCGGGTGGGGTGTTATTCTGCCTGTCATGGCAGCACAGAGGCTCTCCCTTCCGGCTGCCGGTTGCTCTTGTCTCGGCCAGGACTGCTCTGGTTCTTTTGGCTGAGGTATGTGGAGCCCTGTTGACATCCCTACCACCTCAGTTCCTTCTCTGCTCTGGACCATCTCAACCCAGCCGCTTCTTGGCTGCCTGGCCAGAAAAGCAGGAAGTCAGTCACCACTAGCTTGGGCGAGGGTCAGGTAGATCACCTCCCTCAGAACTTCCTCTGTTCCCGACTCCTGGACATTTCATTTTCTCAACATGGGTGAGCAATTCAGGTGGCTTCTGTATCCGCTATGAAAAATTTTACGTTCTTCTCTGGCACCTGATTTTGAAACTTGTCCTAATAAAAAATTCCATTTAACATTCAGTAACATTTACATAAAATGTTGCATATGACTTTAGGGAGGTTACAGGCCGCTGAATCCAATCCCTTGGCATGGGATAATATGTATGTATGTATATATATGTGTGTATATATATATATATAAATTTTTTTAAAGGCTAGTCAAGTGAAGCAGTGGGGGTGGAGAAAGAACAAAGGAATCTGTAACTGTTTGTGATCAATAAGTTGTAAATACCATTGTACTTGCACCAGCCTTGATGCTATTTTAAGAACCCCTCTTCTACAGTCTCAGTTACTAACAATTTGGTCACATTCAATGCTCCCGTAGAGGTGACTCCCATATAGTTAACTTCATTCCAAGTTCCCTTTTTGAAGTGTGATTTTATATTGCTACCTGTTTGCTGCAAATTCCTTTGAAAGTCCCACTGTAAACTGAATCTCCTCCAGCCAAAGAAAGGCTCATTGTCTTGACTTCCTTCCATCGCCTCTCTGGGGTACCCTATTTTGTCTCTTGGGAGGCCCAGAGTCAGCCACCAAGTCCCACAAGTCCTCCAGTCATGTCTCAGTTCCACACTCCATCCCCTATGGCTTCTTCTGGGTAACATGGATCTATGGGTCCATGGATTAATTGCTAGGAGACATCCATCCACAGATGCAATATTGTAGCATGTTTATATTCCAAAAAAAAATCTTTCTGACTTTCCACATCCTACCAAGAGTTGGTTAAGATGCTAAAATTAAAAATAGAATGGACTGCCACTTCCAGCTGTCAGAAAGACTTCCTCTCAACCTGGTATAGAACACTCAGACTGCAGTTTGTATATATTTGCCCAAAGTTCCTGCAGCCACAGGCATGGAGTTGCTCTGCTGGAAGATGCTATCTGGCCACCAAACTGTCATCTCACATAGATGAACATGCTGAGGAATGTGCCAGTTTCTAAAATTTTCCATGCACTCTTAAACTCCAGTGGCTTTGTAAGTTTTCAGATTGCAATCAATGAATGTTCCTGCCCTGCTAAATCTTCTTCATTATTCCCCGTAGCTCAGGTGGATGTGTCTCCTTGCATGCTGATTCTCGCTTGCTGTTGTTTCCTCAGCTTTCATGTCTCATGAAAACTGTTCTCCTGGCCAAATTGAACGAATGCAGCTCTCTGGACTCAGAGAGGATTGAATGGGCAATTAATCAGGAGGGTGCCAGTCTCCCAGGAGAACCAGCAAATATCACTGAATTACGGTGAGGATGAGAAAGGCACATTTATCAGTACTGTTCCCGGGAAGGAAGGCCCCTGAACCATTGGAGGTGGACCCAGTTTCCTTTGGGACTTTGGTTAAGATGGGTTTTGTTTTGTGGGTCTGGGGCCAGAGGAGTTGGAATTGCTGGGCCTCAGAGGAGAGGCCGAGCTCTTAGCCAGAGACTCCTTTTCCTCACCTTCCCTAGACCATTTGGCCTCTTCTCTCCATTAAAGAGGGGCCAACATTTAAGAGATGTAGGTTTATAGGAGTCTAAGATCATGAGCTTCCTGGGGCAGCCAAATTCCCTCCTTCAAAGTCTCCAGCATACGTGCTGTAGCTCTGTCTTGGTAGGGGATTCCCCTCTGCTGAGCACTCTTGTCCTTCTCTTCCTTTTGTTAACAGCTGCTCATATTCCTGGACTCTGCTGAAGAACAATCTCCTCCAGGAAGCGCCTTCTGATTGCCTGGCCCACCTTCTGCCCAGGCTAACACGGATGCCACTGCTATCTGGCCACACTTCTATCAAAACATGCAAGCTGTTCTCCTTCCACTGCTCTTCAGCTCTGCCTCTGGAACCTCACTTTGAATCCCTTGGGACAACAAAGTCAGACTGGCTGGACTCACATCTGGCTCCACCATTGACCAGCTGGGTGGCTGTGGGCAAATTACTTACATTCAACGTGCCTCAGTCTTCTCACCTGCAAAATGGGTATAAAATAGTTCTCATTCATGCTAATGAAATGAGATAATCCAGGCAAAGAGCTTATAATGGTTTTTAAAAAAATGTTCAATTATTATTGTTGTTGTTATTATCATTTGTTATTTTCTGTATTTCTGACAAGTAGTGCAGTTCCTGATGTTGAATGAACCACTGACAATGTTCACACACACACACACACACATGCACGCACTTGCCCAAATGTTAAACTTTGGTTCTCTCCTCTGACTCATTCTTTGTACCCAGTCATATGGTCCCATTGGGTCATTCTTCAGAACACCTGTCAAAAACCACTGGCATGGCGCAGGATTTAGTTTTATTCACAACTGTATCTCCAGGGCCTGACACAAAGTCATTGCTCAAAAACATGTTGGATGAGTGAAGGCATGAACACATGGATGATTGAATGAATAAAATCCTTTTCCCTGTAGACTGCATTTCCACAGCTGCCTTCCAGCCCACTCTTCACTGACTCCATCCAGACTCCTGTAATATCCTGACCATTCCTGCACTGTTCACTCTGGCCTCTCCCTGCACAATACAGCTAGTTTTATACCACTGCTGTGAGGTCTTCAACTGGTTCCCAGTGGTTTAGCAAATAAGGAACAAACTCACAAGACAACTAAGTGTTTATAGCATCACTTCTGTTTATACTTCCCCAGCTTGTACTTCTGCCAACATTAGATGAGAATGCCTTTTCCACAAACCCTGCTGGCCTCCCCAAGTCCTTTATAAGCACCTAAAATGCATTTATACCGTTCTGGGAACAAATATAATGGGATCCTGCTTCACAGCTCAGAAGGCAAATGGTGACTGCCTAACAGCTGAGCTTCCCAAATGCCCTCACCAACAGGAAGTCCGGCTCCCTCTCCACATTCAACCAGGGTTCTCTTGTAAGCCTCAGTAGAATCCAGAGGGTCATGGGGTGGCTGTCCTGGCTGCCAGATGAGCATTCAGAAGTATCCTTTGTATTTGTTGATCCCATCTGGAATTTGTGTTGGTGGAAGGAATGCCTTGGGGATTGAACTATGTATTTATTTATCTATTTATTTTGCAGTTGGCTATCTAGTTTTACCCACCCCATTTGTTGAATAGTTATCTTTCACTTTTTAATTCATAAATTTTGTAATCATGGGGATGTCAATTGAGGAAAATGGCGAGACAAGTCTCAATCATTTTTGGAGATTTATTTGCCAAAGTTAAGGACGCACCTGGGAGACAGGTGCCTTTCTCTGAAGATGATTTTGGGGGTTCAAAATTTAAAGGGAAAAGTGTGGGATATTGAGAAGCCCGCAGTTTTCACATAAACAAAAGGCACACAAAAAATGTCGGGAATCCTCATTTTACTTAAGATAACACAGACAAAATGGGTTAGGGAAACAGTCAGATACACCCTGTGAAAGGAAATTAAATTTTGGGGCCCCAAGCTCATTTAGCCAAAGGGAAAAGTCAAGCTGGGAACTGGGTCATGCAAACCTGCCTCCACCTTTTGGTTCCTAAGTAAGAAGACTACAAGATGAAAAGCTACTCGCCTCCCCCATATTCTGCCCACAAGGAAATTCCTGGTGAGATGTTAAAACTTCACCGTGGCAATGCAAATTGATAGTTTGTCTTTAAAGGTGCAGTCACCCTGGCCAGCCAGACATAAACTTTATTGTTGTCTTATTTTCAGAAATTGCCACAGCCAACCCAACCTTCAGCAACCACCAGTCTGATCAGTCAGCAACCATCAACATCAAGGCAAGACCCTCCATCAGCAAAAGGATTATGACTCACTGAAGGCACAGATTGTTAGCATTTTTAGCAGTAAATCATTTTTAATTAAGGTATATATATTGTTTTTTATACATGATTCCACACTTAATAGACTATGATATAGCATAAACACAACTTTTATATGCACTGGGAAACCCCCCAAAAAATGTGTGACTCACTTTATTGCAATATTCACTTTATTGTGGTGCTCTAAAATGAAACCCCCAATGTCTCTGAGGTATGCCTATGTAAGAAATTGCAAAACATGCCTATAGTGATTACACCATTTTGCATTCTGACTGGCAGTGAATGAGAGAACCAGTTTTTATCTTCATCCTCACCAGCATTTGTTGTTATCACTATTTTTTATTTTAGCTGTGTGGTATCTCATCATGGTTTTAATCAGCATTTGTCCAAGGACTGATGACATGGAGCCTATTCGCTAATAACTAATGATCTTTTTATAAGTGTATTTACTATGTGTTTATCTTTGGTAAAGTATTCATGTCTTTTGTCCATTTATTAATTGGTGTGTTTGTTTTTTTACTATTGAGTTTTTGAGGTTATTTATTTTTTCTGGTTACAATTTTTTAGGTATGTGATTTGAAAATATCCTATTTCAGTCTGTAGCTTGTCTTTTCATTTAACAGTGTCTGTGTTAGAGTAAAACTTTAAATTTTCATGAAGTTCAATTTATCTTCTTTTTTCAAGGGGTACATGCACAGGTTTGTTTTGTAGGTCAACTTATGTCATGAGGGTTTGTTGTAAAGATTATTTCATTGCCCAGGTATTAAATCTAGTACCCATTAGTTAGTTTTGCCTGATCCTCTTTTTCCTCCTACCCTCTGCCTTCCAATAGGCCCCAGTGTGGTTTGTTTCCCTCTATGTGTTCATGTGTTCTCATCATTTAGCTCCCACTTATAAGTGAGAACATGTGGTATTTGGTTTTCTGTTTCTGCATTAGTTTGCTGAGAATAATGGCCTGCAGTTTCATCCATGTCCCTGCAAAGGATATGATCTTATTCTTTTTTTATGGCTGCATAGTATTGCATGGTGTATGTGTACTACATTTTCTTTAGTCTATCATTGAGAGACATTTAGATGGATTCCATGTCTTTGCTATTGTGACTAGTGCTGCAATGCACATATGCATGCATGTGTCTTTATAACAGAACAAGTTATATTCCTTTGGGTATATACCCAGTAATGGGATTGCTAGGTCAAATGGTATTTCTGTCTTTGAGACTTTGAGGAATCACCACACTGTCTTCCACAATGGTTGAACTAATTTACATTTCCACTAACAGTGTATAAGCCTTCTTTTTTTCGCCATAACCTTGCCAGCATCTGTTTTTTAAAAATTTTTAATAGTAGCCATTCTGATTGGTGTGAGATGATATCTCATTGTGGTTTTAATTTGCATTTCTCTAATGATAAGTGATGTTGACCTTTTTTCAAATGCTTGTTGGCCGCATGTATGTCTTCTTTTGAAAACTGTCTGTTCATGTCCTTTGCCCACTTTTTAATGGGGTTGTTTGTTTTTTTCTTGTAAATTTAAGTTCCTTATAGATGCTGGCTACTAGACCTTTGTTAGATGCATGCTTGAAAAAATTTTCTCCATTCTGCAGATTGTCTGCTCACTCTGTTGATAGTTTCTTTTGCTGTGCTGAAGCTCTTTAGTTTAATTAGATCCCATTTGTCAATTTTTGCTTTTGTCACAATTGCTTTTGGTGTCATTGTCATGAAATCTTTGCCCATGCCAGTGTCCTAAATGGTGTTGTCTAGGTTGTCTTCTGGGTTTTTATAGTTTTGAGTTTTACATTTAAGTATTTAATTCATCTTGAGTTAATTTTTGTACATAATGTAAGAAAGGGGTCCAGTTTCAATCTTCTGCATATGGCTAGCCAGTTATCCCAGCATCATTTATTGAGTAGGAAGTCCTTTCCCCATTGCTTGTTTTTGTCAGGTTTTTCAAAAGTCAGATAGTTGTAGGTGTGTGGCCTTATTTCTGGGTCCTCTATTCTGTTCCATTGGTGTGTGTGTATGTTTTTGTACCATGCTGTTTTGGTTACAGTAGCCCTGTAGTATAGTTTGAAGTCAGGTAGCATGATACCTCCAGCTTTGTTCTTTTTGCTTGGGATTGCCTTGGCTATTTGGACTCTTCTTTTGGTTCTATATGAATATTAAAATAGTTTTTTTTAGTTCTGTGAAGAATGTCAATGGTAGTTTAATAGGAATAGCATTGAATCTATAAACTGCTTTTTAACAATATTGATTTCAACAACATTGATTTTTCCTATCCATGAGCATGGAATGTTTTTCCATTTGTTTGTGTCATCTCTGATTTCTTTGAGCAGTGTCTTGTAGTTCTCTTTGTAAAGATCTTTCACTTCCCTAGTTATCTGTATTCCTAGGTATTTTATTCTTTTTGTGGCAATTGTGAATGGGTGTACATTCCTGATTTGCCTCTTGGCTTGACTTTTGTTGGTGTATAGAAATGTTGGTAATTTTTGCACATTGATTTTGTATGCTGAGACATCATTTTATGACTCCTTAACATAAAATGAGAGATATACAATTTTTTTAAAAAAGGATCATGCCTTTGGTGTCATGTCTGAAAGTTCTAACTTCATGCCATGAATATTTTGCTCTAAAACTGTTATAGTTTTATATTTTTATCTATGATTCAATTTTGAGTTAATTCTTGTATAATGCATATATGATAAAATTTAGTTTCAGATTCATTTCTATTGCATATGGAAGCTCAATGGTTCCAACACCATTTATTGAAAAGATTGTTCTTTATACATTGAATTGCCTCTACACCAATGCCAAATGTGAGTTGGCTACCAGTTGGTCTATTTATGGCTATTTTGTTCTATTCTATGTTTTGACTACTGTATTCTGTTCTTACGTATGTGTCCATCACCTTATAAATACCACCATCCTCTAGTTCTATAGGATTTGAGGTAGACTATTGGGATTTTCATAACATGACACATATAATCATACGTGTTTCTATATGTGAATAGGGAGGTATATGCATTCAGTTGGGAGATATTTTTATTCATTTTGACAATCTCTATCTTTTAATTTAGATCACTTATATTTAATGTAATGATTGATATGTTTGGATTTTAGGTCTATCATAGAGAGGCCCATCAGTCTTAGTCTAGGTTCCTCAGGCATCTGAACCCCAGGAACAGCTTTAGCCAGCATATCTGTCTTCTCTAGCATCCATGTTCCCTTCCAGCAAGTTTCCCTAAGACACTCACAAAATTTTTTGTCCGCTGCCAGGAAGAAAATTCCTATTATTTTTTCACATGGTGAAATAACTGTGCTGATGCTTGATCCTGTTTCTGATTTATGGATCAATGGATTGAAGAAAAGGCATTTTGTTTGTTTGTTTCTCTCCAGATCTACTTTTCAGAGCTCACAAAATGATGAAACGTTCTAAGGTCAGATGGCTACTCTGCTGTGTTTTGCTGTGTTTCAGTGGTTCTCTGGGCATGATGGCTCTCAAATGTGATATAAGAATTGGACACCCAAGGAGAGATAGTTTGAGACTGTCGAACTCTGCAAAAGTCTAGCAGGCAGAGACACACCTTCCAGAGTGGCTAACATTAGCCTCTGGTGCTCTTAGGCAACACAAATGCTCCAAAAGGAGGCAGAAACCCTCAGGCCAGCTGAGAGACCAGAGGAGACCAAGCAGGTCAGCAGTGGGGATGTCAGGGAGGGGATGCTCTTCCCTTCTGCTGCCTCCTCTACTGCCAGATTGGGCACCAGAAGACAATGCCAGAAGACACTTTATAGGGAGCAACTTGCCTTCAAATCATAGGCTTTTTCTTTTGTGATTCTGAATTCTCCTGAGCCCCTGAATTTTTTATTATGGTTAAAATGTATATAACATAAAATTTGCCATTTTAAGCATTTTTAAGTGTACAGTTCAGTGGTGTTAAGTACATTCATCCATGTGCAATCCTCACCACAATCCATCTCTAGAATTTTTTCATGTTGTAAAATTGAAACTCCATACCCATTAAATAATAACACCTCATTCTTCTCTCCCCCAGCCCCTGGTAACCCCTAGTCTACTTTCTGTCTCTGTGAATTTGATTAGTCTAGATATCTCATGTGAGTGGAATCATATAGTGTTTGTCTTTTGTTACTGGCTTATTTCACTTAGTATAACATCCTCAAGGTTCACCCATGTTGTAACATGTAACCGTTTTTTCCTTTTTTATGGCTGAATAATATTCCATTGTATGGAAATGCCACATTTTTTTTATTCACTCATTCTTCCATGGACACTTGGGCTGCTTCCACCTCCCAGCTATTGTGGATAATGCTGCTGTGAACACGAGTGTGTGGATATATGCTCAATTCCAAGCCTCTGATTTTGCACCTTTGGTAATGAAGGAATCCCAAGGGAGGGTTGCAGAAGCTCCAGGGCAGGAGCCCTGATCAGGCAGCTCTCCGCTCTGCCCATGAGTCTCCAAAAGGTCCTCTAGGTATATGAGCCTGTCCCTAAGGGCCTGACCAACTTCTCGGTTAATAAGAAAAACTTTGCCAAGACTGCAGATGATTGCAGAAGCAGCAGCTCAACTCAGCATGTCCCTACCAGCTTTTTGATGCTTAAATCCTTCAGCCTGGGGGCCCAGCATGGTCTCCATTGTGAGGACTCAGTTGCAGATGCTACTCACTGCCCTTTGGAGAGACACTGTGGTAATAGACACTTGCCTTGATGTAGGAAACTGCCTGACTTGGAGCAAGACCTAGAGTGGAGGGCACCAGGGGCAGAAAGGGGATGAAAGATCTTGACTTTCAACGCTGCTTGGGAAAATGCATTTTCTCTGCTTCAATTGAGGGGACAAAAATTAAAGTTCAGTGCCTGATAAGGAAGAAGACTATGGTAAATATCCAAGGGTTTCAGGTGAAACCATGAGAGGCCACATCCTAGGAGTAAAAGTGAACTGGAAATAGACCATTTGCAGAAGCCCAGATTTGAATCTTTGAACTGAAAGAAAATAATGAACAATCTAGAATTCCATAGTCAGTAAAGATACTCCTCAAAAATGAAAGCAAAATAAAGACATTTTCAGAACATCAAAAAGAAAAAAAACTCAAAAATTTTAAAGATGAAAATGTTTCAGAGTGTGTTCTTTGTTCACAGTAAACAACTATAATAAAAATAGCTAAAAATAATTTTAATAACTCTAGCTGTCTGTAAATTTAACAATAAAAAAATCAAACAATAAATTTAAAAATAATTCATGGATTTTGAATTGAAAGATAATAACCATATGACATATCAACATTTCTGAGATGTTGCCATAAAAGGGCTTAGAGGGAAATTTATAGTCTTAAACCCATGTGTTAGCAGTATTTTGGGGACACCCAGAAGAGAGAAGATGGAGATTTGGCTGAACCCCTAGGATAGGGGGTCCCAGAGAAGTTAAATTGTTTAGAGAAAAGTCAGCTTTTGGAAAAAGCTAAATGATACACCAACAAGATCCAATAAAAAATAAACACTAAAATGAGTTCTTTGGAGGTAAGGGAGAATGATCCCAGGTGGAAGCAAAGTAATGTTGAAGGAATGGTGCACAGAAGAAGGGTAAATATAATTGATAAATCCCCATGAATATTAAACGTATAAAACCACTGTAATATTGTTTTACAGGCTATCAAATATGTAGAATTTAAGTACATGACAACAATAACATACAAGGTAGAAGTGGACAAAGGGGTAATAGTGCCCTAAGGTTTCCTCACCATCTTTGCAGTGGTATGTTGGGAGCAGGCCCCCCAAAATCTGTCCATAAACTGGCCCCAAAACTGGCCATAAACAAAATCTCTGCAGCACTGTAACATGTTCATAATGGCCCTAATGCCCGAGCTGGAAGGTTGTGGGTTTACAGGAATTAGGGCAAGGAACACCTGGCCCACCCAGGGTGGAAAACCACTTAAAGGCATTCTTAAGCCACAAATAATAGCATGAGTGATCTGTTTCTTAAGGGTGTGTTCCTGCTGCAGTTAACTAGCCCACCCTATTCCTTTAATTCGGCCCATCCCTTTGTTTCCCATAAGGGATACTCTTAGTTAATTTAATGTCTATAGAAATAATGCTAATGACTGGTTTGCTGTTAATAAATATGTGGGTAAATCTCTGTTTGTGGCTCTCAGCTCTGAAGGCTGTGAGACCCCTGATTTCCCGCTTCACACCTCTATATTTCTGTGTGTGTGTCTTTAATTCCTCTAGCGCCGCAGGGTTAGGGTCTCCCCGACCAAGCTGGTCTCAGCAAGTGGCACCCAATGTGGGACTCGAATCCGGATCGAAGGGTTGCCAGAGCAACCGTTGGAATGGAAAACTAGCTGGAGGACACCCGAGTACTCTTAAAGCAATCCCCATGGTGAGTAAGAAGGGGAGCTCAGAAGCATCAGGGTAACGGTGGGACAGTGTGGGGTCTGGTTCCTTTCACCTTGGAACTTTTTCACACTGATAATGAGGAGAACAAGAGTATAGTGAAGTAACAGAAGAGGTTACAGAGCATGTTTATTTGCCAGCTAAAGCGGCAAAGGAAGGAAAGTTTCATCCCTACCCTTCTGCACCCCCTCCTTATTATTTTGAAGAAAATGAACCCCCAGATCTTTCTTTTCTGGAGGACACTGGGTGAAAAGTAGTTGCCCCAGTGACTGTTTGAGCAGTGCCTCGAGCAACCAGTCTTAGTTCTATTCAGGCAGGAATTCAGCAAGCTAGACGAGAGGGTGATTTAGAGGCTTGGCAGTTCCCTGTTAGAATACACCCCCCAGATCAACAGGGAAATATTACAGCTACATTTGAGCCTTTTCTTTTTAAATTACTCAAAGAAATAAAACAAGCTATAAATCAGTATGGACCAGGTTCTCCTTTTGGAATGGGACTGTTAAAGAATGTTACTATTTCAAGTCAGATGATTCCTACTGACTGGGACACTCTTACTTCAGCTTGTCTAACTCCTGCTCAGTTCTTAAAATTTAAAACTTGGTGGGCATGGGTGCAGCACACCAACATGGCACATGTATACATATGTAACAAACCTGTATGTTGTGCACATGTACCCTAGAACTTAAAGTATAATAAAAAAATACATATATAAATAAAATAAAATAAAATAAAACTTGGTGGGCAGATGACGCTTCCATTCAGGCTGCTCACAATGCCCAGGCCGAAACTCAAATTAATATAACTGCAGACCAACTTTTGGGGATTAGCAGCTGGTCTGGTTTACATGCACAACTGGTCATGCAGGAAGATGCCATAGAACAGCTTAGGGGAGTGTGCATTGGAGAGTGGGAAAAAATCACTTCAGGTGGAGAACAATACCCTTCCTTTAGTGCTATGAAACAGGGACAAGGGAAGCATATGTTGATTTTATAGCTCGGTTACAGGGGTCTCTTAAAAAGATGATTGCAGATTTGGCGCTCAGGATATAGTGTTGCAGTTATTAGCTTTTGACAATGCTAATCCCGATTGCCAGGCTGCTCTGCAACCTATCAGAGGGAAGGCACATTTAGTTGATTATATCAAGGCCTGTGATGGTATCAGAGGTAATCTGCATAAAGCTACCTTGTTGGCACAGGCAATGGCAGGACTAAGAGTGGATAAAGGAAATACTCCATTTCCTGGAGCTTGTTTTAACTGTGGGAAGCATGGTCATGCTAAAAAAGAATGTAGAAAAAATCAGCGAGTCAGGTTGCCAGATAGGGGAAAAAAGAAAACTGTTAAGCCTGTAATATGTCCACAATGTAAAAAAGGAAATCATTGGGCTAGTCAGTGTCACTCTAAGTTTAATAAAGAAGGGAACTTGATTTCGGGAAATGCATGAGGGGCCCGTCCTGGGCCCTGTTCTAAACTGGGGCATTTTCAGCACAGGCCATTCCCTCAACCCTGTAAAATGTCTGTCCCCTGCCACAGCTGGTAGTGCCACAGTAGATTTATGCTGCACAAAAGCTGTGAGCCTTCTGCCTGGGGAACTCCTGCAAAAGGTCTCAACAGGAGTCTGTGGACCCTTGCCAGCAGGGACAATAGGATTACTTTTTGGAAGGTCTAGTGTAAGTTTAAAAGGGATACAAATACATACAGGAGTCATTGATTCAGATTACAATGGGGAAATTCAAATTGTTATATCTACTTCTGTTCCCTGGAAAGCAGACCCAGGAAAGCACATAGCACAGCTCCTGATTGTGCCATATGTAGGAATGGGAAAAAGTGAAATTAAACCATCAAGAGGATTTGGAAGCACAAACAAACAAGGCAAAGCAGCTTATTGGGTAAATCAAATTACTGATAAACGTCCTACCTGTGAAATAACTATTCAAGGAAAGAAATTTAAAGGTTTGGTAGATACAGGAGTGGACATTTCAATCATTGCTCTACAGCACTGGCCGTCCATGTGGCCAATTCAACCTGCTCAATTTAACATAGTTGGAGTTGGTAAAGCTGCTGAAGTATATCAAAGTAGTTATATTTTGCATTGTGAGGGGCCCAATGGACAACCTAGGACTATTCAACCAATTATAACTTCTGTACCTATAAATTTATGGGGAAGAGATTTATTACAACAATGGGGAGCACAAGTTCTAATTCCAGAACAATTATATAGCCCTCAAAGTCAATATACAATGCATGAAATAGGGTATATCCCTGGTATGGGACTAGAAAAAAATTTGCAAGGTTTGAAAGAACTGCTTCAAGCAGAAAAACAAAGTTCCTGCCAAAGATTAGGAAATAATTTTTTATGGTGGCCATTGTTAAGCCTCCAGAACCTATACCTTTAAAATGGTTAACAGATAAACCAATTTGGATAGAACAATGGCTGCTAAGTAAAGAGAAATGGGAGGCTTTAGAGAAATTAGTTACTGAACAATTAGAAAATGGGCACATAGCTCCAACATTTTCCCCTTGGAATTCTCCAGTGTTTGTAATTAAGAAAAAATCAGGTAAATGGAGAATGTTAACTGAGTTAAGAGCCATCAATTCAGTTATACAACCTATGGGAGCATTACAGCCAGGATTGCCTTCTTCTGCTATAATTCCAAAAAATTGGCCTTTAATAGTCATAGATTTAAAAGACTGTTTCTTTACTATCCCTTTAGCTGAGCAAGACTGTGAACGGTTTGCATTTACAATTCCTGCAGTAAACAACCTGCAGCCTGCTAAGCGTTATCACTGGAAAGTGTTGCCACAGGGCATGTCAAACAGTCCAACAATTTGCCAGATGTATGTGGGGCAAGCAATTGAACCTACTTGTAAAAAATTTTCACAGTGTTACATTATTCACTATATGGATGATATACTTTGTGTTGCCCATACTCGAGAAATATTACTCTAATGTTATGATTACTTGCAAAATTCGATTTCTCATGCTGGTTTAATTATAGCTCCTGATGAAATTCAGACTACTACTCCTTACTCCTACTTGGGGACCTTAGTAAATGGCACTACCATTGTGTCACAGAAAGTAACCATACATAGGGATCAACTAAAAACATTAAATGACTTTCAAAAATTACTAGGGGATATTAATTGGATATGACCTGCTCTAGGCATTCCTACCTATGCCATGAGTAATCCGTTTTCTATCCTTAGAGGAGATCCTAGTCTTACTAGCCGTCAGCAATTAAAGGAGGCTGAGGTCAAGTTACAGCTGACTGAAAAGCAAGTCCATAAGGCTCACATAGAATAGATCCAGAGAAGACTCTAGATTTGCTAATTTTTTTCATCTCAGCATTCACCTACTGTTGTTATTGTCCAAGAACAGGACTTGGTAGAGTGGCTTTTTCTTCCACATACTAATTCATGGACTCTAAATCCTTTTTTAGATCAAATCGCTACTATGATAGGGATTGGGAGAACTCAGATTGTTAAATTACATGGATATGATCCTGGAAAAATTATTGTCCCTCTCACAAAGGCACAAATACAGTAAGCTTTTATAAATAGTCTTACCTGGCAAATCCATTTAGCTGACTTTGTGGGTATTCTCGATAATCATTTTCCTAAAATGAAGCTGTTTCAGTTTTTGAAATTAACTGATTGGATTCTCCCTAAAATAATGAAATTTAAACCAATTGAAGGTGCTGAGAATGTTTTTACAGATGGGTCTAGTAATGGTAAAGCTTCTTATTCTGGCTCAAAAAGTAAAGTTTTTCAGATGCCCTATACTTAAGCTCAAAAAGTGGAGCTTGTAGCTGTAATTGAGTTATTGACTGCTTTTGATATGCCTATTAATGTGATTTCTGATTCTTCATATGCGGTTCACTCCACACAGTTAATTGAAAATGCTCAGTTATGATTTCATACAGATGAACAACAGATGACTTTATTTACCCAATTGCAAACAGCAGTTAGGAGTAGAATGCACCCTTTTTACATCACTCACATTAGGGCTCATACACCTCTTCCAGGACCTTTGACTGAAGGGAATCAAATGGCTGATCACCTAGTTGCTACTGCAATATCTAATGCTAGACATTTTCATAATTCAACCCATGTTAATGCCTCTGGTCTCAAACGCAGATACAGCATTACCTGGAAAGAAGCTAAAGCTATTATCCAGCAATGCCCAACTTGCCAAATGGTACATTCCTCATCTTTTACAGGAGGAGTTAATCCTCGAGGACTGGAACCTAACTCTATTTGGCAAGTGGATGTCACACATGTTCCCTCGTTTGAGAGACTAGCTTATGTACATGTATGTGTGGACACCTTTTCTCACTTTGTCTGGACTGCATGCCAAACAGGAGAGTCTTCTGCCTGTGTTAAAAATCACCTTTTGCTGGAATGCATGGGCATTCCAGCTTCTATTAAAACAGATAATGCCCCAGGCTATACTAGCCAAACTCTAGCTACATTTTTCTCTATGTGGAATATTAAACACATTACCAGTATCCCATACCATTCTCAAGGACAAGCCATAGTGGAAAAAATGAATCTCTCCCTAAAACAGCAGCTGCAAAAGCAGAAGGGGAGAGACAGAGAATATGGGACACTGCAGATACAACTGAATCTAGCATTATTGACTTTAAATTTTCTGAGCCTGCCCAAAGGCCAGATGTTATCAGCAGCTGAACAGCATCTACAGAAACCAGCTGCAAAGACAGAAATAGAACAACTGATTTGGTGGAGAGATCCAATAACAAAAAGTTGGGAAATAGGTAAAATAATAACTTGGGGTAGAGGTTATGCTTGTATTTCTCCAGGCCAAAATCAACAGCCAATTTGGATACTATCAAGACACCTGAAACCTTATCATGAGCCAGATGCTGAGGAAGAGACTCCGGGAGGATCCTGAGGACCCCCCAGTTGCAGCCATGTCAAGACTGACTCTGTGGAGGACTCCAACTGTCACAAGCAACACCTGTCGAACACAGCCACCCATCTGGGGACAGATCAAGAAGCTGTCACAGATGGTGGAAGAAAACCTGAGGAAAGCGGGACAACCAGTCACAACGAGTAATTTTATGGTAGCTATGATAGCGGTTATCACCACTGCCATGAGTATTCCTTCAGTAAGGGCTGACACAGAGAACAATTATACTTATTGGGTATATTTATCAATCTTGGCTGGCAATAATTCCTGGATGCAATCACTTTATGACACAGTTACACATGCTTTCTGATCTCAGTATTTATCATAATAAAACTGCTCCTATAATTGAGGCATACCGCCCTCAAAAACCTATTTGTAAACAGGAATGGACCCAGTTAGAAAAAATGAACATACTTGTTTAGGAAGATTGCATTGCAGAACAGGCAGAGGTACTGAACAACGATTCCTATGGAATCATTATTAATTGGTCCCCTAAGGCGATGTTTAGCTTAAATTGCACCTCTCAGTCTGTGTGCCACGGTCACACTATGTTCAGCTGATCTGAACAAAACAGTCAGATGGTAGATATAATAATAAGTACAGCAAGAGTTCCTATTATCTGGAACCATGGCAGTATAGTGGCACCTCAACCTCAAATGATATGGCCCACTCTAGGAGCTTAACATAAGGATTTAAAATTAAAAGAACAAATATTTAAAGCATCCCAGGCACACCTGACCTTAATGCCAGGAGCTGGAGTGCTCAAAGGAGCTGAAAATGGATAAAAACACTTGGAAGCTCTGTGATTTCAATGATGATTGTGCTTTTAATCTGTGTTGTTTGTCTTTGTATAGTCTGCAGATGTGGATCCTGACTCCTGCGAGAAGTAGCTCACCATGACAAAGCTGCCTTTGCTTTTGTCGATTTGCAAATCAGAGAGTGGTAAAGGTACTAATTTATGGTAACTCAGTTAAGTCAATGATACTCATTACAATCACTATAGTTACCACTAAAAGAAGAGGTAAAGAAGAGATAACTTGGCTGGGTGCAGTGGCTCACTCCTATAATCCCAGCACTTTGGGTGGCCTAGGCAGCTGGATCACTTGAGGCCAGGAGTTCAAGACCAGCCTAATCTACATAGTGAAACCCCATTGCTACTAAAAATACAAAATTAGCTGGACAGAGTGGCTCACATCTGTAGTCCCAGCTGCTCGGGAGGCTGAGGCACGAGAATTGCTTGAACCCAGAAGGCTTCAGTGAGCTGAGATTGCACCACTGCACTCCAGCCTGGGTGACAGAGTGAAACTCCATCTCAAAAAAAAGAAAAGACAAAAGGGGAGGTTAACTAAAAGCCACTGAGGAGAAGAAATTGAATAAAACAAGAAACAGGGACAAATGAAATGAATAGAAAACAAATAGCAATATGGTAGATTTGAAACCAAACATATGGTAATATTAGTCATTAGTAACTAATAATATGAGTAATGTAAATGGAACAACTTTCCAAATAAGACTCTTAGACTGATTTAAAAAACTATTTGGTGGTTATAAAGGCACATATTAATTAAGATACCATATTAGAATAAAAGTATGAATAAAGATATTCAAGTAAATAAGAATCAAAACAATGCTAAATGTTTTGGTGTCTCTGACATCAGACTTCAGAGCAAGAGGCATTACTCAGCATAAACTGGTACATTATATAATGATAAAATGGTCAGCCACCAAGAAAGTGTAACAATTCTACTTGTATAAGCCCTGGACGACATAGTCTGAAAATAAATCAAGCAAAAATTGTCAGAAAGAAATAGACAAATTCACAATCATAATCATCATGAGAAATTTTAACATACCCCTCAGTAACTGGCAGAAAAGGCGACCAAAACCTAAACCAAAACCAAACCAAACCAAACTCAATAAAACAAGACAAAGTAGAAAGAGTAAATATGGCCAGGCACAGTGGCTTATGCCTGTAATCCCAGCACTTTGGGAGGCTGAGGCGGGTGGATTACCTGAGGCCAGGAGTTTGAGACCAGCCTGGCCAACATGGTGAAACCCTGTCTCTACTATAAATCCAAAAGCGTGGTGGTACATGTCTGTAATTCCAGCTGCCTGGGAGGCTGAAGCATGAGAATTGCTTAAACCCAGGAGGCAGAGGTTGCAGTGAGCTGAGATCGTGCTACTGTACTCTAGCCTAGGTGACAGAGTGAGACTCTGCCTCAGGAAAAAAAAAAAAAAAAGAAATAAAGAAAAAAGGGTAAATATATAGAAAATTTCAACAGAATGGACTTACTGATGTATATAAATATCTAACTCTACATCTATAAAATGCAGAATACGTATTCTTTTCAACTGCATATATTAATAGAATATTGGTTATTCTAGACAAATAACTCAAAAATTTCAAAGAAGGGAGATAATGAAATGGTGTTCTCTGACTGACTATAGTGGACTTGAATTAGAAGTCGATGAGAGAAAAGATAACTAGAAAATCAACTACATTTGGAAATTAAACAATACAGCTATAATAGCCCACAGATTAAAAAAAATGTCATAGTGGAAATTACAACTGGTTTTGAAATGAAGGAAAACTAATAATCAGCCTGGGAGGATGAAGCCAGTTGCACCTTCTGGTGGAGGAAGGTCTGGCAGCAGGGAAAATGGACTCTTATAGACATCTCCCTTGCACCCTTCAGAGCCCCACTGGCCACACACTTTGTGCTCTCCTGGGCCCAGCTGGCAATGTGGGCTCCAGCCCCGTCATGGGCAGGCTTAGCAACTGCTTCTGCTCTTCAGGAACTGGCTCACCAGAGGTCTCAGAGATTTCTTTTTCCCTGGTGAGCCTTACATGCACTATGTGAGGGCAAGCCAGGTGGGCTCGAGGTCTCCACCGGGTCTTCTCAGGGCTGGGCTGCAGCTGGAGGAGGCTTCCCTGAAAAGGTAGGCAGCAGGCATGTTGCATGCATGCCTGCAGGTCCAAAGTTATGTGACCTCCTGCTCTGCCTTGTTTGGAGATAACGGAGGGACTCTGCGGGGTTGTGGAGAGAGGCACTGGACAAGGCACTGCTCAAAGGGAGGTGCTCAACAGCTCAGGGCCCCTGGTGGACAGGGCTGTGTGGGACCCAGAGCTGAGAAGGGAGTCACCAGCAGCAGCTGCCACCACTCCTCCACCTGAGTGTCCCTGGCCCCCAGTGGGTACGCTGAGGATAGCCATGTGGTAGAAGGTGCCCCTGCTCATGGCACTTATTGTGCTGAGCACCCGCATCTGGATCATTCAAAAAGAATTCGTAGACATCAGTATTTTGTGGCATCAATGGAGTTTGCTGTGGCTCAGTTCAATGAGGACAATATGGAAGAGTACACGCACAGGTTGCTGGAGGTCCAGCGAGCCCAGCAGAAGGTGAGTGGCAGTCATTTTGTCCACTCCCAGAACTCTCTTCACCGACTGAATAGCTCAAAGCCCGTGGTGATGGCAGCAGGGGGTGACGTGGGAGGGGGTCCCATGTCTGCACCACATTTCTGAAGATTGGGCTCAGGGGCCCTTCCTCCTGCGGTGGGCACACAGCCTTCCTGATCTTTGCCCATTTCCTTGGCCATCTGCCCCTTCCTTGGGTTGCATCCCCATCCCTGGACCCTGGGAGGCTGCAGGAGCCCTGGGCACAGGGGGGTTATGCTGCTGCCCAGCCACAGTGCCCGGGGTGGGGGCTTCATGCCAGCCTAAAAGGGGAGAATGTAAGGAGGGGCAGGGCATATGTGAGTGTTCTTGGTGTGTATGGGAGTATGAGTATGTGAGTGTGTTATTGATATATGTAAAAACATGAGTGTGCTGTTGGTGTGAATCAAGGAATGACTGTGAGTGTGTTGGTGTGTTGGGGCATCAGTGTGTGAGTGTGTTGAGGGTTGGGCATGAGTGTATGTTGGTGTGTGTCAGGCATGAGTATGAATGTGTTGGTTTGTGTCAGGCATGAGTGTGAGTGTGTTGGTGTGTGTCAGGGCATGAGTATGTGAGTGTGTTGGGCATGAGTGTATGTTGTTGGTGTATGTTGGGCATGAGTGCATGTTTTTGGCATGTGTTGGGCATGTGTGTGTGAGTGTGTGTTGGGCATGAGTGTGAGTGCGTTATGTGTATAGGGTCACGAGTGTGAGTGTGTTGGTGTGTGTTGGGCTTGAGTGTGAGTGTGGTGTGTGTGTTGGGTATGAGTGTGAGTGTGTTGGTGTGTGTTGCGCGTGAGTGTATGTTGGTGTATGTTGGGCATGAGTGCATGTTTCTGGCATGTGTTGGGCATGCATGTGTGAGTGTGTGTTAGGTATGAGTGTGAGTGTGTTGTGTGTATAGGGGCATGAGTGTGAGTGTGTTGTGTGTGTTGGTCATGAATGTGAGTGTGTTGTGTGTATAGGGGCATGAGTGTGGTTGTTAGTTTGTTCCAGGGCATAGTTGGGTATCATCTCAACCCCAGCATGGATTGCTGAGCCCTTGACTGGGTCAAGTTTCTCGACAATTTCTAGGCTGTCCAGTGAGACCTGTGCCCCAGCCTGTCCAGACTTCTGGTCTGGATTCATTTTCTCTCTACATTTGGGTGCTTCCTGAGTTTCATGGACTTCTACGTAAAGAAATGAAAATAACTTTTAATCACTTCTTATAGAAGCCTAAGAAACATGCACAACAGCATGGTGCAGCTCTGCATTCACCTCGATGATCACTGGCAAGGTAGATGGTTACGAGCAATTAGCACTCACATGAAGCAGAACAGTGCCATCCCCCAGAGCCCCCTCTGTGATCCCATCTAGATTCTAACCTGCAAGGAGTCCTGCTGACCTAGTTTTTAATCCCAGGCATTAGTCTCGCCCATTTCTCACTCTGTGTAAAAGGAACCACCCAGTGTGAGCCCTCTGTGTGTGGCTGAGGCTCAGGTGTAAGGCAGAGGCAGTGTATTGTTAGGTGTGGCTGCGGCATGTGCAGGCTCACTGCTGCGCAGGATTTGATTGTGTGAGTGTGTCACACCCTATGTTTATCACTCTGTCAATTTGTCTGTCAGGTATTAGTCATTGGGAAGATTCCAGTGTGTATCTGAAGCACACTTAGTGGACTGTCTTCTACTGACCTGCAGAGAGATTGTACATGGCCCTGTCTAGGCCTATTTATATGACATGCACATGGCAGCCTTTTATCCACTTTCCTATTTGTTTCTCTGCCTTTTAAAAAAATTCATGAAAAGAAAACACTTAGCAACTGTTTGTATAATTCTTCTTGACAGACGTGGACAATGATTTATTATTATTATTATTATACTTTAAGTTTTAGGGTACATGTGCACAATGTGCAGGTTAGTTACATATGTATACATGTGCCATGCTGGTGCACTGCACCCACTAACTCGTCATCTAGCATTAGGTATATCTCCCAATGCTATCCCTCCCCTCTCCCCCCACCCCACAACAGGCCCCAGAGTGTGATGTTCCCCTTCCTGTGTCCATGTGTTCTCATTGTTCAATTCCCACCTGTGAGTGAGAATATGCGGTGTTTGGTTTTTTGTTTTTGCGATAGTTTATTGAGAATGATGATTTCCAATTTCATCCATGTCCCTACAAAGGACATGAACTCATCATTTTTATGGCTGCATAGTATTCCATGGTGTATATGTGCCACATTTTCTTAATCCAGTCTATCATTGTTGGACATTCGGGTTGGTTCCAAGTCTTTGCTATTGTGAATAATGCCGCAATAAACATACGTGTGCATGTGTCTTTATAGCAGCATGATTTATAGACCTTTGGGTATATAACCGGTAATGGGATGGCTGGGTCAAATGGTATTTCTAGTTCTAGATCCCTGAGGAATCACCACACTGACTTCCACAATGGTTGAACTAGTTTACAGTCCCACCAACAGTGTAAAAGTGTTCCTATTTCTCCACATCCTCTCCAGCACCTGTTGTTTCCTGACTTTTTAATGATTGCCATTCTAACTGGTGTGAGATGATATCTCATTGTGGTTTTGATTTGCATTTCTCTGATGGCCAGTGATGGTGAGCATTTTTTCATGTGTTTTTTGGCTGCATAAATGTCTTCTTTTGAGAAGTGTCTGTTCATGTCCTTCGCCCACTTTTTGATGGGGTTGTTTGTTTTTTCCTTGTAAATTTGTTTGAGTTCAGACAATGATATTTTTAACAGATTTGGAGATGGGCCTCACAATTTGTAAAAAATATGATGAAGACATTGACAATTGCCCATTGCAAGAAGGCTCAGCAGAGAAAAAGGTTTGAGAATAAAATCAACCCCAAAGCATCATGAATCTCTCGGGAATGGATAGTAATATCAAGGTGGGCCTTTGGGAGGAGGCTTAGAAAGGTCATCAGAGGTGATCCTGGGGCAGAATGAGGGTCCCTGAGCCCTCTCCCACCTGGTGTCAGGGCTCCCTCAGTGAAGGCAGAAGGCTGGCATGTAAGCAGACAAAGCCTGGCCTCAGTGCCAGGGAGATCCCTCTGCCTACAGCATGGCTGACTGGACATAGCAGGCACCTGCAGATTCTACATGGCCTTTGTCCCCAGACCAAGCCCTCACTTTGCTCCCCAGGCCAGTACCTTCCTGAGACCCTCGAGATCCAGGTAGATGATGTTCTCCATGCAGTCCTCACTCTTATTTTGTTGTTGGGGATTGCAGGACTGTCTAGTTTCTCCGGTCACTCAACCTGTCCCTCTAGTTCCTGTGTGGTAAGGATGTGTCCTAGTCAGTCTGAGTTCTGACACCATCCTCCCATGACCCATACATGACCCATGTGAGCTCAGAGGTTGAGGATGCTCTGAATCAGAGTTACAGGAGCAGCAGGGCTGGTCTCGCCCTTCCACCTGCAGGCTTGCTGTCAACTGCTGTGCTCAGTTGGTGGGTGCCCAGAGGGACCATCCCTTGGGAAGTTCATTCTCTCCCCTAGAACACACAGGGTGGGAGCCGTTCATCCAGCATCATGTGTGCTAGGGAGATTGTGAGTGGACACGATGCTTCAGGGGTCAGGTGATGGCCCAATCAGGCATGCTTTCAGGAATCCCCAGGCTCAGGTGGGAGCATTCAGCCAC
Organism: Homo sapiens; assembly: GCF_000001405.40. Classification (NCBI taxonomy): domain Eukaryota; kingdom Metazoa; phylum Chordata; class Mammalia; order Primates; family Hominidae; genus Homo; species Homo sapiens. The sequence continues at coordinate 23,479,558 of NC_000020.11, forward strand.
CTGTGCCCCTTGTCCTGGTGGAGGCTTGGGCATTTCAAGCCCTGTTCCTGGATGACTGTTTTTGTTTTTCATTTTTTGTAGTTTTTAATACATCTTGACCCCCTACTACATGCTAAATGCTCTCAGTGCATTACATTTTTCTAATTTATATGTTATACTTATTTTTTTTCAGGTATACTGCACATTTGTCATGGATGCCCGACCTTGGTTTTCCCAGTTCAACCTCCTAAACATCACCTGTAATGTGGAAACAGGTGGTGGCAGAGCCCCTGATTTTTTGCAGCAGAAGTCCTCTCTTCCTCTAGAGTATGAAAGTTTGTAGTTCTAGGCCTATGCTGCACTAGCAGAATTAAAGACATCTTAGCTCCTTCTGGGTCTGTGAACAGTTTTGCACTCTTTCCTATTATTTATTTGCCATGGATGTTTCTGGCAGTGATAAGCAAGGGAGAATTCATTATCATCGTTACCTTGGCTGCAGGTGTAGACTGTTGAATAAACCAAACTCCCCAGTTGATTTGAGGCAGTTCATGTAGGAGCCCCCCACCAGTTGGTTGGTGTACTCATCCATCCACCCATCGATCCATCCATCCATCCATCCATCCATCCATCCATCCATCCATCCATCCATCCATCCATCTGTTCCTTCATTCATGCACTGATTCATTCATTCATCCTTCCATTTCTCTATGCCATCATCCATCCACTCTAAAGGAATGCAGACAATTTTGTTAACCACACATGACCCTTCTGTTTCCATCTCAGGAACAGGCTCACAGAGGGTGGCTCTTCTGCAGAAGGGCCAGGCGCAGGCCTAGGGATCAGAGAAGGTCACTGAAGCTGACAGGAGGCTCTGCCCTCTGTGGACACCGAGGGCTGCATGAATCACAATGATGTCTTCTCCAGAGCTCAGATGTCTTCTCCAGAGCTCAGAAGATGGCAGTTCCAGTCTGCATGCCCACACCTGCTCCTGATGCCTGTGTTACCTATCTGGGACCCAGCCAGGGCTTCATAGCTGCCAGCATCACTCACTGCCCCTGGGAGAAGCACTGTGGTGACAGACACCCATCCTGACAAGCAGTCCTCTCTGCTGGGGTCTTGGTGGGGGATCAGCCTTGGAGGGGCAGAGAGATGAGGGGATGGTGTGGTGGGGGGACATGCATTGGGCAAAGAGACAGTGCAACAGTTTCTGGAGGAGTCTTCCCGAACAGAAGGGCTAGGGAGTCTTTACTCCTCCATCCTTGGTTTGGGGGGTGATTTGAATATTTCTTGGTAAGAAGTCTGCCTTTTTCCTGGATAGCTCATTCCCATGAATTTGCCATAGGGCTTATGGGACAGAATTTTCAGAAACAGCTTTGGGTAGCTCCATCTGTCATGGCAAAAAGATGTGGCAGCTTTGGTCCTTCGGCCAACTTCTGTGCAGGATTTGTGTGCAACATCCCTCCATAATTTGATAGGGCATATTTATATTACCAAGGGGATGTCTGCATGGTTAGCAAAACCAATCAATTGCTGGCCCTTGGCTTTGAGAGCACTCAGGCTGGGAGGGGTGGAGCCCTTGTTTATGGACCCCATGCCTACTGTTCCGGACAAGCACAGCCACACCCTCCCTGAGCTCTGGTCAGCATTGCTTGCTGATGGAAGCACCTTTACCTTTAATTCCAAGTTCACAAGGAAGGCCTGGCATCCTGCTCTTTTTCACAATAAGCCAGTTGTTTTCTACCTTGATCCACACAAAATCCCACTGGTTTCATTTTATATTTCTCTTAGGGACCAAGCATTACCCCTATCTGTATTGCAACAGAAAATTTGGGCCTAAATCATAAATACTTGGAGTCCTCAGGTGTTCGGTGCTTGGGGCTATGGCTGTGAAGTGGTTCTTTAAGGTACTCCAATATTTTAGAAATTGTGTTTACTGCAGTTGGGTATTTTGTCCATGGCCTGTGTTCTTTAGTTCCGGCTCTCATAGAAATTGAAAACATAGCCCTATTGCGGATTTCACTGTTGATGGTGCCCAGTGGCCATGAGCTATGCAAGCAGCTTTGGTAGGGTTAGTAAATTTTGTGCCTGCCACTTTTGTTAGTAATATGATGACCTCAAACCAGTAGAGCTTTGAATAATGTGTCAATATCCAAGATCAGCCAGAATCCAGGAGTCCATCTTGTTTCCTGGAGAAACCTCTCTGGATTTGGGTCAGTCATTAAGTGGCCTGAATAAGTAGGAAGTAAACATATTGAAAGTTATAGTACACAAAATTGACATATATTTCTAAATTCTAGATCTATGTCAAACCCCGAATATTTTCTACATCTTATCGAGTGACCTGTTTTGAAGGAGCAGGGCTCTTTGGAATGCATTTGCTGAGACCCCTCCTAAAATTAAGACTTAATTAAAATCTCAGCATTGGAGTGAGGGAGGCTGAAGAGACACAGAACTACATCCCTACACACCCAACACTGTAAAATATGTGTCACCGAAATCATCTCCTTTAACCCTCACCACAGCCCCCTCCCCATCTTCATATTAGGGCATTGAGCTACTTTTGTGGTTAATTACTGGGATTTTCTGAAATTGACCTCAGGGCCAAACGATTCCACTACCCATATCACCAACTGCCCTTCTAACTCTTGAGTTTCCAACCCCACAGATCCACAGGCATTCAGTAAAGAACAAACCAAAGGCTTAGGAACACTTGCAACTGCCACTTATCTCATTTGTCTGATGTTTCCCAAATACTATTTTTTTTTCAAAAGAAAATCACCCACTACAAAAGCTGCTATTGTTTATTTCCTTTCTCCTGTCAGCCCAGGAATGCAATCAGCAGATCAAAGTAACCAATCTGTCTGTCATGAAAACCCCTTGTCTGGTCTCCAGCCATACCATACTCATCTTTTGCCCCACTTGCTCTCTGAGCTCCACAGACCCTGAATGGCCTCCTCCCATTCCTCTTCCAGCCTCCTGGTTGCACCCCGCTTGAAGAGTTCTGCTGCTTTTTAAATGATGATACCTATTATCTCTGCAATGGTCTATATTTTACACAGACATGTCCCCTGCTTACATCCTGTGCGTGGCAGACAGAAAAATCTAAAATTCCATCTAAATCATACATAACCTCAAATTAGTTTTATATTTTAAAAATACAGTCTGTAATTGATTGGAGATGTGAAAAAAACCTGGCCCTTCACAACAGATTTTGAGAAACACAGGACTTTCTATTGGCCATGAAGTTTATCTTCACACTGATTTTCTGTTCTACATATTAATTCAGACATGGCCAATGTCTTCATCTATACTGTCATTTGTCTATTGACTTCTTATGTCTTCCGTGGGTCAGAAATCCTTAATTTTATAATTTTTAATGTGGGATGTGGCATTTTATACTAAACATTTTTAGAGTACTCTTCAAGTCTTTTCCTCTCTGCTTATTTTTTGGCTTCTTGATCTATCAATTTTTGGCTTTAGGACTATCAAATAAAACGTTGGTCACTTATCTTTTTTTTCTGCAGTTCTCTTATTTTTTGCTAGATATGTGTTAGACTGCAATGATGGTATATAAATGTTTTGATGACTGTATTTTCTTGTCCTATTTTTTCCTTTGTTTATTTTTGTTCCTATATTAGTTATCTATGCTATGTAACAAATATCCACAAACTTAGAAGGTTAAAACATCTATTTATTATCTGAGTTTCTCAATTTGTGTGAGTCAGACTTATATGGGTCCTGTAATCAGGGTCTTATAATGCTGAAATCAAGTTGTCAGTCAAGACTGGGGACTCATCTGAGGCTTGGGGTCCTCCTCCAAGCTCATATGCGTTTATTTTAGGACTCTCAATTCTATTCCATTGATCTCTATATATATCCTTATGTTGGTACTACAGCTTTTTGAAGACTGTAGCTTTATAGTAAGTTTTGAGATTGGGAAGTATAAGTCTCCCAACTTTGTTATTTTTCAAGATTGTTTTTCATAGCCTAGGTTTCCTGCATTTACATGGGTGAATGGGTCCATGGAGTTCCCCACTCTGACATTCCAAAAGTATAACTCTTTTCTAGATTCTCCTTTAAAGACTCACTGGTTAGGTAAGGTCCATGCAGGGAAATATGCCTTTATAGTATCTCAGCGCGATGGATTGGAGACTTTAATTATGTCTACAAAATAGTGTCACCTTTGCCATATAACCTAACCTAATCCCAGCAATGATATTTCATTGTATTTCTATGTCCTACCCACAATCAAGGGGAGGAGATTATACAGAGTGTGTATCCCTGAGGGGATATCTTGTTGTTGTTGTTTTAAGATTTCTGTCTACCACAGTTTCTTATTACTTTATTTTTTGCATTAAGTTCTATTTTGTAATATATTAAGATTGAAAGTCTATTTTTTTGCTTCAGATTTTCCTAAACATTTTCCCAACCTTTTTTAAAAAAATATTTTGGGCATCTTTTCATTTTGAGAGTCTTTTATAGACACTATGCTGTGGGTCTTTTTCAAAATTCCAATCTGTAAGTCTCAATATTTTATTTACTGAGGTATTTTTATTACCATTATGCTAGATATCTTCTCTGTTATTTTCAAACCTTTCTGTTTACTGTATTTTCTCATTTTGTGTTTGTACACTCTCCTAGTGATGTGCCTTTGGACGGATAAGCTGAAGTTTCTTCTGCTTATTCAACTCTGCTTTTGTTCCTGTGGTTACTGCTCACTTAGCTTCAGGGCCATTTTCATGCTCATATCCCCTGTGGCCTCCAGTTCCTGTCAAGATGGTGAACTAGCACGGGCTGCTGGCTTCTTTCTGAAATCAATGCTAGAGAGACTATAGAAATGAGAAGGAAACTTAAATTCTAGTGACCATCAAAGAATAACAAAACAAAACTACGTGAGACTCCTGAGTGACTAGCGGCTACAGGTTGGCTCTTGTTTTGAAGCAATTTTTCACTGTAGAAACTGGCAGCAAATTCTAAGACTTCAGGTACCAGGGCCCCAGGGAAAGAACAGGACAGTGCAAGATTTCTTTCAGTAACAGGAGTTGATGACAACCAGTGGGGTCAAAAGTCTACTTTCAGGGAGTTACATGGCCCATCCCAAATCTCCTGGTATGGTGGTATGAAGGGTTGAGACTATTTGAATGTTGAGGAGGGGTAAATGTATTTTGCATGTAGAGCTTTTAGGTGTGATTGAGGATCTTGGAATGGAGAGATTATCCTGGATTATCTGGGCAGGCCCAATGTAACACACAGGTCCTTATAAGAGAGAAGCAGGAGGGTCAGAATCAGGGTCAGAGATAGAGATGTGATGGTAGAAGCAGCAGAGAGTGAGAGAGGGAGAGCAAGTGAGAGACGTTTGAAGATACTCCACACCTGGCTTTGAATATAGAGGAAGGGACTGTGTTTGTCAAGGTTCTCCAGAGAAACAGAAGCAATAGCATATTTATATATTTATTGCAGGCCCTTGCTCACACAATTACAGAGGCTGAGAAGTTCCATGACCAACCACCTGCAAGCTGGTGAAGCAGAAACGCTGGTGGTGTAATTCAGACTGAGTCCGAAAACCTTCTTTCTGGAATCATTGCTAGAGACACGACCGAAGTTGTTGGTGGTGTCTGAGCCTGAAGGCCTAAGAACCAAGAGCTCTGATGTTTGACGACAAGAGAAGATGATGTCCCAGCCCAAACAGGGAGAATGTGTTTGCCTTTCCTTCACCTTTTTGGTTTATTCTGGCCCTTAATGGATTGAATGATGCCCATCCACACTGGTGAGGGCAGATCTTTTTTTGCTCTGTCACCTATTCAAATGTTAATGTCTTGCAGAAATGTCCTTACAGACATACCCTCACAGAAATAATGTTTTACCAGCTACCTGGACATTCCTCAGCCCAGTCAAATTGGCACATAATATTAACCATCAGAGACCATGAGCTGAGAAATTTAGTCAGCCTCTAGAAACTGGAGGGGGAAGGAAATGCACTTTCCTTTAGAGCTTCCAAAAAAAATACAGCATTGCCCATACCTTGATTTTAGCCCAGTGAAAGCCAGTTTGGACTTCTGACCTGCAGAACTGTGAGATCACACATTTGTGCTTTTTGAAGCCACCAGATTTGTGGTAGTTTGTTACAGCAGCCACAGAAAATGAATGCAGGTAGATTCCAATTTTGGAAGACTGTCAAAATTGCTTTATTAAAAGCATTTTTTAAAGTTATTCTTTTTTTAAATTTTTTAAACTTCATTTTATTTTGGGGGGTACGTGTGAAAGTTTGTTACATAGGTAAACTTGTGTTATGGGGGTTTGTTGTACAGATTATTTAATCACCCAGACATTAAGCCCAGTGCCCAATAGTTATCTTTTCTGGTTCTTTCCTTCCTCCCACCCTCTATCCTCAAGTAGGCCCCAGTGTCTGTTGTTCCCTTCTTTGTCTTCATAAGTTCTTATCATTTAGCTCTCACTTGTAAGTGGGAACATGCAGTATTTGGTTTTCTGTTTCTATGTTAGTTTGCTAAGAATAATAGCCTTCAGTTCCAACCATGTTCCCACAAAAGACATGATCTTGTTTTGTATTTTTTATGGCTGCATAGTATTCCATGGTGTATATGTACCACATTTTCTTTATCTAATCTGTCATTGATGGGCATTTAGGTTGAGACCATGTTTTTACCATTGTGAATAGTGCTGCAATGAACATTTGCATGCATGTGTCTTTATGATAGAATTATTTATATTACTTTGAGTATATACCCAGTAATGGGATAGCTGGGTCAAATGGTAGTTCTGCTTTTAGTTCCTTGAGGAATAGTCATATGCTTTCCACCATGGTTGAACTAATTTACACTCCCACCAACACTGTATAAGTGTTCCATTTTGTCCACAACCTCACCAGCATCGGTTATTTCTTGACTTTTTAGTAATAGCCATTCTAACTGGTGTGAGATTGTATCTCATTGTAGTTTTGATTTGCATTTCTCTAATGATTAGTGATATTGACCTTTTTTTCATATGCTTGCTGGCCACATGTATGTCTTCTTTTGAACAGTGTCTGTTCATGTCCTTTGCCAACTTTTTTAATGGGGTCATTTGTTTTTCTCTTGTAAATTTAAACAAAGTTCTTTATAGATTCTGGATATTAGACCTTTGTCAGATGCATAGTTTGCACATATTTTCTCCCATTCTGTAGGTTGTCTGTTTACTCTGTTGATAGTTTCTTTTTACTGTGCAGAAGCTTTTAAGTTTAAACAGTACGATTTGTCAATTTCTGGCTTGTTGCAATTGCTTTTGGCATCTTCATCATGAAATCTTTGCCAAAGCCTATGTCCAGATGGTATTTTCTAGGTTATCTTCCAGGGTTTTTATAGTTGTAAGTTTTACATTTAAGTCCTTAATCCACCTTGAATTCATTTGTGTAAATGGTGGAAGGAAGGAGTACAGCTTCAATTTTCTGCATATGGCTAGCCAGTTATCGTAGCACCATTTATTGAATAGGAAGTTCTTCCTCCATTGCTTGTTTTTGTCAGCTTTATCAAAGATCAGATGGTGGTAGGTGTATGGCTTTATTTCTGGGCTCTCTATTCTGCTGCATTGGTCTATGTGTCTGTTTTTGTACCAGTAACATGCTGTTTTAGTTACTGTAGCCTTGTAATATGCTTTGAAGTCAGGTTGATTCTTCCAGGTTTGTTCTTCCCATTTAGCACTGCCTTGACTATTTGAGCTGAATTTTGGCTTCATGTAAGTTTTAAAATTGATTTTCTAATTCTGTGAAGAATGGCATTGGTAATTTGATAGGAATAGCCCTGAATCTGTAAAGTGCTTTGGGCAGTATGGCCATTTTAACAATATTAATTCTTCCTATCCATGAGCATAGAATATTTTTCCATATGGTTGTGTCATCTCTGATTTCTTTGAGCAGTGTTTTGTAATTCTCACTGTAGAGATCTTTCACCTGTCTGGTTAGCTATATTCCTAGGTATTTTATTCTTTTTGTGGCAATTGTGAATGGGATTGCCTTTCTGATTTGGCTCTTGATTTGGCTATTGTTGGTGTATAGGAATGCCAGCGATTTTTGTAAGTTGATTTTGTGTCTTGAAACTTTGCTGAAGTTGTTTATCAGCTAAAGGAGCTTTTGGGCCAAGGCTATGGGGTTTTCTGCCTTTTGCAACTGCATGTTTAAACCTTGAGGACATTATGCTAAGTGAAATAAATCAGATGCAGAAAGACAAGTACTGCATGATCTCCTTCATATGTGGACTCTAATAAAAAGTCAAACTCATAGAAAGAGAGGAGAATGGTGATTACCAAGGGCTTGGGGGTGAGGAGAGAGGGAGATATTGGTCAACTGGTACAAACATTCAACTGTAAGAGGAATGAGTTCTGGAGACCTCATGTGCAGCATGGTGACTGCAGTTAATAATAATGTATTGTATACTTGAAGTTCGCTAAGGGAGTAGATCACAGCTGTTCTCACCATTAAAAAAAAGGTAACTATATGAGGGGATGAATATGCTAATTTGCTTGATTGTGATAATCATTTTGCTATCTATCTGTCTAAGCATCACACGTGCACCCTCTATATAACTTTTTATTTGTTAATTATGCCTCAATAAAGCTGGAAACAAACAAAAAGCCCTGCAACTACTTCCCCCAAAAGACCATAGAAATCTCAAAATGGAAGAAAAATAAAAAGATGGAAATATTTGAAGAAATTATGGAGATATATTTTCTAAAATTAAAGGAAAACAAAAGACCTCAAGTATAAAGGTTTGGTATAGATAAGCTGTGCTACGTAAGAAACAGCCTCATAATTGATAGCATGCAGCAGTGAGGATTTACTCCTGCTTGAAAAGTGTGCAAAGTAACTGGAGCAGCTCTCTGAGTATGTTCAGAGAAAGCCCAAATCAAAAATTTCTGAGTAATATCAACATGATGATGGTGTGTGTGTGCACGTGTGTGTGTGCATGTGAGTGTGGATGCTTGTGAAGGCCAAAGGAGCATAAAAGTGTTAAAGATATACGATTTGGATCTTTTACCTAGTTAACAACCACCACCACATACTTCTCCAAAGTCTAAAACCTAGAAATACTGCTTTGATTCAGTGAATGTGTGTGTAGCAGTCAGCTGTTGGCCCAGAAGTGCTGCATAACAAACCACCCCTATCCTGTAGCTAACTACAGTAAGGCTTCATTTTCAGGGACATAGGTCTACAGGCTGACTTCTCCTTGGCTTGTCCAGGAGGCTTGGCTTTGCTTCAGGGTGTCACAGCTGGCCTCACCAAGGGGAAGTCTGCTCTACATGCCTCCTGGGGCCCAGATCAGGTGCTCCTAGACTCAGTGAGTCTCTATGAAAACATGGTTAACCCTGACCAATAATACAAATAGTACAAATCAAATAAACGGAACATAATCATCTATTCCATGAAGAAAGGCTAGGCTGAAGGCAAAGATATGAAGAAGCAGGGATTGTCACAGGTCAATACTTCTCTAATCAAACTGGGATCTGAGTATCAGCAGAATTTGGATCACATGGGGAGCTAGTTAGAAATGCAGAATCTAGGCCTTGCCTCAGACCCACAAACTCAGCACCTACATTTTAACGAGAGTCCCAGGTGGTTCATGTGCACATTAATATCAGGAAGTGCAGATCCACTACACTGATTTTCAAACTTGGCTGCAGATTGGAACCCCTGGGGAACTTTAAAAACAGCTGGCTTCCTGGACCCTGTTCCAGAGATTCTGATTTTATCAGTTAGGTATGCCCTGGTGTTTTAAATCTCCGTCAGTACTTTTAACATGCAGCAGGATTTGAAAATCATGAATATATAATTAGTAAGTGACGAACATTTTGGCAATAAATAATAAATTTAAATTTGCGTAAAGCTTTGCATCAATTTTACATCTAGTCTTTTATTTTACAAAAACACTTGTGTAACATCATGAAGATATTGGAAAGGGATTGTTCACTGCAATACTGTTTGTAACAGCTGAAAATGAGAAACTGAAGAATCTAGTCATAGGGAGAAAGTTTAAATACAGCATAATGCATTTGTAGTCTGCAATGCTTTGCCACCTGCCTGACAGATTCCTGCCCCATATGTGTTTTCTGTACGTTGCCCTTGCTCATAGAACCCATTGATCTTTGCAGCCTAGGAAGAATGCTCACCTCTCTGCCTCACCAGGAACTTTCTGGACACTGATTTGGGATTTTCACAGAAAAGCAGAAGCTTTGAGAGCTTAACAGGTGCGTGCCCCCCTCCTCCCACTAAGGGCCAGGCCTGGGCATCAGAGTGGGCCACGTGACCCTTACCCTGGCAGGACAGGGCAGGGGGTTACTGTTGGCCCAAGCCAAGGGAGTTCAGAGGCCAGGCATTCAGGAAGCCAGAGTCATTGGCACAGGTGGGCAGAAGATGCCAGAGGGGCCCTGTATTAGTCAGGGTTCTTTTAAAGGGACAGAACTAATAGGATATATATGGTTGTGTATATATATAAAGTTAATACTTAATAAACTCCCCTTTATATATATATAAAATATATATATAAATTATATATATATTAATTATATATATAATATATATATAAATTATATATATATTAATTATATATATAATATATATATAAATTATATATATATTAATTATATATAATATATATATAAATTATATATATATTAATTATATATAATATATATATAAATTATATATATATTAATTATATATATAATATATATATAAATTATATATATATTAATTATATATATATAAAATATATATAATTTATATATATAAAATATATATAATTTATATATATAAATTATATATAAAATATATATAATTTATATATATAAATTATATATAAAATATATATAATTTATATATAAAAATTATATATAAATTATATATATAAAATATATATATAAATTGTATATATATAAAATATACATATAAATTATATATATATAAAATATACATAAATTATATATATAAATAATATGTATATAAAAGGGAGTTTATTAAGTATTAACTTACATGATCACAAGGGCCCACAACAGGCTGTCTGCCAAACTGAGGAGCAAGGGGAGCCAGTCTGAGAGTCCCAAAACTGAAGAACTTGGAGTCTGATGTTCGAGGGCAGGAGGCATCTAGCATGGGAGACAGATGTAGACTAGGAGGCTAGGACCATCTCTCCTTTTCACGTTTTTCTGCCTGCTTTATATTCGCTGGCAGCTGATTAGATTGTGCCCACCAGATTAAAGGTGGATCTGCCTTCCCCAGCCCACTGACTCAAATGTTAATCTCTTTTGGAAACACCCTCACAGACACACCCAGGATCAATACTTGGTGTCCTTCGATCAAATCAAGTTGACACTCAGTATTAACCATTGCAGGCCCCTGACTCTGAGGGCACAGCAGGAGGCATTTGCTTGCTCTCTGTGCCCCTGTGAGAGCTGTTTAGACCAAAGGCCGGAGGCTGGCAAGTGGGAGATGTCCTCACTGGGACAAGACACAGGTGCTGAATTACATCACAAAGCGTAACCTCCCTGCAGGGCGTGGACTCAGAGGGGCAAGAGAGACCGCAGACCAGGACCCACAGAGACCCTTGACTGGGCCACAGGCATGAACTAAGAGTGCTGAAGACCTAGGAGAACCACTGGTCAGGTCAGCTCCCAGCTCCACAGGGAGTAAGAAGGAGCTGCAGGCACAGCAGGCTGAAAGTCCACCAAGGGCTGAGGCCACAAGGCCTCTGGGGCAGCCACAGTTTTCATGATCACATCATACAGGACTGAGAAGCAGATAACAAGAGTGACGCTCACAGGGGTAGGCATAGACACACTGGGGCCGAAGGGGAGAGGAACTCTCCCTAGACACACAGATTGCTCTCAGGGTAAGGAGGGGAGGCTGGTAGAGAGACTCCTTAACTGGCATTCCTGGGTGGGTTTCCATGGAGAAAGAGAGGACAAACCCCAAAGAGTGACCCTAATGGCCTGTCTTGAATCCAGCTGGGCTGACGCTAACAGGAGGCAGTGTGTGGCTCGAAGATTCTTGAACCCACAGCAGCAGCTGCGGCCACCCCATCCTGCCCACAGCTCCAGCCCTGAGACGACGAGGAGGAGAGTCGACTTTGCCTCTTGCCCAAGGGACCATGCCCAGGTGCCGGTGGCTCTCCCTGATCCTCCTCACCATTCCCCTGGCCCTGGTGGCCAGGAAAGACCCAAAAAAGAATGAGACAGGGGTGCTGAGGAAATTAAAACCCGTCAATGCCTCAAATGCCAACGTGAAGCAGTGTCTGTGGTTTGCCATGCAAGAATACAACAAAGAGAGCGAGGACAAGTATGTCTTCCTGGTGGTCAAGACACTGCAAGCCCAGCTTCAGGTAAAGGTGTCTTTCCATATAGGTGGACATTTGCATATGGTGGCACAGTTGAAGCCAGACTGAAAGAGTGGGCATATAAGAAAAATATCACTATGCAAAAATCCTAAATATGTGAATGCTTAAGAGCCTAGACACTTCCACAGCATCAATAAGGCAGTGAACACACAGAGCACTTTCTACAAACGCTTGCGCTTTTGTTCTAAGTCCTTCGCATAGATTAACTCATTTAAACCCCAAACTGCAAATCAAATGTTCATGTATTTGCTAAGGTTGGGAGACAGATAGAATGCTAGCCATGAGAAAAGATCTGATAAAGGTGAGTCCAGGTGAACCTGGACCCAACTAGCAGACACTCCTTCATCTCCTGCTGTAATCCTTTAATGCCAGATGAAAACAGATTTAAATGGACATCACAAGTAGCCTTGATTGCATTCAGTCACTAATGAGTTCAACAAATACTAATGTCCTGCTATAAACCTACTGCTGTTCTACTCACTAAAGACTCAGCAGAGAACAAGACAGGCAAACTCATGCCTGCATGGGTCCTCATGGACTGTGTGCTGAGCTGGTGGGAGGGGCTTTGGGTGGGGAAACCCCAGAGGATGGGAGGTTTCACAGGAATCTGAGGGACTGGGGCCTAATGTGGCTGAGGGGGCTGTCCCCTGGTCAGGCCTGTGTGAACCTGAGCATCTCAGGCCCAGGAGAGCTGATGGTTCTGAAGAGCCCACCTTTCACCTCTCAGTCCTCACTGAGCATGCAGCATGCCCTGGGCTTGGGGACAGGAAATGGAATGAGAAGGCCTTGCTTTCAAGGAGGTGACAAACTGGAGAGGAGTCTTTACTCAAGTGTCCAGCTCCAGGAGCCTATGGAGTCCTGACTGATCTTGTTGTACACAGGGCTCCAGGCAGTGGGCATCTTAGCCTTCCGCTAAAGCTCTGTCTGGGGGTGAGGGAGGAAGGAAAGAGGAAAGGACGAGAGTAAGAGTAATTTTTTTTTTTTGTCAAAACTTTAAAAAAGTACAACTCTTTTGAATAAAATTGCATAATTGCTAACCAACAGGTCACAAATCTTCTGGAATACCTTATTGATGTAGAAATTGCCCGCAGCGATTGCAGAAAGCCTTTAAGCACTAATGAAATCTGCGCCATTCAAGAAAACTCCAAGCTGAAAAGGGTAGGTGATGAACCACTCATCTGTGACGGCCTAGGCAGCTCTGAACCCAAGAGAGAAAGCTGAGGCACGCAGACCTTCTCTTTGAGGTCTGGGTGGCTCCCAGTGTTTAGCCCCAGATAGCCAACCCTGTGGCCTTTATAGCAGAAGATCCAGGGCCACGGAACGTGGTGGAACCCTCTGAGCTTCTTTCTCATCCTTCATCCTGCAGAAAGGATGTTGTCAAGACCACTCTTATCTCAAGGGCTCCATTGACTTCTGGCCTTTTGATGCAGGCACACTGGACAACACATAATCACCAAAAGCCTGTCCTCTTGGGTCCAGACAAGCCACCCACTATTGCTGGGCCCATGGTCACTCATCCCCATACAGACACAAAAGGAACTTCATTCATTCACTCATCCACTCATAGAAAATTACTGAGCACCAGGTGCTACGTGCTTTGCACCAGGTCTATTCTGGGTGCTGGAGATTAAGCAATGACTAAGCCAGAGGGTGGCCCCACCCTCCTGGGTTTACAGTTGATTTTTGCTGGGGTCAGTCCAGGTTTCCAGGAAGGTTGGGGCAAACCCACAGACTCCCAACAAAAGGAGGACTTGGCCCAGGGGCTTTTGGCTTCAAGCCTGTATTTTTTATCTCAGAGCAGCTCATAGGCCAGTACTTGGTCCCAGACAGATGAAGGCCTGAGCATTCTGCAGGTTTGCCCAACAGGTGCATCACTGTCCCTGTCTTTACATTGGTGGTTCTCCAATGTGAGCAGGCATCACAATCACTTGGAGGTATTGACAAACCCTGATGACCGGGTTCCACCGGCAGAGTTTCCAATTCAGGAAATGGGATCTAAGAATTTGCATTCTTAATGAGTTCCTGAGTGGTGCTACTGCTGCTGCTGCTGCTGGCCTTAGGATCATTTTGAGAACCACTGCTTTATGCACTGCCATGGCACAGGAAATTGCAGGTACATTTATGAACTGCCCTGCCATTATGTTTGATGAAAACTGCCTCTGTATGCTCAAATGAAACAAACCCTATCATTTCCAGCTCACAATAAATGACCCGTCAGGACAAACATTTCAGCAGTGAGCTTGTCCGAATGCTATCTGATCTTTTATGCTTGTTTTATCTTTTACTGGTATTAGGAATATGGTTGCTTTAAATTTATATTTTCTCCCGGGCTTTTAGGGATTGTAGAAAAGTTTTTGCTTTTGGCAGTTTGTAGAAAATATTAAAGTGCATTAAAGAAAATTGTTCTCAAGGAGCCCACTTGTGTCTAAGATTTCCATGATACGTCTCAGTTTTTAAGACATACATGTTCAAGCAGACATTTGTCAATAATAAAAACTTTCTCTTTTTCCAAGCAGATGCATTTGGTTTCCCAAATTTGATGTAATTTGCCTGTAAAGTCATCTTGATCCAGTACTTTTTATTGCATATTTTCAATACTCAGCAGGGACTAAACTTTCTTCTTTCTGACTTTGTCTGCCTCTTAACTCCTGGAAGTGCCCCAGTGATTTCAGTCTATTTGAGATGGCCCTTGCGGTTTGTCCAGGACCACTATCTCTCTGCCTACCCATCTATCTACCCATCCATCCATCCATTCATTAATCTGTCACATACACATAGGATATTTTGTTTGTCATTTCAATGATATTTTGAAAGAAAAGCAGAGTTCTTTGGAAGAAAAGATATGTTAGGCCCTAGAATTTTCTAAATTGCTCTTGACTTGTTATTAGAACAAAAGGGATTTTAAAAAGTTTATTGTAGATTCAGGGGTACACATACAGGCTTGTTATATGTAAATTCGTGTCACAGGGGTTTGGTGTACAGATTATTTCATCACACAGGTAGTAAGCACAGTACCCGATATGGTATTTTTTTCTGATCCTCTCTCTCCCCCGCCCTCCATTCTCCAGGAGGCCCCAGTGTCTGTTGTTCCCTCTTTGTGTCTATGTGTTCTCATTGTTTAGCTCTCACTTATAAGTGAGAACATGTGGTATTTGGTTTTCTGTTTCTGCATTAGTTTGCTTAGGATAATGGTCTGCAGCTCCATTCATATTACTGCAAAGGACATTATCTCATGTTTTATGGCTGTGTAGAATTCCATGGTGTACATGTACCACATTGTTTTTTTAATCTAGTCCACCATTGACAGGCATTTAGGCTGACTTGATGTCTTTGCTACTGTGAATGGTGCTGCAGTGAACATACATGTGCATGTGTCTTCGTGGTAGAACAATTTATATTCCTTTGGGTGGGATTCCTGGGTTGAATGGTAATTCTGTTTTTAGTTCTTTGAGGAATCACCTCACTGCTTTTCACAATGGGTGCACTAATTTGCACTCCCACCAGCAGTGTGTAAGCATTCCCTTTTGTCCACAACCTTGCCAATATTAAAATGGATTATTTAATCAATAAAATAACATACTTTAATTAACAATTAGAATCATTTTATTTACATTGTATTAAAGGGAATTAAACATAATGTCAAGTTTATATCTGAACTTGCACCACAATGTTATGATTATTAACATTTCTTGTCTTCCTGTGGTTAAAATAGAACAGAGATCCCTCTGGGAAACTGCTGATGGCTATGAAGTCTGCAGCCTCTAGCTCTGCAGATTCCTGGGAGCTCGCTCGAGAGTGGTGACCCATCTGTCAGCACACACCTAAACTGACACCTAGCAACAGGACAATTGTTTTTCTTTTCTTTTTTTTTTTTTTTTTGGCACTCTACTAATTTTTGTTGTTGTCATCTTTTTCAGAAATTAAGCTGCAGCTTTTTGGTAGGAGCACTTCCCTGGAATGGTGAATTCACTGTGATGGAGAAAAAGTGTGAAGATGCTTAATGGTGTTTTGAGGCATCCCTCCAACCTCTGTGACTACTTTATCCATGAAAATGAAGCAATGGCAGGTGGGAGGCTCTTCCCAATGTGCTTTCTTCATGCATGCCTCTCTGCTTGGTGTTTTGTTTTTTAGTTGCATATATGTGGGGACAGAAGATGGGCATGTCCAGGTCCTCTTTGCTGGCACCGAACACAGCCACGCACCTTTGTTCAGCTTGATGGTCTACCCATCACCAAGTACAAAGGTTAGGGTGAGGTCTGATTCCATTCCCTACAGCAAATCAGAGTATTGGGGTAAATTCAGCCAGATATCAGGTGAAATTCACCCCCCATATTTCACATAGGTTCTTTTCTATTTTCCCTAAGTGTCAGCCAGTCTGAGAAATAAAGGGACAGAGTATAAAGGGAAAAATTTTAAAGCTGGGTGTCCGGGGGAGACATCACATGTCGGCAGGTTCCATGATGCCCCCTGAGCCTTAAAACCAGCAAGAGTTTATTAGTGATTTTCAAAAGGGGAGGGAGTGTACAAATAGGGTGGGGGTCACAGAGATCACATGCTTCACAAGGTAATAAGATATCACAAGGCAAATGGAGGCAGGGCAAGATCACAGGACTACAGGACTGGCGAGAAATTAAAATTGCTAATGAAGTTTCAGGCACGCATTGTCATTGATAACATCTTATCAGGAGACAGGGTTTGAGAGCAGACAACTGGTCTGACCAAACTTTATTAGGTGGGAATTTCCTCGTCCTAATAAGCCTGGGAGCACTACGGGAAACTGGGGCTTATTTCATCCCTACAGCTTCAACCATAAAAGATGGCCGCCCCCCAAAGCGGCCATTTTAGAGGCCTACCCTCAGGGATGCATTCTCTTTCTCAGGGATGTTCCTTGCTGAGAAAAAGAATTCAGTGATATTTCTCCCATTTCCTTTTGAAAGAAGAGAAATATGTCTCTGTTCTGCCCAGCTCACAGGTGGTCAGAGTTTAAGGTTATCTCTCTTGTTCCCTGAACATTGCTGTTATCCTGTTCTTTTTTCAAGGTGCCCAGATTTCATATTGTTCAAACACACATGCTCTACAGACAATTTGTGCAGTTAACGCAATCATCACAGGGTCCTGAGGCAACATACATCCTCCTCAGCTTACGAAAATGACAGGATTAAGAGATTAAAGTAAAGACAGGCATAGGAAATCACAAGAGTATTGACTGGGGAAGTGATAAGTGTCCATGAAATCTTCACAATTTATGTTCAGAGATTGCAGTAAAGACAGGCATAAGAAATTATAACAGTATTAATTTGGGGAACTAATAAAAGTCCATGAAATCTTCACAATTTATGTTCTTCTGCCATGGCTTCAGCCGGTCCCTCTGTTCGGGGTTCCTGACTTCCTGCAACACAGAGGAGGAATGAATCCCTTTGGCTTGGGTAAAAATCCCTTACAGAGGTCTGAACCCACTGGGTGCTAACTCAGCAGGTTCCATCTGGATGCTTCCTTTGGCCTGAGGCTCTTCCTGTCTAAGAGTCCTGAATGGACAGGTCATTTGGTCTGGGGGACCCCTGTGACAGAACTAGTAGCCCTCCCCTGTGGGATCTCTATAAATTGGGGGATTTGTGTTTCTTCCTATATGTATTAGTCTGTTCTCACACTGCTGATAGACATACCTGATACTGGGTAATTTACAAAGATTAGAGGTTTAATTGACTCACAGTTTCACATGGTT
The DNA here is from genome assembly GCF_000001405.40 of Homo sapiens. NCBI lineage: Eukaryota > Metazoa > Chordata > Mammalia > Primates > Hominidae > Homo > Homo sapiens. The sequence goes on from NC_000020.11 coordinate 23,497,636, forward strand.
GAGGAGGCCTCACAATCACGGCAGAAGGTGAATAAGGAGCAAAGTCATGTCTTACATGGTGGCAGGCAGAGAGCTTGTGCAGGGGAACTCCCATTTATAAAACCATCAGATCTTGTGAGACTTATTCACTACCACAGAAACAGTATGGGGGAAACCACCCCATGATTCAGTTATCTCCAGCTATCCCTAACCTTGTCATGTGGGGATTATTACAATTCAAAGTGAGATTTCAAACCATATCACTGTGTATGTAAACAATGGTCACAAAGAGAGAGGGGTGGTGGCAATAAATCTTGAAGGATAAGCTGTGTTAGATTGAGTGTATCTGTTCATGGGTGTACATGTGTGTGCATGTGTGTGTGTGTGTGTATTTGTGTGTGCATGTATGTGTGTGTGTAGAGAGAGAGAGGGAAGAGGGAGAGAGGGAAAGGGGACTTGGAGAAGGAAGTAGCCAAACAAGGAGAAGAGCAGGAGACAAAATTCTCTTGAAGAAAGTAACTATTAAACAGATGTGTCTAATAGAGAATTATTTAATGGGTGGAGTTTCTGCAAAATGAAAAGCTCTGGAGGTTGGATGCATGACAATGTAAATAGACAACACTGCTGAACTACACACTCAAAAATAGTTCAGATGGTACATTTTGTATGTATTTTGCCATAATTAAAAATTTTAAAAATAGATGTATCTATTTTAAACATAGTGTTGGTTATGACTCAAGAGGCTAATTGTATCTCCAATGTCCATTAGGAGAAGCCAGGTTTTATCTCCCATGGCTTGCTTGGTAGGTGGTAGGGATTTCAGTATTTCTGCCCCCAACAGGATGAGGCCATGAAACTCCAAGGCCTCAAACTACTTTTTCCTCTGGTTCCTCTGACTTAGCCAATGCGTGTTTCAGGAGTTGGAGACTGTCGCCCTGCCTTCAGGCAGCAGAGACAAGTGGAACTTGCCTTGGAAAGCCTCTGCTGTTCCTAGCTGTCTCCTCTCCCTCTTCAGCCCCTGCCTGTGGTCTCTGTCTGTGTGCCACTCCCGTTATGCCCACCCTGCTTCCTCTGCTGAGGCCCCACTCTGCTTCCTTGTTTCCCTTCTCAAATCCCCAACTAACAAAGGAACCAGGATTGGAATGTGATGTATCTTTTATTACTTGAGATTAATACATGTATCCTGATTGAAAGTGCTTCTTTCCTATGTGCTTGGAAGACTCCATAAGAAATTGCCCTCCCGTCCCTCTACCCCAGACACAGGAAGTCATGAGCCATGAGGAACAGCAGGCTAGAGAAGACCACAGCCCTGCCTTCCAGGGGCTCCCAGTGGCTGCATGGACTTATAGCTCTATGTGTCTTTTCTGGTTTTCTGGGATATGAGTGTCTTAAGAAAGACAGCATTTTTGGAACATCTTGAATTGTCTTTCCTGATAGATAGGTGAGAGGCAGCCTCAAGGACTCAGATGTCGGGAGAAGACAAGGATCAGCAGTGTGTGACCAGCTTGGATGCAATACAGTGGGGATGATGCCCACCTGTGCTGTGTACAGATCTGCTTCCTGTACAGGCCTAGAGACACATCACATATATGTGTTTCTATGCACAGGTCTATTTCTAAGTGCATTTCTATTTATATTAAAATTTTATTTAATTTAATGTTATCTCTTTTCAACCTGCCTGTCTTAATCTCTTCCTTTCATTTTCCCTCTAAACACAGCCAAACTGAAATAAAATGCAAAACAAGCTTCATTTCTCCTATCCAGCATTTAATGTCTTTTTGCTAAGATATTACAGGAGAACACACAACACACGTGCATTCACATGGACTCACTCTACACCACCTTTCCCTGCCTTTTCCAGAAATGAGCCCACTGTCACAGGGCCTGCTGCGTTCTCTTAAAGGTCATGGGGAGCTCTGAATGCCCAGTGCTGTCTGGGCCTGAAATGCAGGAGCACTGGGAACACAGGAGACCATGGAGCTGGAGGGGAAGGGGCAGAACCAGGCAATTCATGTGGTCTTGGATGCTGCCAGGCTCAGGATTCACAGGGGGGTCCTTGCCCTCTACCTTGCTGTCCTCCTTGCAGGGATGCATGGCCTGTCCACCTGGCGACCAGTCATGGCCATGCTGTGAGTGAGAACAAGCAGGAATTCAGCTGAGGACAATCTTGGGCAGGGCAGTGGGGACCTTGCTGGTTGGTGGGGAGTGAGGTCTGTCTCAGTCTGTTTGTGTTGCGATAAAAGTCTGTTTGTGTTATCTGAGGTGGCTAATTTATAAAGAAGAAGTTTATTTGGCTCACAGTTCTGTAAGCGGTAGCAGCAGCATAGTGCTTCTTGTGCAGGAGAGAGAGAGACAGTGTGAGAAAGAGAGAGAAAGGGGAAGGGTAGGAGGGAGAGAGAGAGAGAGAAACAGAGAGGACAGAGAGGAGAAAGGGAGAATAGAGACACAGAGAGGAGAGGCGGGGAGGGAGGTGCCAGGCACATTTTAACACTCAATCTTACGGTGGGAAACTCTCTCATTACCTCGAGGAAGACACCAAGCCATTCATGAGGGATCTACCCAAGCACCTCCCACCAGGCCCCACCACCAACTCTAGGGATTAAATTTCAACATGAGACTTGGAAGGGACAAACATCCAAACTATATCAAGATGCAAGGTGTTGACCCTGCTGGGACCAGGGGTGGGCTGCCTGCGGACCACAGGGACAGCAGCAGCATAGAGCTCAGAGCCACAGACTTGGGAAGGAGCCCGGTGTGCTCTGGTCTCAGAGGACGTGAGTGCTGTCCCAGCTTAGCCGGTTTCTACCTGTAGGGCCTTCACCACCTAACTTAATCCCATCTGCTCACACATGACCTGGGAGAGTGTCAGGACTGCCTGCCCCCCAGGGGCCTGGTGGAATGGGAGGCAAGAGGGGTGGGCCTGGGAGTAATGTCCCATGTGCGTCCTAGGAGGGGCCCTCCTTCTCCTACGTGGTTGGTACACTTAGACCATTAGATGCATTTGTAAAATCTGCAAAAATGTCAGGGACAGACAGTCATCAAAACCTGGGGGCGGACGGTGCCCCTGAGAGTGTGGGGGTGAAAATGGCAGCCAATCAGTGCCCTCCGCTGATTCTTTCTGGACCTCTGTGTGGTGGGGTGGCTGGGTGGGGGGGTGCAGGTGAAGGGTGAACAGGGGGTGGGCTCTGGGGGACTCACTTGTGCCTCAGCGAAGGGGACTGTTTTACTCCCACCCCCAGGCCATGTTACTTCCTTCTTGCTCTCTTCTGTAACTCCGTCTAGAAAAAAAATTGCTTGAAATTTGGAAAAAGGCAGAGGGAGATCAGCAGAGCTTCCACCACCATTTTGGAACGTTACTTAACAGGCCTACTGCGGGTGATGGAGTTATCTAGGGAATGTGCCTCTGTTTGACTCGGTCTTTGTTATTGATTTAAGGCCAGATTCTAAATTTACTGTTAACTTGTGGAGCTTTTTGTCCAAGGGAGATGCCAGTGATTTCTGTGCAGCAGAAAAGATCTCCCCAGATGCTGTGGATTTTCTGCTCTTTAGGAACTGAACCAGTTATGTAACTGACCTGGGATTTCCCCTCATGCCCAATAACTACGACTCCTCCAGTTCTCCTTCAGATAGTATCGCCCATTGCTGGTTTTCTCTTTACAGAGTTGAGGGAATCAGATGCTCCTTCTGTGTTTGTAAGTAGTCTAGGTTTATAACTTTCTGAAAATTACCCTATTGCAGTCTCCATGTGAATCCCCCAAAGTTCCCCACAGTCCAGGGCATCAGGTTTGTCCGATGGATTCAGGGCCTGCTGCCTTCCCTCCCTCCCTCTGCCCCATCCCGTGTCGGGTCCCCGCAGGGAGACTGAGGCACGCCTCCTCAGACACCTACCGCTCGCTATGGAGGGGACAGAGTGAAGGGTGTGAGTGATACACAGAAAAATACCCAATGGCTAAGAGATGTCTTTGATGGACATGCACCTTGGCCCCTTGTGTAGGGGCTTGGCAACTGCAGGGCCACCTAGGAGTCAGCTGTGGTCCAGAGAAGGCGACACTGCGAATGTACTATTTGGATCCTGCCCAGGGAAGAGAGCAAGTGCTCAGACGCTGATGATGGCCACCCATTACCAGATAGGAACATTTTTGGTCGTGAACTTATGATGCCTGAAGACAATAAAATGAACATCATGTCCCTGGAGCAATTATTGTTCCTTTTTTCTGGTTCCAAACTCCTTCAGATTCCTTGTTTTTAATAACACACCTGCATCCTCAAATACAGAGACATTCTGAGTGAGCTGCTGGGGGCACCTTCTGTGTGGACACGCCGGCTTTCTGCTTTGCTAACCGTATTCCTGGAGGCTTTGTCACCTACACCATGCTGTAGCTTGACCACCCAGGTGAAGCTGATAAAACTCCAAATCTGACAGTTCAAGACTCAGTGACTGAGCCCTGTTCCAGAAGCAAGGTGACAGAACCTCAGGGCATGGAGGTAAAAGCCACACCTGCTTGTGGAATTTTGCCTTGACTTCCGTTGTGGATGAAACTAGCTCCACTGGTGTAGCCACAGAAGCCACCTAAAAGCCAGCACTTACTGAAATGTCCAGGAAACCAGTCCAGGGTGGAGAGCCCATGAGACCAAATAGTTTGGAAATCACTTCTGCAAATATCATTGCTTTAATTTTGTTTTAAAACAAAATTAAAGAAAGGGGAAAGCATGGTGGGGGTATGTGCTAGTGTGAGACAAAGTAGCAATGGTGAGAAGCCTGTGTGCTCTTGCCTGCTTGCAGCGGAATCTCACAATGCCCCTGACTCTGCAACAACATGCAGCTCTCCAGAAAGACGCTTTGAAGACAAAAGAAGATAGAGTGCCGCACGGCCCCCACGTCTCTGGCCTGAGCCACTATGTTCCTTAAAAGATAAACCATCCTAGTCCCTGCTTCCTGCTGCACATAAGATGATGCCTGCTGGGGTCAGTGATGATGCTTCTGTCATCTATAACCAGGTGGATTCTTACACCCAAACCTTCACGTGATTCTGCTTTACTGTAACTTCCGAGCAAGTGTGATGTGATTTTGCACATACTGAACCTCCACACTTCATATATAAACTGTTGGCTGAAGCCCTATTTCAGAATTGTCTGATGGAACTTCTCTAGGGGACTGCTCCCGGGCTGTAGACCTCCATTTACGGTCTTCAGTAAGACTCCGGAATAAAAAATAATTTTAATTCTTGAAAAACTTGATATTTTTCTTTAGTCGACCCTAGAAAACAGTTAGGTATCACTACTGTGCTTTTTCTCATGATGGAGAATTTACCAATCTAGGGGTTGGCTCCTACTAAAAAAAGAACAAATTGCTTTCTAAAAAAGAAAAATGATTAATTACCTTTTTTTTAAAGGAGCAATCATGGAAGAAGAAAAACCAGTTTCCCACGGCAGGTGTCTAACAGGCTGTGTTAGGCAGATACTGATTGATACGTTGAAAAAAATACCAGGGTAAATGAACAGTTAATAAACTTTAGCAGTAAGTGATAGTAGAATGGAAACATCAGGTAGCATGCACAAATGCATGAGAGGGAAATCCAAAGGAATGAAAATTTACCCAAGCTAAAACCAGGAAATAAGACACAATAATACAGACAATAAATGTGGGTGGATTTTATAAACTAATAGACTAGAGAGTCTTAGACTTTATTAGAGTATAAAACTCACAGGATGCTCATAAAAGCCACTTTGACCACAAACTAATCCTGACATGTTGAAAATTTGCTCAGGATGAAAATACACTGAACAGCTGCTAATTAAAGAAAGTAGGGGAGAAAATATTAATATGAGGCGTCATGGAATTTAGGCAAAGAGCGTTAGGTGGGGTAAAGAATTATGTCTCAACAAAACATACTCTAAGACACCAAGAAAATACAAATAAAATGGCCCTAAAAGACACACAAGCCAATGTCAGATTATAAAAATGAGAAAACCACAAATAGAGCTAAAGACTGAGAAATCTTTCAGAAGTACAAAAACATTAAAGCTACAAATGAGTTGGATAAAGTAATGAAGTCATTATTTTCCTAGGTACGTGCAAATGAAGATGTGGCTCCCACCCACGGGACTGGAGGAAATCAACAAGGGCGGAAGTACAGGAGAGACAGAGATGTCTGAGGACTGCGCCCCGCCACTCTCAGGTGAGAGGCGGCAGGCAAGAGCCCTGAGGCCACAGAGACGTGCTGTCCTCGAAGGGAGGGAGTGCCCACCTGTGCCAGTCATGGCGGGCGGGTCAAGGAGGATGCACGCTCAGAGCCGACCACGGGTTCAACCTTCCCACGTCATTGCTCACCCTGGTGAGAGCATGGAACAGACTGGAGTAGGTTCCAGAGAGTGCAGGAAGAGGGGAATTGGAGACCATGAGGACAGACACTTCTTTTGAAAGATTTTGCTGTAAAGGTGAGGAAAAAAAGAAACTTTTAATCTGAGGAATGTGAGTCCCCTTTAATTATCAAGCCCAGAGGGGCATTGAAATGTGACAGCAGACACAGCAGCAATGTGTCCCTCCTGCCTTGAACTAAATAATGACCTCCTGAAGCCACCGGCTATGTGAACTCTAGACTAATGGATGCCAAGTAGCTACAGGGTGCCATGTGCCGGACACCATTATCCATACCCTATATAGTTCAACAGTGTAGAGCCAATCACCACCCAGAGTTCTTTCTGTGAACCAATGAGAACTCCTGGCAAACACCTTTGTATCCGCCCACTCCTTGTCCCCTTTTGCCTTTAAAAGCCTGCTTGTAGCAAAAGCTGAACAGGAGCACTCCTCCCCAAGGCAATGTGGAAGTGTGTCCTGGGCTGCTGTCCTTCACCTTGGCCCAAATAAACTCTCTATATTAATTTTGCCTCAGTCTCTTTCTTTAGGTCGCCAAAGAGGACCAGAGAAATTCTGGAGAATTTGGAAAGTAACAGGCTAAAGTAACTTTATTTATAGATATAAATGTTTACCTTGAAAATGTAAAATTGAAATTCTTTACTATTTAATGCATATATAGAAAATATATGATAAAAATAACATTTATAATACTACAACAACAACAAGCATAGAACACACCCAATGACAAGCTTTACAATGACTTCAAGGAGGGAAAACTGAACTTTTATTGATGGAACAAAAGATCTGGCAAAATGGAGAGACAGATAATATTCCTGACAGGAAGATTTAACATTAAATATGTCACAAGTACTAGTTTCCCCAAAGCTGGGGAGGTCAGGAGTTTGGGGTGCTCACCATGGCTGCTCATAGGAGGGCAAATGGAACCTGCAATCAGGAGGTATTCTGGAGCTGGAGGACTTCCCCGTGCTCAGACCACACATGGCTACTTTGAGAATTGCCCTGTGACTACCTTTTCTTGATTGGGGTTCCTTGAATTTTGAATTTGAAGCTCTTTTGCAATTGTTACAGGCAATCTCCATGTCTAAGATGACCGTAACGCACCCCTAGATAAATAGCTCTGGTAGATCCCACAGGCAAGAAGCATTCTTTTTTTTTTTTTTTTTTTTTTTGAGATGGAGTCTTGCTTTGTCACCCAGGCTGGAGTGCAGTGGTGCAATCTCAGCTCACTGCAACCTCCGCCTCCCAGGTTTAAGCGATTTTCCTGCCTCAGCCTCCCGAGTAGCTGGGACTACGGGTGCCCGCCACCATGGCCGGCTAACTTTTTGTATTTTTAGTAAAGACGGGGTTTCACTGTGTCAGCCAGGATGGTCTGGATCTCCTGACCTCATGATCTGCCCACCTCGGCCTCCCAAAGTGCTGGGGTTACAGGCGTGAGCCACCGCGCCCAGCCACAAGAAGCATTCTTGACTGAGTCTTCTAAATGGACAAAGATATATGGAACAACTGCTAATTTTAGAAAGTAGGAGAGGAAAAAAAAAAATCACACCCCAGCCAAGGGCTGCTTTTATCTTGCAAACCCAACCCACTATTGAAGAATGAGAAAGAGTGGGGTTGAGCATGGGGCCACACATGGTCTGATTTGCCCCGATTCTGGCTCATTCCCTGAGGAACGCCCTTACTGAGGTGGATCCAGTGGAAAATGAGATGTCCTCCATTAGACTTGCTGCACAGATGTGGGCCATGGATCAGCAGCATCAGTGGCACTGGGAGCTTGCTAGCAATGCTGAATCTCGTGCCCATCCTGGACGCACTGACTCGAAATCTGCATTTTAATGAGATCCCAGGTGGTTTGTGTGCACATTAAAGCTTGAGAAGAACTGCCCTCAAGTCTTAAAAATTTCTGCTGAATGTCAATGGTAAACCACCTAATTCTGTACATTAACATGCAGGACAATTGATATGTTAAGAATATTTAATACATTAAAGTATTTAAATCTCCTAGTTTTTTTTTTTTTTACAAAGATCCTGTATACCATTTTGCTCCTAAATAGCTTCCAAATGGTTTTTAGTTGTTGCTGTAAGTAGAAATTTTCCCCAGTTGCTGGTAGTTTGTACTGGAGAATGTTGTGAATCTGACTACATTATAACATTTTGCCACTTTTCTTACTTGCTGGAATAATTTAAGTGAAATACTCATTAAGTCCTTTGATGGCAAATCAAGGGGCTTAGGGCTCACTGGGAAACAAGACGGACACACCGGGAAACACAGCATGCCTATGCGAGGACACCAACACAGACATGGTGAGGGTGGGTGCTGTGGGGGTCCTAGACTCCTCCTTCAGGTGCAGGCTTGCCTGTAGGTGTGTGGACAGTGACCGAGGTCCACAGCTTCGCTTTCTTTTGGGACCTACCAGTTTTATAGAAAAGCATGGTTTGAAGAAGTCCCATTCCCCATTCCTGAAGCTTATGAGGATTCCATGGTTATAGGATTTTAGAACTTTCTATACCCCATGTTCTGAATTTCAAGACACCTCCTCCTTTTGTCTATGCATATTCTTCAGAAATCCCTGATATTCTGCACTAAAACAGCATCTTGGTATCACACAGATTTTTTTTTTCTGTAAGACAACACATAATAGTGTAGCAAAAAATAAAAAAATAAAAGATAATTTACAAATCCTACATGCTAAAGTTCTGACTACCTATCATATATAGCCAGGGAAATGGTCCCTTCATAACTCCTGAGTCTTACCTCTGGCTTTTCTTTCCTTTCTCTTTTAGTGCCATCAACACAGGGTCCCAAGAGTTCTCAGCCACATCAGCTCCAAGAAGAACTTGTTTCATTGAGGATTTAGGGGAACTGTCTCATTGGCGAAGAGAAGTTCTCCTCCCCCTGCCCCGATGTGACTCGTTAAGGTTTGGGGTGCCCTGGCTCTTGGAGCTTTCATCTATGGTCTAAACCTTGAACACCATAAACATTAGGTTGGCAGTTCTTGGAGCTTGGGTAACTGCATGCACATGCCTTGTTCACACATGTCCCAGTATTTTTACTTACTCTGTTGAGGGAGTTTATTCTTTCCTTTGAATACATTTCACTCCCACCTGTAATAAACTCCCAATTGGTCTTTCTACTTTTGTATCTTTAGGTGAATTAAAAATTTCATTTTTAGTAGATGTTTCATATTTGTGCTACATCCTTCTGAACTCCAGAATCATATGTAGGCATACGTGTATATGTGTGTAAATATATATTTAGAGTATATATATATATTTAATACATATCTATAATAAATTCTATATTCATTTCCACTCTGGTGTTAGGCTTCATTGTTCTCACTGACAGGCAGCTCTGGGTCCTGGGAGTCTGCCATTGTTGGACTCCATTAACAGGCTCCCTAGCCCTTCCACTGATGGCTGCATTTGGCTAATTTTGGGGAATGGGAGCATGCGGAAATATGAGCGCAGCTGGAGCCAGTGTTGGGATATTTCTTACTGGTTGCTGGAACCCACTTAACAGCAGCTGCATTCTTCCGCCAGGGGCCAGCGCTCCTGCTGGGCAGTCCCTCCCCGCCACCTACAGCAACCCCTAGTGCGTGTGGCAGGCAGAGCAATGCTTCCAGAGATGTGTACATCCTGAGCCCTGAAATCTGTGGATATATTATGCAAGCTGGTAAGGGGAAGTTCAGGTTGCAGAGGGAGTTAAGGGTGCTAATAGGCTGACCTTAAAATAGGAAGATTATCTGGATTATCCAGATAAGCCCAAATTCCTTAAAAGATGGTAGAATGGTAGGGGAGTCAGAGCTGAAGTGATTCAATATGAGAAGAACTCCACTCACTGCAGGCTTGAAAGACAGAAGGCCATGAGGCAAGGACTGTGGGCAGCCTCTAGGAGCCAGGAAAGGCAAGGAAATGGGTTCTTTCCTAGAGCGTCTGGAAGAATGCAGCACCCCCCCCCCCCACCCCCACACTGTCCAGAGCCCAGTGAGCCCGTCCTGACTCTGACTTTCAGAGCTGTAGGATCACAAACTTGTGCTGTCAGCTGCCAAGGCGGTGGTATTTGTTCAGCAGCCGTGGGAAACTAACACACTGGGCTTGGCCACCACTGCATCCTTCACCCGTGGGGTCTAGGGATGGTGCACGTGCCCCTTTCACTGACTGTGGGTCCTTTACCCTCCGTTGTTGGTTTTCCTTTGCAAATATCCCTCTGTTCCCTCTCCTCAGATACCCTGTGGAATTTGTCTCCAATTTCCTGGCAGGACTGGGGATGAGATGGGAAACTAAGGGGGGAAGGGTCAAAACGACCTCATCCGCCTCCAGCATCCTCTAGCTCAGTCAGTGCCCACTGTATAATTATTGTCACAAAACCACAGCCAGATAATTCTTTTTTTTTTGTCATAATCAAAGGGCCATAAAATAGATTTAAAGCAAAACTCACACTATCTCTGTCATTACTTGGTGCATTTTTCTCACCCTCAAAATTAGCTGTTTTTTTCTTCATAGACCAAAGAGAAGTAACAAAAATAAACTTGTGCCGAGTTCACAAGCTTCAGCTGGATGTACTGGGGCTGGGTCAACTCAATGCCATCAACCTCCCACAGGGTGAACGGGAGCCGCTCTTCAGGCCCACCTAAGCATCTGCTCTCTCCCATGGAGGGACTGGTGTCAGGCCTCCAGTAGGGGAGAGGTGACTTCAGCGTCTGGACAGCCTCCTGTGCGGACCTGGCAGCACTGCTGGTGGTGGTGATGGCTGACAGTGCCTTTGTGCTCCCACCCTGCCCAGAGCTGTTAGATGCTCTCCACACAAGGCCTTCTGCCCTCCTCTGCTCCTACACCCTGACCCCAATCACACAGGAAGCATCCCCATCCTGGGGTCAGTACCCCGTTTTCAGAAACTCCTCTCTCTCTCACACACACACATGCACGCACACACCATTGTCCCTCCTGAGCCAGGGCTGCTTCCCAGTGACTGGCAGCCTCCCACCTCCCTGGCTGCATCCTGGCAGGCTCAGCCCAAGCTGTGGGAAGACCAGGGCCTAAGGAAGCCATGCGGAAAAGAGGACAGAGGGAATGAACAGGGCAATGGGTCATGATCAAAGGAGCCATGTGGTCTGAGTAACTGCCCACAGCTGTGGGGCCAGGCTTGGGTAGTGGGAGGCAAAGAGGCTGAAGAGTGCAGGGAAACACTCTCCCCTCAGTATTCTATCCATCTTTTCAGGCAGGCAGTGTCTGGCTACCTTGTGGTCAATCCTAGCTAACAGCTTTCTTTCTTAGCCATGTTTTAGCACAAGGAAGCGAGTTTCAACATCTTGGCTGGGCCATGGGAGCAGACTGGCCAGTGGGAAGTGAGGTCAGAGCAGAGGCTGGCTCTGCAGTAACCTCACAGACCCTGCATCTGAGTTCCAGGTCGCTGACCCGGAAGAGGGCAGAGGTGCAGCCACAGGCCAGCTCGGAAGGCAGCTCCAGTTTCAGCTCTGCCATATTCTGGCTTTAAGACTTCGCCATGCAGCTCAGCCCTCAGTGGCTCACCTGCAGCTTGGGAGGAAAGCCTGCCTCCCACTTCAGACAGGGCTGCTGGCCTCCCAGGAGTGGGCAGCGTGGGCAGGCAGAGCAGCTTCAGTGGACTTGGAATGGGAGGGCAGTGGCCTTTCTCCGTCTAGGCCATGGATGTATTTGGACACTTTTGTGAGTCACTGATGGGGTCAAGCCAGGGGCCTGGGACAGATGGAAGAGCAGCAAGGTACCCATCCTTGCCTCCGCTGCCTCCTCCCACGGGCTGGCTGCAGACTTCCTTTCACCAGAGTTGAGAAATGTTACTTCTCAGGTCCGTTTAGTTCCTGAGCTGACACAGAGTTTGATTGTTGCAACTTCAAAGTAGTCCAGGGACAAAGAAAGACTGCAATTCTCTTTTCCAAAGAACAGAGAGTTCTCAGATTGCAGTATAGGGAGGGCTTGAGTTCGGGGGCCCCTAGGTTTTGCCTAAACACGGGGAGCATCTGTGGCTCCCAGGCTTCCATGGATGTGGAGATGTGAGTCCGGGGACCTCTCTGAGAAAGACAACCACGGGAGGGTGAAGATGCTTCTCCCTTTCCTCCCCAGGGCCCTCCTCCCCTGTCCCAGTGATCTCGCCACCAGAGACACTGCAGTGACGGGCCTCCGGGACTTTCACACAGCAGGCTCGCCCCAGCGGGTGCGCATGTGCAGGTGACTGGCATGCTCTGCTTCCAGAACCCTGCCTGCCCTTCCTCCAGGAGCCTCAGGGCTCACACCTGGGCCCTTGCAGGAATAGGTGCACATGGGAAGTGTGTCCTGTGCCTGCTGAAGCTCATTCAGCCTCACCTTGCAAGTAGGAAAAGCATAGGACATGGAGACTGCTCGCTGCAAAGGAGGAACGTGACCCTGCGGTGGGACCAGCTTTAATTGCTAAATGTTACAGCAAACTTCAACTATAAGACAAAACTCAGTGCCAGGCTGCAGTCCCAGAATTGCTCAAAGTCCCCCCATGCTTCTCTCTGACAAAGGGAGATGTGACGAAGGGAGAAGTTTCTACAGGGTCTTCCCTAATTCAGCAATCCCTGAAGCAAGACTTGAGGGCCCTGTTGTGAGGAGAATCACTGAATCAGACCATCCTATCTGTTCTGTAGAGATAGCTGAGTGCCAGAGAGGTTAGACGACTTTCCCAAACGCGAGCTGCAGCCCAGGGGTGCTGACCATAGGCCAGTGCCCATGCTCACAGTGAGCCTGGCTGCACTGGGTGTTGTCCCCAGCTTAACATCTGGCTTGGGAAGTGGCCAGTAAATGATGGGTCTACGAAAGAAGGGGTGGTGGAACTGTTTTCTCTCCCAGGCTCATTTGCTTTGAAAGGGAACTAATCCAAATGTGACAGAGCTCTCCAGGTATGGACTTGGCAGCCTCTTGGGAGACCTGCCTCTCAGGAGACCCCTAATCCTACAGATGGAGAAGGGCTTTAGGTGGTTTCTGGAGAAATCTCAGGGAGGTCAGAGGGAAGGGACTGAGGCCTGGAGACAGACAGAGAAATCAATCAATCAATCAATCAATCAATCATTCCATCACTAAATGACTTATTTCAGTAGCTTCATCTGGGCCCTCCAGCCCAAGGTGGCTCCAAAAGTTGTGCAGAGAAGGGGCTCTCCCACAGCAATCCCGGGAGAAGCTGGAGGTCTTGTCTTGATCTGCTTTTCCACAGCGTGTATAAAAGTGAGAGAGATACAACTGTTCACATGCAGAAGTAGAGGCTCTGCTGATGTATGCAACCTGGGGAGGGAGGGAGCCCAGGCCCTCGCTCATAGCATGAGCCCGCCACGCTTCTGACATGCACCAGTTTCAGTGGGATTCGCTTCCCTATGTTCAACTTGTGATACAGGTTGTGAAGCTTCCCTCACACCCACCACCCACTATGTGTTTTGTTCCTTCTCCCAAGCCCTGCCTACTAGGTCAAAATTGATGTGAGCTGGTAAAGCTGGTGATGATGGTGGCTGTCATTCTGTAAACAGTCCTGCTGTTCCTGGTTCCAACAGAAGCCTGCTCTCTCCAGCCCAAGACCCAAGGCAGGACTGCCTTCTTCCATCCTCAGAGCCAGCAATGCAGCATCCTCGCATCTCAGCCTCCCTCTCTTCTCTTCCTTCTGTCTCATTTTCTATAACCCTGTGACCTCCCTCTTTCCTGTACAAGAACTTTTGTGTTTGTATTGGTCCCATCTAGATAATCCCAGATAATCTCCCCATTTCAAGATCCTTAAGAGTAATATATCTTAATACATAAGAGTTAAACTAATAGAAAAGAACCAGAATGGAGAACTTCCAATTTACTAGAAGAGGAAGAGAAAATCGATTCTCCAAACATGAATAAAGGGAAAAAATGATGGGAATCATGATTACAAGAAAATAAAATAAATAAGTTGTGAATGGATTAAAAGAAAATATTAGTGACCACAAAAATGTGACTGGATTAAATTTCCCTACTAAATTTCCCTACCAAAAGACCTACTAAGAAACCAAGGACCAGTAATATAATGTTTACAAACGATATCTGTAAAATGAAATGACCATAAAAGATTATGTGTAAGTAAATTGATGAAACTAGGTCTCAGGAACTAAAATAAAATGCTGTTCTGAAATGTTTTAGAAAATGCATTAAGGCCCCAAAATGAAAGAACTGATATAAACATTAGAAAAGAGGAGGTAAAACATCTCTTTGCATATAGTTGCTTACCTGGAGGACTTAAGACTCAGGTGAAAATGCTGCCTGGTCAGTGGACCCCCAGGAGCAGGTGGCGCCCCTACCTTTTATGCTCGGTGGAACCTGGCACTGACCACTATGTTTAGAACAGCCTGACCCCACGGTAGGCCTCAGAAAATATTTCTCGACGTACTAAATAAAGCCACCATTTAATGTCATAAAGAATGATTCATGTGGAAGATGTAATAATCCTGAACCCAAATGCATCCCAAACTATATAGATGCCTTAAAACAGAGCAAAAGTGGACAGAATCATCACCAGGTGACAGGGAGGCAGCCCCAGTGACAGCAGGCATCTTTGCATGCACCTCTCCCAGTAAGCAAGAGCTGGCAGATGCCAATCAGGAAGGGCTGGAAGAGGCGGGGCACACAGGCAACACCCTCATCAGGGGGATGCCTGTGGAGTCCATATGTGCACCCAGGGGGGTTGAGGAACAAGGATGGATTTCCCAGGAGGCTCCCGCCCATAATTGGGAATTGACTGTGCACTGAAGAAATCCACCTGGGCAGGGGAGGAGGAGGAAGGCGGAGGAAGAGCACAGCCCAGGGAGGAGGAACACCCAGAGCCTCAGAGGCCCAGGGCGTGGGAGGTTGGGGGGTGCCTCTGGTGTAGGAGGCCTTCCTTCCTTCCTCCTCTGTCCTCCCAGGCCAGCTTGCTGGCTTCACCTGACCCCTTGCCTGGCTCAAAGGCAACCTTTTGTTACTACTTTGTCCCCCATTTGGCTTATACTTTTCTTCTTGTTTCTCTTTCTCTTCCCTCATTTCCTTTTCTGCATCCCTCTCACCTCTCTCCACTGGGCTTGTTGTGGGAATGAGCTACAGTCCTGTGATACACAGGGACGCTTCCATCAGCAACAGCCCACATATACAACGGTGGGCCAAAGATATAGTGCCATGTTTCCATTGTACCTTTTCTGTGTTCAGAAATGTTTAGATGTAGAAACACTTACCATTGTGTTACAATTGTCTGCAGCATCCAGCAGTTACAAGCTGTACAGGTAGGCAGCCTAGGAGCAGTAGACCATACCATGCAGCCTAGGTGTGGATTAGGCTCTATCATCTAGGTTTGTGTAAGTCACTCTATGATGTTCAGACAATGACAAAATCACCTAGTGACACATTTCTCAGATATAGCCCTGTTGTTAAGCAAAGCATGACTGTATATGTCAATCATTATCTCTATGTACTGATGTTTTTTTTTGGTTCCTCATTTTAGGAATCTAATGAACTGCATATACTGCTCATGTATTCTCTCCCTCCTTCTTTCTCTCTCTTTTTTCTCTCTTTCTTTCTCTCTCTTTCTCTCTCTCTCCACCCCCGCCCTCCCCCCCTCCACCACACACACACACATACACAAATGAACAATTCTTTTACAGGACTGGGGTAGCTTGTTGCATTTGGATGCTTGTTGACTATTTGATTTTCTGGAATTTCTCCCAAGCAAGATATTGGGTATGTACAAGGAGGGATACACAGAATAAGAATTTTGCTGTTGATAATAATAGCAAATGATGTAAATAACACATATGCTCAGAATAGGGACTAGGTGAAATCAGTTATGGAACATTATTCAGCATTACAGGTAAAAAAGGAACTCTTTATATAATGGGGGTTGGAAGGCGGCAACAACAGGTCAAGGAGCAAGTAAGAATATTTCTGGTATTCCCAAGTGCCAATGGAATGCGAACTGGGGTAGTGGGCTGGAGACTGGCTGGCAACCAGAGGTAGGGTATGGGCCACCTGATACAAGTGCAACTTGCAGGTACTTGACACTCCATTTAGCCAAAATTCAACCCTTCACATTTCCTGCCCAAATCTGCTTCTCCTCCACTCCCTGTTTCAGCACATCCCACCACTACCTGCTGCTGAAGCCATTTATTGTCTGGGGGTAAGACAAGAAATGACAATAAATGACTCCTCCTTCTCCAGGCCGTGTTAACTCAATCAGCTCCATAGCTCCAGGCATGGCTCATTTTCCCTTTTGCCTGTTAATACTGTGAGGCCTCTGAGCCCAAGCTAAGCCATCATATCCCCTGTGACCTGCTCGTATACATTCAGATGGCCTGAAGCAACTGAAGATCCACAAAAGAAGTGAAAATAGCCAGTTCCTGCCTTAACTGATGACATTCTACCATTGTGATTTGTTCCTGCCCCACCCTAACTGATCAATTGACTTTGTGACAACACACTCTCCCTGCCCTTGCGATAATGTACTTTGCAATATTCCGCCACCCTTGTGAATGTACTTTGTACGATACATCTTCCCCACCCTTGAGAAGGTACTTTGTAATATCCTCCCCCCACCTTAAGAAGGTACTTTGTAATATTCTCCCCACCCTTGAGAATGTATTTTGTAAGATCCACCCCCTGTCCACAAAAAATTGCTCCTAACTCCACTGCCTATCCCAAACCTATGAGAACTAATGATAATCCCACCACCCTTTGCCGACTCTTTTCAGACTCAGCCCGCCTGCACCCAGGTGATTAAAAAGCTTTATTGCTCACATAAAGCCTGTTTGGTGGTCTCTTCACACGGACGCGTGTGACAAATCCCCCAGCTGAAGTCACCTTTGCTTGCAGCTGCAATATTCCAATGGCCACTGAGAATCATACTGAAAAAAATAGACATCTTACCATGCCATGCCTGTGCATTTAAACAACTGTTTTCTTGGTTTTCAATATTTTAGGTCAAATGTTGGGCAAAGTACAGTCTTGAGAAAAAAAACAAATGAGGATTTTGACAACAGAAGGTGTCACACAGGCATAGGGGTGGTGAGGGTGACAGCAGGGCTGTGCTGACATCCTCATCCTACAGAGAGAAGTGCCAGGAAATCCTGGGAGATGATGAACTGTGAGAGTGTGATGATAGTTTTCAATCTTATAAAAGCAACTAGTAGAATATCTATCTATCTGTTGATCAATTAGTCAAAACAGTGAGAGGCAGAGGAAAGAATAATAAGCTGCTGTGTGAATTAACGTCTCATCTTCTATATTCAGGACTCCACATCCTTTAGGAGCCCTGGGAAGTGGAATTGGGAGGTAAGGAGTGGGATGGGCACGTGCTTTTCATCATCTTCAGGCCTCTCTGCATTTGCCTTTTACTATGGGAATTTGACCTTTTTAAAAATAACTTTATTTTTGAACAGAGTGAGCACTACAGGAATAATTCATTTAGAAAGTGAAATTCCTGCATAACACCATGCCTCAGGCACAAAGCTGCAAATGGTTGGAAATACCCAGATCTCCTTTCTTTGACCTTAAGAAATCACTGTTTGCATTCTTAACAAATGCAAATTCTTCTCTGCTTAGTGTTTTACAACTAGCTTACAGCAGTTTATATACGACAGATCTCTTTCAGTGCATGCACATATTTTGGTTGATGTTTTAAATCTGATTTCACAAATACTAAACATTTTATTTAAAATTTACTATTGGGCTGGGTGTGGTAGTTCATGCCTGTAATCCCAGCACTTTGGGAGGCTGAGGCTGAAGGATAGCCCGAGGCCAGGTGTTTGAGACCAGCCTGGGCAACATAGCAAGACTTCATCGCTACAAAAATAAATAAATAAATAAATAAATAAATAGATAAATCTATTATTGATACATATTTGGGCTGTTTCTCTCATTTTCTTTTCTTTTAGAAACTATGTTGCAGTGAATAATTTTTCAGCCAGCTTTGAGCACGTAGGCAAATATTTCTGTGGGATAAAAATCCTATATGCGGAACATTGTGTTGATGAATATGTAATTTTTAAATGTTTAACAGATTGCTAAATTGCTACTAACAAGGACTATTGAATTCCCACTCTGCCAGCGTGGCATGAAGGCCACATATCAATCCAGCATCGTTGTTGTGTTTAACTTTTTTCCAATGTGTAAGAAAATAGTGACATTTCCTTGTTGGGTTAAATTTTTATTTTTGAAGAGCTTAACCATATTTTCACATGTGTAGCAGAGACATTTATATTTATTTTACTGTGATTTGTGTTCATGACTTTTCCCCAGATTTTCTACTGGATTGTTTGTCTTTTTAAAAAATTTTCTTGCCGGGCCTGGTGGCTCATGCCTGTAATCCCAGCACTTTGGGAGGCCGAGGCAGGCAGATCAACTGAAGTCAGGAGTTCGAGACCAGCCTGATGAACACGGAAAAACCCAGTCTCTACTAAAAATACAAAATTAGCCAGGCATGGTGGCACATGCCTGTAATCCCAGCTACTCAGGAGGCTGAGGCAGGAGAATCGCTTGAACCTGGGAGACATGCCATTGCACTCCAGCCTAGGCAACAAGAGCAAAACTCCGTCTCAAAAAAAAAAATTTGTATAAGTAAGAGTCCTTAGATATTATGAAAATTAAAATTTCCAGTGTCACATTTCTCACTACTTGTCTTACTCCACACCCACTAGCATGACTATAATAAAAAATACAGGTAACAAGTGTTGGCAAGCATGTAGAGAAACTGGAACCCTCAAACACTGCTGATGGGAATGCAAAATGGTGCAACTATTTTTGGAAAACCATCTGGCAGTTTCTCGAAAAGTTGAACATACAGTTATTATATGACACAATAATTCTACTTTTAGGTATATGCCCAAGAGATAGAAAAACATATGTCCACATGAAAGTCTGAACAGGAATGATCGTAACAGTATTTATTAAAAACAGCCAAAAAGCCAAAACAGTAGCCAAAATAACCCTACTTCTCATTAATTAATGAGTGGATAAATAAAATATGGTATATGCATACAACAGGTTATTATTTGTAATAAAAATAAATGAAGTAGTGATACAGGCTACAGACAGGAGGAACCTTGGGAACATGCTAAGTGAGAGGAACCAGACACAGGAGATCACACACAGCGATTCCGTTTACGTGCAATGCCCAGAAGAGGGACATCTGTGGAGAAAGCACGTTAGTGGCTCCTCCCTAGGGCTGAAAGGGGATGGAGAAATTGGCATATAAAGGCTAAAAAGTTTGAGGTTTCTTTTTAGGGTAACAAAAATGTTGTAAAATTGATTGTGGTTTGGATATAAAATTCTATGAATATACTAAAGTCATTGACTTGTATGCTTAAATGGGTGAATCCTACAGTGTGTGAATTACCTCTGAATAAATCCATTATAAAACCCCCTCCTCATTATCAGGGAGCCCAGTCATGGTGTAGATGATGGTGGTCCCAGCCACTCCCGGCCTGCACCTCCTGGGACCTTCCTAGCTGGGTCTTTCCTAAAATCCTGATTATCTTGAGTCATGAGCAAAATAAAATGCTATGAGGCAGTAGTTCCCAGAGCAACCAGTGCCTGTGGTCCTGATGACCCCACCTTAGACAGAATGTGTTTGGTGATGTGAACATTGACGGGGGGAGGAACTATGCCAAGAGGAGAGGAGGGCTGCCTCCTGTCCCTATGCCATGGGGGCCCGTGCACAGGCCCTGGGACCTCTAAGAGGCCCCACCCCAGCCCTGAAGGAGCCCATGAGAGTTCTGGTTCCCCTGCGGGCTTGTGGGTTCACACCCACCACAGCGCTCAACAAACACTGCCTCCATCCTTTTCCTTTTACCAGGCCCCTTCCCCTGTGGAATGCTCAGTGGAGGACACAGGCATCTCTTGGCTCTGTGTTGTGCAACCTCCCATGGACACTTGTGTTCTGCTTTGGACACAAGATGTGTGGATCAGTGTGGCAGTTGGAGTGAGGCATCGCCACAGGCCAACTGTTTTCAGACAACTGATGTGTGGCCAAGAGAGGAAATGGATTCCTTTTGAGTAGATTGTCTGCTTGAATTCTTGGCTCATTTTGAGCCAGGACGATTGAGGAAATTGTCTTTTTCTGTTGGCTTTTAAAGAGCTGTTTCCATAAAAGGGAATTTAGCCCTTTACCAAATATGTTCTAAATGACTTATTGTGTGTTCCCTTTCCTCTTTGGTCTTTGTGGTGTGTGTGTCCGGTGTGTGTGTTTGTGCACATGTGCACACTATACAAAATGTATAGCCAGATTTATTATTCTTTACTGTTGGCCTCTGTGTGTTGTACCAGCTTAGAAAGGGCTCCCTAGTCGAGCGTGCAATTCAGTTTCAAACACTTGGGCCTTTAACCCAGGGATTATCAGGGCCGACTTTCTGTTTGGAATTGGACCTCAGGTCTGATGTACTTTGGGCTGATCTGTATTTTATCTTGCAAAGAGAAATATTAATTTCCAAACTTGTGAGTTCTTGGGAGCTCCCCTACTGTCTCCGAGGCAGGCCCTAAATGCAGAGCAGGATGAAGTTCTGCTCCTCCATGGAACCTGGCTTGAGCAGACAGGTGTCAGGTCCTGAGATCACAAACAGGGTAGAGAACTGTGTCCCAAGTGAGCAGAATCAGGAATGCTTACCTGGGACATGCATCAAGATGGGGGAAGACAGGGCTGATAGGTGGGAGGGATCTGTGCTGGCTCTTCTGGGCTACATTGTTCACTCCACAGAGGTAGCTTAGGCTGGCATGGCCATTGCCAGCTGACATCTTCTACCTGGCGTGTCTGGTGGCAACTCTTGTCAGCTGGTGGCCCCTTAGCTCCTGGCCAGGTGCATTCCTGAATGCCTGTTGGTCCCAAAGTCCTTTAGCCTGGTTCTTTGATGGTTCCTTCTGCTTCTAGGGCCATGGCATTGCATAACGGGGCTCTGAAAGACATGGCTGCCAAGGTGCTGTCATGTGTACCTAGCACAGTCCAGAGGACAGCAGTTTAGAAAGTCAGCAGGTGTGGAACAAAGGTGAGGGACTTCTGCGAACTGGCAGCCCTTGGTGAGCCCATGGCCTTCTGAGGGCCAGTGTCAGAAGCGCCCTTCACTTGAGCAGCATCAGAGGGCCTGGGCTGACCTCACAAAGGGGCCATGAGTGTGACTACCTGGCTGGGGAGTGAAGCCAGAGGGCAGAAGTGCCCTGGAGTGCAGACCCCAGCAGACACTGACCAGGCACAGGAGGATGAAGTGAGTTTGTTGGGGACAGAGAACAGCCAAGGGGCAGCCGGCAGTCAGCTCAAGTCCTCACAAAGAAGGGCAATACCACCCGTGGGCCGGGACAGTCGGCTCGAGGGCCAGCAGCCAGGAACGTGGCGAAGAACTTGGATCTGAGGTGGGCCCATGGTGTAGCTGTGGTGTGCTAGCAAGAGTGGCCTCCAAACCCACCCTGGAAGGTGATCCAGAGACCATAGAGCAGAAAGGCTTCCTTCTCAGAGTGAGCTGCTGGAAGCCCACCAGTGTCAGGTCAGTGTAAAATAAGGAGCGAGAAGAGGGTGGAACAGGTCAATGTGCTTAAAACACAGAGAAATGGGGTGACAGTGAGGAGACCATCTGCCTGGTGCTAGGTCCTCCATGTTCACACCCCCCATCTCTCTCAGCCGCATCAGCTCCCCACTAATGGTAGGGTTGGGGGACCATGGTGGACGTTTGGGCAAGAGTCCTAGAGATGGAAGGTGCTTGTCAGTCACACACACTGGTTTACGGACAGATGCAGGCAGGGCTGCGCCAGCCAGCTGATGAGCCTCCTGCACAGCTGAGGACTTGATTTGCATTTCTAGGGGAGAGCATGTAGGGTGCCAGAATGATGTCACCAGAGGGTGGCCAGATTAAGACCTCATGAATCTTCTGGCTGTGTGTATCTCGTGTATATTTAGTGCCTGATGGATATCAGGTGTCTCTTTGTTTTGCCAACACGTTCTGTGTTCAACTTAGATATACGCTACCTCCACATATCTTTCATTAACACAACTTATGATTTCTGCCTACATCTCTATTTGCCCACTCTCTATACACATCTTAACTGGTTTGCCTGTCTTACAAACTACATGCTCATTTATATTCTATAGTAGAATTGGATATCCTCAAAAGCAAGTGTACATTCCAAGCGGTTACCTACATATGTGTATCTCTTAGATTGAGATAGGTTACAAGGTAGGGGGAAGGGCAGACCCTGAGTTAAAAAGTGGATGCTTCCATCAAGTATGCTTAAGTGCTCTCTTGACCTCTCCATGAGTCTCATTTTCCTCCTGTATAAAGGAGTTACTCACAAAACAGCCCCATGGGGGACGGCAATGATTACATAAGACACAGGAAGTGCCTATGGAACTCTCTCAACCCTATCCTTCTGAGGTTTCAATGGAGGCTCCATTTCACAGGCATGGTTGATTAACTGGTCATTGATTAACTCAATCTTTGGCCCCTCTTTCCTCCCTGGAGGTGGAGGGTGGGGCTGAAAGTTCCAATCTTCTAATCACACTGCAACCAGCCTCTATCCTGAGGCTATCTGGGATCCCACCAGGATTCACCTCATTAGCATACATTCAGCTGTCGTTAAAAAGGGCATGTTAGAAATAACCAAGATGCTGCTGTGACATCTCAACCACTCAGGCAATTGTAAGGGTTTTAGGTGCTTCCTGCTAGAAACCTGGGGTGAAGACCAAATGTCTATTTCTAATTCTACTACAATATCACCGCTGTGTTAACAGAAGTTCCTTCCTTTTAATCAGCAGTGCCAAGAGGAGCTGGGGTGCCAGTATCTGTGTATCTTCAGAGGCAGCAGGGGCCAGTGTGCCACATCTTGCCCCAGTCCTGAAAGGATAGATGGTATTTGGCCTGTGACCCTTGGCTGAGGAGCCATGGTCCGGCTCTGCCAGGCCCTGCTGCTGTTAGTGGCCACTGTGGCCCTTGCATCCAGAAGATTCCAAGCCTGGGGCTCAACAAAGGTGGTGAGGACATTCCAAGATATCCCTCAAAACTACGTCTATGTGCAGCAGGCACTCTGGTTCGCCATGAAGGAGTATAACAAGGCCAGCTTTAGTATAACAAGTTCAGCTTTAGGGTGCTGAAGGTTCTGAAGAGCCAGGAGCAGGTGGGTGGGGTGCTTGCTCCTTGCCCTTTCACTCCCCGCCCTCAGTGTCAACAAACAGAGTCAAACTCAGAATAAAGGGGTTTATTCTGAGCCAAATGTGAGTGACCAAGGCCTGTGATACAGCCCCAGACGGTCTTGAGAACATGTGCCCAAGGTGGTTTATAGTTTAATATTGTACATTTTAGGGGGATAGAAGTTACAGGCACACATCATTCAATACATATAGGTGTACGTTGGTTTGGTTTAGAAAGGCGGGACAACTTGAAGTGGGGGCTTCCAGGTCATAGGTGGATTCCAAGATTTTCTGATGGTCAATTGGTTGAAAGAGTTAAGTTGCTACCTTAAGACCTGGAATCAGCTGGACGTGGTGACTCACTCCTGTACTCCCAGCACTTTGGGAGGCCAAGGCAGGCAAATTACCTGAGGTCGGGAGTTTGAGACTAGCCTGAACGACATGGAGAAACTTCATCTCTACTAAAAAAGAATACAAAATTAGCTGAGTGTGGAGGTGCATGCCTGTAATCAGAGCTACCTGGGAGGCTGAGGCAGGAAAATCGCTTGAACCAGGGAGGCAGAGGTTGCAGTGAACCGAGATCATGCCATTGCACTCAGCCTGGGCAACAAGAGCAAAACTCTGTCTCAAACAAACAAACAAACAAACAAACAAACCTGGAATCAATAGAAGGGAATGTCTGGGTAAAGATCAGGGGTTGTGGAGACCAAAGTTAATCATGCAGATGAAGCCTCCAGGTAGCAGGCTTCAGAGAGAACAGATGGTAAATGTCTCTTATCAGGCCTTAAAAAGTGCTAAACTTTTAGTTAATTCTCTCCTGGATCAGGAGAAGACCTGGAACAGGAAGGAGATTCTCTACAGAATGCAAATTTACCCCCATAAGAGCTGGCTTTGCAGGGTCATTTCAAAATTCATCAAAGAAATATATTTTGGTAAAATGCTTCTTTCAGGACCTGTTATCTGTCTTGGGATGCTATAGTAAAGTTGGAATTTGGTAACTTATTGCTACAAAGATCTGTTTTGTCAGTCCGAAGACCTCTGTTTTAATGTTAAAGCTGGTCAGTTGTTTCTGAATTCCAAAGGGAGGAGGGTATAATGAGGCATGCCTGACCCTCCTTTCCATCATGGCCTGAACTAGTGTTTCAGTTTTACTTTGGAATGCCCTTGACTGAGAGGGGGTCCATTCAGTCACTTGAGAGGTCTTAGAATTTTATTTTTGGTTTACATCAGTCTGAACAGAGCCCATTATCTGTGGATGGCTACTGAAACTAGGAATGGAAGACACAACTGAGAGATGCCTTTAGTCATAATATATTTCTTTTATTTTAGGAGTTTTTGAAGGAAAACAAATTTTATTTCATTCTTTATTATACTAGGATGGAGATGAAACAAAAATATCCATTAAAATCACTTGAAAATGGTTACAGTCACATCAAAAAGTAGAGATAAGAGCCCAGAAGGTAGCTTGAAGGGAGCAAGTTTGGACCATTTGTGCATCATCAATGTGGGCCATGGCAAAGATGGGTTATGACACATTGAGCGAGTACAGCTGATGCTGGGAAAGGAGCCTGGACAGAAGGGAGGCTCCTCTTTACAGGAAAGTGCCATCTCAAAAATGTGAAAGAAGTGGCCTAACTAGAAAATTATGCCATCTTCTAGTTGTATCTTCTCACCACTACCACGGTCATAACTATTTCAGGCAAAGATCATCAGTGAATCCTACAACCACTGAGTGAGAGTGTTTGGCGTGAACCATTGCAGAGATTACTTATTAGTTACAAGGGGAAAAGACATCCTTCTAATCAGAAAATTTGATAAACACCTTTCTTACCAAATGCTCACCACCAACACTGAGACAAATTGGCATCACATACTTCCTGAAACGATGTGCACAGAGGGGATGCCAGCACCTGTATATGGTATTCTTGCCCAGAATGCATACTTTGAATGTAATCAGAGGAGAAATTAGATAAATCCATAAATCCAATATCATGAGAAACAGGGGAAAATGCTGGAAAACTGTTCCCCAACAAAGGAGACCTACGAAGCATGATGGCTAAATGCAGCAGGTGGTCCTGTGTTATCTTGGTGTCAACTAGAGATTCAGTCTGGTTTATGAATTTGAAAAGGAGAGCTTTGTTTCTCTAAAGGGTTGCAGCCTACAGGGTGGCCATTCTGACAGGCTGGGAATTCTGATGGAAGCTGGAAAGAGGCACTTTGAGGGGAGAAGCATAAGACAGGAATCTGTGCTGAATGGGTTGGCTAAGTATATATATTTAATAAGCTATAGGAGGAGTCATGAAGATTCATGAAAGAAAAATGTATGCATGCACAGTTGAGCTTCATGCCTCTTCATGGGTTGCATCTTCAAAAAGTGATGCTATTAGCATTATCCAAAGGTGGATTTTAAGCCCTCTGATGGCAAAAGCTGAAGTAGAGTCACCAAAACCCTCACTGTGCATCCTCCACATGTCAGGCAAAACCAGTCCAGAGATGGTGGCCAGTTTTCAAGAAAGGATGCCTTGTGAAGCTGGTGAGCTGTCACATCAAAATGCAAAGAGGGAAGAGGGACTCTGGTCTTGGCCTCAGATGATTGACTAATGGCCATAAAAGAATGAGTCGTTTATTTCTTGTTTTCCAGTGTTGGTTTCTGCTTACTCCTTAGGAAAGAATACAAATTAAAGGTTAGTGAGGAGGGGGCACACTGAGGTATGTCTGACATCCCATCCCCTCATGGCCGGGAATTCAGTTTTTAAGGTTTCTCTGAGGTCCCCTTGGCCTAGAGGGGGTCTGTTTGGTCCATTGGAGATTTAGGGTTTTATTTTTATTTCTCAACAAAAGAAAAGAAAAAAATTATAAAGGATGTTATTGGGACAATTGATGAGATTTTCATCTGGGCTGTATAATAGAAGATAACTTTGTACCTGCGTTAAATTTCCTGAGAGAGGTGATTGTCCTGTGGCTCGGCAGGCACCCAAGGCATCCACGGTGGCACACCGTGAAGGCCCAGGAATGAGATCAGTCTGCTGGAGTCTGGGGAGTGAGAGGGTGGCAGAGGTGGAAGGCGACACCGAGCTTGGGTCATGGCGGTGCTGACATGAAGTGTCACGCAGAGATGCCTCTTTGTGCTCTTCCTTCTCGAGCTCATCTCTCTGCCGCCTTCCCTTTGACCTTTCCTGTTCATGTCTCCAGGCTGCCAGGCCACCTGCCCTACTTTCCTGTTTTCTTATCTGATCAGGAGAGAAGGTTCACTGGGAGGCTGCATGCCCGACAGTGCTGGGACATTAGGCCCCTTATTCGTCTTGCCATGCTCCGTGGGACCTTGGCTCCCTCTGGTTCTTTCTGTAGTTCTGGTTATGTTGCTTGTGTTGCTTGAGGAGAGGACACCTATGACCAGGAATGTGCCACCAATGAGCGAAATTAAAACCTTAGAACACAGGCAGCCTGCAGCCTCTCAGGCATGTTTAACACCTGTTCTCAGTAAGTTCCCGCCCCCTCCAGAACTATTCCACTTTCTTGGGTTTCTCTGTATCTAAGCTTTCCTACTTACACCAATAAAATAGTGTTTTTGCTTTATAGGCCGGTGTTTAATAATACAGTAAACCAAATACCTGGATATCTAAAAAATTATATACCATTTTGTACTGTTTCTTGTTTTTTTTTTTTTTCCGTGAATGAATGTTTTATTTTTTAGTTTACTGTGAGCTTTTGAATGCAGGCAATAATTCAAAAGAATCAGGTAGAAACAGATTCAATAAGAGACTACAACACAAGTATCTAAAATTCTTTGACCTTACAGCTACATACTGCTGCAAAAGAGCACAGAGAGAGATTTTTTTAAATGTATCATCCCCCAAACAACACACAATAAAAGCAAAAAGAAAAATTCTTGGTGACAATTCAGCTTAAACTTAATAATATACACATAGGCTTTATGAAAAGAAAACAGCCATATCTTATTGGGAGATTTAAGAATACACAGATTTGTATCAGGGGTTGGCCAAGTGTAGCCTGCTGCAGGCTTTTAAACAGAGTGGTTACAGAGACAGCTTGGCCTGCAAAGCCTACAATCTTTACTACCAGGCCCTTTAGGGAAATTTTATAGATGCTGCTCTTTTCTTTTCTTTTGGATATTTGAAGCAATTTTATTAATTTTTTCTTGACATATTAAATGTTTCTATTTATTTTTAAGGTATACAACATGATGTTTTGCTCTATACATTGTGAAATGACTACTAAAATCAAGCTAATTGACATACCCATCACCTTACATAGTTACCTTTTTTTGTTTGCGTGTGGTATGAATACTGGAGATCTACTCTTAGAGCAAGTTTCAAGCATATGATACACTGTTAATAACTGATGTCATCATGCTGGACTATCTCTTGGTAGACTGAGTGCTGCTGCAGAGTTTGTGCAATGTGAGTGCTGGCGCAAGGAGCATCTCATCCCCAGCGGCCTGGAGCCACACGGCAATGAGAGAATTCCAGTATACTTGGCACCAGGGCTGGTTGCTTTCCACAGGTGCACTCAGGTCTCATAGCTCATTAAGTTAGAACTACCTTCTTCTACATTACTGAGGAGGAAACAGTCACAGAAAGGTTTAGTAACTTGCCCAGAGCCACAAAGCTAGTAAGTAGAAGAGCCAAGATTTAAAGCCAGGCTGAGCCAGGCGTGGTGGCTCACACCTGTAATTCTCAGACTTTGAGAGGCTGAGGTGAGAGGATTGCCTGAGCCTGGGATCAGCTTGGGCAGCATGGCGAGACTTCATCTGTAAATTAAAAAAAAAAAAGAAAAAAGAAAAAGAAAATTAGCTGGGTGTGCCTGTAGTCCCAGATACTCCGGAGGCTGAGGCTGGAAGATTGCTTGAGCCCAGGAGTTTGAGGTTGTAGTGAGCTGCAGTTGTGCCACTGCACTCTAGCCTGAGCAACAGAACTACACCCTGTCTCAAAAAAATAAAAGAAAATAAATAAAAATAAACTCAGGCTGCTGTGCTCTTCTTCATCAGCACCTGTCTCTGAACAATGCCCAGTGGAGCCAAGGTGGTGGGAAAAAGTGCAGCCACAGGGTAGGGGAGGAGAGGGGTCTTCGGATGGCCAGGAGTCAGAGGGGCCTGTCTGTGTAAAGACTGAGGGGCTCCTCAGCAGCCAGGACCCCACCTGCCTCCTATTTCCTGAGCAAGTGTGGGTCAAGATAGGATTAGCGGTTGCTTGGTAGCTGATGAGTATGAATTAGAGCTGTTAGTTTTTTGGGTTTTGGTTTGTTTGTTTGTTGTTTTTTTTGAGATGGGGTCTCATTCTTTCCCCCAGGCTGGAGTACAGTGGTGCAATCTTGGCTCACTAGAAGCTCTGCCTCCCAGGTTCACGCCATTCTCCTGCCTCAGCCTCCCGAATAGCTGGGACTACAGGTGCCCGCCACCACCCCCCTACCCCCACTTGGCTAATTTCTTTGAATTGTTTTTAGTAGAGACGGGGTTTCACCATGTTAGCCAGGATGGTCTTAATCTCCTGACCTTGTGATCCACCTGTCTCGGCCTCCCAAAGTGCTGGGATTGCAGGAGTGAGCCACCATGCCCGGCCTAGAGCTATTAGTTTTTTATTGTAATTTCAACTTAGACCTATGACTCAAATATACAGCAATGGTTTGCAACTAGGGGTGGCTTTTGCTCCTTAAGGGAGTTTTGGCAATGCCTGGAGAGATTATTTTGTTGTTATGACCAGAGGGGGCTGCTCCTGACATCTAGTGAGTGGAGGCTCAGGATTCTACTAACTATCCTGCAAGGCACAGGGCAGCCCCCAAACAAAGAGGGATCCAGCCCAAAATATCAATAGCACTGAGGTTAGGAAACTTGATATGCAGTCACCAGAAAGTTCTAAGAGTACAACTGAAAGTTGTTTAAAAAATGAAAGCAAACCCTCAATTTCTTGCATTCCCAGTCTGGCTTGTCATTCTTGAGGGCACCACTAAGAGCAGTGTGCTCTGTCCTTCTAGATATTTTCTATGTACTTACATATGCATCTGAAATATTTAAAAGTATATTTTATAGTCATAAAATCATGCTTTCTATGTTTTTCTCTACTTCTTTTGCCACTTGAAACATGTCTTTAAAAAGTTACGTAAATACACTTAGATCCACCTCATAGTTGTATTTCATGAGATGATGTGCCATAATTTTTTTTCGCCCATCTCCTAATGGACCATGAGGTTTGTTAATAGGAAAAGTGAAACAATGAATATTCCTTTGTATGTGTTGCTTTGATATTGTGAGGTTAAAATCAGGTGTCGACTGGATTGAAGGATGCCTGGATGGCTGGTTAAGTCTTGTTTTTGGGTGTGTCTGTGAGGGTGCTGCCAGAAGAGATGGATGTTTCAGTCGGTGGACAGGGAGAGGAAAACCCACCCTCAGTGTGGGTGGGCACCAGCCAATCGGCTGCCAGTGAGGCTAGGACAAAGTAGGCCAGGTGGGAGAGGAGGATGGCTTTGCTGGCTGAGGCTTCTGGCTCTTTTCTTCCTGCATTGGATGCTTGCTTCTCCTGTCCTTGGATATCTAACTCCAGGTTCTTCAGCCTTTGGACTCTGGGACTTGCACCAGTGGGTCCCCAGGGCCTCTTGGGCCTTTGGCTGCACTGCCAGCTTTCCTGGTTTTGAGGCTTTTGGACTTGGATTGAGCCACTACTGGCTTCTCTCTGCTTGCAGACAGCCTACTATGGGATTTTTGCCTTGTAATCGTGTCAGCCAATTCTCCCTAGTAAATTCCTTTTATATACAAACTTATTCTATTAGTTCTGTCCCTCTGGAGAACCCTGACTAATACCGATAGTATCCTGAATTTGAATTCATTGGTTAAAAAGTACATTTGCAAAATAATGGCAAATTGCCCCTTAAAAGGGCTAAATTACATTAGATTTTTGGCAATGCTGCAGGTCTCAGTACCTCTTGCCTCTCATTTTCACCAGCTGTGGTCTCATTTTGTCTTTCAGATGTTTGCCAGTCTGATGGAGGCAACAATAACATTTTTTAATTCCCCTATAGAGTGAGAAATTGTCTTCCATTGAATTTATCTACAATATATGTTTACTTCTAAGAATTGTTTCCCTTTTTCTTTTGCATTGCTTGTCTTGCTCTTACAGAATCATAGATGTTCTTTATGCACTATTCATATTAAACTATGATTCTCATATATTTCACTCACGTCCGTGTGAAGAGGCCACCAAACAGGCTTTGTGTGAGCAACAAGGCTGTTTATTTCACCTGGGTGCAGGCGGGCTGAGTCCGAAAAGAGAGTCAGTAAAGGGAGATAGGGGTGGGGCCATTTTATAAGATTTGGGTAGGTAAAGGAAAATTACAGTCAAAGGGGTGTTGTTCTCTGGCAGGCAGGAATGGGGGTCACAAGGTGCTCAGTGGGGGAGCTTTTTGAGCTAGGGTGAGCCAGGAAAAGGAATTTCACAATTCAGTTAAGGCAAGGACTGGCCATTTTCACTTCTTTTGTGGTGGAATGTCATCAGTTAAGGCAGGAACAGGCCATTTAAATATCACTTCTTTTGTGATTCTTCAGTTACTTCAGGCCATCTGGATGTATACCTGCAGGTCACAGGGCATATGATGGCTTAGCTTGGGCTCAGAGGCCTGACAATATATACTGCAAATATTTTGTGCTTGCCTGTCTGTTGCTTATAGTTTAATTTTGCTTACAGTGTCTGTAAGATTTTTTTTAAAAATACTGACACAATAACATTTATTAGTTCTTCCCATATGTTGTTTGGAGTTTATATCTTGCTTAAGAAGTCCTTTTCCATTCTTGAGTATAACAGTTACAATTGTTATAAATAAAGTTTTGGTGCTGCAAAAGAAATAGCACTTGAATATAAAATTTTCTATTTTTCTTCTCAGCAAGGCAATTTACTTCTATAGAAGGGTGCATCCTCAGAGATGGAGCAATGGTGAGCACACACCTGGACAAGGGAGGAGAAAGGGTTCTTATTTCTGATGCACGTGGGCCCTGCTGCTGTGTTGTTCCCTTATTGGCTAGGGTTAGACCACACAGGCTAAACTAATTCTGATTGGCTAATTTAAAGAGAGTGATGGGATGAGTGGTTTGGCAGGGAAAATGGTCATGGCAGAGAAGGAAATCAGAATGAGTCAGGGTGGAGAATGAGTCAGGGCAGAGAAGGTAATCAGAATGAGTCAGGGTGGAGCAGGTGATTGAAAAAGGTTGTTTTATGAGGAAGTTAAGTTTAAAAGTAGAAGGCAAAGAGTTGAACATACTGACATATTGATTCTTTAAAAAGAAATTTAGAACTCATATCTAACACAATTCTTCTAAGACATTTATAATTTAAGCTCAGTAATCTATCTTGGAATTATTTTTATTTATGGTGTGGAGTTAAAGTTATCCAGTTAAAGTTACTGGATCTAACTTTAACTTTTTAAAATAGTAAATTTCCGTAACTGTCTCTATAAAAGGTCTCTGTGTTTTGAAAAGCCAGCTCACCATAGACTAAGTATCCAAATATAGTTGAGTCTGTTGCAGGATCATTGTTGATTCTCTTTCCTTGATTATTTTATTTGTTCCTGGGTGGGTATTGTAGAGTTGCTATTGAGTAGGAAAAGTCCTTTACATTATTCTTTTAAAAACCTTTTAAAAATGAGAATTCCCATTTATTCCTTAAAACCTTTTCATTGTGAAACCAACACAAAAACCGAAAAGTTCATAATGCATAGATGTCAAGCAGAATGAATCACTTTAAAATGAACGCTCATGAAATGATTCCCCATATAGTGTGGAGAGAACATCTCAGGCTCCCTGGAGTTATGCATGCCACTCTTCCCTGCTCTGCCCCAGAAGAAGCCTTTACCGTGAACACTGCCTAAGTGTACAGCCCTCAACACCACAGTTTTACCTGCTCCTTGAACTTCATAGGCGTGAGGTCCCACATGCTGTGTTATTTTGGTTTGGCTTGTGTCTTTCAATATTATGTTTGTGCATTTCATTCATGTTGTGGCAGGTAGCAATAATATATTCCTTTTGTTTTTTCAAAATCAAGTGTTTTATTTTAAAAAAATTTATTGTATATATTTAAAGTATATAACACGATATTTTCATATACCTGTAGATAATGAAATGGTTACTACAGTTGAGTGAATTAACATATCCATCATTACACATTGTTACCTTTTTATGGGGATCAAGATCCCCAAAATCCACACTTTTAGAAAAATCCCAAATACAATATAGTAATCTTGACTTTGTCCTCATGTTGTACATTAGAACTCCAGACTTGTTTGTTCTACATATCTGTGACTTTTTATCCTTTGACCTATGTCTCCCCATTTCTTCCCTGACCCATTTCACTTTTTATGTTAAGTGAAGTGAAAAACCAGATACAGAAAGAAAAATACTACATGATCTCATTTATGTGTGGAATCTTAAAGAAAAAAAAGTATGTTCGTTCCGACTGCTGCAGAAAATTTCGTTATATAAGCACACTACCATGTATTTATCCTGCTATTGTTGATACATATTGGGGTTGTTTTCCGTCTTTGACTGTATGAGTAGTGACACTATGCACACACAGGCATACCTTGTGGATACTGTGCCTTGTGGATTTAGTTCCGTAATACAATCCATCGCATTGTATTCCATGCAATACAGTGAATATCACACTAAAGTGAGTCACACACATAATTTGGACTCCCAGTGCCAATAAAGTTATGTTTACACTATACTGGAGTCTATTAAGTGTACAATAGCACTAAATCTAAAAATATATACCTTAGTTAAAAATACTGTATTGTTAACAATGCAGATGATACCTAAACCTTAGGCCCATTGTAATCTTTTGCTGGTGAGGGATCTTGCCTTGATGTTGGTGGCTGCTGACTGAGCAGGGTGGTGGCTGCTGAAGGTTGAGGGGACTGTGGCATTTTCTTAAAATAAGACAACAGTGAAGTTTGCCACATTGATTGACTTACTCTCATGAAAGCTTTCCTGTAGCATGTGATGGTGTTTGATAACATTTTACCCACAGTAGACTTTTTGAAAAAATTGGAGTCAACCCTCTCAAACCTTGCAGCTGCTTTATCAACTCAGTTTGTGTAATAGTCTAAATCCTTTGTTGTCATTTCAACAATGTTCACAGCACCTTCACCAGAAATCAATTCCATTTCAAGAAACCATTTTCTTTGCTCATCTCTGAGAAACAGCTCCTCATCTATTCACATCTTATTATGAGACAGCAGCAATTCAGTCACATTTTCAGTTCCATTTCTAATTTTAGTCGTCTTGCTATTTCCACCACATCTGCAATTACTTCCTCCACTGAAGTCTTGAGTCCCTCAAAGTCATTCATGATGGTTGGATCACATTCTTCCAAATTTCTGTTAATGTTGATATTTTGAACTCCTCCCATGAATCACACATGTTCTGAATGGCATGTAGAATGGTGAATCCTTTCCAGAAGGTTTTCAACCTACTTTGCCCAGATCCATCAGAGGAATCACTCTTTATGGAAGTTACAGCCTTATGAAATGTTTTCCTTAAATAACAACACTTGAAAGTTGAAATTACTCCTGCAGAATGGATGTTGTATTAGCTGACATTGAAACAATATAAATCCTTGTATATTTCCACTAGAGCTCTTGGGTGACCAGGTGCATTGTCAATGAGCAGCAATACTTTGAAGGGAATTGTGCATGTGCTTTTTTTTTTTTTTTTTTTTTTTTTTTTTTTTTTTTTTTTTTTTTTTGAGCATTATGTCTCAGTAGTAGGCTTAATATATTCAGTAAACCGTGTTGTAAACAAAAATGCTTTCATCCAGGATTTGTTGTCTTATCATATGTAAAGTAGATTTAGCATAATTCTTAAGTGCTTTAGGATTTTCAGAATAGTAAATGAACATTGGCTTCAATTTAAAGTCACCAGCTGCATTAGCCTCTAACAAGAGAGTTAACCTGTCGATTGAAGCTTTGAAGACAGACATTGACTTCTCTCTAGCTATGAAAGTACTAGATGGCATCTTCTTCTAACAGAAGCCTGATCGAACTACATTGAAAATCTCTTGTTTGTGTAGCCACCTCCATCAATGATCTTAGCTGCATCTTCGGGATAACTTGCTGTAGCTTCTTCATGAGTACTTTGCCACTTTACCTTGTATTTTTACGTTATGGAAATGGCTTCTTTTGTTAAACCTCATGAACCAGTCTATGCTAAATTCCAACTTTTCTTCTGCAGCTTCCTCACCTCCCTCAGCCTTCATAGAATTAAAGACAGTTAGGGCCTTGCTCTGGACTAGACTTTTGCTTCAGGGAATGTTGTGGTTAGTGTGATCTTTCATCCAGACCATTAAAACTTTCTCTATATCACCAATCAGGTTGTTTTGCTGTCTTATCATTTATGTGTTCAATAGATTAGCACCTTTAATTTTTTTCAAGAACTCTTTCTTTGCATTCATAGCTTTGTTAACTGTTTGGTGCAACAGTTCTAGCTTTCAGCCTATCTTAGATATCAACATGTCTTCCTCACTAAGCTTAATCATTTCTAGCTTTTCATTTAAAGTGAGATATGTGTGACTCTTCTTTTCACATTACAATGAGGCAACAGTAGGGTTGTTAGTTGGCCTTATTTCAGTATTACTGTGTTTCAGGGAATAGGGAGGCCTAAGGAGAGGAGAGAGATGGGGAATGGCCAGTCTGTGGAGCAGTAGGAACACACGTATTTATAGATTTAAGTTCACTGACTTATATGGTCATGGTTCTTGGTGCTCTAAAACAGTTACATAGTAACATTGAAGACTACTGATCACAAATTACCATAATAGACGTAATAATAATGAAAAAGTTTGAAATATTTTGAGACTTGCCAAAATGTGACACAGAGACAGGAAATGTGCACATGCATGTTGGAAAAATGGTACCGATAGATGCTTGACTCAAGGTTGCCATAAACCTTCAATTTGTAAAGAACACGGTACCTATGAAGCATGATAATTCAAAGTACAATAAAATGAGGTGTGCCTGTATTTGTACATGTGTGTGCCTTTGAAGTTAGGTATACATCCAAAAGTGAAATTGCTGGATCCAAGGGTGTGCACTTCTCTCTCTGACCTCTAACCCAAGATTTAAAGGGCTCATGTGAATAGGTCAGGTCAACCAAGTCAATCTCCCTATTTTAATTCAGCTCTCCCCTAGAGGATAGCCTAATCACAGAAGTAAAATCCATCCTATTCATAGTCCTAGGGATCCCACAGGGCACACACAATAGGGAGCAGGACTCCTGGGGGCATCTTAGAATTCTGCATACCACACTCCCTTTGTTCAATGCCTAGGAAACTTTTCTAGAATTTCTAAAAAAAATTTTTTAATATTTTGTCAGTTGTCTCTGATTCTTCTGGGACCAGTTATTGTGTTTAAACTTGATCATTCTCTTTAATATGCTCTCTCCCCCAAGTCTTGTAAACCTTGTTTTCTTGTTCATTTTTAAATAAAGTCCACTTTTGCCATTGAGCTGCTCCATTTCCCCAAGAGGCTCTCTTTGAACAGAAGGGCTGCTAGGGGCTTTGTGCAGGTAGAATGCCCTCAGAGGCAGAAATTTTGGAGGAATCCACATTTCAATAAGGTGTGGATACTAAGATTGGCAAAGAATAGGAGACTTTAGAGAGAATCAATACAAATACACACTAAGCAAGTTCTAGTTCAGGGTCATAGTTTTATTTCCTCAATATCTATTGATTAGGTGTGAAGATGCTACAAGCTCTGCTGTTTCCCAAGCTCTAATAAGCAAACCATTAGCTTCCCCAGGAAAATAATTTTGGGGGGAATTGTTTTCTTGCTTTATTTTGGAGACAGTTACCATTACTTTAAAATTAAATACTATGATGAGAGACAGAGAGACAGAGATATCAAGGTAAGAAAACTTCCAAATTACCCCAAAACTTCTGGACAGAAAAGAGTTGAAGAGGGGGAAGGCAAAAAAGACATTCTTGGCCTTGAGTAGTCAATGACATGTTTATTTACCAGAGATGACAATTGATATTATGTATTCTTTAATGATATATGATTTTTACATTACTCATTGACAGGTGACAGATAGTTTGGAGTACTATATTGAGGTCAAAATTGCCCGAACAATTTGCAAGAAAATTTCAGAAGATGAAAACTGTGCATTTCAAGAGGATCCCAAAATGCAAAAGGTATGTAGCTGAGACAAGGAGAACCCCTTGCACTGGTAAGACTTGTGTACCAGATCATATTCAGGACTGTGGATGACCAGGTTCTAGACACAGAGCATCATTTCTATTATCTGTTGCTGATGCCAACCTTCCCTTCCCGAATGTTATGGGATCTTTGGGGTGTTGCTTTTCTGGCTGGAAACCTCTATGGCTGGTGGCACCTTTGCCCAAGTTCTTGTCCTGTTTCTGGAAAGAATGAGGTACACAGACAAGTGGAGGGTGAGCAAGATGAAGAGGAGCTTCACTGAGTGTTAGAACAGCTCAGAGGAAACCCCGTGGTGGGTAGCTCCTCTCTGTAGGCAGTTCATCCAGAGTGTTCAGCTCTCAGCAGAGAGGGTAGCTCCTCTCTGCAGCTGGTCATCTGGTAGTCTTCCCAGATCTCAGCAGAGAGAACAGCTCCTTTCTGCAGCTGGTTGTCTGTCCTCTGCTCTCTCTGAGTCTGGGGGTTTCTATGGTCTTCAGAGGGGGAAGTGTGTGCTGATTGGTCTGTGGTCAGCCATGGGTGGGCCCAGCAATAAGTACAAGTTCCCCCTCTGGTCTGCAGGACTGGCAGCCCAGCCCAGAGGCCTCAGGCCCTCCCCAGCCTGGGACCCACCCCCTTCTGCCCAGGAGCCTGTCTGCCTTCCACCACCCTTCACAGCCCAGGCTGTTCATGCCAAGGGGCGCCCGTAGGCCAGTGCTGAGCTGTCCTCAGCACCCCCCTTGGCCTCCCTCCGTGCTTCTCGGTGCCCAAAGATTGGAGGGGGCCGAAGCAAGAGGGGGCCAGAGTATTACAGCTGCCCTGAGCATGCGTGCACCCGACTGGATTGCGACAACTCCGGGGTTCTGCCCCAGCCTTGCTCCATGATCAGAGCAGGTGCCAGGAGCGGGGAGAGGCCAGGCAGTGTAAGCAGGCATCCCAAGCCTGTGGGGGGCAGGGAGAAGTTCCCAGGCCCTCAAGAGCACAGAGATGCCCAGGTCTACCCCTGGACCTGGGCAGCTGCAGCTGAATCCAGGGCCTCCTGCCTCCCACAACTCAGAAGCTGCGTGGCTCCTGCTTATCCTGGAGTCCTGGGCCCACTTTCCTGCTGCAGCCGGCGTCTTGGCAGTGGCCACTCTCCATGTGCCGCTGCTGCCATCACCACCAACACACCAACACTCACCCGCGCGCGCGCACACACACACACACACACACAGAGTTAGTGGCTTAAAGTAAAACGAACTCATTATTTCTCACTATTCTGCAACCTGTGCTGTGTTCTATTGGGGCAGGAATATTCTAGATAGCTACTTTACTCATGTGTTTGGCACCTCCACTAGGATGGCTGAAACAATGGGGGGGCTGGCTAGGCATCCTTCTCATACTGCTCAGGGACTAGCCATGGGGCAAACTTGTAGAGTGATCAGTCATCCTGGTTTGTCAAAGACTGTAGGCTTTCCTGGGATGTAGGCCTTTCAGTACTAAAACCAGGGAAATTTTGGCAAACCAAGATGTGTTGGTCATCCTATACTTGGACATTCTCACAACATGGTGCTTCCAAGGGAGTCAAAATTCTTAATTGGCTCCTAAGAGGAAGAAGCAGAAGCTGCCATCAGAACTGATAGAGAAGAAAGTGATGGCCGCCATCTTGGTGCACTGTCAACTCCGGCACCCTTTGCTGAGGGGTCCTGACCCAGTAGAAGGTACAGCATGACCTTCCTCCACTGCAGTCCTTGAAAGACCATTCCTCTCCTGCTGGGATTCCACAAGCCTGTGATTGCTTTGAAGCAGAGGATGTTGGAAGCAATGCTTCTTGGCTGATTCTGATACCAGTGGGCTAGGGGAGGTCTCCAAATGCCAGCGGGACGTTGACCCTGGATGGTGCCCGGGCTCTTGACACCTTCATGAGAAGGAATTCAAGGATAAGTTTGAAAATAGTGAAAATACAGAGATTTGTTGCAAAGCAAAAAGAACACACTCAAGACGTGGGGAGTGTGGGTATGTACTTGAGAGAGAGAGTCATGTGCAAGAGGGTTTGGTGCTCCTACCTTTATGGGTTTCTTTAACCAAAGTCTGGAATATTCATGAAAATTCCTGGAAAAAGATGGAGATTTCTTGGACCGGTGCCACCCATTTTTACACCAAATATGGGTGTTCCCAGAGCTCCATGGTGCTGATGGGTGTGTATTTAATATGTTAATGAGCACATAATGAAGTCCTAGGTGAAACTTAGGTCAAATCCAGTGCCATGTTGGGTCCAGTCAGTCTTAGCCAGCTTGGTCCACACCCTGGTTTTCAGGGTATCATCAGCCCCTAGCTTCTGCAGCTATTTCAACAGTTTCCTTTTGCTAGTCATGCAAAACTGCTGCCTGGAATGTTCTATTCTCCTGCAACCACCCTGTAGTATTCCTGTCTCAATTCCACTAGTCCAGCTGCTGCATGGAAGTCCTACAAGGCTCTGGAACAGTCCCAAGACTCCAGCCCAATGGCCCTGCATGCTCCCCATAGTCTCAGAGGTCCAGGCTGCTGCTGCTTCAGGCCAAGATGGGGGACAGCCCCAGCCAGGCCAGGCTGTTTTCAGATGGAGACTGTCACAAAGGCAAGTTCATCACAGAGGAGACAGGCTTAATAAAAAAGTCCCTTACTCTCCTCGTAGTTGACTAAACAGGGATACATTTCAGATTTAAATTTGATATTTTAAAATGTATATAAATATTTTCTAAAAGTATATTCTCATAAAAATATATGGGATAACAGTGAGGTCATGCCCCTTGGACTCCTGGATGATGCCCCAATTCTGCCCCCTGCCAAGGAGTTTCCACTGGGATCATTTGTGTGGACAGCTTTAAGATAATTTTGCTATAAACTTACAAAAATGACACAGTCTTTTTTCTCTTTCCCTTTTTATTTAAATAACTGCTGACGTGTGTTTTTTGATATAACTTCCTTTTTTTTTACATTTGTCTTGGTAATCTTCTCATTGAAATTATTTCCAAATTTTTTCTTTCATAAATGAAACTGCATTGAAAACCCTTATATATGCATATTTCTGTGCCCTGTGTATTTTTTCATCTATTTACTAAATACCCGAAGCAGGCACAAGACACGGACAGGTGGAAATAGTGGCAGATAAGTGATTGGCAAAAACTGCTCAGACATAATGCCAATTAAAAATATCCTCATATTTAGGCCAGGCGTGGTGGCTTACGCCTGTAATCCCAGCACTTTGGGAGGCCAAGGTGGGCAGATCACCTGAGGTCAGGAGTTCAAGACCAGCCTGGTCAACAGGCTGAAACCCTGTCTCTACTAAAAATACAAAAATTAGCTGTGCATAGTGGCATATGACTGTAGTCTCAGCTACTCAGGAGGCTGAGGCAGAAGAATCTCTTGAACCTGGGAAGCAGATGTTATAGTGAGCCAAGATCACGCCAGTGCACTCCAGCCTGGGCCACAGAGCGAGACTCCATCTCAAAAAAAAAAAAAAAAATTCCTCATATTTTAATGAAGAGCAGACATCATAGCAGAATGCCAAGTGCAAGCAGATGGCTAAATCTAGAGATTGAATTCTTATAAAAGATTAGAAATAATTTTAAATTAAGTAATATTTCAGAAATTCAAGGAAGTACTAAGAATGATATATCAAATGCCCATCTGCCTACCACACAAATTTTACAACTATTATCATTTTATTACATTAATTTTAGATATCTATTTTTTAAAATTTATTTTTATTTATTTTTAAAAATAAATTTTATTGGGTATATTTAAAATATATCACATGGTAGTATGTGATTCATACAGATAGTAAAGTTACCATAGTGAAGTAAAATAACATATCTATAATCTCACATAATTTTGCATTTTGTGACATGAACAACTAAATCTAGTCATCTAGCAGAAATTCCAAATATAGTATAATTTAATTAACTCATGATGTACATTAAACCTCATCCTATATCTGCTAATTTGTAGCTTCTAGCCTACATCTCCCAACCCCCTACAACCCGCTCTGCGGGTAACCATTACTTTATCCTCTCTCTGTATATTTGGCTCTCTCTTTTTTTTTTTTTTTTTTTTCAGATTCTACGTGTAAGTGTGATCATGCAATATATTTCTTTCCGTGTCTGGCTTGTTTCACTTAGTACAACATCCTCCAGGTTCATCCATGTGGCCAATGACAGGATCCCCTTCTTCTTTAAGGCTGAATAATATTTCATTGTGTGTGTGTACTGCATCTTCTTTATCCATCCGTTGATGGGCACTTAGGTTGTTTCCACATGCTGGGTATTGTGAATAGTGTTGCAACGAACATAGGAGTGCAGATATCTTTATGAGGTGATGATTTTATTTCCAGAGGGATTGCTGAGTCATATGGTAATTCTATTTTTAATTTCTTCAGGAACCTCCATACAGTTTTTCATAATGGCTGCGCCAGTTTACCTTCCCAGAAACAGTGTACAAGGGCTCTCTTCTCGCCACACCCTCACCAACATTCATTATCTCTTGACTTTTTGGTAATAGCCATCCTAATGGGTATTATTATTTATTTTAAAAAGTAAAATGTTACACATCTATTATGCTCCCCCCTCAAAGATAACCACTCTTCTATCATTGGTGGGTAACATTTCTACCTATGTTTAAAAACTTTTGCCTATGTAAAAGAATTTTGTGTGCTTTTCAAAATTTACATACATTTTGGAATTTCTGTTTTGTTTTGTTTTTTATTTATAGGACTTGCTTTTTAATATCCTTTTTGGGAGCAATAAGGCAGCTCCTGTTGGGGCCACAGCCTTAGATGGAGGAACACAGCCAACCTGCTGTGACTCCCTGACCTCACCCTCCTCCTGCTTCCCACTTTTCTGATTTTATCCTTCCTTGGCCAAACTCAACTGGAAGCCAGAAGGGGCCCACTGACACTGTCCATGGTGGTCATAGAGCAAGGGTGCCCACTGGCATGGTCCAGAGAAGTCAGAGGATAAGGATGTCCATTGGAGCAACCCACAGAGGTCAGAGGGCAAATGTGCCCATTGGAGCAGCCTGTGGAGGTCAGAGGGTAACGGTGCACATTGGTGTAGTCTGTGGAGGACAGAGGGTAAGGGTGCCATTGGAGCAGCCCATAGAGGTCAGAAGGTGAGGGGCCCACCGGTGTAGTCCATGGAGGTCAGAGGGTAAAGGTGCCAACTGGAGCTGCCCATGGAGGTCAGAGGGTAAGGGTGCCCACTGGAGCTGCCCAGGGAGGTCAGAGGGCAAGGGTGCCCATGGGAGTTGCCCATGGAGGTCAGAGGGCAAGGGTGCCCGTTGGAGCAGCCCATGGAGGTCAGAGGGCAAGGGTGCTCATTGGAGTAGCCCATGGAGGTGAGAGGGCAAGGGTGCCCACTGGAGCAGCCCATGGAGGTCAGTCTTCCAAGACAAGCCAGGTAGAGATAGGAGGAGTGCAGACCTCGGGGGACAAATGGAGAAAATTTAGCACAGGGGCAGGGGTGGAGATGTGAGAGCCATATGAGTCCATTATTAGTCTGTTGAGATACCTCAAATGAGAGATGATGTTGGTTAGGTTGGGGAGGTGCTCAGATTCTGGGTCTATGAAAGTTTGTTTAGAATTTGCTGATTGATTAGCCATGGAGCGTGAGAGGAGGAAAATCAGGATGGCTTTGGGTTTGAGAGGTTGGGAGGTGGTTTGCTGTCTTTGTTTTCTCTTATGATTGCATCCTCTATCTTGAGTACATGGCACTCAATAAACTTTTTTCCACTTGCCCACATCTATTTATCATGTGGAGATTTTTATCTGTCTCTGTCCTTGCATGGGGTCCTTTCCTGTTTCATAAAGCTCTTATAGGTTGGACTTTCTCTGTTTTCTTGGTTTATTTATTGGTATTTAGAAAGGAAGAAAGTGTGGATATCTGGGATCCTTGGAAAATAAATTTTAAAACAATATTAAATAGTTATTGGCCTGATTCATTCAATGTAAAAAATTTGGAAATTTTCAAAAATATTAAGCTTTTTCAAATCATCTGTTAATAACCTTATGTAAATCTTACCACTGTAAATATATTGGTATGTATTTTAGTTTAAAAATATTTTATGTTTATATTTTTTGTAATTGAGACCCTGATGAATACTGTTTCATGATCTAGATTTTTATTTAATAATAAAACCTAAGCATTTCCAAAACTGTAAAATTATTAGAGAGCATCATGTAATGCAACCATTTGATATTATTTTATGATGCTTCCATATATTATTTAGCCAATTCCTGAGAATTGATTAAGATTTTCCCTAATTTTTAGCTACTATGGACAGGGCTATAATGAATAGTCTTATTTCTATATGTGTTATGTCTGATTTTTGTTTCCTTCTAGGCAAGGTTCTCAGAAATGGAATTAGTCATCCAATATTTTTTCACCTCTTAAAAATTTTAATATACATTGCTAAAATATCCTCTAGGGTTGATCTTGATAATTGGGTTATTCAGGTCCTCTGTTTCCTGATTGTTTTCTGTCTACCTTGGCTGGTCCGGAAGTTAAGCAATTACTTAGTCACCTCTCTGGCAAACCTGATGCCCACTCTCTCTGTTTGCACCACTGGCACACACAGGCTCCCTCGTCCCTGGATTCCCCCTCCCGCCCAGGTGCAGAAGCCTGGACTCAGTTCTGCAAGGCACTGTCTGGGTTGCTGGTGGCGTGTCCTATTTTCTCCCCAAAACTGTTCCTACACCTTTATATCTTACACAACTTCTTCTCTACTTGATGCTATCATTCAAGTTTACACTGACTTCATAGAAGTATTCTTACTTTATATTTTTATTCTAAATGAAGATTTTAGGAGAGAGGAGGGAAACAGTGTTCTCATTCCCATGCATGGATCCTGAAACCCACATGTTCTGCAGGACTCTGGTATGAGAGCTACTTGTTTCCTTCCAGCCCTACAGCTGCAAGCTTTCCTCCTTGGTTGCTGGCACATTTTTATTTCCCCAAGGGGTGCAGGACCTGGTAATATTCTTGCAATGTTGCATTCCCTGGGTAGGACTGTCTGTGCAGCATGGGGTCTCTGTAGGCTACAGGGAGTCCATGTGGCTGGATGAGAGTCAGGGCTGGAGATGGGGATTTTCCAATAATAACCTGTCCTTGGGCTCTGATCCTTGCTCTCCTGGAGTGAATAAAGCCACACCCATGATGGCTCAGATCACAAGAGGTGAACTGATGAGGACTCCTCTGGTGAGGGGGCTGGATCCTCTGTTTTCTGATGAGGCGTGGCTGACTCAGACAGATTAGCCCTGCTGAATCTAACTCCTGCCTGGAAATAGGAACTTCTGCTTTTGTTTCCTTCTTTTTAAAATAGAAACTGACTATTCTTTTTGTCTCTTTCAGGTGGTTTTTTGTACTTTTATTGTTGCATCTAAACCATGGAAATTTGAACTCACCATGCTGAAGAAACAATGCAAAGATATGTAGTTATCTTCTAGTGTGTTCTGCCACACTCATTTCCATTTTAAAGAAGAAGCAAAGACACTTGCAAGAACTAGAACAACACAGTTAACCCATTAACTTCATTTGTTTGGCCTTTTTGCATTTTTGTGTGTTCTTCATGGGCTGATGTTGAAAATCCATGATGTGTTTTGACAGCATTGCATAGCC
The DNA here is from genome assembly GCF_000001405.40 of Homo sapiens. NCBI lineage: Eukaryota > Metazoa > Chordata > Mammalia > Primates > Hominidae > Homo > Homo sapiens. The sequence continues at coordinate 23,541,941 of NC_000020.11, forward strand.
TATTCTTGCTGGATACTTCCCCTACTAGCTGGGATAATCTGCTGCAATAAATGGAAGTGGTTTCTACACCTCACCCAACTCTGAGTACAAATTACTTTTCATGGACAAATCTTTCTAGATAACCAGAGGACCCAGCCCTCAATTGCTTCAAGCATGCTGGCACTCTCTGTAAGGCTCTGAGAGTCTGGCTGCCTTGAGAGTTTCCGTCCATGGATTTCTACGGAAATCTCCCTTCCCAGGACTTTTTGGAAGACACAGCCTGTTAGCTTAGAAAGTTAGTTTTAACCAGATCCAACCAGAGAGACAGCTGGGCCATTTAGAGATTTTCATTGGTTTTGAATTGAAGCAGAAAAGTTAATGATGCAGGGAGAGAAGACTACATTCGTGTGTGTGTGTGTGTTTGTGTGTATGCACACGTGTGCATGTCTGTGCATAAGTGTGTGCTCACAGTTAGATGTATCAGTTAATGCTGTATGACAAGTCACCTGGTCACTTAATGGCTCAAGCAATTGATTTATATGTCTCATGGTGTCTGTGAGTCAGGCATCTCTGGATGGCCAGACTGGGCAGCTCTGGTTGTCACATCTCATTGGGTTACACTCTGATATTGACTGTGCTGCCATTATTTAAAGGTTTGATGGACTCTGGAGAATCCTTTCCAAGGTAGCTCACTCCCATGCCTGCAGGTTGATAATGGTTATTGACTGAGGTCTCTGTTCTCCACGTGGCTTCTCCACAAGACTGTACGTCAGCTTGGTATCCTGGATGACTTGTTCCAGACACAGTGTTCCCAGAGACCAAGATGGAAGCCACTGTATCCTTTGTAAACTAGACTCAACCCAGAACAGCCCTGGCTCAGTGTGGACTACACAACGACATAAAGATAGAGATTAGGGTCACTGGAGGCCATCTGGGAGGCCAGCCACTACAGTGTGTACACATGTGTGCATGTGTGCGCATGCATGTGTATGGAGAGTGGACTAAGGTGATACCATGACCGTAAAGAGGCACTTTTGAAATCCTGATGCTTAGACAGCAGCACCAATGTGCAGGCTGGGGCAAGGAGACAATATTGTGTAATAACCAGTAGTAATACAGGGTCAGATTCTAACTTAGACACATGACGGAAGGATGGTGATGCTCAGAGGCCACCTGCATGACAGCTGTCCTTGAGGGCTCTTCTCCGACAGGGCTGACTGCAACCTTCTGAGCCTCTCTGCCTAATGGCTTTCTCTGCCAATGAAGGGCAGGCTGGAGTGCCAGTGGGTAATACCCTTGAGAGGAGCCCTCAGCCAATGATAGAATTTGGAGGATAAACATCCTGGCCTTTTATCCCCTGGGATATAACGCCAAGTTGTGTCTACCCAGTCACTGAGGAGTGTCCTGCAAGACTGAGCCCTAGCTATCCATATTGCTAATCTCACTATCCGTGCTGCTTCTGCCCCTTACTATTTCCACTTTTCAACTGCCTTTCTGGAATCATTTCTAAATAAGCCACTTGTACTTGAATTTTTTGTCTCCAAGTCAGCTTCTGGAGGAGCCAACTTGATAGTGGAACCCAGATCTACTGTAAATGGCACCCTGAGACCCCCAGGGGCTTGCCTGGCTGAGATCAGAAATCAGGATACCCTTTACCTTGACAACGGAAAAACCAAATTCTGCCAAAATATTTAAAGAGGTTTATTCTGAGCCATATGAGTGACCAAGAAAGGGAAACACAGTCTCAAGAGGTCCTGAGAAAGTGTGGCTGAGGTGGTCCGGTTACAGGTTAGTTTGAAGCATGTCATGGAGCCAGGAGTTGCAGGTAAAATTATAAATCAATACATGGAAGGTATATATTGGTTTGGTCCCAAAAGGTGGGACATCTCAAGGCATTGGCTTACAAGTTTTAGGTGGGTTTAGGGATTCTTTAGTTTGAAATTGGTAGAAAAAGTTAAGCTTTGTCTAAAACATGGAGTCAGTAGAAAGGAATGCTAAGGGGCTCTACTATCTGTCAGGTGATGCCATGCCAGAGTCAGGTTGGAAAACAAGTCACAATGTACTGGGTCAGAAAGGACCTTTTTGATGAAATTTTATGGTTTGCAAGGCATGATTCCTCAGGTCCTTAAACAGGAATTTCAGAAATAAAGAAAAAAAGGTAAGAGGTCAGTCCTCAACCTGCACTCTCTAACATCTGCCAGCAGTTGAGCTCTTGGGTGGCGGGCAGGTGAAGTGGCGTTCTTCATGGCCCCGCACAACCCTGGGCCCCTTTCTTTCCCATGTGCTGGCAGGGTTGTGGGGACACTGTCAGAGCAGTTCTTGTTCCATTCTCTCCCTGCCTCAGGAATGGGATCCCTATGCTACTAGCTGCAGCACCTGAGGACACATCTCTCTCATCTACCCTCGCCTTCATCCCCAAGCTCCGTGGGTATGCAACCTGTCCATCTGGGGGACTTGGTCTCCCTTGCTTCTTGGCCTGAGCTGGCCAGCCCTATGTGGTCTCATGAGCAGCCCATGGAGGAAGGTGTTCTTTGCTGAGCCCTGACAGTGTGATTGAACATTGGAGGGACCTGGGTCTTCACATGTCCCGGGCTGCTTGTTTCCATCATACTCATACCCCATGTTGTCTTAGGGCATACCAAACCCTACTGCCCACATCTAAGGTCAGTTTTGTTAATGTGATCTGTGCATGGGTTCAGGTTTAGCTCTTCAAAACCATCTGGCCTCTGTTGACCCACTGAGTCAGAGTCAGGATGAAGAATTAAGATCAAGACAGTTTCACTGACTCATGGAATTTTTGAGTTTATTGACTAACAGCAATATTTTTATATGAGCATGAAAGGAAATGGAATGTGTGGACATAGAGGCTCCTGAGACACCTCTAAATTGTCTCCTTCTCTACCAAGGCCGTGTTAGCCTTGGCCACACCAGGAAGGACACAGACATATATCAAAGAGGCTTCATGCAGTGTAGCTTGCCCTTCCACCTTCTACCACGTGAGGACACAGCAGGGAGGCCCTCACAAGATGCTGGCACCTTGGTCCTGGGCTTCCCAACCTCTAGAGCTGTGAAAAATAAATTTCTGTTTCCTGTAAATTAACCAGCCTGTGTTATTCTGTTATAGCAGCACAAACAGAAGAGGACAGTTCCTTTCCTGGGCTCAGCAGGGGCCAGGGAAGAACCAGAACTCCAACTCACAGGAGGTATGTGGACATGAGGGACTCTGGGTCTTGGGACCTGAAGTGGAGATTTGGAGTGAGTGGGAGTTGTCCTGAGACCACATACAGGGCCAGGACTGACAGCTGAGATGTTTCCTTGTGTATGTATCCCGGCAGTTCCCTGCCCTCCCCAGGCTCCACCCCATCTTCCCTTCCTCTGCCTCAAGGAGAGAGGTTTGGGGAGTCTGCAAAAACCTCACATTTTCCTCATCACTTTGTGTTCATTATTATGGTCAATCTCCCCAAGGCTGTGTCCCAGCCCTGACCCCCTGAGAAAAATGAGGAAAGTATCCACATGTCCTCCAGCAGATGGGAAAGTGGCCACAAGGTAGAATAAAGTAGTGTATATGTAGCATATTTTGGAACTAATTTATACTTAGTGTTTTCTTCTACTGCCACTTTTGACTTCAGCTGTAACCATTTGAGGACAGCCAAGCAGAGGTTGCCATCTTTATATAAATGACTCAGGGACAGCAGATGACAGATTAGGAGCTGAGGGGTGCAGGGTTAAATAAGAACTCACATTTCTGGGGAAGGAGGAAGCTAGTGACACTACACTACAATCTGTGCCCCTTTTCCTTCCTGGGGTTGGGGTCCAGGGATGCTACTGACCAGATGTTCCCAGCATGTCTCTGGCCTTAGCCTCTGGCACAAAATTTGCTCAGGGGCCCACCTCATGGCTACACTCAACATCTATGAACCCAGTTTCCTGATTCTTCACTGCACAAATTCCCGAAGGAGGAGAAGTATAGCTGTCTCCAGGAGCAAGTGCAGACAGGCAAGGCAAGCTAGGAGAGGTCTTTCCAAAGGAACAGGGCCTGCAATGCGACTCCTGTCCTCTAATTAGGCCTGTGCACCTGGGTCATGTCATGCATCATGAGTCTGGAAATACAATAGAAATCAACACATGTCCCAGAAATTGTGGATGTCCATTTCTTAGGGATGCAGAAAACTGTTAAAGACCCATACATGTAGTCTGAGTCAGGCAGGAATTAGTGCATCCTCCCAGGAGCCAGTGCCTTAGAGTGGGCTCCTCTCCCCTTGCTCCATGAAGGACGGCTGTGCTCCAAAAGGGTCCTGAGCCAGGACACCCCATCACCTCAGTGAGCTCACTCCCCATGAGACCCTGTCCTGGGAGCTGTCTCAGAAATGGTTCTCAAATGGAATGAGTAGGGTGGATTCTTTGGATCCGCAGGAGGCACTGTGGATAAAGCGCCTTCTCTGAGCTTCCTTCTGCTGATGGAGTCAGGGTCAAGAGAAGGACCAAGGGTGGGAGCAGACAGGGGAGGTGGTGGGAGGGTCTCAAAGGAAAATCTGTTCAAGTCTGGAACAAGGCAGTGCAGGGCTGTGTGGGTTCCAGAGACCCACGCACCAGATGGGACAAAGTGCAGCAGCTGTGTCTACCTCAGTGCTGGCAGGCCGCAGGGAGGTCTCCGGGCCTGGCTCCCCACTCTGCCTTGCCTGAATGCCCATGATCTAGGGACCACCCTCCCAGCACTTCTATGGAGGGTACGTCCCAAGACGATGGTCCAAACGCACCACAGGTCTGTGTTAGGTCCCCCCAGGCTGACCCTGAAACGCAGACTGGTGGGTGCAGGTAGTTTATTTGGAGATGATCCCAGGAGGCACATGTGAGAAAGGGAGACAGAGAAGGGGAAACACAATGTGTCTGTTATCGATGGGTTACACTGGGGCCGGGGGTGTTTATTCTGCTGGGGAGCTCTGAGAACCATGTGACACACACTCTGAATCGGGTGCCAGGAGGCTGGGAGACTGGGACATTCACCTGCCTCACTTCTGAAGATGGAGCGTGGCTCTCAGACTTGACCTTAGGAGTTGGCAACCATGGCCCGAGGACCAAATGCAGCCCAGTCTGGTTGTCTCCATGTGTAAACAAAGTCTTGTTGGGACAGGACTGCTCTTATTTGTTTATGCATTGACTATGGCTGCTTTCAACTTACAAAGGCTGTGCTGGGTAGCTGAGAAAGTGACTAAATGGCCTACAAGATCAAAATAGTTACTCCTTAAATCTTTACAGAAAATACATGCTGAAGCCTGATCTGGGAGATGTGGACAGGGTGTCCATAGCTGCTGGCTATTCTCAGCTAACACACTAGGTATACATGCACCCTGAGCATTAATGCCAATGTCACATTTGTTATGTGGGATCCCGAGTCCCTGTCCTGCTCCGTGTGCACATCTGATACCCTGGGAGGCCACCCTCACTGCCCCTCTGCAACCTGCAAGGGGCCCTGAGATAGCAGCTCAGACGCACCTTAGCTGTGCCTCTGGAAGTGGCTCAGGAGGCCCAATAAGGGAGAAAAACTTACCCCTGAGAGGCCAGGAGGCTGCCCTGCTGAGAATAACTCCATCAACTGCCCAAGCCCCTTCGTCCAGAATCATGGCACACAAAGCTTCTTAAAATGCTAATTGTTAAGATGTATACTACATGATGAACTTAGACAATGAAGAATTTCTAAAATACCTGAGCATGAACTCCTAACACATGGAAAGTAAGAACACACAAGCACAGAGCTGCTCAGGCACTGAAGGGCCATGTTGAGGAACTGCCGACATGCTGGAAAGGAGAGGACAGCAGGTGGCCAGGCCCGTGGCTAGGACCCACTCAGGAATGCCCGCCTGAGCACGTCTTGTTCCAGAGGTCAAACCGTGTCCTCCAGGGCTCTATTCCAATGGTGAAGAAGCAGGTGCAGGTCTGAGGGAGCAAGCACAGGAAGGGACAGTGTGTGGGGGCTTGGGATGCAGAAGCTTGTGGCTTCTGCTATCAACACAGGTTCCATCTCAATCTTGCCCATTCCCAGGGCTGGGCTCTGGACCCCAAGTGTGGCCCTCCAGCCTGAGTTCTGGGCTGTTCCAGACTTTCAGGGTGATCTGTGGCTCCCTCCTGACCAAGGAACACCTGTAGTAGCACCCTCCTCCCTAGCCAGCAGCCTCCAGGGGAAACCCAGGCTGTCTAGTGTCTTTCATCCTCCAAGAACAGCATGGCACACTCCATTCCAGAGGGAGCTGCTCTCAGATTTAAACAAGTACTTAACCTATTAACTAATCCTCTGATAAGGGGATGGAGTAATGCTAGATGTGTTGTGCACAGTGTCAGGGTTCATTATGTCCTTGTCCCCAGAGCAGGTACTGCAGCTCAGCAGGAGCCAGGACAGGACCAGGGAGGGAGGGCAGTGGGGTCCCTCCTCAGCCTCCACCTGCCTCAGGCTCTGGATTAGGGGAGGGGGACCCTGAGAACTGCACACTCAGAGAGAGGTGATGTCGGATCCCCACCAGGCTCTTTCTTCAAAAGGCAGAGGAAGGCTGGGGAGGAAGACCAGAGAGGAAAGAGTCTCTACTCAGGCCTAGGAGACTAGGACCCTAGGGGGCAAGAGCAGTCTGAAGGCCATGTGCCCTGGGTACAAGCAGCTGTAGTGGCGTGACATGGCAGAGTCAGGAAACTCAAACTGGCCAGGAGACTGCAAGTGGACCCCTGGCTGCCTGCCCCTCTGTGCTCGCCACTAAGGCACAAGCAAGGTAGCCTGGTAGAGGCTGCTGCAGGCTCACTCCTCTAAGTCTCTTTGTCAGCTGTACCTGTGTCCGCACCACACCCCATGCGGCATCCACAGCTGTATCCAGGAGGGAAGCTGGTGTCTTGTCTTACATTGTTCAGCTCTGGGCTCTCTTGAAAAGGGCAGTTGTCAATGTCATCTTCAAATTTCCCACACATGGTTCTGCCCAGTTGCAGATTCATGGAGAATGTCATCTTATCATAACCCTGTTGAATAAAAAAGATTAAAGTGGACAGACTCTTTGAGTTGCTCATAGGTAACTCCTTGTGAAAATGCGACCTTGTAGGAAGAGGCTGCAACACTCTCCTCCACTAGGGAGCTCGCGCATGGGCCTGGCATCAGGTCACTGGAGGTAAAACCCAGGAGACCTTCTCTAGACTGAGGAGTTAAGAGCAAACAGCAAATATGTGTGGTGTGTCCTGGGACAGACACAGGCTGTCAAACCCTATTAATGCATCCTGTATCTCCAGCTTCACCTCCCTGTCTCCCATGATGAGACCCGGCTTCACTCAGCAGGCATGTGAGCCTGCAGCTGCATTTTCAGAAGACATGTGCTGCATGCTCGGGAAGGTGTTAGCTCTCCATCAGTTTTCAGGGTAACCTCAGCCCTGGGGCAAGGGGAGCCTCATCTAGAGTGTGTTGTCCAACCTTCCACCTGACCTCCAGCAAGAGGAATGCAAGAATGCTACCCAGTGCTCCCACTACACACAGGGACACACCCTTGGGACAACGGCTTTAAGAAACACCGTCTGCCCTATTGCAAAGTGCACTCTGAGGTTCTCCTTGCTCTCCTTCCCACTCCATTCTATGTCATTCCACTCCATAGACTCCCTCCCCATCCAGCCAGGACCTTGCACAGAGTCTTTCCAGAGCTTAAGCTCTGTGCGGCACTGGGGTCCCTCTACCCTTCTTTCAGGTTCTTGGTGCCGACAGAGGAAGAGCAATGCTCCTTCTCCCTCTAAACCATACGTTCTCCACTAGGAGGGCATTTTAATTGTTTGTGCCTGCAGCCCAGATGAATGGCACATTCCTGAATCATTTAATGATTCCATTAAAAGGAGAACATTTTAGGATTAAGGACCATGGACTGTGGAAGAGTGTAACACAACATTCAACTCATTAAGTGTAGATGCAGGGAGGAGCCCAGAGCAGGTGGAAATCAGAGAAGAACTGACTTCACAGCGGCCTCTCAGGGCCGATGGTGCTTCTTTTTTACTTCTGAATTATCAGCTCTCTTTGTCTCTCTGTCTCTCTGTCTCTTTCTGTCTATTTGTCTCTGTCTCTCTCTTCCCTTTCTTTTACTCTGATTGTCTCTTTTCCTAATTATCTCTTTTTTAATTTCTTTGAAATGTTTCTCAGTTTCTGTCTGTGGACGTTTTTTTGTGTGACCCATTTCCTCACCTGATGCATCATTTTCTCAGTTTTCCTTATTTTGAGGTCATTCTTCAGTTAAGTGATGCCATAACAATCATGGAGGTTGAATACTATATCTAGCGTTGAGTAGATCTGGACTCAAAAAAATTATAATGTGTATCTTTCATAAAGACAAAAAGCAAATTTCTGAGGTTGTATTTTATACAAGTTTAGACTACAAATGGTGAACCAGGAGTCCTGGTTAAGCCCTGCCCCACACGCTGCCACCCCTGCCCATCACTCAGCAGCCTGTGCTGGACACTAGTGCAGAAAAGGATGTGCTCATCAACCTGCTCCTTCCAGGAAGCCAGGACAGGCACCAGCTTGTAGGCATACCAGTCCTTGCTCTGCTTGTTGAATGTGTACACGGCAAACTCCAGGGTGGGAGGGAGATAAACAGCAATTTGTTTTTGGTCATTCCACTCCTCTTCCTCTTGGAAACGCCAAGCATAGGTAACCAGGAACTGGAAGCTGAAGAGAAGCAGCAGTGGCGCACAGGACAGAGCCCTGCTCGGCGGCAGACTCCACATGGCGCAGGGCACAGGAAGCACTCCTAACCTCCAGCCTTCCCAGCCTGGACTCCCACAGGAGCCTACTGCACACAGTTCTGGCCCTTAAACTCTTGAGCTCAGGTGGAAACTCCTCCCTCCAGGCCTCATCTCTGGCATTATAATCTGTCCCTCCCAAATGTGGCTTCGCCTCCTCCAGACAAAGCTGTTTCAATCATCTCTTGTTCAGGGAGAAGTAACAGCAACCATGGGGGTGGGTTAGAAAGATAAGGGACCCCAGTGGGCAAGAGCAGGGCATGAGGTCCAGCCACCACTGCTCCCTAGTGCCTCAGTGGGCTAGAGGAGAGCACCCACTTCCTCGGGTGTCCCAGGGTCAGTCCCTGAAATAAGAATAGAAGTACAAGAGGTGTGAGTGGAAGGTGATCCCTGGACATGCCAGTGGGGTGGGGAAACAAAACCAGATGGGTCAAGGACTAAAAGGAGGAGCTGCCAGGAGTAAAAGTGCTGTGAGTGAACAGAAGGCATGGCTGCATGGGGACTCATAGGAAGGCTCCACAGCACCTGCCTAAGTATCAGCAACCTGATGCTCTGGGGCCCTGGGGCTGAGGGTGAAGACTGCTCTTGGGCATCCTTCATGGCTGCTTTAAAGCTTAGGACCTGCTGCACTGGCACAGCACCCTCCCGACTAAGAATGTGAGAAAGATTAGTACAGGTACTTGCAGCTGGATTCAGCCACTGGAGATACAAGTTTGGCTAAGTTGGGGGATGGTCCTAGGAACCCCACACTGCTGGAAGTCAGGGATAGAGGAGGGGGCTTGGGACAGAAACAATGCCATGCATTCAGCACCAGGTCACTTTCTCCTGAGCATAGCTGGACATAGATGTGGCCTGTGCTGAGCTCTGACCTTGGATGTGGTGGCCATGAAGGACAATGTGCCCAAGGTGAGGCTACTCCCATGAGCTGGTGCATACCCTTCCTTCCCAGGCCTGCAGAATGGAGGGAGCATCCAGGTGGGACTCTGAGTCTGTGGATGGTACTCACAGGAGTGGGTCTCAGCAGAGTTTCCTCCAGCACAGTCCTCACCCTCTGGCTGACCCTCTCAGCCCTAAGTCATGAGTGACAAATGCCATTTCATGGTTCCACCCCCTGAGATCCTTGTTGTCCCTTCCAGCAGCTGGCAGAACTTAATGAATTCACCTGAGTTCTCCTGGAGATGCAGAGAGTTGGGGGTAGGGGTGGAAGGGTGGTCCTAGCCTTGGAGACCTGAGACCCAGTCCAGCTGTGCCAGGAGCTGATTCTGCACCTTCACCCTTCCCTGAGCTTTCTGGGCCTCCCTTGTCCACTCCTCAGATGGGCATAGCATTGTCCATCCAGCCTCCAGAGGCTTGTTGCTTACTGGACAAATTGCCCTCATGGAGTCAAAGTGCTGTGATAATCACAAAGCTGTATGCTTAGATTGGCAATTGTTCTGCACTGGCAATTCCTTTCCTTATCTCTGCTGAGGGTACATGGGGACCTTGCACATTTGACATTTCTCCCCAGTGTTCAGGCCTGGACCACAGCCTGGGGAAGGAATGAAGGCAGGGCTCAGCACTGCCACTGAGGCTGACAACAAAGTGCAGACTCTGGGAGGTATTCTCACCACTGTGATGACTAAATGCACCTGCATATCTCTCCAGAGGGGAGCACAGATGAAGGAGGCCAAGGCACAGGAAATTCCTGCAGAAAGGGGCTCAGAGGGAGGGCGTGCAGGGGCCCTGGAGACAGGCACAGTCTGGCTTCCTTCCCGTGCTCTCTCCAGAGCCCCACCTGGGTCCTCCCTCGCACTCTCCTCACCCACCTGGAGCACCCTACCCATCTGCGCCATGTACTGTGCATCTCCTTGATCTTCATATAGAGTCTATTTTTCTTTCTGAGTCACAGAATCATCATTTGTTCAAGTCAGATTTCTCTCCATTGTGGGAACAGGTGAATAAACTCACCCCCGCTCCCCAACAAGAGTATCGTGGCCAAGTACAGGAATCTGTAGTTTACATTTACAGGCCTTTGTCCAATTCTTTCACATACATCACTAGTCAAAGAGCAAGGAAAAGAATCTTCTTATTGCAGTAGTGACTTGGTACATGATTTGACCTTGGGCTGAGAGCATGCACAGCAATGTAAATGCAGGTTATATGATCATAAAGAAAAAAATCCATCAAGAAGCCATAATAGTGATGAATCTGCATGCAAATACAACAGAACAAATGACAATGTTGCAGGGAATATGGCACTTCCACAACCATGTTGGGAGGGTTTAATATGTCTCCTGGAAGCTGGCTTACAGAAGCCTACATGTTATAAAGGATACAGCAGAATTGACAGATACAGTTAACTAGTCTACTTCAGTAGTTGCCTGTAAATTTCTTTACCTAATATAAAGTATGTTTAAATTGTAGCAAAATAAACATAACATTTACAATCTTAACAATTTTAAGTGTACAGTTCACTATTGTTTAAATATATTTACGTTGCTGTGCATAGAATATAATTTTTAAAGGAATGATCTGTTAATTATGAAATTAAAGTGTTAATTGTATTACAGGGATATTGGCAAAACAACACTTAAGGCATAGCTGGTGGGGTTTGGGTGCACTGTACTTACTGAGGATGATGTAATTGGCTGCTCCCTAATGTGTAAGCTCTCACTCCAACATCCCCTGAAGGTCTCTCCCACTGCCTGGCTCTCATGGGTCGCCAGGCTCTTTCTTCACAAGAAACCTGATTCCTTGATGGCAGGAGCTTTGAGTCTTCATCGTGGGCCTCTGTGCTGTCTCTGTGCTGAACATTGACAGGGGAGAGGGCTGGCATTAGCAGGGCAGCCCCATCCCATGGTGCTCTCCAGCTCCCATGGAGTTCTAGAACAGAACAAGTTCTGTGGAGGATGGTGCCAGGATGGGTGGCTTGAGGGAATCTGGAGGCAGGAGCCCCCAGCCAAGCAGTCTGTACCTCCCTGAGGGCAGCCTCACAGCCCAGAGATGTGCCACCATCTACTGGCCTAGGGTCTGAGCTGGTTATGAAAATGACCCCCACAAAGTTGTTTGGAAGATGAGTGGTGGCTGGGTGCAGTGGCTCACACCTATAATTCCAGCACTTTGGGAGGCCCACGGGGGAGGGTAGCTTGAGCTCAGGAGCTCAAGACCAGCATGGACAACATTAAAAAAAACCCATTGCTACAAAATAGACAAAAATTAACTGCGCATGCTGGTGTGTACCTGTAGTACCAGCTATTTGGGAGGCTCAGGCAGGAGGATCGCTAGACCCCAAGAGATGGAGATGGAGGCTGCAGTGAGCCATGATCACACCAGTGCACTCCAGCCTGGGCAAAAGAGTGAGACCCTGTCTCAAAAAAAAAAAAAAAAAAAAAAGATGAGTGGTTACTAATACACATTGCCCCCCTCCTTTTTTTTTTGTAATTTAACATTCTATTTTAGATTCAGGAGGGTACATGTACAGGTTTGTTACATGGGTATATTGTGTGATGATGAGGTTTGAGGTATGATTGATCCTATCACCCAGGTAGTGAGCATAGTACCCAATAGTTAATTTTTTTAACCCTCACCCCCCTCCCTCCCCACCCTACTAGTTTCTAGTATTTATCTTTAGCTCCCACCTATAAGTGAGAATATACTGTATGTGGTTTTCTGTTTCTGTATTAATTCACTTAGCATAATGGCCACTAGCTTCATCCATGTTCCTGCAAGGGATATAATTTTGTTCTTTTTTTATGGCTGTGTAGTATTCCATGGTGTGTATGTACCACGTTTTCTTTACCAAATACACTGCTGATGGGCAATTTGGTTTATTCCATGTCTTTGCTATGGTAAATAGTGCTGCAATGAACAGAGAGTGTATGTGTCTTCTTGGTAGAATGATTTATTTTCCTTTGGGTGTATATCCAGTAATGGGATTGCTGGGTGGAATGGTCATTCTATTTTTAGTTCTTTGAGAAATCTCCAGTTGCTCTCCACAGTGGCTGAACTAATTTACATTTCCACCAACAGTGTGTAAGTGTTCCCTTTCTCTGCAGCTTCACCAACATCTGTTATTTGTTGACTTTTAAATATTAATCATAGCCAATCTGACCAGTGTGAGATAGTATCTCATTTTGTTTTCTTTTTTAACTTTTATTTTAGGTTCAGGGGTACATGGACAGGTTTGTTTTATAGCTAATTTGCCTGTTAAGGGGTTTGGTGTACAGACTGTTTCATCACGAAAGTAATAAGCACAGTACCTGATAGGTATTTTTTTTATCCTCACTCTTCCCTGGCCTTCCACCCTCCACCCTCAACTAGGCCCTTATTCCTTTCTTTGTGTTGATGTGTACTCAGTTCTCACTTATAGGGGAGAACATGTAGTATTTGGTTTTCTGTGTCTGTGTTAGTTTGCTTAGGATAATGGCCTCCAGCTCCATCCATGTTGCTACAAAGGACATGATCTTATTCTTTTTTATGGCTGGGTAGTATTATTTACTTTATATGTACCATATTGTCTTTATCCAGTCTACTGTTCATGGACATTTAGGTTGATTCCCTGTCTTTGCTATTGTAAATAGTGTTGTGATGAACATACACGTGCATATATCTTTATGGTTTATATTCCTTTGTCTGTATACCCAATAATAAGGTTTCTGGGTTGAATGGTAATTCTGCTTTGAGTTCTTTGAGAATTCACCAAATTGCTTTCCACAATGGCTGAACTAATTTACATCCCTACCGGCAGTGTATAAGTGCTCTCTTTTCTCTACAACCTTGCCAGGATCTGTTTTGTTTTTTTTTTACTTTTTGGTAATAGCCATTCTGACTGGTGTGAGATGGTATCTCATTGTGGTTTTGATTTGCATTTCTCTAATGATTAGAGATGCTGAGCATTTTTTCATATGCTTGTTGGCCACATGTATGTCTTCTTTAGATAAGTGTCTCTTCATGGCCTTTGCCCACTTTTTAATGGGGTTATGCATTTTTTTCTTGTAAATTTGTTTAAGTTCCTTATAGATTTTGGCTATTAGACCTTTGTCCAATGCATAGTTTGCAAAAATTTTCTCCCATTCTGTAGGCTGTGTGTTTACTCTGTTGATAGTTTCTTTTGTGGGGCAGAAGCCCTTCAGTTTAATTAGATCCGATTTGTCAATTTTTGCTTTTGTTGCCTATGCTTTTGTGTCTTCATCATGAAATCTTTGCTAGTTCCTATGTCCAGAATGGTATTGCCGACATTGTCTTTCAGGGTTTTTATAGTTTTGAGTTTTACATGTAAGTCTTTAATACATCTTGAGTTGATTTTTGTATATGGTGTAAGGAAGGGGTCCAGATTCAATCTTCCGCATATGGCTAACTAGTTATCCCAACACCTTTTATTGAATAGGGGGTCCTTTTTCCATTACTTGTTTTTTTTCAGGTTTGTTGAAGATCAGATGACTGGAGGTCACACACCTGTGTGACCCTATTTCTGCGCTCTCTATTCTGTTCCAATGGTCTATGTGTCTGTCCTTGTACTAGTACTATGCTGTTTTGATTACTGTAGCCCTGTAGCATAGTTTAACATTGGGTAACATGATGACTCCAGCTTTGTTCTTTTTGCTTAAAATTGCCTTGGCTATTCAGGCTCTGTTTTGGTTTCATATTAATTTTAAAATAGTTTTTTCTAGTGCTGAGAATTATGTCTTTGGTAGTTTGTCGGGAATAGCATTAAATCTGTAAATTACTTTGGGCAGTTCGGCCATTTTATTAATATTGATTCTTCCTATTCATGAGCATGGAATATTTTTCCATTTGTTTGGGTCATCTCTCATTTCTTTGAGAATTGTTTTGTAGTTCTCATTGTAGAGATCTACAATGTAGATCCTAGCTGTATTCCTAGGTATTTTATTCTTTTTATGGCAATTGTGAATGGGATTGTGTTCCTGATTTGGCTCCTGGCTTAGCTCTTGTTGGTGTATAGAAATGCTAGTGATTTTTGTACATTGATTTTGTATCCTGAAACTTTGCTAAAGTTGTTTATCAGCTGAAGGAGCTTTTGGACTATGGGATTGTCTAGATATAAAATCATGTCATCTGCAAACAGGGATGGTTTGCCTTCCTCTCTTCCTATTTGGATGCCCTTTATTTCTTTCTCTTGCCTGATTGCTCTGGCCAGAACTTCCCACACTATGTTGAATAGGAGTGAGAGAGAGGGAATCCTTGTCTTATGCTGGTTTTCAAGGGGAATGCTTCCAGCTTTTGCCCATTCGGTATGATGTTGGCTGTGGGTTTGTCATATATTGCTTTTATTATCTTAAGCTATGTTCCTTCAATCCTATTTTATTGAGAGTTTTTAACGTGAATGGATGTTGGGTTCTATTGAAAGCCTCTTTTGCATATATTGAGATAATCATTTGGGTTTATATATTTTTTGTTCTGTTTATGTGATGAATTACATCCACCACTTTGTGTATGTTGAATCAAACTTGCATCCCAGGGATAAAGCCTACTTAAGTGTGATGGACTAGCTTTTTGATGTACTGCCAGATTTGGTTTACTAGTATTTTGTTGGGGATTTTTGCATCTATGTTCATCAAAGATATTGGCCTGAAGTTTTCCTTTTTTGTTGGGTTTCTTCCAGGTTTTGTTATCAGAATGATGCTGGACTCATAGAATGAGTTAGGGAGGAGGCTCTCTTCTTCAATGTTTTGGAATAGTTTCGGTGGAAATGGTACCAGCTCTTCTTTATACATCTGGTAGAATTCAGCTGTGAATCTGTTTGGTCCCAGGCTTTTCCTCATTGGTCGGCTTTCTTTACTGACTCAAGTTTGGAACTTGTTATTGGTCTGTTCAGGGATTCAATTTCTTCCTGGTTTGATATTGGGAGGTTGTCTGTTTCCAGGAATTTATTCATTTCTTCTAGGTTTTCTAGTTTGTGTACATAGAGGTGTTTGTAGTAGTCTTGGAGGGCTTTTTGTATTCCTGTGGAGTTGTAGGTAATGTCCTCTTTGTCATTTCTGATTGTGTAATTCACATCTCAATTTCATTCAGTTTAGCTCTGATTTTGGTTATTTTTTGTTTTCTGCTAGCTTTGGGATTGGTTTGCTCTTGTTTTTCTAGTTCCTCTAGGTGTGATGTTAGCTTGTTAATTTGACATCTTTCTAACTTTTTGATTGGGATGTTTAGTGCTATAAACTTTCCTCTTAACACTGCTTTAGCTGTGTCCCAGAGATTCTAGTATGTTGTATCTTTGTTCTCACTAGTTTCAAAGAATTTCTTGACTTCTGCCTTAATTTCATTGTTTACCCAAAAGTCATTCAGGAGCAGGTTGGTTAATTTTCATCTAATTGTATGGTTTTGAGTGATCTTAGTATTGATTTCTATTTTTATTGCACTGTGGTTTGAGAGTGTGGTTGGTATGATTTTGGTTTTTTCAATATGTTGAGAATTGTTTTATGGCAATTTTGTGGTCAATTTTAGAGTATATCCATGTGCAGATGAGAAAAATGTATGTTCTGGTTTTTTGGGGTGGAGAATTCTGCAGATATCTGTTAGGTCTATTTGGTTGACAGTTGAGTTCAGGTCCTGAATATCTTTATTAGTTTTCTGCCTTGATGATCTGTATAATACTGTCAAATGGATTTTGAAGTCTCCCACTATCATTGTGTGGTTATGTAAGTCTTTTTGTATGTCTCTAATAACTTGTCTTATGAATTTGGGTGCTCCTGTGTTGGGTGCATATATATTTAGGATAGTTAGGTCTTCTTGTTGAATTTAATCTTTTAACATGATGTAATGCCCTTCTTTGTTTTTTTTTGAATGTTGCTGCTTTAAAGTCTGTTTTGTCTGAAATTAGACTAGTAACCCCTCCTTTCTTCTGATTTCTGTTTGCTTGATAGATTTTTCTCCAACCCTTTATTTTCAGCCTATTGGTGTTATTGCATGTGAGATAGGTCTCTAGAAGACAGCATACCATTGGGTATTGCTTTTTTATCCAATTTGCTACTCTGTGCCTTTATAATTGGGGCATTTAGCCTGTTGACATTCAAGGTTAATATTTATATGTGTGGATGTGATCCTGCAATTATGTTGTTAGCTGTTTATCATGCAGACTTGATTGTGTATTTGCTTTACAGTGTCAATGGCCTATGTACTTAGGTGTGTTTTTGTGGTGTCTGGTTTTTCTTTTTCTGGCATCTTGAGGTGCAATATTAGGATGTTTATTTGAGTTTTTTTTCTTATTTGATATAGACTTTTGTTGCTATAAATTTCCTTCTTAGAACCACTTTTTGCTGCATTCTATAAGTTTTGGTATGTTGTGTTTTTATTTTTGTTTGTCTCAAGATAATTTCAAATTTTCCTTTTAATTTATTAATTTACCCATTGATTATTCAGAAGCACGTCTTTAAATTTTCACATTATTTGTAAATTTAAAAAAAATCTTTCTATTATTGATTTGTAGATTCATACCATTGTGGTCAGAAAGGACACTTGATATGATTTCATTCTTCTTAAATTTGAAAATTTTTTTGCCTATTGTAAAATGTATCTGGAGATTGTTGTTTGTGCAATTGAAAGTAACGTATATTCCACTTCTGGTGGCTGGAATGTTTTGTACATATCCGTGAGGTCATTTGGTCCAGGGAATAGTTAAATTATAATGTTTCTTTATTGTTGTCTGTCTGGATAATCTGCTCATAGTGGGAAGTAGAATACAGAAGTTCCCTACTCTTATTGTTTTGCAGTCTACTTCTCCCTTTAAATCTATTAACTCTTGAATTATATGTTTAGGTGCTCAGATAGATGTCTGGTGTATTTGCATTTATAATTCTTATATACTCCTAATGAATCAGTTCTTTTATTATAAGGATCTTCTTTGTCTTATTTAAGTATTTTTGACTTAAAGTTTATTTTATCTGATATGGTATAGGTATCTCTGCTCTCTTTTGATTTGTTTGCATAGAATATCTTTTTTCATCCCTTTACTTTCAACCTATTCATACACTTAAGGTAAAATGAATCTCTTGTAAGCAGCATAGACATGGATCTTATTTGTTTATCCATTCAGCCATTCCATGTCTTTTGATTAAAGATTATAATCTATTCATATTCAAGGTAACCATTGATATGTAAGGACTTACTACTGCCCTTTTGATAATTGTTTTCTGGCTGTTATGTAGATTTTTATCATTCTTCCTCTCTTGTTTTCTTCCTTTGTGATTAGATGATTTTATGTAGTAGTACGCTTTGAATTTCTTTTCTTTTTTTTTTTTTTTTTTTGAGATAGAGTCTCGCTCTGTCGCCCAGGCTGGAATGCAGTGGCGTGATCTCAGCTCACTGCAAGCTCTGCCTCCCGGGTTCATGCCATTCTCCTGCCTCAGCCTCCCAAGTAGCTGGGACTACAGGTGCCCGCCACCATGCCTGGCTAATTTTTTGTATTTTTAGTAGAGACAGGGTTTCACCGTGTTAGCCAGGATGGTCTCGATTTCCTGACCTCGTGATCTGTCTGCCTTGGCCTCCCAAAGTGCTGGGATTACAGGCATGAGCCATCGTGCCTGGCTTGAATTTTTACTTCTAATATTTTCTTTATCTACTATAGGTTTTTGCTTTCGGTACCATGAGGCTTACACAAAATATGTTATAGTTAAAACAGGCTATGCTGGACCAACAATAACTTAACTTCAATTACACTGAAAAACTCTACACTCTTCTCCCAACATTTTATCATTTTGATGTCACAGTTTACATCTTTTAATATGTATATCCCATAACACAAGGTTCCCCAACCCCTGGACTGGAGACTGGTACTGGTCCGTGGCCTTTTAGGAACCAGGCTACACAGCAGGAGGTGAGCAGTGGCTGAGCAAGCATTACTACCTGAGCTTTGCCTTCTGTAAGGTCAGCAGTGGCATTAGATTCTCATAGGAGTGTGAACTGCACGTGAGAGGGATCTAGGTTACATGCTCCTTATGAGAATCTAACTAATGCCTGGTGAGCTGGGGTGGAACAAATTCCTACCAAAACCATCCCGTACCCTCTACCCCCCAGTCCATGGAAAAATTGTCTCCTATGAAACAGGTCCCTGGTGCCAAAAAGTTGGGGACCACTGCCTTAACAAATCATTGTGGCTACTATTATTTCAAAGAGTTTTGTCCTAAAATCTTCATACAGAAGATATAAGAGATTTGCAAATTACCGTTATAGTATTAGAGTATTCTGAATGTCAGTATGTACTTAGTTTCACTAGGGAGATTTTTATTCCCTAATGTTCTTCAGCATTCCTTTCTCTTTCTTTCTTTCTTTCTTTCTTTCTTTCTTTCTTTCTTTCTTTCCTTCTTTCCTTCCTTCCTTCCTTCCTTCCTTCCTTCCTTCCTTCCTTCCTTCCTTCCTTCCTTCTTTCCTTCTTTCCTTCTTTCCTTCTTTCCTTCTTTCCTTCTTTCCTTCTTTCCTTCTTTCCTTCTTTCCTTCTTTCTTTCTTTCTTTCTTTCTTTCTTTCTTTCTTTCTTTCTTTCTTTCTTTCTTCTTTCTTTCTTTTTCTTTTACAGAGTCTTACTCTTGTTGCCCAGGCTGTAGTGCAGTGGTGTGATCTCGGCTCACTGCAACCTCCACCTCTGCCTCCTGCATTCAAGAAATTCTCCTGCCTCAGCCTCCAGAGTAGCTGGGATTACAGGCACCTGCCAACACGCCAAGTTAATTTTTGTATTTCAGTACTATGTTGGCCAGGCTGGTCTCAAACTCCTGACCTCATGATCCTCCCACCTCGCCCTCCCAAAATGCTGGGATTACAGGTGTGAGCCACCATGCCAGGCCAGCATTTCTTTTAAAGCAGGTCTAGTAGTGATGAACTGCCACAGTTTAATTTGTCTGGGAAAATTCTTATTTGTTCTTCATTTCTGAATGACAGATTTGTTGGGTATAGTATCATCGGTTTGCAATTAAAAAAATTATTTCAGTTTATTTAATGTATCATTCAGATTTGTCCTGGCTTTTCAGGTCTCTGCTGAGAAATCAGAGGATAATCTTATAAAGATTCTCTTGTATGTGACAAGTTGATATTTTCTTGCTGCTTTCAAAATTCTCTTTGCCTTTGGCAGTTGAAAATTGTATTATAATGCATTGGTAAAAGTCACATTATATTTAATCTATTTAGGGTTATTTGGGCTTCCTGAATCTGTATGTTAATTTATAGCTCCAGATTTGAAAAATTTTCTGCCATTATTTACTTAAAGATGTTTCCTGCCTCTTCTTTTTCTGTATTCCTTCTGGGACACCTGTATTGCATTCATTGGTTTGCTTGATAGTTTTTTATAATTCCTGTAGAATTTATTTACTCTTTTTGTGCGTTTTGTTTTGTTTCTCTCACAGGGTAATTTCAAATGACCTGGTCTTAATCTCACTGATCCTTTCTTCTGGTTAATCAAGTCTACTGTTGAAGTTATTTGAATAAATTTTTCAGTTTAGTTCATTGTGTCTTTAGCTCCAGAATTTGTGTGATTCTTTTTTGTGGTTTCTCTCTTTTTTGATCTTATAATTTTGTCTGTGTTCACTTTTACTGATTTTATTTATGTATATTTTGATATTCTCTTGTAGCTCACTGACCATTGAAATATAATTACTTTGAATTTTTTGTCAGACATTTGTAAATCTCCATTTTTTTAGGGTAACTTACTGGTGCTTTATTTTTATGGTAGTGTCATGTTTCCCTGATTGTTTGTAATCCTTATGGCCATGTGTAGGTGACTGTGCATTTCAAGTAGGCACTTGTTCCAATATAGACTGACTTTGACAGGAAAAGCCCTTCACCAATCATCCTGTCCAGAATTCTGGGCAGGCATCTGGTATGGTCCATGGTAAGCTTGTTGCTGGAGTTCTTGGGCAGGCTCACCTGGTGCTTGGTTCTATAGGGTTGGGCCTGCAGCCTGGGTTCACCAGGATTGACCTGTTGATTGGGTCTGCAGTGATGGTTCTATAGCCTTTTTCCATGTGGTTGGGCAGGAAGTTGAATTAACTGGGCAAGCCTGAATCCTGGCTGACTTGGCACTGGGGAAGTCCTGAGTCTGTGTCTGCAGTGTCCAGCCAGGTGCTGGGATGGGCGTGGTGTCTGTGATGGAACTGGAGCCTGAGTGTACAGATTCTAGCCTAGCCCTGGGGAAATCCAAGAGCCAGGGTCCATGGCTATAGGTCTGGGTCCTCAGTTTTCAGAAGCTGTCCTGGAGACTGAGTCCACAGGGGTGGTTCTTGAGCCTTGGTCCACAGGGAAAGCTTGTGCAGGAGTCTACTGGTGTGGTTCTGGACCCAGGGTACACTGAAACATGTCTGGATCTTGGGTCCACTGGAGCCTGGTGCTCTGGGGACCAGCCTGGGTCCTGGGGCAGTGTAATGCAGGGGAGTCTTATAACCTGGGTCTGCAAGGTCTGGTCTGGTGCATAGGGCTACAGAAGCCAGGCTGAAGGCTGGATGTGTGCATGCTGACCTGGAGGCTAGATTCATGAGGACTGGCTTGGAGCTTGGGACACAGGGCCTGGTTCAGATCTGTTGTCATCCTGAAGGCTGAATGTGTGGGTACAGGCCTGGGTCCTGGGACTGTGTGGGCTGGCCTGGAACCTGGGTGTGCAAGGGAAATCCTAGAACCTGGGTTTGCAGAGGCTGGACTGGCAGTGGAAACTTTTGAGATAGGCCTGATCTTTGGGTTTACTGGAGCACAGGATCACAGGGGATGGTCTTGAGTATATGCAGGCTTGTATGCTCAGTCTTCTGGTGCTGACCTGAATTCAAGGGTTTTAGAAACTGGACAGGTGCTGGGTTAGACCTGAAGGCTGGCTCTGAGGAGCCAGCCTGGAGCCTGTATCTGTAGGAGCTAGCCTAGTGCTGGGATTGGCCTGAAATCTGGGACCACAATAGCTGTCTTTGTGTTGGGGTGGGGCTGTAGCCTTGGACCATGGTGCCAGCCTGAAGGCTGGGGTCCTGTGGGACTGCCTGGCACTGGTTTTACTGTGGTAGGTGCAGTGTTGAGGTCTGAGGCAAAGTTCAATACTCCCTCTCCTTCCTTCAAGTAGGGGATGTTTCTGTCCACAGTGTATAGCCTGGAGTGAGAGGAAAGGTGATGTGGGTTGTATAAAACTCTCCTTACTGCACTCTTCAATGTTTTAGTCTTATTTCTGTGCTACCCAAGTGTTGCAATCTGACACTTGGTTTGATGAGCTCCTGTGAGGATATTTTATGTATAGTTAGGTTCAAATTGAGGTATTTGAGAAGGGATGAATGTGGAAAGTTTCTATTCTGCCACCTTATTGACATCACTCCAAGGATTTTTATTATAATAAACATTGTGAAAATGTCCTATGTAATTTAACTTGAAAAGTGGGCAATTTAATTCCTATATTCCTGAAGGTTTTCATTCTACCTAGGCTGGTTCAGAAGTTAAGCAGTTAGTTAATCCTCTGCTAAGTCTGAAGCCCTCTCACTCCCTTCCTACCTCTCCCATGCATCTGCACATCCCATACTGGGAAATCCCTCTCCTCTGGGAGAAAGTATCTTGGTCTTGATTTGTTTCTTAAACAAATCCTATACCTTCATATCTTATATAACTTCCATCCTACTTGATGCTGTTCTTTCATGTTTCTTATGTTGTTATCCAGGTTCATGAACCCCTGGGGATTTGCGAGAATGCAGACTTATTTTCCAAAGGCGGGGAGGCCCTGAGGTTCAACATTTCTAAGAGATTTTCCAAAGATGCTGCTGCCTCACACATCAGGACCATTTTACGAGGGTGAGCCTAGAAGTCTTTCTTCTGCCCACCAACATGCTGAGGATCAGGAAAGGCATGTGAGCCACTCTTCAAGAGAAGAGGCCACAAGACCAGGGGAGCCCAACACCATGTCTGAGCTTATCCAGGCACATGAGGTGCCTGAGAGGAGATAGTCATTGCACCTCTGGCCACGTGGGTTATTGGCCGTGATCCCTGAGACAGCAGCTCAGATGTACCACTTGTGCCACCTGGAGCTGGCTCAGGAGTCCATCTACCCAGATCCTACTTGTCTGCCCTGGTGAGAATAACTCCATCAAACACCCAGCCCCTTTTATCGAGAACTACAGCACACAAAGTTTCTTAAAATGCTGATGTTTAATGATCTACACTACATGATTAGGCTCAAGATGTGTGGATTTTCTAAAACACTGATCTGAGATCTCAAACACATGCAAAATAGGATAACAAACAAGTCCAAAGCTGCTCAGCCACTGAAGAGTCCTCAGGAGAGTAGTGCTGATGTCCACGGAATGTGGGAGCAGCACATGGACAAGCCTGTGAGTGGGTTTCACTCAGTGGAATCCCTCCAAGCAGGTCTTGTTCAGGAGGCTGAACTGAGTCATCCAGGGCCTGGTGCTGATGGTGAAGAAGCAGGTGAAAGTCTGAGAGAACAAGCACAGGAAGGGACAGTGGGTGAGGGAGGCTCAGGAAGCTCATGGCTCAAGCTCTGAACAATGGCTTCCTCTCCACATTGCCCTTTCCCAGGTCAAGCAGTGGGAAGACGGGGCCTCTGGCTATCATGTGCTGCCCCCAAGCCTGAGTCCTGGGCTGTTCTGGAGATTTGAGCTGAACTGCAACTCTTTTCTGACCCAGGGGCGCCTGTGCAATGTTCCCCACTCCCTAGCAGTGGCCCTCAGGGGAACCCCGGGCTGTCCTGGTGTGATCCCTGCACCCAAGAGCAGCAGGAGAATGCATTGTCCCAGTGGAAGCAGTTCCCAGATTTAAGCAATCAGCTACCTATTTTTTAATATTACAATAAGGGTGTTGATTAAGCATAGGAAGAGTTTTCCCAGAGCCAGGCTTTACTTGGAGCTTGTCCCCTAGAGCAGGTGCTGCAGCTCAGCTCAGGGCCTGGGAGGGAGGGTAGTGGGGCTCCTTCTCAGCCTCTACCACTTTTGGGTCTAGGGGAGGGTAAGGAAACCCTGAGAACTGCATCCACAGACAGAGGTGATGTCAGATCCCAGGTTCTTCCAGAAGGCAGGGGAGGAAGACCAGAGAGGGGACCACTTCTTACTGGACCCAGGAGACTGGGACCCCAGGGGGAAAGAGCAGTCTGAAGGCCATGTGCCCTGGGTGCAGGCAGCTGCAGTGGCATGACAGGGCAGAGTTGATAAACTCAGATTGGCCAGGAGCCTGCAAGTGGACCCCTAGCTGCCTGCCCCTCTGCGCTCCCCACTAAGGCACAAGCAGGGCAGCCTGGTAGAGGCTGCTGCAGGCTCACTCCTCTAAGTCTCTTTGTCAGTTGCACCTGTGCCCACACCACACCCCATGTGGCATCCACAGCTGTATCCAGGAGGGAAGCTGGTGTCCTGTCTTACATTGTTCAGCTCTGTGCTTTCTTGGAAATGGCAGTTGTCAATGTCGTCTTCAAATTTCCCACACCTAGTTCTCCCCAGCAGTAGCTCCATTGAGAATACAGTCTTGGACTCCACCTATTGCACACAGAGAGATTAATGTGAACACACCCTCCTTGTTGCCCCTAAGTAGCTGCTGGTGAAGATGTCATTTGTGTAGGAGAAGTCCCAACATTCTCCTCCATTAGGGAGCTTGCCCATGGGCCTGGCATCAGGAGATCTTCTTTAGATTGGGCAGTTAAGAACAAAAAGCGGATGGGCATGGTGGCCCCAGGGCAGACACCCATGAATGTATCCCTATTTCCAGATGCACTTCCCACTCTCCCATGGTGAGACCCCAGTTTCACTCTCAGTCAGTGTCTGAACCTGCAGCTGCATTTCCAGAGGATGGCGCTATGTGCCTGGGGAGGGGTTTGGCTCTCCAAGAGCTTTCAGGGTAACCTCAGCCCTGGGACAGAGGGAGCCTCATCTAGGGCATGTTGTCAAACCTTCCACCTGACCTGAGGAAAAAAAAAATGCAAGAATGCCACCCAGCACTCCCACTACACACAGGCATACATCCTTGGGACAATGGCTTCAAGAAACACCATCTGGGGCCGGGTGTGGTGGCTCACACCTGTAATCCCAGCACTTTTGGAGGCTGGGGTGGGTGAATAATGAGGTCGGGAGTTCGAGACCAGCCTGGCCAACATGGTGAAAACCCATCTCTACTAAAAATACAAAAGTTAGCTGGGCATGGTGGCAGGTGCTTGTAATCCCAGCTACTCGGGAGGGAGGCTGAGGCAGGAGAATTGTTTGAACCCGGGAGGCAGAGGTTGCAGGGAGCTGAGATTGTGCCATTGCACTCCAGCCTGGTTGACAGGGTGAGACTCCATATCAAAAGAAAGAAAGAAAGAAAGAAACACCATCTGCCCTATTGCAAAGTGCACCTTGATCTTCTCACTCCTTTCAGTTTCACTTCATTCCATCTCCTTTCTCCCTATCCGTCCATTTCCCCAACTCCAAAACTGACTCTGGAATTGTCACATCCAGGAACCCACGTGGCAGGCTCCAGCCCAGAGAGCAGGGGTCAGAGAACCAGCCAGGGCCTTGCACAGGGTCTTTCCAGAGGCTGAAGCTTGGTGCAGGGTTGGGGTCCTTTTGCTCTTCTTGCAAGGTTTCAGTAATGAGGTAGGAAGAGCATTTTTGCCTCTCTACCCAACTAGAAGTCCTCAACTTAGCTGGGTGCAGTGGCTCATGCCTGTAATCCCAGCACTTTGGGAGGCCGAGGTGGGCAGATCATGAGGTCAGGAGTTCAAGACCAGCCTGGCCAACATAGTGAAACCCTGTCTCTACTAAAAATACAAAAAATTAACCAGGCATCTGGCGGGTGCCTGTAATCCCAGTTATTTGGGAGGCTGAGGCAGGAGAATCACTTGAACCTGGGAGGCGGATCTTGCAGTGAGCGGAGATGACGCCACTGTACTCTAGCCTGGGTGACAGAGCAAGATTCCATCTCAAAAAAAAAAAAAAAAAAAAGTCCTCAACTTGGTGACTATTTTCATTGTTCATGCCTACAGCACAGATGAACTGTGCATTCCTGATTGCATTCTGTAGTGACTTCATTAAAAGGAGAACATTTAGGATTAAGACCTGTGGTCTGAGGAAGAGTGTGAAACAGTCTTCAGTTTATTAAGTGCAGACACACCAAGGAGCTCAGAGAAGTTGGAAATCAGCAAAGAGGAACTGACCACCCAGAGGTCTTTTGGGACTGGTGGGGGTTTCTTATTGCTCCTGAACCCTTACTGTTCTCTTTTTTAATTTTCATTTTTTAAATTATCTCTTTTTTATTACATTTTTTGGAAGTATTTCTCAATTTCTCTCTATTCACATTTTCTGTTCAGCCCTTTTCCTTATTCCGTATCTTCATTTTCTTGGTAGTCCTCATTTTGAAGTCATTCTTCAGTTAAATAATGTCATAAAAAGATGGAGATTAAACAATATGTTTTTCATGAGAGTTGATTAGGATCAAATTATTTGAAATTTCTAACTTAGATGTTTTCAAAATCAAAAACTAACTAAACTACCTTGTATTTTCTTAAGTATGGACTACAACTGGTGAACAAGACTCTTCAATAAGACCCCCTGTCCCCACCCCACTCCCATTTTTCACTGAGCAGCACATGCCAGATGCCAGGGCAGGAGGGTACGTGGTCACCAACCTGCTCCTTCCAGGAATTCAAGATGTGCCCCAGTCTGTAGGCATAGTAGTCCTTGCTCTGTTGGTTGAATGTGTGGACAGCAAACTCCACTGTGGCAGGGAGGTAACGAGCCATGACATTGTGTTCATCACAGTCCCTTTGCTCGTGGAAATGCCAGGCATAGATCAGCAGGATCTGGGAGCCTAAGAGAAGCAGCAGCAGCGCCCAGGACAGACCTCCCTTCCACGGCAGGCCCAGCATGGTGCTGACTGTAGGCACCGCTGACTTTGCTCTTCCCAGCCCCCGTGCCCACAGGAGTTAATTGAGCACAGACCCAGCCCTTAATCTTATCTGCTCAGACAGCCCTGTGGGACAAACTTGTCTCACCCCACACTGGCAACAGGCACTCCTACAGGACAGGAAGGACAGGATCCTGGATTAAAGGGAGGCAGCTCTGGATGTGGAGTCACTCATCTGCCATCCTTCTGCCCTATACTCTCTAGGCCAGCACAAGCCACAGGCAGGAGGGGAGCTACCCTCTGCCACTAGCTTTGAAGGCTGCTCCTTCAGAACCCACAGGTTCTGGTTGTCCTCAGGTGCTTGGTGTCCTTGGATGATTCTGTGCCTTCGCCTCCCACAGCGAACTGAGATAAGACCTGGGGACATCTCGACTCTCACTCTCCCCTCCTTCACCCCGTCGAAGAGAGGATCTCCGTTGTTCAGAAAAATAACTAAGATATCAGTTTGTTCTTTTGTTGTATAATACCTCAACAGTTGTACTCTGTGAACCAAGGGAAAAAATGAAAAAAATAAATGGCAATTTTTATCAACCATTTTGACCTGGGATGGACAATGAGTATTGTGAGAAAAGGGCAGGAAAGACAGAGACCCAAGTCCTGAGGCCCCAGCCTGGTCATGCCCAGCCCAGCCCTGCTTGCATTTCTAAACCTTGTCAGCCCTGGTTCCAGCTGAGCCAGAGCCAAGGTTTCTACAGGGCCCACCGCCCTACATCTGCAGCCCCACCACACACACTCATGTTTTATTAGACTGGAATATCATTCTAGACCAAATTTTTAAACACTTCTCTGGGAGATCACATGTTTCTGCCTCAGTGAGATAGAGGTTGGACCATTCTTCAGCCCCTTGATCATTTTTGTCTCCATCTGACCATCCTTCTTGGTGTTCTAGAGTGAGCTATTTTGCCAGCACTTAGGTGATACTAGGTGGTTACTTTTAAATCAATTTCCTGGCAATAACTAACCTGAAAGAGGAAATAATAATATTTTGTTGCTGTAAGAATGAACATTAAATAGTGCAGGACAGGTGAAGTATGCAAAAGTGAGAGCTTTGAGTTTGGCTGAGAAGACTATGGTGCTGCAATATAGGCAAGAACCTAGCATTGTTGCCAGATAACAGAATAGAAAGTTCAGTCCCAAGTCAGGGAGACTGATTCTACAAGAACTGTTCTGACTGTGTCCCATACCATGTTCCCAGATCACAGCAGGGCCAGGCCTGGGAAGAGCATCACTGCATCTGTCCACACTAGCACAGCACTGGCCAGGTCAAGACAGCTGCAGGTGAAGAGAGTCATGCTGCCTGACCCAACACTGGGGTGGTCCCGAGTGTCTCCTCACAGGAGACTTCACCCATCACAGACAGAAGAAAGTAGCTAGTGTGTGGGGAGCTGCTGCCCAGGAGCCATGTGCATCTTGATCTTCTGCCTTGACTCCAGGAAGTGGGTGACACAGAGTAGCTGAAACCTGTGTCCTGATTAGCAATGATAACAGGTGAAATCTGGCCCATTGCGTTGTTTCATGGGTTGTTTTTTTTTTTTTTTTTGACGGAATCTCTGTTGCCCAGGCTTGAGTGCGGTGGTGTGATCTTGGCTCACTGCTGCAACCTCCGCCTCCCAGGTTCAAGAGATTCTCCTGCCTCAGCCTCCTGAGTAGCTGAGATTACAGGCGTGTTGCACCATGCCCGGCTAATTCTTTGTGTTTTTAGTAGAGATGGGGTTTTGCCATGTAGGCCAAGCTGGTCTCGAACTTTCCTGGCCTCAAGTGGTCCTCCCACCTCAGCCTCCTAATGTGCTGGGATTACAGGCATGAGCTACTGTGTCCAGCCCCCATTGCACTGTCGAAATGTCACTGGTCTTCTGGATCACACCCAGCTGACCCATTCTTCTCATATTTATTTAACCTTGGCAAACAAACAGCTCAACCACACAACTATTTGCAAAATTATTTGTGAGATCTACTGGGTTGTGAAAGATTTTCACATGAGAAAGATTTTCAATCAAACACAACTCACAAGTCAAGGGATCCATGACACAAGATTCACACTTTCCTTTTCACTTGGCAAAGTCTTGCTTATAATTGTGAAGCAGAAGCCAGCACTGCAGGATTCCTTACCACTGCATGAGTTACACAAGAATGAAAACTTCTCATGGGTTCCCTAAAAACTGAGATTGGAAAATGACATAATAACAACAAAAATAATGGTGCAAATTGACATAGTTATATCTCATAGATGTGTCTTAGGTCTTTTCAAAGACAAGAGATAGGTCAAGAAAGACCTGAGGTGACCCTGAGCTTGCATCTCTGCCTGACTTCCAATCTCAGCACAAGCAAGGAACCTTGGCTAGGACAGAGGTGTGAGTGGCCTACGCATTGAAGGTGTGCCCCAATACACACACCAAGTGGGCTAGTTTTGGAAGGGTGTTGTTGTTGTTGTTACAGTTGTTTAGTGACTTTGACCACATGTAACAAGTAACACACTCTTCACAGAAATAGTTTAGAAAAGTCACTAAACAAAGACACAACTACAATCCACAGCAAGCAACAACAAATCTTAGGGAGAAAGCAGACTCAGACTCCTGGAGTTAACACAATTTAATATTTAAATAACCAGTTTTCCAAAAAAAATTATAAGGCATACAAAGGGACCTGAAAGTAAGCCCCATTTACAGTTTTCTTTGTGGTGCAATGCCTTTTCAGCTTGATGTAATCCTGTTTGTTTATTTTTGTTTTTGTTGCCATGATTTTGAGTTCTTACCTAAAAAGTCTGCCCACACCAATGTCCTGAAATGTTTTCCCAATACTTCTAGAAGTTTCATAGTTTCAGATCTTAAATTTAAGCGTTTAATCAATTTTTGTTTTTTTTATATATATAGTGTTTTATATATATAGTGTTTTTTTTAATGTATATATAGTGAGAGGTAGTGGTCTAGCTTCACTTTTCCGCATTATGATCATCCAGTTTTTCCAGCAGCATTTATTGAAGAGACTGTTCCTTTTCCAATGGGTTTTCTTGGCGTCTTTGTTGAAAATGAGGTGGCTGTGAACATGTGGATTTATTTTTGGGTTCTCCATTCTGTTCCATTGGTGTATGTGTCTGTTTTTATGCCAGTGCCATGCTGTTCGGTTACTGTATCATTGTACTACAATTTGAAGTCAGGTATATTTTGATGTCCCCCGCCTTGTTATTTTTGCTAAGGATTTCCCTGGCTATTTGAGGTCTTTTGTGGTATTATACATATTTTCGGATATTTTTTTTGTCCTTTTCTGTGAAGAATGTCATTGACATTTTGAATAAGGATTGCATTGAAATTGTAGATAGCTTTGGTTAGTATTGACATTTTAACAACATTAATTCTTCCAATTTATGAGCATAAATATCTTTCCAGTTTTTAATTTCCTCTTCCGTTTATTTCATTAATGCTTTATAGTTTTTTTGTAGACATCTTTTACTTCTTGAGGTAAATTTATTTCTAATTATTTTATATTTTTGTAGCTACTGTAAATTTGATTGCATTCTTGATTTCTTTTTCAGTTTGTTCACTGTTGGTGTATGTTAGTGCTACTGATCTTTGTACATTGATTTTGTGTTTTCAACTTAACTGAATTCATTTAGCAGTTTTAATAGTTTTTTGACAAAGTCTTTAGCTTTTCCCAAATATCATAACATGTCATCTGTGAACAAGGATAATTTAACTTCTTCCTTTCCAATGTGGATGCCCATTATTTCTTTCTCTTGCCCAGTTGCTCTGGTCGGGACTTTGAGTACTACATTGAATAAAAGTGGTGGAAGTCTTGTTCCAGATATTAAAGGAAAGAAATATATAACAAACCCACAGCCTTTATTTTGGCCTTCATTTTGAGGTATGTTCCTTTAAGCCTGTTGTGTTGAGAGCTTTTATCATGAAAAGATGTATGATTTTTGTCTAATGTTTTTTCAGCATCTATTGAAATGACCATATGGTTTTTGTCTTTGATTTTGTTAATGTGATGTGTCATATTTACTAATTTGCATATGTTGACCCATCCTTGCATCCCTGGAGTGGATCCCATTTGGTGATGGTGAATGATTTTTTTTACGTGTTGTTGTATTTTCATTTGCTAGTACTTTGTTGAGGATTTTTTTTCTTTTTTTTTTTTTGCTCCTATGTTCACCAGGGGTATTGGCCTGTAGGTTTTTATTGTTTTATTGTACCCTGAACTGGTTTTGGCGTCAGAGTAATGTTGGCTTTGTAGAATGAGTTTGGAAGTATTCTGTTCTTTTTTATTTTCTGAAATAGTTTGAATAGAATTGATAGTACTTCTTTACATGTTTGGTAGAATTCAGCAGTGAAGCTATTAGGACCTAGGCTTTCTTTGATGGGAGACTTTTTAGTACTGCTTTGATCTTCTTACTCATTGCTGATCTGTTTAGGTTTTCTGTTTTTTCTTGGTTCTTCTTGGTATGTTATATGTATCCAGGAATGTATTCACTTCCCCTAGGTTTTTTGCCATATATTTGTTCCTAATAGTCTCTAACAATCCTTTACATTTTTGTATTATCAATTGTTATGTCTCTGTTTTTGTTTCTGATTATATTTTTTTGAGCATTCTCTCTTTTTTCCTTACTCTAGATAAAGGTTTGCTGATTTTATCTTTTCAAAAGAATAACTTATTGTTTTGTTAGTCTTTTATATTTTTTAAATTCTCAATTCTGATATTTGTTACTTCTTTCCTTCTACTAATTTTGGATTTGGTTTATTTCTGCTTTTCTAATTTCTTGAGCTGCATTATTAGGTTGAAATATTTGAAATCTTAATACATTTTTGGTATAGGCATTTATTGTTATAAACTTGCCTCTTAGAACTCCCTTAGCTGTAGATTTTGATATGTTGTGTTTCCATTTTAATTTGTTTTAAGTAATTTTTAAACTTCTGTATTAATTTCTTTATTGATCAATGATCCTTTAGAAATGTTGCTTAACTTCCATGTGTTTATATAATTTCCAAAGTTCCTCTTGTTATTGATTTCTAGTTTTATTCCATTGTGGTCAGAAAAGGCACTTGATATGATTTCAACTTTTTGAAATTTATTGAGATTTTTTTTGAGGCCTAACATATGGCCTATCCTGGAGAATGTTTCATGTGCTGATAAGAATGTGTATTCTGTAGCAGTTGGATTAAATGTTCTCTAAACATCAATTAGGTCTACTTGGTACTCTAGAGTGTCTTTTAACTTTGAATATTTTTGTTGATTCTGTCTGGCTCATCTTTCTGATTTTTTCTGGCTCATCTTTCATCTTACTGAAAGGGGTATTAAAGTTCTCTACTATTATTTTATTGTAGTCTATCTCTGTGGCTTTATATCTATTAATGTTTGCATTATATGCTTGGGATATCCAATGCTGGAAGCATAGATATTTATAGTTGTTATTCCTTTTGTTGAATTCACCCCTTTATCTTTATATAGTAAACTCCTTTTTCTCTTTTTTACAGTCTTTGACTTAAAATATATTTTATCTTGTGTAAGCTTAGCTACTTCTGCTCTTTTTTTTTTTTTTTTTTTTTTTTTTTTTGAGATGGAGTCTCACTCTGTCGCCCAGGCTGGAGTGCAGTGGAGCAATCTTAGCTCACTGCAAACTCTGCCTCCCAGGTTCATGCCATTCTCCTGCCTCAGCCTCCTGAGTAGCTGGGACTACAGGCACCTGCCACCACACCTGGCTATTTTTTTGTATTTCTAGTAGAGACGGGGTTTCACCATGTTATCCGGGATGGTCTTGATCTTCTGACCTCGTGATCCACCCACCTCAGCCTCCCAGAGTGCTGGGATTACGGGTGTGAGCCACCATGCCCAGCCCTACTTCTGCTCTTTTTATGGTTTTCATTTGTGTGGAAGATCTTTTTCCATCCCTTCACTTTCAGACTGTGTCCTTACAGGTGAAATGAGTTTCTTGTAGGCAAAATATAGTTGGGTCTTTATCCTTTATCCATTCAGTCACTCTATATCTTTTAGTTGAATAAGTTAGTCTACTTACATTTAATGTTATTATTGACAGGTATGGACTTACTGCTGCAAATTTATTATGTGTTTTTCATTGTTTTGTAACTCCTCTCTTTCATTCTTTCTTACTGTATTCACTTGTGGTTAAGTAATTTCCTCTCGTAGTATCTTTTCATTTGTTGCTTTTTATTCTTAGTGTATCTATTGTAGGTTTCTGCTTTGTGGTTACCTTGAGGATTCCAAAAGATTCTCTTATACATATAACAAGTTACTTTAAACAGATGAGAACTTAACTTTGATCACAAAGAAAAGAAAAGAAACAAAGGAAAGACTAAAAACTCTACAATTTAACTCCATCAACTCCCCGTTTTGACTTTTTGTTGTCTTAATTTATATCTTTTTTATTGCCTATCTCTTAACAGGTTGCTGTAATAATTTTTGATAGATTTATCTTTTTTTTCCTCATACCAGATATATGAGTAGATTACTCAGCACAATTACAGTATTAAAATACTCTGAATTGTCTATATATTTACTTTTACCAGTGAGTTTTATATCTCCAATAGCTTTCTTTTTGCATGTTATCATCCTTTCTCTTCAGATCAAATACATCAATTTAGCATTTCTTTTAAGATGGGTCTAATGGTTAAGGATTTTCTCAACTTTTGTTTGGGAAATGCTTTATCTCTTCTTCATGTTTGAAGGAAATATTTGCTGATTACAGTATTTTTATTTGGCAGTTATTTCCCTTCAGCCCTTTGAATATGTAATCCCACTTCCTCCTGGCCTGTATGGTTTTTGCTGAGAAGTCTGTTGCCAGACAAATTGGAGCTCCTTTATGGTTTTTTTTTCCTTTCTTCTTTTATTTTGCTGTTTCTAGAATCCTCTCTTTGTCCTTGACATTTGAGTATTTGATTATTATATGCTTTGAGATGTGTCATTTGGGTCAAATCTGTTTGGTGATCTGACCTTCTTTAACCTGGATATTTATCTTTCCCTTGATTTGGAAAAATGTCTGTTATGATTTCTTGTTTTAAAAATTTTATTTCAATAGTTTTTGGGGAACAGGTGGTTTTGGTTTACATGGATAAGTTCTTTATTGGTGATTTCTGAGATGTTGCTGTACCCATCACCCAAGCAGTGTACCCTGTACCCAGTGTGTAGTCTTTTATCCTTCACCCTCCTCTCACCCTTCCCCCAACTTCCCAAAGTCCCTTATATTATTCTTATGCCTTTGCATCCTCATAGCTTAGCTCCCACTTATAAATGAGAACATGTGATACTTGGTTTTCCGTTCCTGAGTTACTTAACTTAGAATAACAGTCTCCAATTTTATCCAGGTTGCTGCAAATACCATTATTTCATTCCTTTTTATGGCTGAGTAGTAATTCAAGGTCTATATGTACCACATTTTCTTTTTCCACTAATTGGCTGATGGACATTTAGGCTTCTTAGATATTTTTTGCAATTGTGAATTGTGCTGCTACAAACATGCATATGCAAGTCTCTTTTTCATATAATGACTTCCTTTCCTCTGTGTTGACACTCAGGAGTGGAATTGCTGGATCAAATGGTAGTTCTACTTTTAGCTCTTTAAGAAATCTTCATACTGTTTTTCATAGTAGTTTTACTAGTTTACATTCTAACCAGCAGTGTAAAGGTGGTCCCTTTTCACTGCATCCATGCCAACATCTATTTTTTTTTTATTTTTTAATTTTGCCCATCCTTGCAGATGTAAGGTGGTATCATACTGTAGTTTTGATTTGCATTTCTCTGATAATTAGTGATATTGAGCATTTTTTTCATATGTTTATTGGCCATTTGTATATCTTCTTTTGAGAATTGTCTATTCATGTCCTTTGACCACTTTTTGATGGGGTTTTTTGCTTTTGTCTTGCTGATTTGTTTGAGTTCTTCATAGATTCTGGATATTAGTTCTTTATCAGATGCACAGTTTGTGAACATTTTCTCCCAGTCTGTGGGTTTTCTATTTATTCTGCTAATTATTTCTTTTGCTGTGCAGAAGCTTGTTAGTTTAATTTAGTTTAATTAGGTCCCATCTATTTATTTTTGTTTCTGTTGCATTTGCATTTAGGTTCTTGGTCATGAACTCTTTGCCTAAGCCAATGTCTAGAAGAATTTTTCCAGTGTTATCTTCTGGAATTTTTATGGTTTCAAGTCTTAGATTTCAGTCTTTGAACTATCTAGAGTTGATTTTTGTATAAGGTGAGAGATGAGGATCCTGTTTCATTCTTCTACATGTGGCTTGCCAATTATCCCAGCACCATTTCCTGAATAGGGTGTACTTTATCTACTTTATATATATTTTGTGTATATAAAGTAAAAACCTTTGTCAAAAATTAGTTGGCTGTAAGTATTTGGCTTTATTTCTGAGTTCACTATTCACTTCCATTGGTCTACGTGCCTATTTTTATATGAGTACCATGCCATTTTGGTAACTATAGCCTTGTAGTATAACTTGAAGTTGGGTAATGTGATGCTGCCAGATTCTTTCTTTTTGCTTAGTCTTGCTTTGGCTATGTGGCCTCTTTTTTGGTTCCATATGCATGTTACAATTTTTTTTGTAGTTCTATGAAGAATGATGATGGTGTTTTGGTGGGAACTACATTGAATCCGTAGATTGCTTTTAACAGTATGATCATTTTCATAATATTGATTCTACCCTTCCATGAGCATGGGATGTGTTTCCACTTGTCTGTGTCATCAATGATTTCTTTCAGTAGTGTTTTGCATTTTTTCTTGTAGAGTTCTTTCACTTCCTTGGCTGGGTATATTCATAAGTATTTTATATTTTTGCAACTGTTATAAAAGGGATAGAATTCATTATTTGATTCTAAGCATGGTCTTTCTTGGTGTATAGCAATGCTACTGATTTGTGTACAATGATTTTCTGTCTTGGAACTTTACCAAATTTATCACATCTAGGGTCTTTTTAGATGAATCTTTAGAGTTTTCCAGATATACAGTCATATAATCAGTGAACAGCAACAATTTGACTTCCTCTTTACCAATTTGGATGCCCTTTACTTGTTTCTCTTGTCTGATTGCTTTGGCTAGGACTTCCAATACTATGTTGAATAGAAGTGATATAAGTGGGCATCCTTGTCTTGTTCCAGTTCTCAGGGGAAATGCTCCCCTTAAGCAACGGGGAAGCATTTCTCAACTTTTCCCCATTCAGTATAATGTTGACTGTGGGTTTGTGATAGATAGTTCTCATTACCTTGTCCCTTCTAGGCCGATTGTGCTGAGGGCTTTAATCATAAAAAGATGGTGAATTTTGTCAAATGTGTTTTTCTGCATCTATTGAGATGATCATATGATTTTCATTTGTAATTCTGTTTATGTGGTGTATCACATTTATTGACTTGTGTATGTTAAATCATCCCTGCATCCCTGGTATTTCTTTGTAGAGATCTTTCACCTATAGAACCTCCTCATAGCATAAATATGGAACTAAGGAGTGGTAACCGGCTTATTATGGGTATTATCTTTTTTAAATGCCACTGGATTTGGATTTGGTTAGCTAGTATTTTGTTGAGGATTTTTGCAACTCTGTTCATCAGAGATATTGGTCTGTAGTTTTGTTTTTTTGTTATGTCCTTTCCTGGTTTTGGTATTAGGGTGATACTGGCTTTACAGAATGATTTAGGAAGGTTTGCCACTTTCTCTTTCTTTTGGAATAGTTTCCGTAAGATTGGTACCAATTATTCTTTGAATGTCTGATAGAGTTCAGCTGTGAATCCATCTGGTCCTGAATTTTTTTTTCATTGGCAATTATTTTCATTACTGTTTCAATCTCGCTACTTGTTATTGGTCTGTTCAAAGTTTCCATTTCTTCCTGATTTAATCTAGGAGGATTGTATGTTTCCGGGAATTTATCCATCTCCTCTAGATTTTGTAGTTTGTGTGCATAAAGGTGTTCATATTAGCCTTGAATGATCTTTTGTATTTCTGTATAGTGGTTGTAATAGCTCTCATTTTATTTCTAATTGAGCTTTTTGGACCTTCTCATCTTTTCTTGGTTAATGTCATTAATGGCTCATCAATTTTATCTTTTCAAACAAGCAGCTTTTTGCATCATTTATCTTTTGTATTTTTTGTTTGCTTCAATTTCATTTAGTTCTGCTCTGATCTTTGTTATTTATTTTATTCTTCTGGGTTTGGGTTTGGTTTGTTCTTGTTTCTCTATTTCCTTGAGGTGTGACCTTAGATTGTTTATTTGTTCTCTTTCAGACTTTTTGATGTAGGCATTTAATGGTATGAACTTTCCTTTTAGCACCACTTTTGCTGTATCCCAGAGGTTTTGATAAGTTGTGTCACTATTATTCAGTTCAAAGAATCTTAAAATTTCCATCTTGGTTTCATCATTTACCTAATGAAGTGCAGATTATTTAATTTCCATATATTTTTATAGTTTTGAGAGTTTCTTTTGGATTTACTTTCCAGTTATATTCCACTGTGATCTGAGAGGACACTTGATATAATTTTGATTTTCTCAAATTTATTAAGACTTGTTCTGTGACCTAGCATGTGTTCTGTCTTGGAGAATGTTCCATGTGCTGATGAAGAGAATGTATATTATGAAGTTTTTGGGTAGAGTGTTCTGTTAAAATCTGTTAGGTTCATTTGTTGGAAGGTATAGTTTAAGCCCATTTTCTCTTTGTTGACTTTCTGGCTTGATGACCTGTCTAGTGCTGTCAGTGGAGTACTGGAGTTCCCCACTGTTATTGTGTTGCTATCTCATTTCTTAGGTCTAGCAGTAATTGTTTGATAATTTGGGAACTCCCATGTTAGATGCATATATATTTAGGATTGTGATATTTTCCTATTGGATTAATCCTTTTATCATTATATAATGTCCTTCTTTGCCTTTTTTCACGATTCTTGCTTTCAAGTCTGTTTTGTTTGGTACAAGCTATTCCTGCTCGCTTTTGGTTTTCATTTGCATGTAATATCTTCTTCCACCCCTTTACCTTAAGTTTGTTTAAGTCCTTATGTGTTAGGTGAGTCTCTTGAAGACAGCAGGTACTCGGTTGGTGGATTTTTATTCATTCTGCCATTCTGTATCTTTTAAGTGGAACATTTAGTTCATTCACATTCAGTGTTGGTATTGAGATGGGAGGTCCTGTTCTGTTCATTATGCTAGTTATTGCCTAAGTACCTTGATTTTTTTATTGTGTTATTGCTTTATAGGCCCTCTGAGATTTATGCTATAATCAGGTTCTATTTTGGTGTATTTCAAGTTTTTCTTTCAAGATTTAGAATACCTTTTAGCATTTCTTGTAGTACTGGCTTGGTAGTGGCAAATTCTCTCAGCATTTGTTTATGCAAAAAAGATTTTATTTCTCCTTCATTTGTGAAGCTTAGTTTTTTGGATACAAAATTCTTGGCTGACAATTATTTTGTTTCAGGAGGCTAAAGATAGGACCCCAGTGCCTTCTGGCATGTAAGGTTTCTGCTGAGAAATCTACTGTTAATCTGATAGGTTTTCCTTTATTGGTTACCTGATGGCTTTTTGTCACAGTTCTTAAGATTATTTCCTTCATCTTGACTTTATATAACCTGATGACTATGTGCTAGGTGATAATCTTTTTGTGATGATTTTTTTCAGGTGTTATTTTATCTTCTTGTATTTGGATGTCTAGATCTCTAGCAAGGGCAGGTAAGTTTTTTTCACATAGTCTCTCAAATAAGTTTTCTAGACTTTTAGATTTCTCCTCCTCTTCAGGAACACCAGTAGTTTTTAGGTTTGGCCACTTAATATAATCCAAAGTTTCTTGAAGCCTTGTTCTTTAATTTTTTTTTTGTCCTTGTCTGATTGGGTTAATTTGAAAGCTCTGTCTTTGAGCTCTTAAGTTCTTTTTATTTTTTATTTATATATATTTTGTATTTTTTCCATAAGTTATTGGGGTACAGGTGATATCTGGTTACATGAGTAAGTTCTTTAGTGGTGATTTGTGAGATATTGGTGTACCCATCACCTGAGCAGTAAACACTGCACCATATTTGCAGTGTTTTACCCCTCATCCCCTTCTCACTCTTCCCCCCAAGTCTCCAAAGTCCA
The DNA here is from genome assembly GCF_000001405.40 of Homo sapiens. NCBI lineage: Eukaryota > Metazoa > Chordata > Mammalia > Primates > Hominidae > Homo > Homo sapiens. Next base: position 23,580,547 of record NC_000020.11, read on the forward strand.
TTGTATCATTCTTATGCCTTTGTGTCCTCATAGCTGAGCTCCCACATGTCCGTGAGAACATACGATGTTGGGTTTTCCATTCCTGAGTTACTTTACTTAGAATAAATAGTCTCCAATCTCATCCAGGTCACTGCAAATGCTGTTAATTCAGTCTTTTTTATCGCTGAGTAATATTCTATTGCATATATATACCACAGTTTCTTTATCCACTTATTGATTGATGGGCATTTGGGTTGGTTCCACTATTTTGTAATTGTGCATTGTGCTGCTATAAACATGCGTGTGCAAGTATCTTTTTTGAATAATGAATTTCCTAGGTGTTATTTGTGCTTCTTGTATTTGGATGTCTAGGTTTCTAGGAAGGCCAGGGAAGTTTTTCTCAATTATTCCCCAAAATATGTTTTCCAAGTTTTTAGAATTCTCTTCTTCCTCAGGAACATCAATTATTCTTAGGTTTGGTCATTTAACATTATCCCAGACTTCTTGGAGTGTTTGTTTATATTTTCTTATTCTTTTGTCTGTGTCTTTGTTGGATTGGGTTAATTCTAAGACCTTTTCTTCGAGCTCTGAATTTCTTTTTCCTACTAGTTTAATTTTGTTGATGAGACTTTCCAGAGCATTTCACATTTCTAAGAGGGTGTCCAAAGTTTCCAAAATCTTTTATTGTTTTTTCTTTAAACTATCTATTTTCTTGAATATTTCTCCCTTGACTTCTTGTATTGTTTTTTGGATTTCCTTGCATTGGGCTTCTCTTTTCTCTGGTGCCTTTCCAATTAGCTTAATAACTGAATTCCAGAATTCTTTTTCAGATAAATCATGTATTTCTTCTTAGTTTGGATCCATTGCTGGTGAACTAGTGTGATTTTAGGGGGAGTGTTAAAGAGCCTTGTTTTGTCATATTACCAGGGTTGGTTTTCTGATTTCTTCTCATTTGGGTAGGCTCTATCAGAGGGAAGGTCTAGGGTTGATGGCTGTTGTCCAGATTATTTTGTCCCACAGGGTGTTCACTTGATGTAGCCCTCCCCTCTTTTCCCATAAAAGAGGGAAGTGTTTGTTCCTGTGAGCCGAAATGCAGTGTTTGTTGTCTCTCTTCTAGGTCTAGCCACCCAGCGAGTCTACCAAGCTCTGGGCTGGTACTGGGGTTGTCTACACAGAGTCCTGTGATGTGAACTGTCTATGGGTCTTTCAGCCGTGGATATCATCACCTGCTCTGGTAGAAGTGGTGGGGGTGGGGGTACATTGGACTCTGTGAGGGTTGTTAGATTTAGTGGTTTAATGCTCTATTTTTGTGCTGATTGGCCATCTGCAGAGAGGTGGCGCTTTCCAGAAAGCATCAGCTATAGTAGTGTGGAGAGGGACCAGCGGTGGGCAGGGCCCTAGAACTCCCAAGAGTATAGGCCCTTTGTCTTCCTCCACCAGGGTGGGTAGGGAAGGGCCATCAGGTGGGGGCGGGGCTAGGCGTGTCTGCGCTCAGACTGTCCTTGGGCGGGTCTTGCTGCGGCTGCTGTTGGGGATGGAGGTTAGACTCCCAGGTCACTGGAGTTGTGTACCTAGGAGGATTATTGGCTGCCTTTGCTGAGTCATGCAGGTTGTCAGGGAAGTGGGGGAAAGCCGGCAGTCACAGGCCTCACCCAGCTCCCACGCAAACTGAAGGGCTGGTCTCACTCCCACTGTAACCCCCACAATAGCCCCAAGTCTGTTTCTAGGTGGTGGGCAAAATGAGCTTGAGAACTTGCCCCAGGCTACTCACCTCCAGGCTGTGAAAGAAAAGGGCTTGGTTCTTCCCTTGCCTGTGGAGTCTACACACCGGATTTGCACCCTTTCCTGAGTTCTGGCCAGGAGGCTTCTCACCCATTCAAATTGTTACACAGTTCAGCTAGAGATTTCCTTCTTCCTATGGAGTCTTGCCCCACCACTCTTCTGGCAGTCTTCCCAGTGGATCCCTGTGGTGTCAGGCAGGAATGTCCTACTTGGGGGGCCCAACAAGCTCCCAGGGTCTTTCTGCTGCTTCCTCTACCCCTGTATTTCACTCTGCTCTCTAAATTGACTCAGCCCCAGGTAAGGTAGGAAACTTATCTCACCAACAGACCTTCAGTTTCTCCATTGGGGGTGTGAGTTCAAGAGAGGAGGGTTTCCCTTTCCCACTTTTGCAGTTGGAGCACTCATAGTATTTGAGGTGTCTCCTGGGTCCTGCAGGAGCAATTTGCTTCTTTGAGAGGGTCTGTGGATCCTCTTGGGATTGCTGGATTGTTCTTGCAGTCAATCTGGAGCTAGAATTCACAGCGTGAGCTTCCACACGCTGCTCTGTTCAGAGCTGTAATCTAGTCCTGTCTCCTGTCTGCCATGATGATCCATCACAGATTTTGTTTTAGCTGTTTAAATAAATTTATTAGGTTTATAAGTAACAATATGGATAGATCTCAAAATCAGGATTTGGTTTTTCTTATTTATTTATTATGCTTTACGTCCTGTGATACACGTGCAGAACATACAGTTTTGTTACACAGATATACATGTACCATGGTGGTTTGCTGCACCCATCAACTCGTCATCTAGGTTTTAAACCCTGCATGCATTAGGTATTTGTCCTAATGTTCTCCCTCCCCTTGCCCCCCACCCCCTGACTGGCCCTGGTGTGTGATGTTCCTCTCCCTGTGTCCATGTGTTCTCATTGTTCAATTCCTACTTGTGAATGAGAACATGTGCCACAACCAACTTTTTTACTGTTGAGTTTTGAGAGTTTATTACATATACTAGATACTAGTTGTCTGATGGATATATGATTTGCAAATATTTTCTCCCACTCTGTAGTTTGTCTTTCCATCCTCCTCACATGGGTTTTCACTGAGCAAAAGCTTTTAATTTTGATAAGAAATAATTTATCAGTTTATTATTTTATGTATCATGATTGGAGGTTTAGTCTAAAATGTATTTTCTGTGCATGGTGTTTTCATATGCATATTAATTTATATTCTATGTCTCTAGAGGTCTGCCCTTTTTCATTACTAATATTTTTATTTCTTTATCTCTTTTTCCTTTCCTCTCTCTTCTTTCCTGACTCTGCCAAAAAACACAAGAACAATGTAGACCAAATACTCATGGCTGAATACTTCCCTGCCATGGTGGAATGTGTGTGTCACACACATTCCACCTGCAGAGCATGGACTCATATGCCTACAAGCTGGTGCATGTTCTGAGTTCCTAGAGGAAGAAGGTTGGTAACCACATCCTTTCCTTCCCAGCCCTCCCTTACTTGCTACCAATAATGGATAGGGGTGTGGTGTCTAATTAAGGAGTCCTGGTTTATCATTTGTAGTCCATAACAAGGTAAAATTTGAGGTCTATAGTATAGTAAGGTATAATATCTAGTTTAGTAATTTTAAGTTTTTAGAAAACATTTTACTTTGAAACATCTAAGAACTTATTCAAATCTAATTAATAGTGCTTAAAACATTTTTTCAATCTTCATCTTTTCTATGACATTCAACTGAAGAATGACTTCAAAATAAGGACTACTAAAGAGATGAAGCTACTGAGTTAAAAAAAATATATGGACTAAAAATGTCCATAAAGACAGATTGAGAAGTACTTCAAATTTTATGTCAAAGACATAAAATGACAACAGATACTTAGAAAAATGGGAAAACTGGAGACAGAGTGAGAGAGAGAGTGAGAGATGCAGATTCAGAAGCAATAAGGAACCCCCATCAGTCCTGAGAGGCTGCTGTGCGGTCAGTTCCTCTTCTCTGATTTCCACCTGCTCTGAGCTCCTTGGTGGGTCTGCACTTAATGAACTGAAGGGTTTTTTACACTCTTTCTCAGACCACAGCTTTCAATCCTAAATGATTTTCTTTTAATCAAGTCACTACAGAATGCAATCAGGAATGCACTGTTTATCTGGGCTGCAGGTATGGACAATGAAAATGATCTCCCAATGGAGCACTTTTGGTTAGGAGGGAGAAGTCGGATTGCTCTTCCTCCTTCAGCACTAAGATCCTGCAAGAAGGGCAGAGGGACTCCAACCCTGCACAGAGCTTAAGCCTCTGGAAAGACTCTGTGCAATGCCCTGGCTGGTTCTCTGCCCCCTGCTCTCTGGGCTGGAGCCTTCCACGTGGCTTCCTGAATCTGGCAGTCCCTGAGTCAGTGTGGGGTTTGATAAGAATGTATGAATGAGGAAGGAGGATATGGAATGGAAAGAAATAGAATTGAGTGGAAAGAAGAGCAAGGAAAATTTCAAAGTGCATTTTGCAATGGGGCAGATGTTATTTCTTGAAGCCATTGTCCCAAGGATGTGTGCCTGTGTGTAATGGGAGCACTGTGTGTCATTTTTCTTGCTGGAGGTCAGGTGAAAGTTTTGACAATATGCTGTAGATGAGGCTCCCTCTGTCCCAGGGCTGAGGTTACCCTGAAAACTCTTGGAGATCCAACACCCTCCCGGGCATGTGGCGCCATCCTCTGGGAATGCAGTTGCAGGATCAGATGCCTGCTGAGAGTGAAGCTGTGTCTCATCGTGGGAGAGGTGGAGGTGAAGCTGGAGACAGGGGATACATTAGTGGGGTCTGACTCAGCCTGTGTCTGCCCCAGGACCCACCATACACACCTGCTCTTTGCTCTTAATTCCTTAATCTGGAGAAGGTTCCCCAGATTTTACCTCCAGTGAACTGATGCCAGGCCCATGAGTGAGCTCCCTAATGCAGTAGCATGTTTGGGCCTCTCCCTACAATGACAGCATCTTCACTTTCAGGTATTTAGGTGCAGAAAGAGGGGCGTGTTCACTGTAATCTCTCTGTACATTAGATAGAGTCCAAGACCGTATTCTCAATGGAGCTACTGCTGGGGAGAACTAGGTGTGGGAAATTTGAAGACAACATTGATAACTGCCCTTTCCAAGAAAGCACAGAGCTGAACGATGTAAGACAGGGCAACATCTTCCCTCCTGGACACAGCTGTGGATGCCACATAGGGTGTGGTATGGGCACAGGTGCAGCTGACAAAGAGACTTAGAGGAGTTAGCCTGCAGCAGCCTCTACCAGGCTGCCCTGCTTTTGCCTTAGTGGGGAGTGCAGAGGGGAAGGCAGCCACGGGTCCACTTGTAGGCTCCCGGCCAATCTGAGTTTCCTGACTCTGCCCTGTCATGCCACTGCAGTGGCCTGTACCCAGGGCACATGGCCTTCAGACTGCTCTTGTCCGCCTGGGGTCCCAGTCTCCTAAGCCTGAGTAGAGGCTGTTTCCTCTCTGGTCTTCCTCCCCAGTCTTCGTCTGCCTTCTGAAGAAAGAGCGTGGTGGGGATCCAATATCACCTCTTTCTGAGTGTGCAGTTCTCAGGGTCCCCCTCCCCTAATCCAGAGCCTGAGGCAGGTGGAGGCTGAGGAGGGACCCCACTGCCCTCCCTCCCTCGTCCTGCCCTGGCCCCTGCTGAGCTGTAATGCCTGCTCCAGAGGATAGGGACAGGGGACAAGGGGAAGCCCAGCTCTGGGGACAGCCTACCTAGGACAGGTGGGCCCCCTCATCAAAGGATTAACTAATAGGTTAAACATTGGCCTACATCTGAGAGCAGCTCTGGGGAGACAAAGTGACTTTTGTGCTCTTGGGGGTATGAATCACACAGGCCAGCCTGTGGAGTCCCAGGAGGCCACTGTCTGGGAAGTGGGTCCTAACACAGGTTACCTTGAGTGAAGAGGGAGCCCCAGATCTGGAAGCAGCTAAGAAATGTCCCAGGAGTGGGGCTGGATGGCCCCACATGAGGATGAGAGCCGCATTCAACTGACAGCTTGGGAAATGTGCAAGGTGGATATTGATCCTTTGCTCAGAGTGGGAGCCATGAGCTTCCTGAGCCCCCTGTCCCCAGTGCCTCGCCCATGCTTTCCCTCCCAGATGCTCACCTGCTTCTTCACTTTTAGGACCCAGCCCTGGGTAATGCAGTGTGAGCTCCTGAACAAGACCTGCTCAGAGGGGTTCCCCTGATTGCTTCTCACCCACAGGCCCAGGCTCAGGCTGCCCTCACCTCTGTGGACACTGGCAGTTCTCCAAAGGTGGCTCTGCTGTAGCTGACCAGCTCCATATTTGTTTGTTCTTTTCAATTTACAATTCCCTTGGATTCATGACGGGGCATGCAGATGCTGTCAAAGTAAATTCCACACTTCTCCAGGTTCCTCATGTAGAATATAGGTCATTAAACATCAGCATTTCCAGAAGCTTTGTGTGCTAGTGTCCTGGAGAGAGGGGCCTGGGCAGTTGATGGAGTTATTCTCAGCAGGGCAGCCTCGTGGGCTCTCAGGGGTAAGTTTTTATTCCCTGTTGGGCCTCCTGAGTGGCTTCCAGAGGCACAGCTAAGGTGCGTCTGAGCCGCCATCTCAGGGCCCCTTGCAGGCTGCAGAGGGGCAGTGAGGGTGGCCTCCCAGCGCACGGGATGTGCACATGGAGCAGGACAGGGACTCGGGAATCCCACACAGCCCATGTGACATTTGCACTAATGCTCAGAGTGCATGTATACCTAATGTGTTAGCTGAGAATAGCCAGCAGCTGTGGACACCCTGTCCACATCTCCCAGATCAGGCTTCGGCATGCATTCTCTGTAAAAATTTAAGGAGTAACTATTTTGGTCTTTGTAGGCTTATAGTCACTTTCTCAGCTACCCAGCACTGCCTTTGTATGTTGAAAGAAGCATAGACAGTGCATAAACAAATAAGAGCAGTCGTGTCCCAACAAGACTTTGTCTACACATGGAGACAAGCAGACTGGGCTGCTTTTGGCCCTCGGGTCATGGTTGCCAACCCCTGACCTAACAGGCCTTCTGAGTGCAGCTGCCGCTGGTATCCCAAGTACCAGTACATGGGTAGCTCCCAACTCATGCACCTGCGACGTGCCCAGATTGGCTAGTGGCTTTCTCCGTGTAATTGGAGCTCCTCCAGCAGAGCAGGTACACCCCTGTGGTGTGGGAAAGGTCAAGTCTGAGAGTCACACTCCTTCTTCAGGAGGGAGGCAGGTGAATGTCCCAGTCTCCCAGCCTCTGGGCATCCAATTCAGAGGTGCATGTCACATGGTTCTCAGAGCTCCCCAGCAGAATAAACACCCCCGGCCCCAGTGTGACCCATTGATAACAGACACCTTGCGTTTCCCCTTCTCTGTCTCCCTTTCTCACATGTGTCCCCTGGGATCACCTCCAAATAAACTACCTGCACCCACCAGTCTGTGTTTCAGGGTCAGCCTGGGGGGACCCAACACAAGACCTGTGGTGCGTTTGGACCATCGTCTTGGGACTTGTCCTCCATAGATGTGCTGGGAGGGTGGCCCCTCGATCATAGGCGTTCAGGCAAAGCAGAGGGGAGAGCCAGGCCTGGAGACCTCCCTGCGGCCTGCCAGCACTGAGGTAGGCACAGCTGCTGCACTTTGTCCCATCTGGCCTCTGGAACCCACACAGCCCTGCCGTGCCTTGCTCCAGACTTGAGCAGATTTTCCTCTGAGACCCTCCCACCACCTCCCCTGTCTGCTCCCACCCTTGGTCCTTCTCTTGACCCTGACTCCATCAGCAGAAGGAAGCTCAGAGGAGGTGCTTTATCCACAGTGATTCCAACAAGTGTCTTCCAAACAATCCACCCCACTCATTTCATTCAAGAACTATTTCTGAGGCAGCTCCCAGGACAGGGTCTCATGGGGAGTGAGCCCACTGTGGGGGTTGTCCTGGCTCCCTCCTTCATGAAGCAAGGGGAGAGGAGCCCACTCCAAGGCACTGGCCCTTGGGAGGATGCACTAATTCCTGCCTGACTCAAGTTACATGTGTGGGTCTTTTAACAGTTTTCTATACCTCCTAGAAAGGAATATTCACGAAATATAGGATTTTTCCTGGCTACAAATATATCTCCAGGGTTCAAAGCAGTGCATGACTTGAACTGCGTGCTTGGATTTTGCATGCAGACAGGGCTAGCATTGAGGGCTCTGTTGCTTTGGAAAGATCTCTCCTCTCTCACACTTACCATCAATTCCTACTCCTGAAGTTGGCCTCCTGGTCACTTCTCTTTCTGGAATTTTTATAGTGAAGAATCAGGGAATCGCAGCCATGAATGCTGTGTATGGTCACAAGGTGGGTCTGCAAGTAAATCCTGTGCCAGAGGCCAAGCCAGGGACATGCTGGGAACACCTAGTCAGTAGCATCCCTGGGCCTCAGCCCCAGGAAGGAAAAGGAGCATAGATTGTAGTGTAGTGTCACAAGTTTCCTCCTTCTCTGGAAATGTGAGTTCTCATCCAGGTCTGCATCCTCCATCTCCTAGTCCCTCATCCTCTGTCTCTGCCTCATTTACATGGAGATGACAATTTTTGCTTGGCTGCCTTCAAATGGCTACAGCTGAAATCAAATGAAATAGTAGAAGAGAATACTAAATATAAATCTGTTCAAAAATGTGTTAGATATGCACTTCCTTATTCTGTACTGCAACCACTTCCTTGTCTGCTAGGGAGACATCTGGACATATTCCTCACCTTTCCCAGTGTGTCAGGGATGAAACATAGCCCTGGGGACATTATAGGACTGAACACAAAGTAACAACAATGTGGAAAACTTGGGTAGGGACTTCCACACTTCCTGTGCCTCTCTTCTCGAGACAGAGCAAAGGCAGATGAGGTGGATCCTGAGGAGGAGAAGTGGCTGTCAGTATATATTCACAGGGACCACATCCCAGCTGTCGGTGGTTCTAGCTCTGTGTCTTGTGTCTGGGTGACTTCCACCAATTCCCAGAAGAGACTAAGAATCTCTGGATAGGACTCTCGAGCCAAGATGGCCGAATAGGAACAGCTCCGGTCTACAGCTCCCAGCGTGAGCGATGCAGAAGACGGGTGATTTCTGCATTTCCATCTGAGGTACCGGGTTCATCTCACTAGGGAGTGCCAGACAGTGGGCGCAGGCCAGTGGGTGCGCGCACCGTGCGCGAGCCGAAGCAGGGCGAGGCATCGCCTCACCTGGGAAGCGCAAGGGGTCAGGGAGTTCCCTTTCCGAGTCAAAGAAAGGGGTGACGGACGCACCTGGAAAATCGGGTCACTCCCACCCGAATATTGCGCTTTTCAGACCGGCTTAAAAAACGGCACACCACGAGACTATATCCCACACCTGGCTCGGAGGGTCCTACGCCCACGGAATCTCGCTGATTGCTAGCACAGCAGTCTGAGATCAAACTGCAAGGCGGCAGCGAGGCTGGGGGAGGGGCGCCCGCCATTGCCCAGGCTTGATTAGGTAAACAAAGCACCAGGAAGCTCGAACTGGGTGGAGCCCACCACAGCTCAAGGAGGCCTGCCTGCCTCTGTAGGCTCCACCTCTGGGGGCAGGGCACAGACAAACAAAAAGACAGCAGTAACCTCTGCAGACTTAAATGTCCCTGTCTGACAGCTTTGAAGAGAGCAGTGGTTCTCCCAGCACGCAGCTGGAGATCTGAGAACGGGCAGACTGCCTCCTCAAGTGGGTCCCTGACCCCTGACCCCCGAGCAGCCTAACTGGGAGGCACCCCCCAGCAGGGGCACACTGACACCTCACACGGCAGGGTATTCCAACAGACCTGCAGCTGAGGGTCCTGTCTGTTAGAAGGGAAACTAACAAACAGAAAGGACATCCACACCGAAAACCCATCTGTACATCACCATCATCAAAGACCAAAAGTAGATAAAACCACAAAGATGGGGAAAAAACAGAACAGAAAAACTCGAAACTCTAAAACGCAGAGCGCCTCTCCTCCTCCAAAGGAATGCAGTTCCTCACCAGCAACGGAACAAAGCTGGATGGAGAATGATTTTGACGAGCTGAGAGAAGGCTTCAGACGATCAAATTACTCTGAGCTACGGGAGGACATTCAAACCAAAGGCAAAGAAGTTGAAAACTTTGAAAAAAATTTATAAGAATGTATAACTAGAATAACCAATACAGAGAAGTGCTTAAAGGAGCTGATGGAGCTGAAAACCAAGGCTCGAGAACTACGTGAAGAATGCAGAAGCCTCAGGAGCCGATGCGATCAACTGGAAGAAAGGGTATCAGCAATGGAAGATGAAATGAATGAAATGAAGCGAGAAGGGAAGTTTAGAGAAAAAAGAATAAAAATAAATGAGCAAAGCCTCCAAGAAATATGGGACTATGTGAAAAGACCAAATCTACGTCTGATTGGTGTACCTGAAAGTGATGCGGAGAATGGAACCAAGTTGGAAAACACTCTGCAGGATATTATCCAGGAGATCTTCCCCAATCTAGCAAGGCAGGCCAACGTTCAGATTCAGGAAATACAGAGAACGCCACAAAGATACTCCTTGAGAAGAGCAACTCCAAGACACATAATTGTCAGATTCACCAAAGTTGAAATGAAGGAAAAAATGTTAAGGGCAACCAGAGAGAAAGGTCGGGTTACCCTCAAAGGGAAGCCCATCAGACTAACAGCGGATCTCTCAGCAGAAACCCTACAAGCCAGAAGAGAGTGGGGGCCAATATTCAACATTCTTAAAGAAAAGAATTTTCAACCCAGAATTTCATATCCAGCCAAACTAAGCTTCATAAGTGAAGGAGAAATAAAATACTTTATAGACAAGCAAATGCTGAGAGATTTTGTCACACCAGGCCTGCCCTAAAAGAGCTCCTGAAGGAAGTGCTAAACATGGAAAGGAACAACCAGTACCAGCCACTGCAAAATCATGCCAAAATGTAAAGACCATCGAGACTAGGAAGAAACTGCATCAACTAACGAGCAAAATCACCAGCTAACATCATAATGACAGGATCAAATTCACACATAACAATATTAACTTTAAATGTAAATGGACTAAATTCTCCAATTAAAAGACACAGACTGGCAAGTTGGATAAAGAGTCAAGACCCATCAGTGTGCTGTATTCAGGAAACCCATCTCACGTGCAGAGACACACATAGGCTCAAAATAAAAGGATGGAGGAAGATCTACCAGGCAAATGGAAAACAAAAAAAGGCAGGGGTTGCAATCCTAGTCTCTGATAAAACAGACTTTAAACCAACAAAGATCAAAAGAGACAAAGAAGGCCATTACATAATGGTAAAGGGATCAATTCAACAAGAGGAGCTAACTATCCTAAATATATATGCACCCAATACAGGAGCACCCAGATACATAAAGCAAGTCCTGAGTGACCTACAAAGAGACTTAGACTCCCACACATTAATAATGGGAGACTTTAACACCCAATGTCAACATTAGACAGATCAATGAGACAGAAAGTCAACAAGGATACCCAGGAATTGAACTCAGCTCTGCACCAAGCAGACCTAATAGACATCTACAGAACTGTCCACCCCAAATCAACAGAATATACATTTTTTTCAGCACCACACCACACCTATTCCAAAATTGACCACATAGTTGGAAGTAAAGCTCTCCTCAGCAAATGTAAAAGAACAGAAATTATAACATACTATCTCTCAGACCACAGTGCAATCAAACTAGAACTCAGGATTAAGAATCTCACTCAAAGCCGCTCAACTACATGGAAACTGAACAACCTGCTCCTGAATGACTACTGGGTACATAACGAAATGAAGGCAGAAATAAAGATGTTCTTTGAAACCAATGAGAACAAAGACACAACATACCAGAATCTCTGGGACACATTCAAAGCAGTGTGTAGAGGGAAATTTATAGCACTAAATGCCCACAAGAGAAAGCAGGAAAGATCCAAAATTGACACCCTAACATCACAATTAAAAGAACTAGAAAAGCAAGAGCAAACACATTCAAAAGCTAGCAGAAGGCAAGAAATAACCAAAATCAGAGCAGAACTGAAGGAAATAGAGACACAAAAAACCCTTCAAAAAATCAATGAATCCAGGAGCTGGTTTTTTGAAAGGATCAACAAAATTGATAGACCGCTAGCAAGACTAATAAAGAAAAAAAGAGAGAAGAATCAAATAGACACAATAAAAAATGATAAAGGGGATATCACCACCGATCCCACAGAAATACAAACTACCATCAGAGAATACTACAAACACCTCTACGCAAATAAACTAGAAAATCTAGAAGAAATGGATACATTCCTCGACACATACACTCTCCCAAGACTAAACCAGGAAGAAGTTGAATCTCTGAATAGACCAATAACAGGATCTGAAATTGTGGCAATAATCAATAGTTTACCAACCAAAAAGAGTCCAGGACCAGATGGATTCACAGCCGAATTCTACCAGAGGTACAAGGAGGAACTGGTACCATTCCTTCTGAAACTATTCCAATCAATAGAAAAAGAGGGAATCCTCCCTAACTCATTTTATGAGGCCAGCATCATTCTGATACCAAAGCCGGGCAGAGACACAACCAAAAGAGAGAATTTTAGACCAATATCCTTGATGAACATTGATGCAAAAATCCTCAATAAAATACTGGCAAACCGAATCCAGCAGCACATCAAAAAGCTTATCCACGGTGATCAAGTGGGCTTCATCCCTGGGATGCAAGGCTGGTTCAATATACGCAAATCAATAAATGTAATCCAGCATATAAACAGAGCCAAAGACAAAAACCACATGATTATCTCAATAGATGCAGAAAAAGCCTTTGACAAAATTCAACAACCCTTCATGCTAAAAACTCTCAATAAATTAGGTATTGATGGGACGTATTTCAAAATAATAAGAGCTATCTATGACAAACCCACAGCCAATATCATACTGAATGGGCAAAAACTGGAAGCATTCCCTTTGAAAACTGGCACAAGACAGGGATGCCCTCTCTCACCACTCCTATTCAACATAGTGTTGGAAGTTCTGGCCAGGGCAATCAGGCAGGAGAAGGAAATAAAGGGTATTCAATTAGGAAAAGAGGAAGTCAAATTGTCCCTGTTTGCAGATGACATGATTGTTTATCTAGAAAACCCCATCGTCTCAGCCCAAAATCTCCTTAAGCTGATAAGCAACTTCAGCAAAGTCTCAGGATACAAAATCAATGTACAAAAATCACAAGCATTCTTATACACCAACAACAGACAAACAGAGAGCCAAATCATGAGTGAACTCCCATTCACAATTGCTTCAAAGAGAATAAAATACCTAGGAATCCAACTTACAAGGGATGTGAAGGACCTCTTCAAGGAGAACTACAAACCACTGCTCAAGGAAATAAAAGAGGATACAAACAAATGGAAGAACATTCCATGCTCATGGGTAGGAAGAATCAATATCGTGAAAATGGCCATACTGCCCAAGGTAATTTACAGATTCAATGCCATCCCCATCAAGCTACCAATGACTTTCTTCACAGAATTGGAAAAAACTACTTTAAAGTTCATATGGAACCAAAAAAGAGCCCGCATCGCCAAGTCAACCCTAAGCCAAAAGAACAAAGCTGGAGGCATCACAATACCTGACTTCAAACTATACTACAAGGCTACAGTAACCAAAACAGCATGGTACTGGTACCAAACAGAGATATAGATCAATGGAACAGAACAGAGCCCTCAGAAATAACGCCGCATACCTACAACTATCTGATCTTTGACAAACCTGAGAAAAACAAGCAATGGGGAAAGGATTCCCTATTTAATAAACGGTGCTGGGAAAACTGGCTAGCCATATGTAGAAAGCTGAAACTGGATCCCTTCCTTACACCTTATACAAAAATCAATTCAAGATGGATTAAAGACTTAAACGTTAGACCTAAAACCATAAAAACCCTAGAAGAAAACCTAGGCATTACCATTCAGGACATAGGCGTGGGCAAGGACTTCATGTCCAAAACACCAAAAGCAATGGCAACAAAAGCCAAAATTGACAAAATGGGATCTAATTAAACTAAAGAGCTTCTGCACAGCAAAAGAAACTACCATCAGAGTGAACAGGCAACCTACAACATGGGAGAAAATTTTCGCAACCTACTCATCTGACAAAGGGCTAATATCCAGAATCTACAATGAACTCAAACAAATTTACAAGAAAAAAACAAACAACCCCATCAAAAAGTGGGCGAAGGACATGAACAGACACTTCTCAAAAGAAGACATTTATGCAGCCAAAAAACACATGAAAAAATGCTCATCATCACTGGCCATCAGAGAAATGCAAATCAAAACCACTATGAGATATCATCTCACACCAGTTAGAATGGCAATCATTAAAAAGTCAGGAAACAACAGGTGCTGGAGAGGATGTGGAGAAATAGGAACACTTTTACACTGTTGGTGGGACTGTAAACTAGTTCAACCATTGTGGAAGTCAGTGTGGCGATTCCTCAGGGATCTAGAACTAGAAATACCATTTGACCCAGCCATCCCATTACTGGGTATATACCCAAAGGACTATAAATCATGCTGCTATAAAGACACATGCACACGTATGTTTATTGTGGCATTATTCACAATAGCAAAGACTTGGAACTAACCCAAATGTCCATCAATGATAGACTGGATTAAGAAAATGTGGCACATATACACCATGGAATACTATGCAGCCATAAAAAATGATGAGTTCATGTCCTTTGTAGGGACATGGATGAAATTGGAAACCATCATTCTCAGTAAACTATCGCAAGAACAAAAAACCAAACACCACATATTCTCACTCATAGGTGGGAATTGAACAATGAGATCACATGGACACAGGAAGGGGAATATCACAGTCGTGGGGGGAGGGGGGAGGGATAGCATTGGGAGATATACCTAATGCTAGATGATGAGTTAGTGGGTGCAGCGCACCAGCATGGCACATGTATACATATGTAAATAACCTGCACAATGTGCATATGTACCCTAAAACTTAAAGTATAATAATAAAAAAAAAAGAATCTCTGGATAATAACATTAGACACATGAATGGGTAGAATCAAATAGAATTGAAGTTTTAGAATAAATAAAGGTTAAGATCAGTTTGAGGGATAACGTAAGAGCAATCTACCTGCAGCAAGAATGGAGAGGGATCCACAGTGGGTAAGCAGGTGTGTGGCAGTGGTGGGAAGGGAGCAAGTGGGCTATGGACTTCTCAGAAAATTACTTACTTCCTTAACTTCTGGGCCAGCCAAGGTGGAGTGAGGTTTATCAAGAACACAGGAATTTGAAAACCCAATGCTCAAAATCAATTGCAAAAGTATTAAAACAAAAACTTTAGACAAAATAAATTTAACAGTTCTTTGCTGTTTAAACTTAACAGCAAAGAACAATTCACAAATTGGGTAGCAATCAAAAGTAAAAAGTGCTTAGACCCCTCTGCTCTAGTAACATTAGCAGCAAACTTTTGTAAGCTGAACATGGGAGCAAAATATAGAAATTAGCTGATTAGCTAGAGCTAGGCATTCGCTTTGCCTGGGCATGGTGTGGTGGGAGGCCCTAGGCGTTTGCCTCATTTGGGAATCATGTACTGGGAGATGTCTAGTTATATAAGCAATTGGCTGGTTTGACTGTTTGTGACTGACTGAGGCTAGGTTTGTTTTTTTAGATGTCAGTTACAAGTAATGCCTCCAAGGTAAGCATCAGTTTGCTTACATAAGAGCTACAGTACAGAGACAACCTCAAGCTAATGGCCTTCTTATTTGCTTTAACAATCATGAGAGGTTGACCAAAACTTTGGGCATTAACTCTGCTCTCTGTCATGATTATAATGGACTTAGTTGGTCTCAGTATGGTATTCATAAGACGCCAGGCTAACTGAATAATTCTTTCTGTTGTTCTTCATGTTTTTGTTACTCTAACTGGGGTGATGTTGTTTGACAAAGAGTAGGTGGCTCCACACAAACATTTAAGTCTCAAGAGGACACAGTGCACCAAGAAGACTAATCTTACCATCAGGAGGGAAATACTGAGGCTAAAGTATGCTCTATAACCAAGGCCACCATGACCCAAATCAATTAAAGTCAAATAAATTAAAGAATGAGCCAAAAGAAAAATGTACTTGTTTTAAACAAGTGCCTTACTAGTTGATTTCTTGCAACTGAGTTTCTCCTATACCAGACGTATTTATTTAAGTGCAGCAGACAGTGACAGCTATCTCACACCCCCCTCCCTGTTCAGCAAAGAGGTATTCCAAAGCAATACTGTGAACTAAAACAACTTTAGCAAGATAATTTGGAGGAGGCTGTGGCATTATAGCCTTTACAGTAGTCAGCTATATGTTTGCAACATATGTCTCATCACCTCATTTATATTTGTGTTAGTACACGAAAGGAGTATTCTACCACAAGATGCCAATTTAGGGGGATATATGCCTGCTGGCAAATTCTTTGTTATTCTACAATGCAAATTAAAGGGTGTTGACCAAGGCTTAGTTTCCAGACAGTTATGGAGTAAGAGTTGTACTGTTGAAATCCTCAATGCACATTTTATTTCTCATTTATCAAAGCCTGGATTTGCTCATTCTTATGGTTGATTATTAAATCTTCTACAGATAAAAATATATCCTGGAGGGGCACAACAGATAGTTCCCTGTGGGGTGCTTTGTGTGTAAGTGGCCACCGGAAGATAAGCATGAGTATTACTCATCCAAGGCTAGTTTATTGTATTACCACATGGCTGAAGGCTACCCACAATTAGGGGATTTGGGTTATGAATGTATCTATAAACTGTTGCATAATCTTTCCCTTTGGTTTTTAAATTCAGTTTCTGGCAAGAGTTCACTGTAAAATCCTCACTAGAGGTTCTGTCTACTGTTAGATTTAAACAAGAAATCTGAACATATGAGTCTTAAAGTATAATCCACATATGCAGTTCCAACAGGCAGTCACACTAGGAATATCAGTAAAATTTGTTACAGGGTGAACTAGAGGATCTCTAAAATCATGTAAGAATTTAAGTTTAGCATGACATCTCCAACATTCAGTTATGATTCTTGCTGAAGCTATTGATTGGGAGATCCTGATCATAGCATTATTCTGCCACTCATACACAAAAAGAATGCACAGGGAAAAGAAAGAAAGGAACAATTATTTTATGATGACATTAAGAGAAGTCTTGATTCATGATCTTGGGAAAGCTGTCTACATCTAGAATGTTATCTGCTTCTGGGGAGAACCACACTGTGCAGTTTCACCTTGGAATCATCAATGGATGCGCAGCTACAAGAGTTTGAAGGGGACCTGTGGACCCAAGTCTCAAGGCCCTTAAGTTTTGCTGAAGTGTGGATACTGAGAAGAACTTGGTATGGTCATTTCCAGTGGGGTTTAGGCACAGTCTTTTTCTGGTGTCATTTTTAAAAGACCCAGTCTCTGGGTTCTAGATTACGAAAGGTCTGGTTGTCATTAGTTGGTAGGTCATGTAAGGCTCCTTTTACTTGATGAAAATATACTTTGAAATCATGCAGTAAAATTTATAACGCTGACTCATGTTGGAATTTATAAAATCAGGAGATACATAAGGCTCTCTTATTAGGTGCATAGGTCTTCTGGTAACAAGTTCATGAAATATTAATTTGTGTTTTCTTGTAGGAGTGGATCTGATTGCCACCAAAACTGATAGTAATACATTTGGCCAAGAAAGTCTTGTTGATTGATTAGCTTTTCCAATTTCAGTCTTAAAATGCTATTTGCCCTTTCTCCCTTTAAAATTAAGTATGGTAGAAATAATGGTAATGCCATTGTTCGTGTAATACCTTATTTAACTGTGTTAGTATTTCTATTGCTGGAGATTTACTCAGGAATTCCTCATAAAGGAAACACATTTTCTAAAAACGTTCTACCTAACTATTATAGTATTAGCCTTCCTGCATGGGAAAGCTTCTATACAACCAGAGAACACATAGATTTTTGTAAGAACATGTTGATATCCCACTGAGAGTGGCAATTGAATGAAGTTCAACTGTAAGTGCTCAAATGGTCCAGCTAGTGGTGGAAATATTCCACCTGAGGTTTTTATTATTTGACAGTACTTCTTACAGAATTTAACATATCAAATAAGCCTATTTCGTTTATCATTATTTGTAAGGAGAGAAAAAAGACTGTTTTGAGATGTGACATGGGTCAGCTGGAAACTCCCAAAGTTAGTTTAAGGTCACAAGACTTAATTTAGAATTTGATTTGGGATATAAATTTTTAAAAAATTTAAAAAAATTAAAAAAAGAAGAAAAAAATAAAAAAAGCAGAAAAACAATTTGATTTGGGGAAGTGGTCAAAAATATTAAGGCTTGAATACTTGATTAAATAGGATATGAAGTCACTGTGACAAAGTGTTGTTACTCAAGATGATGATGAATAGATTTTAAAGGCAAATACAGAAAGTTACATTGTTATAGTGAAAACCTTGCCTCTTTTAATAGAGAGGTTTTGGTTTTCTAAAGTAACTAAAGACTTGACAAAAGACAACATGAAGCATAGTAAATTGTTTTGCTAAGACACAGTCTTTGTTTCCTAGCTAGAATTCTTAAAAGGCTAAAAAACATCTTTCACAATCTCATATTAGGGCAGTCCAATAATTCAAGATATCCTTGTCATTTTAACATAGGAGGCCAAATTCTAGTGTTACATCAGTGTACTTTTGATATGAATAATCAAACAAATTATAAATAATTTCTTTCAAATCTTATCAAACTTTATCACACATGAAATATTTCCCAAGATTTCTTTCCACAAACCTTCTACAACTTCTTTTATATCAATTTGGTTTTGTCCTATTTGCTTTCTCTTTTCCATTGTGGAACAACCAGCCATTCTACTTTAGGTTAAAAAAATTACTTTTTTCTTAAAGAAAAACACATCCTTTATATCTCGTAGCTTCCCCTACCTAAAACTTGTCTTACTATTCTTACATGTGGAGTTGGTTCTCTTATTATTTCTAGCATTAATTACCATATGTTAGTTATAACTCTTAACTACTATTAGCTTGAATTTGTAGTGAAAACTAGGGGGTAAGCAACAGTGAATGGCCTGTTTGTTAGTGATGATGGTGGTATTGTTTTTAGGTATTTTGGATTCTTTTCTATTGCACCTTGCAAATGAACAATGTTGCCAAAATTAAAACTTCCCCATGTGAATGCTGTCATCCTAAATTATTCTTAGCAAGGTTAACTTGTTTGTCCAAAAATATAAAGGTTCGTGGTCCCTAATTATCATACATAAAATTAGCCAGTATCCCAGCAAGTGGAGTCCCAGGCTCCTTTCTTTGGAGAAATCAATTTTCAGAAAGTACCTACCTGAGGGCTCTAACTGGTCTCAGTTCTGCTATTTATTGGATTCAATCTGATTCTGAATGGAGACTGGCTAAGGAAATGTGCAAATAAAGTTGGAGAGGTCAAAATGCAAGTTTCTGGAGCTCCTATTTGAAAGGAAACTCACCCCCACTTTCCAATTGCAGCAAGAGAGCACCGTGGCTCAGTTGGTGCCTTTGCTGGGTAGTAGGTTTTCTTAGATGCAGCTGGAGTTTGCCTTAGGATTCCACATCTGACACTAAATTGTTAAAGAAAAACTTTAAACAAAATGAATTCAATAGAGTTTATTTGGGCAAAGAAGAATTCATGAACTGGGCAACACTCAAAACTGGAAAAGATTGAGAAAGTTTTTCTCTAGTAGCATAAACAGCAAGGTTTCCCAGGCTGAACAAGGGAGCAAAGTCAAGAAGTTACCTGATTGGCTTAGCTAGATGTCTACCTTATTTGGGCATGATGTAATGATAGGTGTAATGATGTCAATATTTATCTGCAGGCACTTGTAAACTTCAGAGAGACCAGAATCCCCTGAACGGATGTTAAAACCCAAGTTTTAGCCACCCCACTTCCCAAGACACTGACCAAGTAGGTGTGAGTGGGGCCAGGAAAATTGCATTTCTAACCAGCACACAGGGAATGGTGATGTTCCTGGTCCTAGGTGTTTGCCTTATTTGGGTATCTTGTGATCAGAGGTCCCTAGTTATATAACTAACTGGCTGCCTGTTTGTGGTTGATTGATGCTAGATTTTAATTTGTAAGTCAGCCATGAGAAATGCCTCCAAGTTAAGTTTTGGTTTGCTTATGAAAGAGCTCCAGGTACAAAAGCAACCTCATGATAATGACCTATTACTTGCTTTAATAGAGGACATTGTAATAATGTTTATTAAAAATTCTTAAGAAATTTTAATGAAAATATTGGGCAATAGTTTAATCTCTGAGCACATTGCCTATAAGAAAGCAATAACCATATATACACAGCGATAAATATAAAAGAAGCATTCATCATACCACTTTTCATAATACAAAAAAGTAGAAAAATTTAAACAATTAATTATGGGAACTGACTAAATATAAGCTCCAGCTCTGAGGAGCTGCAGTGCAGAGGGCCAGGCTGTCAGGGCCAGTGCAGCCTCTCTCTTCTCCAGAGGCACCGTCCTGTTGCCTGGGGTCTAGAAACTCTCCTTTTTCTTTACAATCAGGCATAGTGTTCTGACCCCTTCCCCAATTCAGCGTGCAATGAAGAAGCCATTCTCAGCCTCATCCCAATGCCCTTTGAGGTGAGTTACTTCTCACTTGTGGTTTGGTCTGCATGCACCCCGCAATGATGGCTTCTGAACCTGCACCATTCCAAGTGTGGTCTGGGTACCAGGAGCAGGTCCGTCCCAGGAGAGGTGGTGAGACATGCAAATTCCCTGGCCCTGCCCAGACCTAGTGGTTCAGATTCCTGGGGGATAGGGAGAATAAGAACTTAGGTTTAGGGTATTTAGAACTTGCCTTCAGGGTATTCTAGTCCCTTTGAAGTTCACAAGTAACTACAGATAAATGCTGAAGGCATCTTCATGGAGAAGAAACTTAAGTCTTGTCCAGAAAGAGTACTTTATTTAATTTTTAGCTGGAGGATGTGATGGTTTCTTTCTCGAGGCCAGACTGTGGACCATAGGGGTATATCCTGCTGGGAGGCAAATGCAGAAATTCAACCCTGAATTGGGTGCCCTGAGGCTGGGGAGACTGGGACATATACCTGCTCACTTCCAGTGACAGAATGTGACTCTCAGATGTGACCTTTCCCACACCTGCAGGGTGCACCTGCTCTGCTGATGGAGCTCATTTGCACAGATCAACCCCTGAGTGAAGCTGGGGGAGATACAGGTGCCTGGCGTGGGAGCTGGTAGCATGGTGTGTCTCAGGGGCACCAGGGTCCAGAGGAGCTCTTAGCATCAGAGACTGGTAACTATGGCCTGAGGCCCAAG
Source organism: Homo sapiens (assembly GCF_000001405.40). Classification (NCBI taxonomy): domain Eukaryota; kingdom Metazoa; phylum Chordata; class Mammalia; order Primates; family Hominidae; genus Homo; species Homo sapiens. The sequence continues at coordinate 23,601,625 of NC_000020.11, forward strand.
CAGCTCACTGCCTGTTTGTGTAAATAAACACTTATTGGAACACAACCACTCTTACATGTTTGCACATTGGCTATTGCTCCTTTCAAGATACGACAGCAATTCTGAGTAGCTGAGAGAGACCATCTGCCCACAAAGGCCAGAATAGTTACTCTCTGGCTTCTTCAGAAAATTTTTTTGCCAAACCCTGGTTTAGGTGATTTGGGCAATGTCTTGGTAGCATCTAGTCTGCCCGTGCCTCTCACACTGCATCCCCTGGGGGTGTGCATTCCTGCAAATCCTGCATTTTCAGGGGATTTCTGCATCCCTGGGGATTTGTAAGAGCGCAGATGCATTTTCCAAAGGTCAGAGGCCCTGAAGTTGGACATTTCTAAGATTCTTTCAGAAGATGCTGCTGCTCCAGATGCCAGGACAGCTTTATAAGGGTGAGGCTAGAAGTCCTTCCTCTTCCCACCAACCTTCCACGAACCAGGAAAGGTGTGTGAGCCACCCCTTGAGAACAGAGGCCACATGTGCTGAGTGGGACCCAGAGGCCCTGTCTTGCTCAGTTGTGCACATTGGGTGTCCTGCAAGATCACAGACATTTTACCTCTGGCCACATGGGTCATCATCAGCCACGAGCATGGAGACAGCAGCTCAGACTTATCTTGGTTGTGCCACCTGGAAGCTGGCTTATGAGGTCTTAAGGGAGGGAGGACCCCACTGACACAGATGCAAATAGGCTGCCCTTCTGAGAGGAACTCCATCAACTGCTCAGCCCCCTCCCTCCAGAACATGGCACAGGAAGCTTCTGCAAATGCTGATGTTTAATGACCTATTCTACTTGAGGAACCTGGACAGTGAGGATTTTCTAAAATGCCAAGTCATAAAACCTCAGACACTTGCAAAATAAGAGAACAAATATGCACGGAGCTGCTCAGCCACTGATATGTCAACTCCTGGGAACAGCTGGTGTCCACGGGGGAGGGGGCAGCATGTGGCCAGGCATGTGAGTGGCTTCCACTCAGGAGAGCCCCTCTGAGCAGGTCTTGTTCAGGAGTTCAAAATATGTCTTCCAGGGCATGGTTTCAACAGTGAAGAAGCAGCTGAAGGTCCGAGGGAACAAACAGGAAGAGACAGTAGGGCGGGGTTTGGGGAGGTTCGGGAATCTTGTGGCATCTGCCCTCAACACAGGTTCCATCTCCACCTTGCCCATTCCTGGGGCCAGCAATTGTGCCACGTGGCTCTGGCCTTCAGGTCTAGCCTGAGCCTGAGGCCAATCCTGAACTACAACGTGATTTGAGGCTCCCTCCCTCCTTAGCCAGGGTCACTTGTGCCATGCCTCCTCCTCCAGCCCGTGCCCCTCAGGGGAACCCCAGGCTGTCCTGGTGTGATCCCTGCATCCAAGAGCAGCAGGAGAATGTTTTGTCCCAGTGGAAGCAGTTCCCAGACTTAGGCAATTAGTTACCTATTTGTTAATCTTACAATAAGGGGGTTGACTAAGAATGGGAAGTTTTCCCAGAGCCAGGCTTTGCTTGGAGCTCGTCCCCTAGAGCAGGTGCTGCAGCTCAGCAGGGCCTAGGAGCGAGGGCAGTGGGGCTTCTTCTCAGCCTCCACCACTTTTGGGTCTAGGGCAGGGTAGGGAAACCCTGAGAAAAGTACCCACAGACATTGTCACCATTGTCTCCAGGCTCTTTCTCTAGAAGGCAGGGAAGAAGTGGGGAGGAAGACCAGAGAGAAGGTTCTGAAGGCCATGTGGCCCAGGTGCAGGCAGCTGCAATGGTGTCAGAGGGCAGAATCAGGAAACTCAGATTGGCCAGGGGCCTGAAAGTGAACCCCTGGGCTTAATGCCTCACTGGGCTTCCCACTAAGGCACAAGCAGGGCAGCCTGGTACAGCCTGCTGTGGGCTCACTTCCCTTTGTCCCTCGGAATGGCTTTGTCAGCTGCTCCTGTGCCCACACCACACCCCATGCAGCATCCACAGCTGTGGACCTGAGGAAAGCTGATGCCCTGTCTTACGTTGTTCAGCTCCAGGCTTTCTTGAAAAGGGCAGTTGTCAATGTCATCTTCAAATTTCCTACATACGGTTTGGCGCAGTTGCAGATTCATGGAGAACACCATCTTACCTCGCCACTGTTGGACAAAAGAAGATTAAAGTGGATGCACCGTCTTCCTGCCCCTAAGTAGCTACTAGTGAAGATGCCATTTGAGTAGGAGAGGCCCCAACACTTTACTGCATTTGAGAGCTTGCCCATGGGCCTGGCATCAGCTCACTGGAGGTGAAACCCAGGGGATCTTCTCTAGACTGAGGAGTTAAGAGCAAAAAGCAGGTGGGCATGGTGGGTCTGGGGAGGATGCAGGCTGAGTCAGACCCCACTAACACATTATCCACCTCCACCCACCCCCATTTCCCACGGTGAGACTCCAGCTTCACTCTCAGTAGGCATCTGATCTTGCAGCTGCATTCCCAGAGGACAGAGCCACATGTCCGGGAGGGTGTTGGATCTCCAAGAGTTTTCAGGGTAACTTCAGCCCTGGGACAGAGGGAGCCTCATCTACAGTGTGTTGTCAAACCTTCCAAGTGACCTCCAGCAAGAAGAATGACACACAGCGCTCCCACTACACACAGGCACACACCCTGGGAAAATGGGTTCAAGAAATACCATCTGCCCTATTGCAAAGTGCATGCTGAAGTTCTCCTTGCCCTCCTTCCCACTCCATTCTATTTAATTCCACTCCATAGCCTCCCTCTCACCCATCTATTCTTCCCAGCCCCCAAACTGATGCTGGGATTGCCATATCCAGGAAGCCATGTGGAAAGCTTTTAGGACTTACTGTCATTTAGGACTTATAGACCATAGTAAGGAGCTTAGATTTTATTCTAACGGTATTAAGAATGGAGGCTTACACTGAGGTCTTGGAGAATCAAGCAAAGCACTGGGAAAGCAGAAGCATGAGGCCTGGCCAATCTCAATCTCTGAGACTTCCAAGGTTCCAGCATGAATATTAGCAGCCACCATTACTGGACCAGATGCCCCTCTGAGGGTTGCATCAGGCTTTTAATTCTCCTGAGAGGAGGCAGCAAATGAGCAAGGAGGAAAATTCCTCTGTACCAGCATTGGAATCCTGAGGATGGCAGTGAGGAATCCACCCCAGGAGGCAGAGAACCAGCCAGAGCCTTGCACAGAGTCTTTCCAGAGCTTAAGCTCTGTGCGGTACTAGAGTCCCTCTGCCTTTCTTTCAGGCTCTTGGTGCTGAGAAAGGAAGAGCAATGCTCCTTCTCTCTCTAAACCAGAAGTTCTCCACTAGGAGGGCATTTTAATTGTTCATGCCTGAAGCCCAGATGAACTGTGCATTCCTGACCACATTTAATGATTTCATCAAAAAGGCAAGCATTTTAGGATAAAGGTCCATTGAGGAAGAGTGTAAATTGGCCTTCAGTTCATTAAGTGCAGACAGAGCAAGGAGCCCAGAGAAGGTGGAGATCAGAGAACTAACCTTTCACGGTGGCCTCTCAGGGCTGATGGTGTTCTTTATTGCCCTCGAATTCTCACTGTTCTCTCTCTGTCTGCCTGTCTCTCTCTCTCTCTGTCTCTCTCTCTCTGTCTGTCTGTCTCTCTCTGTCTCTCTCTCTCTCTCCCTCTGTGTGTCCTTGCTTTTCCATTTTCATTTTATGACCTGGAAATGTTTATCAGTCTCTTTGGTTATTTTCTCTTCTTGTCAGCTTCATCTCCTTAGAAGTCCTTATTTTGAAGTCACTCTTCAGTTATACAATGTCTTAAAAATCATGAAGATTGAAAAATATATTTTGCATGTGAATAGACATTTACCTAATTTAAAAAAAATTTTAAGTTCAATGTTTTCCAAAACTAAAACTACCGTAATTGGTTGTGGACTACCTGACTATGGACTGCTGATGGTGAACCAAGTCTCCTAGACTAGACATCTTGGTCCCTCACTTAGGGGCAGATGGAGAAGGACAGGCCAGAAGAGGATGTGGTCACCAACCTTTCTGTCCATGCTATCCTCCCTCCATGAACTCAGGACGCGCAACAGCCTGTAGGCATGCTCCTCCTTGCTCTGCACGTTGAAAGTGTTCAAGGCAAACTCCACTGTGGCGAGGAACATAGGATCCTGGACTATTTTATTATTACCACCCATTTCCTCTTCAGAACACCAGGCATAAGTCACCAGGAGCTGGAAGCCCATGAGAAGCAGTGACAGTGCCCAGGGCATAGCCTTCCTCCTCTGCGGACTCGACATGATGCAGGCTCCAGCAGCCCTTGCCTTTGCCCTTCAGATCCCTGGCGTCCACTGGAGCCTTCCAGGGCTCAGGTCTGGCCTTTAAATTCACCTGCTGGGGCAGAAACTCCTCCCTCCAGGCCTCACCTCTGCAGTTACACCCTGTCTCTCCCACACATGGCCTCCCTTCTTCCAAAGGCGTTTAAATCATCTCCTGTTTAGGGGAGAGGAACAGCACCCAGGCAGGTGGGTTGGAAAAGACTAGCAATGGGAGAGATAGTGCCCTGAACATGAGGCCCAGCCCCAGCTGCCCCAGCACCTCCGCAGGCTAAAGGAGACCTCTACTGGGCGCCCCAGAGTCAGAGCCCGGCACAGGAACACAAGTGTGAGAGGTATGAGTGGAAGGTGAGCCCTGGACTCAGCAGTGGGGGTGGGCTGGGAGGGGGAGGTTAGGTGGAAAGGCAGAGACAAAAGGATGGAAAGGGATGACAGTGGATGCTAGTATCATGGGTGAGCAGGTACAGCGCCCCGAGAAAGCACTGGGCCTCTTGAGAGAGAGGCGGGGAGCCCGGGAGGATTGGCGGGATGTCCTGCAGGTGTCTGCTCCCCCGAGGGTCTCGGGAGGGGGGCACCAGCCTGGGGGTCGTGGGCAGAGGTTGAGGAAATCAAGAGCAGGAGCCCCCAACCCTGTTCTCTGCACCTCCCTAAATGCAGCTTCCCAGCCCAGGGACGCGCTGCCAAGTGCTGGTACTAGGGGCCTGGCTAGTTATGGCTGCCCCTATTCCTCAAAGGTGTTTCCAGGACGGGTGGCCGCTTGCAATTGGAGCAGTGGAGAACCAGAAAGACGAAGATGCCCTCAGGGATGGCTGAAGTGCACCCATTAGGTTGTCACGGGTTCCCTCCTGTGGCCACAGCCGGCACAGCACTCTGCGGCACAGTTTGTGGGTGGAGATTCTGAGTTCTCGACCAAGACCCACATAGCCTCCAACTCCAACCGCAAATGGGGCTCTCAAAAGACTGAATAATGCACTCTTCACAGACCAGACTTAAGCTTTGTCCCTGTGAAATATGCCTTTGATGTTTATCCGTAGCTCCTTGTAAACTTCAGAAGCAACCAGCATCCCCTGATGTCACGTTAAAAAGCAAGTTCCTAGTTTCCCCACCCAAAGATTCTGACCCAGTAGCTGTGAGCAGGGCCAGGGAAACTACATTTCTCACCAGCTTCCAGAGGATGGTTGTGTTCCCGGTCTCAGAACCATACTTTGAGTGGTGCAGGTTCAGAATACTTCCTGGGAAGTGCATACAGACCAAACCACATATGAGAAGTAACTCAGCTTGAGGGGCATGGAGGTCAGGGGATGAGAATGGCTTTTGTGGGGCACACAGGATGGGGGACAGGCTTAGACAGCATGCCTGGTGATAAAGAATAAGAGTTTGTTTCTAGACCCTGTTTGCAAAGAAAAAGCAACTCAATGTGACAATTCCAGGAAAGCAGCCAGATGTGCCAAAAACATCACCCAAGGAGTCTGTATCCTTTCTCTGATGGCGTTGAGTTCACTGGAACTGCAGCTGAAGCGTAACTAATGTGGTTTCTTAGCTGGAGAGTGATGGTGCACGTAGGGGTAGGAAGGGGGTGTCAGTGAGGGCGGAAATGCCTTTGTGGGTTTTGGGATGAGCAGGCCATAAGGTGCTGTGAGAACTAGAATCCTGATGCCTGGAATAGGTTGCGAGTGTCCTGAGAGAGGCCTGCAATGCCCATGGAGGTCACTCTCACCTTGTAAGTTCAGCGGCTGACAAACTTGGGGCATCCTGCCAATTGCCAGTGGCTCCCCCACCATTCTGAGGGCCGATACCCACATGTGCTCCAAGGGAGTGCCCACACTCACTCTTACATGAGCAGTGGTTTAGGGTCCTGGGCACCAGCTCTGTCCTCACTGTGCAGCCAAGGAGGGGACAGGGATCCCCACACCCAGATGTGAGACCACGGGTGTACAGACACCATGGACCCTTACAAGTGTGTCTATTTTCTTGTTGAATCCCCAGTGGCCTGGGATGGCCTCACTTCCCAGGTGGAGAGAGACGGGAATATCAAGACATAGCCAGGTAAAGAGAAATACATGTGGGCTCCAGGCTGAGGAGCCCCGAAGACGTGGGTCAACATGTTGCCGAGGCCAGAGTGAAACCGGACGGCCCGGAGGGGCTGGCTGGCCAGCCCACAGGCACAGCTCACAGCTCTCTGCAGGGCTATCCCCAGGTCTCAGGTCTGGGAGGCTTTCTCTCCTGAGTCCCCTTGCAAGAGTTCTGTCTCACTCAGCTTCTTCCTGGGCACTCGTTGGCCTGTCTGTCTCTGGGGCCACCGGGACTTGTCTGGTGCTCTCTTTGTGTTGCTGGCACTGGCACCGAACACCCATGTGGTCTCATAGGAAGGTCCCAGTAACTCCTCACTGAAATGGACCTGCTTTTCCAGAAACGAGGCCCTGTATTTCTGAACGCATTCCTTTGAATGATTAGAGAATGCTGGCAACGACCAGGACCAAGCCACTGGCCCTTTTCTGTGAAGCTGAACATGAGGCGGTGGACGAGGGGAAGCCCAGTGACTCTTCGGGACACAGGACGCTCTCCCCAGCTCCCGCAGACCCTCCAGCTGAGTGCTCTCCCCGGGGTCGGACTCATGTCCCTCACTGCCCGGCCTACTCAGCCACATGCTCTAAAGGTCCCGTGCGACCTTGCTCACTGCCTGTTTCAAGCTGGGCCAGGCTCAGCGGGGCCTGCCAGTTTCAGGATCGCCTGCTGGGCTTTGGGATCACTTCCTCGGGACCCTCCCCATTCCCCCTGCTTGGCATTTCCCTAGGAGACTCCCCAGACAAGCCAGCATTCCCAGGGGTTTCCGTGTGCTGGAAAACAAGGTGGTGTCCAGGAGATCAAAGGAAGACAGCAGGGGCAGGGAGAAGCCCGGACTCAGAGCAGAGTGAGTGATCCAGTGATTGCTGTCATAGCAATCATCAAAGGGGCAGCTCGGGGCAGGGGGGTGAGCGGGGCTGGGTGGGGGTGCTGCCAGGGAATTCCAGAGCCCCCTCCACTCCTCCCTCCCCTCCTCCAGGTTTTCCACCTGGGGGGTTCTTCTTAGCTCAGTCTTCAGCTGACTTTGAGTTTTTATAATTTAAGGAATTAATCTCATATAGACTTATGGCAAATTTAAACTGAGAAAGAGGAATAATGATTGAATTAAAAAATGACAAAAGGAGAAATAAAAATACAAACATTACCGGTAAATATAGAGGCCTAAATCAGGGGTCATTCGTACCACATGCAAATCGGAAGGCCCATGGGCTGTTTCTTCTCCTTCCTGTGGGTCCAGCAGGTCCCTCACCCTGGCTAAGTCGGGGGTGCTGCCCTGGGCCCAGGAGCTTTGCTCTGAAGAGGAAGTGCTGCCCCAGTCACCCTCAGCAGCCCTCCTGTTTGCTGGCCTTTGCCGAACACACCTGCCTTCGCTCCTCAGTGGGCGTTTCCTCAGCTTCTGCTGTGCTCCCGACGGAAGCCTCTCCCATCCAACGCAGCCCATTGTTTTCTTTCATAAGTACTTTAGTTTTTAAAAAACTGTAAGTTAATTTAAATTTAAAACAGTACAAAAATGTCATAATACCACTTCTTTTTTATTTTTAAAATTTTCTGTAGAGATGGAGTCTCACTATGTTGCCCAAGATGTTCTCGAACTCCTGGCCTCAAGTGATCCTCATGCCTCAGCCTACAATTCCACTTTTACTAAGTGAAATGTAGGTTTCAACATAATAGAAACTCCAAATACCAGTGGCTTAAACAAGCTGGTGTTGCTTTCTCTCTCAGGATGCTGACAATGCTAGAATTCTTTCATAAGCCTCACTCCTGCTGGGCACTGCCTTAGGCGCTCATTGACTCCTTTAAGCCTCACATAGTAACAGTTCAGCCAAAAATGGTATATATCATTACGTTTTACGTTTTTAACATTTTGCATAAATAATGACTGTATGTCTTACCACTTTATGCCTTTACTGAAATCATATTTGTGAGCATCACCTGTGTTGACACTTGTCGCTCTAGCTCCTTCATTACCACTGTTTTGCTTTATTCACTGGGACCTTGACCTGAATGACTGTAGTTAATTAAGTCCTTCCTGATTTAATTGGGAATGGTGAAATAGGGTGGAGCTTATAGGGTCAGGTGCTTGTGATGAAAACTAACAGACAGTGGTTTATTAAAGCATTCTCTACTGACTTGATTTTACACTGGGTTGATTCCACTCATTTCCTCTTAAATTGGGGTTGCAACGGGCACTTTTGTCCTGGTTTTCATGTGCACAAGTATGACAGCTTCTCTAGGGTCAGCACCAGAAAGAAAATTGCAGACATATGAGATCACCTCCTTTCAGTTTTATTAGGGATAGCTGTGCTGATGATTTTCTTTTCTTTATTCTTTTTTGAGACGGAGGTCTCACTATGTTGCTTAGGCTGGTCTTGAACTCCTGGGCTCAAGTGATCCTCTCTCCTTGGCCTCCCAAAGTACGAGGATTACAGGCATGAGCCACCACGTGCAACCTGATTTCTTTCACCATATAGATTTTTCTTAAAAATTGAAGACGGTTTAATGTATCAATGTTTTGTTTAGGGTATGTGCTTTTGTAATTTTCATTTCAACAATCCTTTCCTATGCTCTTCTATGTTCTGTTTCACCATGTTCTTTCTTTTGCTTTTCACATTTATGTGTGCGATCCAACTGGAGGCTAAGTGTGTGTGGTGTGAGGTTGGAATCCCAGGATCGATCGTCTGCCCCACCACCTGCGTGCACAGCTGGCTTTTCCAGCATTGACGATGGAGCAGTTCATTCTCCACCCTCTGATTCCAACAGCATTTCTATCGTAGTCCCCTTTCCCCAAAAGGCTGGTTGCCTTTGAGCCTCTTTTCTATTGTACTGGCTGTATGAAGGAGGCACAGGCCTGAGCTAAGAAGGTCATTGTTTGATCTTGGCCAGGAAAGGAAGAAAAATTCTTGGGCACTTCCCAGACCTAGGCACACTTCCTGGGCCCTACCTGCTAGAATAGATGGGTCTGCTCCCTGGTTCTAGCCCCTGACTCCCTGCCACACCCTCCCATCATCGGGCTGCTGCTTTGCACTAACATCCTCTCTTTGGGGCATATAGTCTGATTTTGGATCCCAGCTTTTCGGAAAAGCTTCATGTATTGGCCATGATTATTGATGCTACTGTTATCGTCACAAGCACCTCACCCTGCAAGCTCACCGTGCCCTTCCTTCATTCTTTGGAAACATGAGATTTGTTCTTGCGGGCAGCTTGTCTTCCTGGGAAGTTGAAATTACCTTTTTGATGCAGACAAGCACTTGTCCTGAAGAGTAACGGGAGGAACCAGGTGTCTATCACTGAGAGGCGGGAGTGCAGAACTGGAGACAGGATAAGTGGGGCAATCTTGACTGATTGCAAGGAAATAGTACTGTTATTGGCTCCATTTGTAGAGGCTGGAGTCTTTAGATGACTTGTATGGTTTATAGACTCCACGGAAGGAGGCAAAGCAGTAGTTGAGGAGGTCTTTGGAGTTGGGCACATGTGAGTTCAGGTCTCATTTGCACCTTTTACTAGTTGCATTTCCTGGGGGCACATTTCTACTTTATGTGAGCTTCTGTTTCCACAACCGTGCAATTGGACTCTTGTGATTTCTCCTTCATGGAGCTGTCATGAAGATGAATGGGGAGATGTATGGAAGGCACTGGCAGGAGGCCCAGCAGGACCAGGCCCTCAGGAGATGGTGTTTGTGCTGCTCATTCTCATCACCAGTTCTGGGGGGAACATCCCTCATGAGCCAGGCTTGTTGATGACAACCTTCTCAGCAGTCAAGTGGCAGAGGAGATGAGGAGGGACCCAAATGTCCAAGCTCCCACCAGGGGTAGGCAGGCAAAAAGGAGGAGCAGAGGATTCTATGGCTTGTCAGCAATTACCAGGTTCTCTGGGACAGTGTAGACAGGGCATGGAAATGGGATTGCATTTTACTGTTTGGCTTTGAGTTTAGACTTTTGGTCCAAGTCAGGTTGGGATCAGAACTCAAGAGAGTATCTTCTGGATAATTAAATATAATGATTATCTCTTCGAAAGGCTCTGACAACCAAACTCACGTTCCCAAGCTTCATTTTAAAGTGTTGAGATGCTTGGGCTCACGTCCTTGTGTTCTGCCTTGTAGCTGGGAAACCTGGTGCACCTCAGTATTCCTAAGCCCCCTTTCCTCACCTATGGTTTTGGATCAAGTTTAGCTGAGAGATCATATACAGTGACACTGTGTGACCCCTTACAGTATGATTTGACCGTTTGCTGTTAGAAGACCCACTATCCCCCATCCTCATTCTGAAGTCAAAACAGCATCCGGGCTCCTCTTCTTCTCTATTGGGAGCAAGTTTTATTTTAAAATAAAATCAGGGATAAGTGCCAAATGTAATCATCAGCTGAGACCCTCAAAACCTTTTGTTCCAACCACTCTAATTTCTGTCACAATGGCCCCTTGTCACTGTGAGCCTTTCTGTAGAGGGTATTTGGGGCTGTCTTGCCTCTGACCACTTCATGCACACTGATCACAGTGTTCTCAATACTTTTCATTTTGACACTTTTGGGCAAAGTTTACCTCTACTTCTTTGAAAACATTCTCTTTAGACTTGGCCAATTTGACAAACGTGTTCTTTCTGCCTTCTTTAGTGGTTGTCCAGGCATGGACAACGGCTGCTTTCTCCTGGAACTGATTCCATTCAGAGTCCTTTTGGCTTTCTTGCAATAGTTTTCCTTTGATTCAGCCAAATTTTCCACTTCTTCAATAAGTGTTATTTAGAGATCAACCTCAAATCTCCAACACTGGCACTTATTTTGAAACCTTAAGCAGTAAATCCATGCCAGAGATAATACTTCCTTTTGGGGGACAAAAACCGATTCAGTCTATTTTCCACCTTCTTTACTTTTCCAGACACATCAGTGATTCTTGACACGTTAATATCTTCCTTAAGCCTCACCACAATCCATGTGATTTTAGGCTAAGGGATTAGATTTGGGATCTATTTCTCCAACATCCATATATAGTGGTTCAAGATAAAAGATAACCTATATCAATATTTAAATCTAAATGCCAAATATTGGAGGTGGGGTTGTACCCGGATAGGTCGATTGCCATCTTTCACATCAGAGGCCAGACACATATTCTTTGAAATAGGCAAATGCAGTTATTGTTGGGTAGGCCTACGGTCTAGAGAAGTTGTGAGGTAAGATGCCAGGAGAACTGGAACATAGCAACCTGCTCTTTAGGACTGAAACAGAAGCTCCGAGCAGACGGACACTTGGATTTTTGTCTTAAGCTCATCTGCAATTTCTATCATGTGCAGACAGTACTTTGATAATAATAAAATAATGTTTTTATTTTTTTTTTAGCTTTTTTTGCATCCTCTTGAATTCAGAGTCTTTCAGGCCCAAAAGGGTGATGTGGGTTGGGGGCCAGGGGTAAGAGGATTGGGTGAGGTGAGAGGACTTGCTCCTTAGGGGGTGCTCCACCATGGACACTCAGATGAGAAGCAGGTGGGAGGAGAGGAAAGCTCCTAGAAAATCCAGTGGGTCATGTGGGAAGTAATTTGTGGCACTTGTTTTTAGGTTTACCGGATTAAATGGTCTAAGATAATCATGGGGGATACTTCATCCACTGCCACACATTTCAAGAGCTTAAGGCTAGAGTCTTTGAAGTCAAATTCTAGGCTGCAGAATGTGCCTGCAGGGCTCCCCAGCCTGTACCCCATCTCTGCGTTCCCCACTCTGTTTCAGGATATTTTTCTACAGGGCTTTCACATTCTCATGAGATTGCAAGATTGCTTCAGAAAAACTGAATTCACAGCAATGCTTACTCACCCTGGTTTGCATACACACACACACATGCACACACACACACACACCCCAAAAAACAAAACATAAACAACAAAGACTCCTTGGAGGAACTTTAGAGCACTAAACTCAGCCCTGGGTCAAGTGGGCTCTGCCCCAGAGCCTTTTGTATTTTACTTTGTCCTTAGAAGGGTATCAGAGTCCTGGAAGTGTGGCTGGCCTCCATGTTGGCTTGGGTCCTGGAAGAGACAGACAAAGGCTATTTGGCAACAGAGAGACCATAGAGCCCTAGAGGATTCAAGCTTAAATCCTCCAACTACAGATTATAAATTATTAATACTTCCAGTGGACTTGTTTGTCTTTCCTTGCCAGAACCAACAATTCTCAAATCTGACTGCCCATCTAAGCCACTTGGGGAGCTTAATCTATAGATGTTTATATGAATTCTGAAGCCTTACCTCATGGACTCAGTGTCTGCAGTGAGGCCTGGGAACCGGATCTTTAACAGCCATGGCACCTTCTGCAGGCTGGCCTTCGGTAACCACTGAGTGGTTGATCCAAAGGTCTTTCTGAGCTCTCCTGGCCCAGGATCCTCTGATTCAGTGAATGCATCCCTAGCAAAGGCAACACAGAGCAGGGCTTCAGTCACTTACTGCATTCACACCTGCCCATCAGCGCATTCTGCCTGCACCTTGCCTCTCCCAAGCTCTGGTTGCTTCTGAGAACTGAAAGCGCTTCTCTCACTGGAAGAGCCCAGCACTGGTCCTGGCTCTCACTGGGACTCCTTTGGATCCTAGATCAGCGGGACCCTGCAGGAAGACAGTGGGGTCTATTGCCTGGGGGGTAAATCTGTGCTGCAAACCCTGATGGTTTCCACTAGAAGGCCCTGCCTGTTCGAATGTTGGTAATGGGTAATGACCTTGCCCTTCAGGAAATTCTTTCTGGCATAAAATGAGACTTCTGTGCCTGTGACTACTGAAAAGGATGTGACAGATGCAAGAAATACTCTGAGGGAAAAAGTAATTTAACCTAATGTAAAGGGTTTTTCGGTGGTAAAATGTACATAATAAAAAACTTACCATTTTAACCATTTTAAAGTTTATACTTCAGTGGCATTAAGTACATTCACATTGTTGAGCCGCCATCACCAGCATCCATCTAGAGCATTTTCATCTTCCCAAACTGAAGCTCTGTCCCATTAAACAATAAGTACCATTATCCTTACCCCCAGCCCCTGTAAACCACGATTCTACTTTTTGTCACTATAAATTTGACTATTCGAGTTACCTCATATGTATGAAATCAGACAGTATTTATTTTTTTGTGACTGGCATATTTCACTTAGCATAATGTCTTCAAGGTCCATTCATGTTGCAGCAAATGTCAGGATTTCCTTCCTTTATAAGGCTAAATAATATTCTGTTGTATGTGTATAGTACATTCTGTAAATCCACTCATCATCCGTCAATAAACGCTTGAGTTGGTTCCACCTTTTGGCTATGGACATGGATGTGCAAATATTATGTTTGAGTCCCTGCTTTCGCTTCTTTTGGGTATATATCCAGAAGTAGAATTTGAATCAAACAGTAATTCTATTTTTATTTTTATTTTTGTTATACTTTAAGTTCTAGGGCATATGTGCACAACGTGCAAGTTTGTTACATAGGTTACATAGGTATACATGTGCCATGTTGGTTTGCTGATGGGTTTTTGGATCCCATCAATTCGACATTTACATTAGGTATTTCTCCTAATGCTATCCCTCCCCCAGTCCCCCACCCCCTGACAGACCCTGGTGTGTAATGTTCCCCACCCTATGTCCATGTGTTCCCATTGTTCAATTCCCACCTATGAGTAAGAACATACGGTGTTTGCTTTTCTGTCTTTGTGATAGTTTGCTGAGAATGATGGTTTCCAGTTTCATCCATGTCCCTACAAAGGACCTGAACTCATCCATTTTTATGGCTGCATAGTATTCCATGGTGTATATGTGACACATTTTTTAAATCAGTCTATCATTGGTGGACCTTTGGGTTGGTTCCAAGTCTTTCTATTGTGAATAGTGCCACAATTAACATACGTGTGCATGTGTCTTTATAAGTAGCATGATTTATAATCCTTTGGGTATATACCCAGTAATGGGATCGCTGGGTCAAATGGTATTTCTAGTTCTAGATCCTTGAAGAATCACCGCACTGTCTTCCACAATTGTTGAACTAATTTACACCCCCACCAACAAAGTAAAAGCGTTCCTATTTCTCCACATCCTCTCCAGCATCTGTTGTTTCCTGACCTTTTCATGATCACCATTCTAACTGGTGTGAGATAGTATCTCATTGTGGTTTTGATTTGCAATTCTCTGATGACCAGTGATGATGAGCATTTTTCCATGTGTCTGTTGGATGCATAAATGTCTTCTTTTGAGAAGTGTCTGTTCATATCCTTTGCCCACTTGTTGATGGGGTTCTTTGTTTTTTTGCTTGTAAATTTGTTTAAGTTCTTTGCAGATTCTGGACTTTAGCCATTTGTCAGATGGGTAGATTGCAAAAATTTTCTCCCATTCTGTAGGTTGCCTGTTCACTCTGATGATAGTTTCTTTTGCTGTGCAGAAGCTCTTTAGTTTAATTAGATCCCATTTGTCTATTTTGGCTTTTGTTGCCATTGCTTTTGGTGTTTTAGTCATGAAGTCTTTTCCCATGCCTAAGTCCTGAATGGTATTGCCTAGGTTTTCTTCTAGGGCTTTTATGGTTTTAGGTCTAACATTTAAGTCTTTAATCCATCTTGAGTTAATTTTTGTATAAGGTATAAGGAAGGGATCCAGTTTCAGCTTTCTATATATGGCTAGCCAGTTTTCCCAGCACCATTTATTAAATAGGGAATCCTTTCCCCATTGCTTGTTTTTGTCAGGTTTGTCAAAGATCAGATGGTTGTAGATGTGTGGTGTTATTTCTGAGGCCTCTATTCTGTTCCCCTGGTCTATATGTTTTGGTATCAGTACCATGCTGTTTAGGTTACTGTAGCCTTGTAGTATAGTTTGACATCAGGTAACACAATGCTTCCAGCTTTGATGTTTTTGCTTAGGATTGTCTTGGCAATGCAGGCTCTTTTTTGGTTCCATATAAACTTTAAAGTGGTTTTTTCCAATTCTGTGAAGAAAGTCATTGGTAGCTTGATGGGGATGGCATTGAATCTATAAATTACCTTGGGCAGTAAGGCCATTTTCACGATATTGATTCTTCCTACCCATGAGCATGGAATGTTCTTCCATTTGTTTGTATCCTCTTTTATTTCCTTGAACAGTGGTTTGTAGTTCTCCTTGAAGAGGTCCTTCATGTCCCTTGTAAGTTGGATTCCTAGATATTTTATTCTCTTTTTAGCAATTGTGAATGGTATTTCACTCATGACTTGGCTCTCTGTTTGTCTGTTATTGGTATATGGGAATGCTTGTGATTTTTGCACATTGATTTTTGTTTCCTGAGACTTTGCAGAAGTTGCTCATCAGCTTTCGGGCTGAGATGATGGGGTTTTCTAAATGTAAAATCATGTCATCTGCAAACAGGGACAATTTGACTTCCTCATTTCCTAATTGAATACCCTTTATTTCTTTCTCTTGCCTGATTGCCCTGGCCAGAACTTCCAACACTATGTTGAATAGGAGTGGTGAGAGAGGGCATCCTTGCCTTGTGTCGGTTTTCAAAAGGAATGCTTCCAGTGTTTGCCCATTGATTATGATATTGGCCGTGGGTTTGTCATAAATAGCTCTTATTATTTTGAGATAGATTCCATCAATACCTAGTTTATTGAGAGTTTTTAGCATGAAGTGCTGTTGAATTTTGTTGAAGGCCTTTTCTGCATCTATTGAGATAATCATGTGGTTTTTGTCATTAGTTCTGTTTATGTGATGTATTACGTTTATTGATTTGCATATGTTGAACCAGCCTTGCATCCCGTGGATGAAGCCAACTTGATCTTGGTGGATAAGCTTTTGGATGTGCTGCTGGATTCAGTTTGCCAGTATTTTCTTGAGGATTTTTGCATCGATGTTCAACAGGGATATTGGTCTAAAATTATCTTTTTTTGTTGTGTCTCTGCCAGGCTTTGGTATCAGGATGATGCTGGCTTCATAAAATGAGTTAGGGAGGATTCCCTCTTTTTCTATTGATAGGAATAGTTTCAGAAGGAATGGTACCAGCTCCTCTTTGTACCTCTGGTAGAACTCAGCTGTGAATCCATCTGGTTCTGAACTTTTCTGGTTGGTAGGCTATTAATTATTGCCTCAATTTCAGAACCTGTTATTAGTCTATTCAGAGATTCAACTTCCTCCTGGTTTAGACTTGGGAGGGTGTATGTGTCCAGGAATTTATCCATTTATTCTAGATTTTCTAGTTTATTTGCATAGAGGTGTTTATAGTATTTTCTGATGGTAGTTTGTATTTCCATGGGATCGGTGGTGATATCCCCTTTACCATTTTTTATAACATCTATTTGATTCTTCTCTCTTTTTTTCTTTATTAGCCTTGCTAGCAGTCTATCAATTTTGTTGATATTAAAAAAAACAGCTCCTGGATTCACTGATTTTTTGAAGGGATTTTTGTGTCTCTATCTCCTTCATTTCTCCTCTGATCTCAGTTATTTCTTGCCTTCTGCTAGCTTTTGAATTTGTTTGCTCTTGCTTTTCTAGTTCTTTTACTTGTGATGTTAGGGTGTCATTTTTAGATCTTTCCTGCTTTCTCTTGTGAGCATTTAGTGCTATAAATTTCCCTCTACACACGCTTTAAATATGTCCCAGAGATTCTGGCACGTTGTGTCTTTGTTCTCATTGGTTTCAAAGAACATCTTTATTTCTGCCTTCATTTCATTATTTACTCAGTAGTCATTCAGGAGCACGTTGTTCAGTTTCCATGTAGTTGTGTGGTTTTGAGTGAGTTTCTTAATCCTGAGTTCTAATTTGATTGCACTGTGGTGTGAGAGACAGTTTGTTGTGATTTCCGTTCTTTTACATTTGCTGAGGAGTGCTTTACTCCCAACTATATGGTCAATTTTTGAATAAGTGTGATGTGGTGCTGAGAAGAATGTATATTCTGTTGATTTGGGGTGGAGAGTTCTGTAGATGTCTATTAGGTCTGCTTGGTGCAGAGCTGAGTTCAAGTCCTGGATATCCTTGTTAACATTCTGTCTCATTGATCTGTCTTATATTGACAGTGGGGTGTTAAAGTCTCCCATTATTATTGTGTGGGAGTCTAAGTCTCTTTGTAGGTCTCTAAGGACTTGCTTTATGAATCTGGGTGCTCCTGTATTGGGTGCATATATATTTAGGATAGTTAACTCTTTTTGTTGAATTGATCCTTTTACCATTATGTAATGGCCTTCTTTGTCTCTTTTGATCTTTGTGGGTTCAAAGTCTGTTTTATCAGAGACTAGGATTGCAACTCCTGCTTTTTTTTTTTTTGCTTTCCCTTTGCTTGGTAGATCTTCCTTCACGCCTTTATTTTGAGCCTATGTGTGTCTCTGCATGTGAGATGGGTCTCCTGAATACAGCACATTAGTGGGTCTTGACTCTTGATCCAATTTGCCAGTCTGTGTCTTTTTATTGGGGCATTTAGCCCATTTACATTTAAGATTAATATTGTTATGTGTGAATTTGATCCATTATGATGTTAGCTGGTTATTTTGCATGTTAATTGATGCAGTTTCTTCCTAGCCTTGATGGTCTTTACAATTTGGCATGTTTTTGCAGTGTCTGGTACCAGTTGTTCCTTTCCATGTTTTGTGCTTCCTTCAGGAGCTCTTGTAAGGCAGGCCTGGTGGTGACAAAATCTCTCAGCATTTGCTTGTCTATAAAGGATTTTATTTGTCCTTCACTTATGAAGCTTAGTTTGGCTGGATATGAAATTCTGGGTTGAAAATTCTTTTATTTAAGAATGTTGAATATTGGCTCCCACTTTCTTCTGGCTTGTAGGGTTTCTGCTGAGAGGTCCACTGTTAGTCTGATGGGCTTCCCTTTGTGGGTAACCCAACCTTTCTCTCTGGCTGCCCTTAACATTTTTTCCTTCATTTCAACCTTGGTGAATCTGACAATTGGGTTGCTCTTCTCGAGGAGTATCTTTGTGGTGTTCTCTGTATTTCCTGAGTTTGAATGTTGGTCTGCCTTTCTAGGTTGGGGAAGCTCTCCTGTATAATATGCTGAAGAGTGTTTTCTAAGTTGGTTCCATTCTCCCCATCACTTTCAGGTACACCAATCAAATGTAGATTTGGTCTTTTCACATAGTCCCATATTTCTTGGAGGTTTTGTTCATTTCTTTTCACTCTTTTTTCTCTAATCTTGTCTTCTCATTTTATTTTATTAATTTGACTTTCAATCACTGATATCCTTTCTTCCACTTAATCGAATCAGCTATTGAAGCTTTTGCATGTGTCATGAAATTCTCGTGCTGTGGTTTTCAGCTCCATCAGGTCATTTAAGGTCTTCTCTGCACTGTTTATTCTAGTTAGCCATTTGTCTAACCTTTTTTCAAAGTTTTTAGCTTCCTTGCAATGGGTTGAAACATGCTCCTTTAGCTCAGATATGTTTGTTATTACCGACCTTCTGAAGCCTACTTCTGTCAACTTGTTAAACTCCGTCCATTTTTGTTCTGTTGCTGGCGAGGAGCTGCAATCCCTTGGAGGAGAAGAGACGCTCTGGTTTTTGGAATTTTCAGCTTTTCTGCTCTGGTTTCTCCCCATCTTTGTGGTTTTATCTACCTTTGGTCTTTGATGTTGGTGACCTACAGATGGGGTTTTGGTGTGGATGTCCTTTTCATTGATGTTGATGCTATTCCTTTCTATTTGTTAGTTTTCCTTCTAACAGTCAGGCCCCTCAGCTGCAGGTCTGTTGGAGTTTGCTGGAGGTCCACTCCAGACCGTGTTTGCCTAGGTATCACCAGCAGAGGCTGCAGAACAGCAAATATTGCTGTCTGATCTTTCCTCTGGAAGCTTCATCCCAGAAGGGCACCTACCTGTATGAGGTGTCTGTCGGCCCCTACTGGGAGGTGTCTCCCAGTCAGGCTACACGGGGATTAGGGACCCACTTGAGGGGGCAATCTGTCCATTCTCAGAGCTTGAACACTGTGCTGGAAGAACCACTGCTCTCTTCAGAACTGTCAGACAGGGACGTTTAAGTCTGCAGAAGTTTTCTGCTGCCTTTGGTTCAGCTATGCCCTGCCCACAGAGGTGGAGTCCAGAGAGGCAGTAGGCCTTGCTGAGCTGTGGTGGCCTCTGCCCAGTTCGAGCTTCCTGGCCACTTTGTTTACCTACTCAAGCCTCAGCAATGGCAGATGCCCCTCCCCCTGCCAGGCTGCAGCTCCGCAGGTCGATCTCAGACTGTTGTGCTAGCAGTGAGCAAGGCTCTGTGGGTGTGGGACTCACCTAGCCAGGCATGGGAGGGAATCTCCTGGTCTGCCGGGTGCGAAGACCATAGGAGAAGTGCATTATTTGGACAGGGGTGTACCATTCCTCCAGGTACAGTCTGTCACGGCTTCCCTTGGATAAGAAAGGGAAATCCCCTGACCCCTTGTGCTTCCCGGGTGAGGTGACGCCCTACCCTGCTTCAGCTTGCTCTCCATGGGCTGCACCCCCTGTCCAACCAGTCCCAATGAGATGAACCAGGAATCTCAGTTGGAAATGCAGAAATCACCCATCTTTTGCGTCAATCTCGCTGGGAGCTGCAGACCAAAGCTATTCGTATTCAGCCATCTTGGCAGCGACCAGTAATTCTATTTTTAATTCTTTGAGGAACTATTGTAAGTTTTCCACAGTAGCTGCACCATTTTACATTCCCACCAGCAGTGAAGAAGAGTACTAATTTTTACACATTCTTAATTACAGCCACCTTCGTGGGTGTAACAGGGTATCTCACTATGGCCTTGATTTGTGTTTCCCTAATGATGAGTGATGTCGAGTAGCTTTTCATGTGTGTACTGGCCATGCATGCATGTATCTTTGCAGAAATATCGATTCAAGCCTATTGCCCATCTTTGGTCATGTTGTTTGCTCTGTTTTTGTTGTCAAGTTGTAGGAGTTCCTTATATATTTTGGATACTAACCACTTGTCAGATATGTAATTTTGCAGATATTTTCTCCTTTTCTGTGGGTTGCCTTTTCATTCTGCTGATAGTGCTAGTGCCCTTTTTGATTTTATATTATTATTGATATGGTTTGGCTCTGTGTCCCCACCCAAATCTGTTGAGTTGTGATCCTCAGTGTTGGAGGAGGGACCTGGTGGGAGGTTATTGGATCATAAGGGCAGGTTCTTTTTTAAAAATTATTTTATTATTATTTTTTAAGTTCCAGGGTACAGGTATGTGCAGATTTGTTACATAGGTAAACATGTGTCATGGTGGTTTGCTGCACCTGACAACCCATTACCTAGGTATTAAGCCCAGCATGCATCAGCTCTTTTCCCTAATGCTCTCCCCATCCCACCTTCCCCCAACTGGCCCCAGTGTGTGTTGTTACCCTCCCTGTGTCCATGTGTTCTCATTATTCAGCTCCCACTTATAAGTGAGAATATGTGGTGTTTGGTTTTCTGTTCCTGCATTAGTTTGCTGAGGAGAATGGCTTCCAGCTTCACCCATGTCTCTGCAAAGGACATGATCTCATTCCTTTTTATGGCTGCACAGTATTCCATCGTGTATATGTACCATTCTTTATCCAATCTATCATTGATGGGCATTTGGGTTGATTCCATGTCTTTGCTATTGTGCCACAATGAACATATGAGTGCATGTATCTTTATAATAGAATGATTTATATTCCTTTGGGTATATAACCAGTAATGGGATTGCTGAGTCAAACGGTATTTCTGGTTCTAAATCTTTGAGGAATCACCACTCTGTCTTCCACAGTCATTGAACTAATTTACATTTCCACCAACAGTGTAAAAGCATTCCTACTTCTCTGCATTCTCAGCAGTATCTGTTTTTTTTTTTTTTTGGACTTTTTAATAAAAAGTGGAAATGCATTTTGCATTCACATAACGTCAGTTCTGTTTCGTTTCATGGACAATGAAGTATAACTTACAGACTATAGAAAGCAGAGACACTCTCATATTTTTACTTATGTGAATAAAAGTTGGGCCCATCTGCTCCCTCTCCTTTCTTTAACAATAGCACTACTGAGCTGTGATTTTGCCCAGTATCATCCCCCAGGAGACCAGTTCCCAGCCTCTTGGCAGCTGGGTGTGGCCGAGTGAGTCATCTCTGGCCAGGGAGATGAGAGCAAAGGACTGCAGCCACAGAGGCTTTGAGCTCCATTGCCCATACCCTGCTTTTCTTATGAAGAGAATTTATTCTCATCCCAGTGGTATCACTGAAAAGCTAAAGGCTGGGAAGATGAATGGAAGGGCCCGTGCTTTGGACATTCTGTTCCCATGAATCATATTTGCTTGGGAAATTAAGCAGGAACGAGAGCATTTTGGAAAACATGCTTCAGTTTCACTTTCAAAACAGGAACAGAGAAAAAGTAAAAACGAGAGAGGAAAACCAGCTGTGATGGCTAAATTTTTTGTGCCAACTTGGCTAGGCCATGGTGCCAGTTGTTTGGTGAAGCACCAATCTGTGTGTTGTCATGAGGGTGTTTTGTAGATATTGTTAACATGTACAATCGGTTGATTTTCAGTGAAGAAAATAACCTTAGATAATGTGGCTGGACTCCATTCAATTAGTTGAAGGACTTAAGGGCAAAAACTGAGATTTCCAGAAGAAGAATGAAGTCTGTTTTAGACTGTAACATATCCTGCCTGCCTGACAAATCCTGGACTTGCCAGGCCCCACAATCACATAAACAGATTCCTTAAAATAAATCTTTTTACATATATATGTGTGTGTATATATATATATATATATACACACACACACACACATTCTCTTAATAAATATAAATATATCTTAATATATGTACATAATATATATGTATACATTTCATGTTATATATGTATAATTGTATATTTATGTGCACATAATATATATCCTATTGGTACAATCTCTTTATATATATATAGATGTGTGTGCGTATATATATCCTGTTGGCTCTGTTTCTCTGGAGAAACCAAGTTGATACATGTATTAGTCTGTTCTCACACTGCTATAAAGAAATACCTGAGACTGGGTAATTTATAAAGGAAAGAGTTTTAATTGACTCACAGTTCCACGTGGCTGAGGAAGCCTCAAGAAACTTATGACCATGGCAGAAGGTGAAGGGGAAGCAAGGATGTTCTTCACACAGCAGCAGGAGACAGTGTATGTAAAGAAGAAACTGTCAAACATTTACAAAACCATTAGATTGCATGAGAACTCACCATCATAAAGATAGCATGGGGAAAACTGCACCCATGGTCCAATCACCTCCCACCAGGTCCCTCCCTCAACACGGGGATTATGGAGATTACAATTCAAGATGAGATTTGAGTGTGGACACAGCCAAACCATATCAATACACTGACTAATTCAGCAAGAAGAGACAGACTTCCCTATGAACTTAAGGACTGGGACCAATTTGATACAAAGCACAATGTGGTTCTGAAGGCTGGCAGAGAGGGAGATGAGGACGAACCTTGATTCAATTTCTCTTGCAGGGGCCACTGAAAAAGTGAGAGACACGTGAGCTATTGCTGAATTAGAAAACACTGACTGGGACTATCTAAAGTGAAATTAGCCAGACACAAAAAGACAAATACCGCATGTTCTCACTTATATGTGGGAGCTAAAAAGTCTGATCACATGGAAGCAGAGAGTGGAAAGATAGATACCAGAGACTGGGAAGGGTGAGTCACTGAAGGGGGAGGATGAAGAGAAGTGGGTTACAGGGTACAAATGTACAGTTAGATAGAAGAAACACATCTGATGTTTGATAGCAGAGTAGGGTGACTATAGTTAAACAAAAATGTATTGTATTCTGGTGATGGACTCCCTAAACAGTCTGACCTAATCACTATGCATTTATATAAATGCAACAAAATTTCACATGTGCCCCATAAATTTGTACAAATAAAAACAAACAAAACAAAATTCTTATGCCTAAAAAAGGAAGAATGAAAGAACGAAAGAAAGAAAGAGAAAGAAAGAAGGAAAGAAAAAGAAAGAAAGAAAGAAAGAAAGAAAGAAAGAAAGAAAGAAAGAAAGAAAGAAAGAAAGAAAGAAACAAAGAAAGAAACAAAGAAACAAAGAAAGAGTGAATGGGGCCAAAGGCATCTCACTGATGGAGAGTAGAGTGGTCTCAGAGGACAGGCCAGAATGACACCTCGGGGGGTTGGTGGGGTGCAGGTAGGATCCAGGGAGCTACTGGCATCTGCGGGGAGCCTCTTAGGTCTGCACAAAGAGGACTCCCAGTAAGAACAGTTGAAGGTTTGCTTCCTACAACTGTTAGAATCACCTGCGGCGTGTGACTTTAGTTGTCTGGATGGGGCTTGTGAACCAGCATCCATTCAATGCATCCAGGTGATTCTTATAGTTGTTGGTTCAGGTTCTTGACTTCGCCACACAAAATAATTTGAGAGCAAGTCCAAAGTAACAGTAGGCAAAGAAGTCTGTTGCAAAGCAACAGCTACATTCTGAGAGGCAGAGGGGGCTGCTCAGAAGAAACAGCAGCTAGTGCCGTAAGGGAAATTCCCTTTATGGGAGCTGTTCATTCACATTCATAAAATACTGGTGAGGTCAAGTATGCAAAGGTGGACTTGCGGTTGACACATGCACTCAGCATCTATGTGCTCTAACATGCATCACGTGCATC
Organism: Homo sapiens; assembly: GCF_000001405.40. Lineage (NCBI taxonomy): Eukaryota > Metazoa > Chordata > Mammalia > Primates > Hominidae > Homo > Homo sapiens. The sequence goes on from NC_000020.11 coordinate 23,625,494, forward strand.
ATCAGCACATAAAATCTCCACCTAGGAATGTGTTTTTTACTATTAAGATGAGGGAAATGACACTATAAGCCAAACCTTCAGCCTACTTGCATAGGTGGGACCCCAGAGAAGTTCTTAGCCCTCCACTCCCCTCAAAGTAGGAATTTGTAGCTAATATCTTCTTGGGCTTTGGAGCTGATTGGCTGGAGATTAGGGAAGCTACTTCATGAACAAGGGGCTTTTGTTCTCTTTCCCAGCTGCGTTGAGTATCAGGAACTTAAGACTCTGGCGGTTGGCTGGTACCGTGTAGGACTGCTTACCTTGCAAAAGAGTTAGATGCTGACACGTAAGGATGCAAGTGAAAGGAGCCCACTGAGAAGTGAGCCCACAGGGCTTCACACAAGCGGATGAGCCAGTATGGCCCCCTAACCTTCCTTATCCAGCCTCATTCTGTGCCCCCAGGAATGAGGACCACAGTCTTAGCAACTGGGCCAGGTCTTCTGACCAACTTCACCAACGTGAAATCATCGAAGCTCCACTGGTGGTTTCTCAGGTGATGCGGACACTGTAGGTGAAGATACAGGTTTGATTCAGCTTCAAGAGGACGTGCTTGATAAACTCAAGGAAAATAAGAGAGGATGAGCAGAGGTGGGACCTACCAAAGGGGAGTCAGTCACCGGTGTCTCAGGTCAGTGCTCATTCTGATGGAAAACAGTTATCCCACTCAGGGTGAGAGAATAAACAAGACCTGTTCAACATCACATGACTTGAGCAGACTGGAAGTGACTGATTTATATCCTTCCTTAGGGTATCCCTTGGGCAAAATGCAGTGACTGCGTAAGAAGAGGAAAGGAGTGGGGCTTGAACACAAGGAAAGAATCAAGGACTTTCCAAAATTTCACTGCAAGTAGGCATGAGCACACACTGCTTCTCATGTTTACTACTTTGTCTCACAGCTTGTGAACACACATTCTTGGGCCACGCCCCAGGGTTTCTAATTCAACAGGCTGGGGTGTGGCCTAAGAACTTGCATCTCTTACAAGATCTCTGGTGGTGCTGCTGCTGCTGGTCCAGGAACTGCACTTTGGGATTCTCTACCTTTAAAAAATACATCCAATCACTGTGAGAAATGGGCTACAGGCACTGCACTGTCACCTGTCACGCATGCACTAAGGCTGGGGGATCTCAGTGGCTGAGAGCCTGAGACTGAGCCAAATAAGAATTTGAGAAGAATTGTTTGTACACTTTAAGAATTTTATTGTGGGCTGTGATTTCTTTAGACTTCAATGTCAGGACTTCAACTTGCAAGGGGAGTTGATCTTGTGTTTAGTTTTTCCTGGGAATGAGACGATGGGGGTTGGGTGGTAAATTTATGGTCAAGTTTGGGGCATTTGCACATTGGCTTGTAACTGGAGTAAGTTGTGGTGTTGTTTAATTTTGTCGAGGCTTGACTGGAACATATGGCTGGAAATTATTTGGGACTGAAAGAGAAGCGGTAGTAAACATTTGCCTTAGGTAAAATGTAGCTTTGGGATGAAACTTTTTTAAACAGCTTTACTGACATTTAATTTTCACATACCTCACCCACTTAAAGTATACAATTCAGTGGTTCCGAGTATATTCACAAAATTGTGCAAATGGACGTATAATCTGATTTTAGAACATTTTCATGATCCCTCCAAGGAAACTTCCTATTAGCAGTCACTCTGCCTTCTATTGCCCCCAGCCCTAGACAACCACTAATCTACAGCCTGTCTCTATACATTTTTCTGTTCTGGGTATTTCATATAAATTGAATCATATTGTATGAATGCTGACTTGTTTCAGCATGGCTTGCTGGCTTCTTTCACTTAGCACATTTTCAAGATTGCTCCACATTGTAGCACGGGTCATGTCATTCTCTTTTATGCCCGTTCATTTTCCATTGTATGAATAGACTAACACTATATCTTGATTATCCATTCGTCAGTTGATGGACATTTGAGGTTTTTTTTAATATATTTTTTTCTGATTTTAATAATGATGCTATGAACTTTCATGTGTAAATATTTTGGTGAACTTAATGTTTTTATTTGTAGCTGACATATAAATATGAGTAGAGTTGCTAGGTTATATGGTAGGTCTAACCTTTTGAAAACTTGTGAAACTGTTTTCCAAAGCAGCTGCACCATTTTACATTCCCACCAGCTATGTATAAAGATTCCAATTTGTTATTTGTGGTCTCTTTGACCACAACCATGTAGTGGCTTTGAAGCTGCTTTTTACTGTGGTTTTGATTTGCCTTTTCCTAATAGCTAATGGTGTTATGCACGTTTTTATGCGTTTATTGGCTATTTACATATCTTCTTTGGAAAAACGTTTATTCAAATCCTTTGGAACTTTTAAATTGGTTTGTTTCTTTAAAAACTTTGAGTTATATAAAAATTAGGTTATTTGCCTTTATTTTTAAATTGGTTTTTTTAAAAAGAATTTTTAATTGGGTTACCAGTCTTATTGAGTTGTAAGAGTTCATTATATGTTCTGAATACAAGTTCTATATCAGATATATAATTTGCAAAATTTTTTTCCTATCATGTGTGTTGTTTTTTTTTGTTTTTGTTTTTGTTTTTGGGAGGGGATGAATTTAATTAGTGAGTTGTTCTGGCCTATTTGAGGGTTTCCTGAGTTCAAATCAATTCCATTTATGAGAAGTCCCGGGGGATCCCCAAGAAATTTGGTTGGTACTGGGGAGGTGCCTCATGAAGATAGAAAAAGGATGTCCAGATTGATTGCTGATTTCAATCCCAGGGGCACAGCTACACTTCTGGCTGACCACAGCTTAACGATGAGCCCGATTATATCTCAATAAGGGAAGTTACAGCCAATTTCTCCTTGAACACAAGTCCATTGCAGCATCTTCAGAGGCAGGGCCAGCCTCTATTTTTCAGTCATGGTGACATCTGTGGTCCTTGCATTTTTAAGAGTGGCCTGCTACTTGTAAGGTCCAGGGGGCAGGTCCTCCACTTTCTGCAAGCTGGTCCTTGAGGCATTACTTCTGAAACAGTCAAGAAATGTCATGGGACTGTGGGTCTGAGAACCGACTGATGAGTTATTTTTGTCTGTCAGTGAGGACAGACAAGAGCACAGGGCTGGAAACCCAACCCAACTGGCCTGGTGGTTGGTTCACATAACTAGGAAGTTCAGAGCAAGGGCGGGCATCAGGCTCTGCTTGGTGCAGGGACTCCATTATAACCCACCTGCTCCTTGCTCTCTGTTTCTCTCTCTCTTTTTCTGAGACACAGGGTCTCGCTCTTTTGCCCAGGCTGGAGTTCAGTAGTGAAATCATGGCTCATTGCAGCCTCAAACTGCTGAGCTCACGCAGTCCTCCCGCGTCAGCCTCCAGAATAGCTGGGAGTGCACCACCAGGCCTGGTTTCCTTGCTGTCTCTTCAGTTTTGTTGCTTCCCATAACTTGGCTTCATTCTCAAACAGGCTCCAAGTGGGCCCCAGACCTCAAGTCTTTTTTATCTTCACACTCAGCAGGGAAGGAAGAACCCACTTATCACACAGTCAAACAAAATCCCACCGTTAAGCCTATGTGGGTCCTGGGCAGCCACACATAGGTCACGTGTTGTCCTCATGCCAATCATGAGGCTTCAGGGGAGGGAGACCCGCTGCCCTGACCAGCTTAGCCAGGGTCAAGTGCTCCAAGCTGTGGTCCAAAGGGTAGAGTCAGCTTCCCTGGAAAAAGGCGGAGTGAGAGGGGAGGAGGGGTGAATCCTCACGGGGAAACTGCTATTGTTGTTGTAAGAAGGTGGGGCAGTCATGGCTTGTGAGTCAGACGCTGGCCGCTGGCCTCAGAGGTGTGTTTGGTAATGATGCCTCCATGCATACAGCATGAGCTGCCCAGTCAGAGAAGGCACAGAGCCTGTGGGGTAAACACTTCCCAGCATCATTCCCTGCCTGGTAGCCATTCAGGAAAGGCAGCATTTTCCTCAGTCTTTTCATCAGGGTCCTGGATTTGGGTAAAATAAATAGATAAATAAATAACTGTTGCTATTAGTGATCTCAAGTCCCTCACAAAGAAGGTGGTCCTGTTCACTAGGAAGGCCTTTGGTTTATAAGCACCTTGATGGGTGTGGGGAAGTCTACAAAGAGCTGAGTGGTTCTACCCCACAAAGGAGCCTTTGGACTTGCTGAGGGACTCAGTGGAGAGGATGCGTGGACAGATGGGGAATGCCACGGCGAAGAGCAGGCAGGGGAACAATCAGGCCAGTGACTGGTGGGGGGGGGAGGGGGTGGAATGTGAAGGTCAAGTGGCAACTACCTTTGGGAGGGAAGCCAAGGGCATTTCAAGGACAGAAATACCCAGTGCTGGGTTTGAGGAAGTGGGGGTTACTGTTCCACAGGGCAGGAGGTGATTTCCTGAAATCACCGACAAATTTCATTGCCCCAAACAAAGCTTTGGTGGAAGGAATTTCCGTTTGCTTTTGCTTTGTTGAGTTTCATTTACTGGAAATCAAGGGCTACACGTTTGCAGAGATACCTGGCACGGAAAGTGTGTCCACAGGCAGATGTGACCATGAGACTATCTTTACCTGCTGCAATTTGCAGATGTTTTAGGAGCAACTGGACTTTGACCAGGACTCTAATTGAGTTATAGTCCAGTGGTTCCTTGGGGAAGCAATGGGAGGAGTATTTAAACATCCAATGTCCACGTCCCATCCCAGAACACGATCAACTTTTCCGACTGGGATCATGGGATTGCCATGTGCAGCCAGGCTCCCCAGTGACGCCATGTACAGCCAAGCTTGAGACTAGAGTTCAGATGAGCCTGACCTGGTCTCAAGGGAGCCAGAGCCCCAGCTGATGTCACAGTGGCCTGAGCACATCTGACTCGACCCCATAAGCCTCAGGTGACAGGATTTGGAAGTGACCCACTTGGCATCCCAGCACCAAGGGTGAGAGCAGGTATGGGTAATTAAAGGAATGTCTGTTCCCTATTTTAGTCACCATTGTGTTCATGGCTTCTCAGTGTTGTGTCTTTGAGCAGTGAACTCAGACAGCACAGCAGAGCATAAGGAGAGGAAGGGGTGACTAGCTGCTGTCTTCCTGGGCCTCGTCTCTCCAGCTTCGCCCTGGAGTTATGGGACAGGGCTGGCGATTTGCTCTCTCTACATCTTTTAGGGAGGCTTGTGGCCTAGTCCAAGGTCACTCCCGTCAGCCAATCATAAGCCAGCTCTCCTCTGTCTCTCACAGCCACATGGGTGGCAACATCCCAAGCCTCTAAGTCCATAAATAATAAACCACCAAGGCAGAGTTAAAAAAAAAAAAAAAGGCAAACTCAATAGTCTTCTATTGAACTATTAACTAGTCTATCAGTAAAGACTAGAGGTACAATACTTGGAAATATCCCTGACCAAAATATAAAATATCCAGGAATAAATTTCACAGAAAATATGAAAGATGCATAAAATTTATTCTACTGAATACCATCAGAAAAGCAGGAAGGTATTGCAAGATGCATGGTATTCTAAAATGAAAGGCTCAAATGTTAAACGTTGTCAATTTTTTTTCCTAAAAAAACATAATATTTCTACTTATTGAACCTGAAAAAACAGTTTCATTTGGAGGAAGAAATACATTTAGAAAACAAAATTTTGGGGGAATAAAGAATAAAGATATAAAAATATTACCTAAAAGATACAAAAATATTATATTTAAAATGGAGTAATTAAAAAAATGGAAAAGAACAAGCCAGATTTAGGACTGAGATCCTGAAACTGACCTATGGTTATGGAAATCTGCTGTGGGTGTCAGCTGGAGCGGCTCTGGGCGGTCTCCTGTGGAGACTCCATCTTGGATGCCAATGCTGAGCCTCAGTCCCATCAATGCTTCTAAGATTTCTATTTCATCTGCTGTTTACTGTAAATCCAGCCCTTAGGTAAATTCCTTCTGAAGCTCCTATACCTTTTCCCCTATGGCACAGAAGCCCAGGGTCTGGGGGTAATGGGGTGGCGATCCACTGTCTTGCAGCCACGCAGGACACGGCTTCTGTTCCCAGGTCCCTATTACAACTTTCTTTCTAAGAAACTAGACTTGTCAGCCTCTCTTCGGCCTCTCAGCTCCCTGGGCCTTTGAGGGTAGGTGTCTGCAGGCTTGCCATCGAGGAACACCCCGCCAGCCTGACCGTCCTGGGGAGAGGGATCCTTCTGCAAAGGCTGGCTTCCTTCAGGACAAGAATGCTAGGGAGCTCAGAAGCTACTGGGCCCTTCCTGATCCCACCCCAATGGTCACCAGCAACACAATGCAAGAGGTGTCAAAGCACTATGTTATAAAGCCACCAGTGTAGAACCAGATCAATGAAAAAGCCTCTCCAACTTACTGTGTTTATTCAGAGCCAGGCCCTGTAATGAATCTATTTATATGGATAACTGTAGATGAAGTATATACTTAAATCAACATTTAAAATAAATGTAAAAGTAACTCTTGCAGATGAAAGGTGCAAGGGCGAGGCCTCCTCTCCAGGATGTGCTGGTCACAGTGACCTCTGGGTCAGAGGGGCTTCTGGCTCACTGGCCTCATGGGGGCCCAAGGGAGGCATTTACAGGCCCGCCGGCTGCGGAGGGGAGGCAGGGGTGGCACCAACCTGCTTCCCTGTGGGCTGTGGGCCATGGGGCCACCGGGCGGAGGGCAGGGAAGGAAGCAGACACACAGGGAGGCTGGGGAGCCCTGTGCACAGCCCGCCCCCAACCTCAACTTCCCCAAGGAAGAAGTGTGTCAGAAAAGGCACTGGGCTATATGGTCAGCTGTCCGTTTCCACTGGGTGCCTGGATGGAGGTTGCCTGTGTCAAAGATCCTTCACCGAGGTAGAAAACCAGGAGCACCTCCCTGCAGGGACCCTTTACCACTGACCACAACCACCACTTCTATCCCCCAACCCCCCACAGAAAACTGAGTGACTAAGACCACCCACCCCCAGCAGGGTGAGGCCCAGACTCAAATCTCCTCAGCTCATGGCATCCTAGGGGGTGCTACACTTCCCTCACCCCAAAGACCCTGTTAAAGCAAGTCAGGGTGGAGAGGAAAAGGAAGCAGACGCTCCCCACTCTCCCTGCCGTGTCCCCTGCTCTGACTTTGCAGGGACAGCATGTGGGGTGCTGGCCTTGGCGCTACTGGGGTGGATTTTCCTTCATCATTTCACCTTCAGTGTTCATGGCAGCAGCCAAAAGAGGGGGTCAGTGCAGCTCCGAGGTTGGAAGGTACCTGGGAGGCCTGCCCCAGCAGCACTGGCTGTAAGGGCTGCACCCCTGTCCTAAAATGGCAAAGGGAAGGACTGTGCAGGGTGGGCTGTGTCTTAGGACTGTAGCCTCCTGCTTGTGGCACAAAGATCCACTATTCTATAGGATAATGCTGACATGAAGGGAATGTTCTCTCTTAATCCTCCTTGGAAAAAGAAGAGTCCACTGCATTGTCGGTCTCATTTGTGCTTTAACTTCATCCCTACCATGAAGCTGGACTAACAACTTGTTTTAAATCCAAGTCCAGAGAAAGGGCTGGTGGCTATGAGCCTGTAAAACTCTGGGAGGACACAGCCTCCCAGGATGGATGACAGCAGGTGCCACTTTCTCTGTGATCTTGCTGGTCTCTGGTCTGGCTGGCGTTTCTCCTGCTCAGTTACACAGACAGGCTTTTTGGACTTTGTTTCCACGTAGGGGCCTAAGTCTCTTGGAAAGAAGCACGCATTGATCACTATTTAGTGTCTAGGGGATTTGATGAGAGCAGCTCAGTCCCTGGGGTCTGCTCAACTCTGCAAGCACAGATGGAATCTATGACCTGGCGAGCTCCACCGAGGCCTGGCCCCTGTCTATGGACACAGCCAGCTCCCTCCTCCTGGTCTGACCAGCAGCTCAGACCAAATCACCAGCCCAGCTTCTGGGGGCAGCAGCTTGGGCCCCTCCTCTCCCTGACCCCCTCACCAGGGGCTGCTGTGGCTCAATGCCTTGTTTCCCAGCCCCTGGCTGCTCTCCCTGCTCTGAGACTCAGGACTCCTATAGCAGCAGCTTGCCTGATGGCCTTGCTGTGGCCGCGTCAGCTCCCAGGTACTCCTCTCATCTTCACACCAGCAGGACAAGGAGGCTTCATAAAGGAACTGCGGAAACCCTGCCTGTGTGCACATCCCCAGACAGCCAAGAACTCAGAGGGAGCCGATGCTACTATTTTATTGCAGGAGGTGGGGGTGTATGCACCGCACACCGGGGCTATGAGAAGCAAGAAGGAAGGAGGGAGGGCAGAGCCCCTTGCTGAGCAACAAAGGCCGCCTGCTGCCTTCTCTGTCTGTCTCCTGGTGCAGGCACATGGGGAGACCTTCCCCAAGGCAGGGGCCACCAGTCCAGGGGTGGGAATACAGGGGGTGGGAGGTGTGCATAAGAGGTGATAGGCACAGGCCAGCCCGGTACAGACCCCTAGGCGTCCTGACAGGTGGATTTCGACAAGGTCATTGTGCCCTGCCAAGGCACAGCGTAGATCTGGAAAGAGCAGAATGCTTTCTGTGAAAGGAAACAGAGGGGACAATCAGTGTGGGTTACAGTTCAAAGCAGAAGATGCCCAGGCACGGGACATCAGAGTGGGAGTGAAGAAGGATGGAGGTGAAACACTGGGCCCTTATCTACCCCTCCACCCACCCCCGCTGATCCCAGAGCACCGCTGGACTGGGCAGTGACTGCTCCATCCCTCTCCCAGGGCTCCAACTCTACCTGGTGGCACTGGGCCCCCACCCCAGCCTGCAGGATTCCTGCCCCAGCACAGCCCTGTGAGGAGCAGCCTGTGCAAGGCCTCGGGAGCCCTAAGGGTACAGGGCAGGGGGAGGCAGCTCACTGCCCCCAGCTCCTTCCACCTCCAGCCCTCAGGCCAGCACTATGAAGGGCGAGAGGGAAGAACCCAGGGAACTGGAAATTCCAAGTCATAGCACATGGGGTGGTGAGGAGATGACAAGGAGAGTGTGGCTCTCCCCTGAGCAGAGACGTCACAAGAAATCCTGGGTCCTTGGAGAAGCTGGTGTTGGGTGAGCTGGGGCAGGTCTGAGGGTTTGGCTGCTAACAGGCCTCTACTACCCTCTAATCTGCTCAGCATGGCCGTGGCTGTGGGCAGGTGCCTAAGGCTGGGATTAGACAGAGCCCTTTCTCCCTGCCCAGCACCCAGCCCTGCAGCTGCTTCCTGCAGTCCAGTAGGCAACACTCCAAAGCACATAGGGTGGAGCTCCCAGTACCCCAATCCCAAGCTAAAGCCCTCTTAGCAAATCAAATTCATCACTCCTCTCCACACCACCCCGTCTACATGCACACACATAGGCATCTACATGAACTCACCCTAACCTTCACCCATACGGATCTATGCATGAATCCACATACTCCCTCATACATCTATCTACCCACATGCACACACACACACAGGGCAGGTAATTCCTCATAATACAGCATGTATGTTCACAGAAACCCCCATGTATGTGAATGTATGTGCACAGACACCCCCACACATATGTGCACACACATATACTCACACACCCACACCTATCCATGCATAAACCCCCACACTTCCCCAACACATCCACACACCCACTTGCACACACTCACGTGCACTTCCCCACACAAACCTATACTTGGAAACACATATGCATCTCCACGTGTACACACACTCAGGCACATGCACACGTACCCTGCAGAACATGTGCATCACACACACACACACACACACACACCCCTCTGCAGTGTATGACTGGCCCTGGACCCATATAAGGCACATACCCTTTTCAGATGTGGCTGGTCATGGAAGGGGCAGTTGTCCAAGTTGGGCTGGGTCTTGGTACACGTGGTTCGGCCCAGCTCCACGTCCAAGAAGTAGTTCACCCCAGCTACGATCTACACATGTGAAAGAGCAGGAGGCAGGGACAGCACGTTCTGTCAGTTTCTTACACACACAGGCACTTCACTGTGACCGGGTCACTGGGCTTGCCTGGGGCTTCAAGCCTACCTTCATGAGCTGCCCACATTGTCACCTGCAAGGCACACAAGCCACCTCCTCCTGCCAGCTGGCAGGGATGCCATGCCCCAGGCCTCCCCGGTAACTTGTTTCTCTATGCCAATGCCAAGGATTAACTGAATTCCGCTACCTATGACCCAGGGGGCAGGGACACTGGATCTATTCTAGGAAGGTTCTCATGTGATGATGAAATTTCGGCAAACTTCCAGTTCCTGGCATTCAGTCCACAGAGCATCTCATTCCTGCCATTTAACCCAGAGGTATTTTTCCTCATTTCTCACTAGGAGATGAGATGCTCACATACATTGATGTTTTAGGCCAATAAACATTGCTTCCCACGTGCTTCCATTCCAGGTGTGATTTTCAAGGCAATATTTCTAAAGTGAGTCACACACCTGCATGTCTTAGGGTTGCAACTTCAGAAGAGAACTGAATGCTTTCCCTGCACAGTGCCGCCCCAAAACATGACTTGTCAGAACTGTGGAGAAGCATGGGATGAGGGACCCTGGGACCAGGGTGCTAGACCTTGCCCTGTGGAACCACACACAAGTCCTGTAGAAGCACAAGCAAGGCCTGTGATCCCTCTGGTGTCAGTCTGCTCCTCTGTAAAATAGGCTCCAGGGCCCAACGATCTACAATGCCCCATGCTTCACTCCCAGTGAGAGAGAGGTGCAGGCCAGCGGGGACCCTACACCAGGGAATGGCCCTCCTGTGCAGGGAGAGGGCCCCAGCTGACGGCTGCGGGAGAAACGCGGCTGGTCTGGACTCCTCTGAATTTCCAAGAGAAGGTGGAGGAGCTCTAAAGTCTGTGTCACTGTTCGCTGCTCTGCCATGGGATGCAGGTCAAGCTGGGCCTGGTAGCCCTACTGAAGCTCCCTCCCGATCCGACCCCCTACTCCGGTCTGCTGGGTGTCTTCATCTGGCTGAGGTCTAACTCTGCATCAGCTGATAGAGGCAGGGTCAGGCATGCTCCACCCCAGCAGGGACTCAGCTGCCCTGGGATGTAGGGGGTGGTCAGCCGGCCTGAGGGTGAAGGCCGCTAGTCCTAGGGGACTGTGCCCAGGGGTGTGACTTGGGGAGGGAAGCAGGGCTCTGCAGGACAAGGTGCCAGGCTCACGTGTGGCCCCTGCGGAGAGTATTCTGGGAGGAGGATGAGCCGCATGGCCTAGATCTCATCTTGAGCAGCATCAAGCCCACCCAGAGTCAGCATAGTCTCCATCCACACCTGCTAGACCCTGGGAAATGGCACGGTCGTGGCACAGACCCAGCTGCTGCTGCAGGTTAAAAGAGGCCGAGGGGACAGGACAGGGCTGAACTCATGCACTCATGGCCCAGGAGCGTCCTAGGGCACGAAGGCCGTCAACAGACAGGGAAAGCTGAATGAGTCTGAGCATTAGATCATGAATGTGTCAGTGCTGATTTTCAAAATGGAATAGTGATTATGTGCGATATTGCCCTTGTTTTTAGGAAAAACACACTGAAGTGTTTACTTTCAAAAGATTCAGGCAAAAAATGCATATACAGTACATATACACACACCCATATTCACATTCGGAAAGTGAGCTGGGGGGAACAAACAGGGCAAAATGTTAACATCTGTGCTAACATCTGAGGGATCTGGGTGAAAGATCTACAGGGATGCCCTGTGCTATTTTGCAGCTGCTCTGTAAGTCTGAAATTACGGGAGAATAAAAAGTTAAAAGAAACAAAAGTGCTTAAAAATTATTTGGTGGAAGAACAAGGAGGCAGCCAGATGAGGGGCTCTGTTTTTCCTTCTCCTGCGTATTCAGCAGCGCACCCGGAGCCCAGCGTCCCAGGAGGTCGGGACAGAGCTGTGTGGGACGTCCTGTGCCTGCCCCCGCGCTGCGGCGCAGCTCGAGCTGGCTCCTGGAAGCTGATCTTAGGCGCCGGGCGCGGACCTGACGTGTCCGTGCGGTTCCAGGCCAGGCCAGACTCAGGGCATTCCCGGACACGCCCGCCAAGGGCTCGGGGGTGACAGCGAAGACCGGGAACAGGGTCCGGGTGAGAAGCCCAGGCGCCGGAGAGGAGCAGCACGGGGTCCGGGAGCAGCGCGGGGGGAGGCTGGGACGGCGGGGCCGGGGCTTCGGACCCTGCGGGGGGCGGCACGCACCTGCTTGCGGGCGCGCACCACCTGCAGCGCGCGGCTGTGGTACATGTCGTTGCTGGCTTTGTTGTACTCGCCGACGGCAAAGTCCAGTGCACGCCGCACACCCTCCTCCTCCACGCTGGCGTCCATGGGGCCTCCCACTAGGCGCGGCGGCTTGCCGGGACTGGAGCCGGCCGCGGGGCTCACGGCCAGGGCCACGGCCAGGATGGCCAGCAGGAGCAGCGGGGCGCGCAGGGGCCCGGCCATGGTCGGCTAGGACGCGGGACGCGGGGAGTGGGGCGCAGGCGAGAGGCTGGAGCTAGATAGAGAGGACCCGCTGCGATACCGAGGCGAGGCCGTGAGCCCCGCGAGGCCGGCGACTGCGGTTTTATCCCTTCCGGCCTTCGCCGCCCCACCCCACCGCGGCCTGCACTCCCTTTTCCGGAACGCCTCGTCCCTCCCACCTCCCTTCTCCCTCCCCGCCTCCCCTGCCTCTCCCCGCCTCCCCTGCCTCTCCCCGCCTCCAGGTCCCTCCCTATCAGTCTCCTCCCATCCCAGCCTCCCCTGCCCCTCCAGGCTTCCCTGTCCTTCCCCATCCATCCCCTTCCCTCCCCTCCCAGCCCCTCCCGGCCTCTCCTCTCCCTTCCCGCCTCCCCTCTCCCTCCCCTCCTCCCCTGGCCCCCCAGTCTCCCTGGCCTTCCCTATCCATTCCCATCCATCCCCTCCCCTCCCCTCCCCCTCCTCTCCTACTGTCTTCCAGCCTCCCCTGCCTCTCCTATCCTCCCCATTCCTCCCCATCCATCCGACCATTCCCACCTCCCCACTTCGGGCCCCTCCATGCCGCCACTCTTCAGGCTCCTTCTCCTCTGTCCCTTTCCCCTTTCAACCCCCAGACACCGCCTCCCATGCCCCTCATCTCCCTCCTCCACTCCTGTCCTTGCTCCCACTTCGCCCCCACCCCAGCTCGGCCCCTCTTCATCGCCCCTCCCTCGTCCCGCCCCTCCTCTGTCTTCCCTTCCTACCCATTCCTGGCCTCTCCCTGTCCCTGTCCCTCCTATCCTCTTCTTTCCCCTCTTCTCACCCCACTCCTGGCCCCTCTTCCCCCACCCCTTCCACACCTATGCCCCCCTTCTACCCACTCCACCCCCTCAGCTCCATCTCTTCCCAAAGACCTGTCCCTCCTCCCAAGCTTAGGTCACCCTGCCCTCCAGAGAGGTGTCAAGGCCCCCTGGGCCCTAAAAGCATACGACCCCCTAGCTTCATTTCCTCAGAAAAGGGAAAGATAGAGGTCTCGGCCTTCCGGAGTCTTCAGAGGTCCTGAGTATCCGTGAGCATTTGGTCAAGGTCTAGAAATCACTAAGGCAGAGGTGTGATTCCAGAGGCCACAGGAGACTCAGGCCATGCCCTGTGCTAGGGAACTTTTCAAACAGAAGAATTAACCTTTATTTGAGTAAAAAACTCTGGGTTCTCCTTTCACAACTCATTATTCAGTAAACAGACTTTTCACCAGCTTCCCCCTGCACCAGGTAGTCTAGGAGCTAGAGACGGAGCCTGGGTGACCGAGCCATGGACACTACATTGCAGGGCTGCTGCCAGACAGAAATGTGACACGAACCCAGGAGCAATTTAAAACTTTCTGGGAGACACATTTCAAAAAGTAAAAAAGAAACAGGTGAAGGTAATGTTTATAATATTTCTTACTTAACCTAATATATCCAAAATATTATTTCAACACATAAGAAGAATCATTAATAACATAGGTTATTTTATTTTGGGTGTGTGTACTGAGTCTTTGAAATTCCCTGTGTATGTGGGTGTCAATTGTACTGGCCCCATTTCAAGCACCCTGTGGCCACATGTGGCTGGTGGCTGTGGCACTGCACAGCCCAGCATTAGGGTGTGTGGGAGGATGGCGAATAGTGATCAATAATTAATATCAGGAAATTAGTCTCTCTGTTGGAAGTGAGAGTATGGGATAGAGAGAGATGATGCCACTGGACCTGGTCAGGGAGGACTCTATGAGACTGGAAAGGTGAGAAGCCCTGCCTAGACAGGAAACAGCCCCAGGCAGCGGGAAGGGCCAGTGCAAAGGCCCTGAGGCGGGGCTGGGCATGCCTGCTCCAGGAAGAGGAAGCTCCTGGAGGGAGTGTGAGCAGGGAAGGGAACGATCTGGAGTCTCATGGTAACTGTGGGTGGGGCCGGGTGGAAGGTGCAGTGAGACCCATTGGCAGGCAGTGGGGGTGTCAGGAGAGGGAGCAGCAGCCACAGGATGAATGTGGGAGCCCACGGGTGTCTCTTGCTCCTCCCCTCTGGGCGTCATGCTGCTGGCGCTGGTCCTCTGCACTGCTTGGAAAACTCACCTGAGTTTAGAACATCACTGTGAGTGAGGTAGAATTTATAGACAACAAAATGTCTAATCTGGGGGATTTCATTAACGCATATACCCGTGTTACCACTTTGTCCAGACCTGTGACATCTGCCTTGCCCCAGACGGTGTGTCCTCCTGCCTCTGCAGCTCACCCTCATGCCCATCCTGCCCTGGCAGCCCCCATCCTGCCCTATAGACTCGTTTGTCGCCTGTCCTTGAGCTTCCCAGAAATGGAGTCCTGCAGAGCAAGCCTGGGTGTGTCTTTGTCCTTTGCTCAGTGTGGCTTTCCAGTGGGCCCTGAGTTCCTTCATTGCCAGGATTGTGAGTTCTTCTCCCCAGACTGAGAGGACCTGATCAGCTGGGTGCCCTGTGGGGTGACAAAGTCCCCAGCTTGGGATGCTGCGGACCTGGGCTGGAATGTGACTCCAGGAGTGGCGAGGGTGGAAAGGAGGCTCTGAACAGACAGCTGCTCCCTTTGTTCTCTCAACCCCACCCTCCATGCCTGAAGGTGACCCTGTGGCAAATGCCCTTATGGCGAGGTGGCAGCTTTGCCAGAAACACCAGAAAACTCTGGGCCTTTGCAGGGCACCCAGAGGACTCTCCTGGGAGTGGTGGAGGTGAGGGTCAGCCAGGGTCAGCCCAGACCTGCTGTGATCCTGGGGCTCCGCCATGGCTGGGGCTGGATCAGCAGGAACCCGGCAGCGGGAACAATATTACTCATGGATGCTCATGTTCAGTGGTGGGACAGGGGACCTTGTTACCCGAGGCCCAGTGACCATCTCACCCCACTGTCAATCCAGCGTCCCTAGAAAAGCCATGCACCCCAGCAGATACAGCAGGTGGCCCAGATGGTGTTTACTGCTGGGTGAGGGAAGGAAGGTCTTCAAACAGGGTTGCGCATATGCCTCCTAGTTAGACAGGAAATGGGGAGAGATTTTCAGAGAAGGGAAAGAGAGGGCAGCCCCTGGCCAGGTGCTTGTGAGCAGAATGGTCATCTCCCAAGTGTGGGAGTTGGTTCTTCTCTGTGGCTCCCACCTTCCCTGGCCACTGGGGCTCTAGTCTCAAGAGGATGTGTTGTGCAGAGGGTAAGCTGAAATACACACAAATCCCCTGTCTTTTGTCATTAGGAAGGACGTGCAGGTCACCCAAATAGCAGGAGCATGGTGGTAGGTGGGGTGTGAGGTGGGAGCTGAAGTGCTGGCCTATTTCCCTGTATGTGATTCCACCGCCGGTGGTCATCCTCTGTCAGGACGTGCCCTGCAGGCACATGCTGCAGGGAGGGTCAGCTGGCCTGATGCAGCGACCTCTCTAACCCTTGTAGGACAGACACCAGTGTAGGGTGCTCTCAGGAGCTGCAGGAGCCGTGTTCAGTATGCTGTAATAGGAAGTGAAAGGTTACAGTAGCTGGGCAGCTGCTCCTGATATTTGGTGACCTTGAGCAAATGTTTTGCCTTCTCTGTGGTCATGTGTCTGGAGAGGTAGACTGCCTTGTAAACTGTTGTGCCTGGGCATCAGTGATGATGTTTAAACACGATTAAAAGTAACAGAGCAGCCTACAGCTTCAAAGACATGCTACAGAGACACAGAGAGAAACAATGGACCTAGGACTGAGCCTGGGGCCTCCAGCACCCATGTACTTGGAGGAGTCCAGCTGCCCAGGAGGGGGCATATTTCCCTTCTGCCAGGTGATGAAAGAGAAAGCCGTGGTCTCCCAGGCTGCCTTTTTGACTATTGATCTCATCATCTGAATTAGTAGAGTGAGAAATTAGGTAAATGGCAGAAATTCTCTATAATAAATAAGCAATAATAACAACACTAAACAATGCTATAATAAATAAATGACCAAACACATAAACAGCACCTAAAGGTGCAAGTGGTTAAATCAAGTTGGCCAAGAGTTGAGATTCTGCACTTTGGGTTTTGAGCAATTATCACTCGGTGTCTATAGAGGGAGCTTGGACTGAGCAGCCACGGGTTTTGGTAGCCTCTCAAAGGCAAAGCCCAGGAGCCTTCCTTATGGAGTGCCCGGAGTCCTCTGGGGTCAAGCCTGTCCCTTACACACAGGCTCCCTCCTTCTCCCCTCTCTCTCCCCAACGATGGAGGAAATGCAGATGCTTCTAGACCGTAGGCCAACATTGGTAATGCATTTGGCTCCAATAGAGATGAAGCCACATCATTAGGAAACTGATCCGCACTGGGAAGCCTGCTGGCAGCCTTGCAGACTGAGGCGAGAAAGGGCAGAGCCCGGTGTCTGCGGCCCATTTTGCACTTCATGGGGGGATGAGAATCCTTGGGACATTTCTGCTCAGGAGCAAATGTGTAAACGGCGCTCATCATTTTGGATTACAGGGTTAACATTTATTTTCTCAAGGAGTGCATTCACCAGAGCAGAGCCAGTGACTGAAGAACCACATCTGAGTGGAAGGGAGAGAGAGAGAGGCCTCCAGGGACACAGGCTGCTGGCTGGTGCTGCCAGGGCTCCACCTGACTCCCTGCAGAGGCCTGGCCACGAAGAAAACAGATGGCTCTGAGGGGGTTGAGCAATCCCTTTGGCATCTCTGAGTGGTCAGTTTACTTTCTAGACCCACGTTCTTGTAACATTCCCCTCTTAGTGTTTCTGCAGCCTTGAATATCAGTTCCCTTAGCAGAGTTCAGTGACCCGGGAGAGTGGTTCCTGTTCCTGCCCAGGATCCTGCTAAGCTGACTCACTGGGTGCTGGAGCTGGAGCCCCAGGCCTCCTGCTGCATCTTGTCAGAATCCTGCTAGGTTAGTTAAGCCAGCACTCTCTTCCCTTGATGTCTGCTTAGTAACTTTCCACCTGCTAACACCACCCCTCCACGCCATGTTCCTTGGCTGTAAATCCCACTTATTCTTGTTGTGTTCAGGGTTGAGCTCTGTCTCTCTCTTATTGCGACGGTGTTGACCCCCAGCGCGACGGTCTTGAATCAAGTCTCCATTACCATTTTAATAAGTGTCTACAGAATATTTTTTTTAACAGTAGAAGCCAGCCAGGCCAAAACTCTGCCCTACCAGAAAATCCTGTTGCCAAGTAAGAGTAAGGGGCTTGGAGGACTAAAAGCAAACAAAAAATGGGAAGAGTGCAGATTGAGCGGGGGTGATGGGAAAGGGATGGGTGTAGGGTAAGGTGGGGCTGTGGGGCTGTGGCATGTGTTTCCCCGAATATTTTATTATGAAAATATTTAAACATTCATCAAAGTTAGAGTAATTTTACAGCAAACACCTATCTACCCACTGCCATGATTCTGTCATTAATATTAGACTTCTTTTTTAATCTCACCTATCTACTGCTCTGTCCGTCTAAGCATCCTCAATCTGTCTTTTTAAAAATGCATTTTGTAGTAGGTTGCAGACATTAGTATACTCCACTCCTAAACACGTGTTAGTATGCGTATCATTAACTAGAGCTCATCATTTATTTATACCTTTTTCATTTGTTATAAAATGTACCTATAGTGAAATGCACGAATCTGAAGCATACATTAACTAAATTTTGACGAAGTCACCCTCTGTCAGATACAGAGCATGATCACCCCCAGAAAGTCCCCGTGTCCCCTTTTCCAGTCAATTGGGGGCCTCACTTCTGAGACAGCCACTGCACCAATGCTTCATTTACTATTGATGAGTTTTGTTTATTGCAGAAGCGCATGTCGACAAACTTTTACATCATGTAGACTTTTACGCTTGCCATTTTTCACTCAGCATGATGTTTTTGAGATGTATCCATGTTAAACAGTATATTCATACATCAGTCTTTGATTGCCACACATGAGGCTCCTGACACTCGCAGCCCTGGATTTCAGGCAGCATTTGCTGTAGTGAGGAGGCAGCTCTCGAGCACTCGGAGTTTTTGCCGCTACTTCCCCTTTCTCCTTTCTAATCTGGACCAGCTGCCCTGCCTTACCCCTACTCTCCCTGCTCCTCCTCTTTCATCTTTCTCTTTCTCCTAAGGTTACTTTCACTTTTTGCTTCAAGCAGAATCTAGAAGGGGGAAAAAGTGTCACCATCAATGGAGCAAAACCCAATTTTCTAAGACAACGAACAGATTTCTCCAACTCTACTCCATATTTGAAAATAAAAGTTCTTGTATTTTTAGAATCAAATTAGTACATGCTTATTATAAAATGAATA
Source organism: Homo sapiens (assembly GCF_000001405.40). NCBI lineage: Eukaryota > Metazoa > Chordata > Mammalia > Primates > Hominidae > Homo > Homo sapiens. The sequence goes on from NC_000020.11 coordinate 23,644,113, forward strand.
AGAAAATGAATAAAAGTGTAAGAAAGATAAATTACATGTGTGCATGTGAGTTTGTGTGCGCACGCTTTTGTGCGTGTGCCTGCGTGTGTACACGTGTACATGTGTGCATGTGAGTTTGTGTGCACGTGCTTCTGTGCATATGCCTGCGTGTGTACACATGTGTGCATGTGGGTTTGTGTGTGCACACTTCTTGCATGTGCATGTGTGCATTTTCACCAAACTGAGATCATGTGGTGGTTATAATTTCATGTTGCTTTTTTAAACTTCATTATGTCATGAGCATTTTTCATGTTGTTAAATCATCTTTGAAAGTTTTGTTTCATTTCCTATTCTGAGTATTCCATAGTTTAGTTTTTAATTTTTTTGCTAATGATAGACTTTTAGGCTATTTCAAATTTTTTTTTCTAGAATGACTAATACTGTGATACACACTCCTACAGAAAAAAAAAATTTTGGTGCATAGGTTGTTTTCTTCCTAGAAGTGAAACTTTTGAGTCTGGGCCTACAAAGTTATTTATCTATTTTTTTTTTTAATGAATCTCAAAAAAGACTGCCAATAGCTCTTCAGAGAGATACACCTGCCTCAGTCAGGTCCAACTAGCCACGAGGCAGTTCTAGTGGTCCAACTGCAGCATTCTGCGCTTTATCTTAGGTGTGAATGTTGGTGAGTGTAACTGTCCTCAGTTGTCATGCTGGGCCTGAGACCATGGGTGGTCCTACCTAAAGGGCAGTGCTCTTTCTAGGCATCGTTTGCACCTGAATCACATCATGGTAGACCCATCTTGTTCTTACTGATCGTTTATAAAAGGTGTTACCTTTTTCATTCTTTCACTTAGTTTAGTAAATATTCATTGAACACCTATGATGTGAGATTCTGACTTTAACGAGGTAAAAGTTCCATTTGTGCTTTCAAGAAGTCCTGGGTCTGTAAGGAGAAAGCCATCTAAACAGCTATTTCAACACAGCGTGGTGCAGGTCATCACACGACACTAAAAGGTGCAGACGCTAGTGCCGTGGCTCCAACCCTGGGGGTCTCCTGAGGCACATCTGGGGCTTTAACACCAATGCTGCACCCATGTCTCTAGCATGGATGTCTCCAGCATGAACTCCTGATGAACCTCCAAGTCCATCTCAGTGCCCTTCTCCTGGATGGCTCCAGACCCCTCAGGCCACCCAGGCCTTCAGCTGTACGTTGGGCCCACCCCTCCATCTCCCTCGCTCCCAGCCTCTCCTGCTCAGTAAGGGCTGCTCCACCTTTCTGGTTGCTCAAGCCAAAAACCTGGAGTCCCCCTTCACCAACTTCTCTTCTCACATCTGATTTATCAGGAAATGTTGCCGGTTCCACCTTCAAAACACATCTAGATGATCTGTTCACTGCCTTTACTTTCATGGCCACCACTGGGCCAGACCACCGCCAGCTGTAGGCAGCATCTGACGGGTAGCCCCAGCAGCCCATGCTCATCTCTGAAGCCTAGGGCTCCTTTTACAACCTTAATCAAATCATGCCACTCTTCTGTTCAAAATTCTCAGACCACATGTGGCTCTTGAGCACTGAGATGTGGCTGGCACATTTGTGATTTTACTGAATATTCATTAGCTTAAGTTTAAAATAGCCACATGAGGCCTGTGGCTGCTGTGCCGAAGGGTGAAGTTCTAATGGTTTCAATTCTCACTCAGAGTAAAACCAAAGACCTCCCAATGGGTCCACAGAGCCCTCATGATCTGCCTGCCATATTCTGACCTCCTGTCATACTGCTCTTCTTGCTGCTCCTGGAAGGTATGAAGCATACTCCTGCCTCAGGGCCTTTGCACAAACTGATTCCTACACCTGCAGATCTGTGGTTCTCTTCCTCACCTCCTTCACTCTTTCTATAAAGGTCAGCCTCAAAACAAGGAAACGTAGAGCCAGTGGAAGTAGAACCAGAAACATCCAATGTCAGGCAGGTAATGGTTAATTTATGTCTAATTTATCCAAGGAGAAGGATTTTATGAAAAGAAGAATGAGTGTTAGCCTGAGTCCCCTCCTAGACCATGACTCCTTGCCTGTGGGGTCCCTAAGTGGGCCCAAACATCCTTGGACACACAGTGTAACACCTGCATGCTTGTAACTAGAGTAGTTGTGGCCACGTGCCTGTACATGAAGCACTCGTGGTGATTTTTAAGATAAAGAGGAAATAAGTGGAAAATAGCTATTTGGGAAGGCTAGAATATGGGCCAAAGAAAACAGTATAAAATTAAAGCATAGAGAAGTTTTATCTGGGGGAAGAGAATGAATGTATCATTCTAACATATATGTCCAATGCATTAACCTGGTTCAAGTTAGCTTGCAGGAGTGAAAGAAAAATAAACAATAAAAATGAAAAATCTTATTTTACCTTCATTTATTCCTTCTCTAATGCTCTCGTTTTCTTCATGTGGAACAAATTTTTGATTTATATTGTTTTCCTTCCTGAAGAACAAGACCCAAAGTGATTCATAGGCAAGTTTGAGAAGCACTGTGTCAGGTGCCTGAGGCATGGCAGTTGGTCATAAAGGCTGGTAAAGAAAAATAATTCTGTTCCTTAAATTGCAGCTGTAGTAACCACAGGGACAGAATTCTGAAACTGCAAGGAATGGGTAGTTAGGATCCCTCAGACTCCTCTGCTGCAATGTCCTTCACTTACCGGCACTTGAGAAAGGAAAGTAGTAGCAGAGTGTTTGAGACTGCATTTTTTACTTTTACTTTTTGAGATAAGATCTCACTCTGTCACCCAGGCTAGAGTGCAATGGCACCATCTCGGCCCACTGCAATCTCTACCTCCAGAGCTCAAGTGATCCTCCCACCTCAGCCTCCTAAGTAGCTGGGATTACAGGTGCACGCCACCATATCCAGCTGATTCTGTATTTTTTTTTTGTAGAGATGAGGTTTTGCCATGTTGCCCAAGCTGGTTTCAAACTCCTGGGCTCAAGCAGTTCACCTGTCTCAGCCTCCCAAATTGCTGGGATTACAGGTGCGAACCACCATGCCTGGCCCCAAGACTGTATTTTGAAAGATTTCCAATTTACAGAAAAGTTGCAAAAAGAGATGGTCAGTTTTATTTGTCATCTTGGGTAGACTATAGTCCCCAGGTTTTCAGTCAAACACTAATGTAAGTGTTGTTGTCAAAGTAGTTTGCAGAAGTGATTAAAGTTAACAATCAGTTGAGTTTAAGGAAGGGAGATTATTCTAGATGACCTGGGTGGACTTGATGCAATCAGTCCAAAGGCCCTAAAAACAGAACTCAGTTTCCCTGAGGAGGAAGAAATTGTGACTGTGGACAGCAGTGTCAGTTTGTATCTGAGAGCCCCAGCTGCCCTTCCTGAGGATCTACCTTTTTTGTTCCTGCCAGCTACCACCACTGCATAAGCCGATGGCTTACAACAAGGCATGCCTTGGAGATATTGCGGGTTCTGTTTCAGACCACCACAGTAAAGTGAATTTTGCAATAAAGTGAGTCACACATACTTTTTCATTTCAAGTACATGTAAAAGTTATGTTTACACTATACTGTAGTCTATTAAGTTTGAAATAACATTATATCTAAAAACAATATATATACCTTTGTTTAAAAATACTTTATTGGTAAAAAATGCTAAAAATCATCTGAGCCTTCAGTGAGTTAAAATCTTTCTGCTGGTGGACAGTCTTCCTTCAATCCAATGGCTGCTAGTTGATCAGAGTGGTGGTTGTAAAGGTTGGGGTGGCTGTGGCAATTTCTTAAGATAAGACAACAATGAAGTTTGGCACATTGATTGACTCTCCCTTTCACCAAAGACTTCTCTGTAGGCCCGGCACGGTGGGTCATGCCTGTAATCCCAGCACTTTGGGAGGCTGAGGGGGTGCGGCTCACTTGAGGTTAGGATTTCAAGACCAGCCTGGTCAACGTGGCATGGCAAAACCCTGTCTCTATTAAAAATACAAAAAAAAAAAAAAAAAATTAGCCAGGCGTGATGGCACAGGCCTGTAGTCCCAGCTACTTGGGAGGCCGAGGCAGGAGAATCACTTGAACCTGGGAGGCGGAGGTTGCAGTGAGCCGAGATCATGCCACTGCACTCCTGCCTGGGTGACAGAATGAGACTCCGTCTCAAAAAAAAAAAAAAAAAAAAAAAGAGAGATTTCTCTGTAGCATGAGATGCTGTTTGATAGCATTTTACCCACAATAGAACTTCTTCCAAAATTGGAGTCAGTCCTCTCAAACCTTGTCACTGCTTTATCATCTAAGTTTACATAATAGTTTAAATCCTTTGTTGTCATTTCAACAATTTTCACAACATCTTCAACAGGAGTCGATTCCATCTCAAAAAACGGCTCTCTTTGCTCATCCACAAGAAGCAGCTCCTCATCTGTTCAAGTGTTATCATACGATTGCAGCAATCCAGTCCCATCTTCGGCTCTACTTTTCAATAAGTTTTTATTTATTTGCATTATTATTTCAATAGCTTTTGGAATACAATAGGTTTTTGGTTGAATGAGTGGATGGATGAATTATGTAGTAATATAGTAATAAAACAGTTCCTGGATGAATTATATAGGGTGAATTCTGAGATTTTAGTGCACCCATCACCTGAGTAGTGTACATTGTACCCAATACGTAGTTTTTTATCCTTCACCCCCCATCCCAGCCTCCCATTTCTGAGTCTCCAAAATCCATCATATCACTCCTTATGCTTTTACATACCCATAGCTTAGCTTCCATTTATGAGTTAGAACATGCAGTATTTGGTTTTCTTTTCCTAACTTACTTCACTTAGCATAATGGCCTCCAGCTCCATCAAAGTTGCTGCAAAAGACATGATTTCATTCTTTTTTATGGCTGAGTAGTATTCTATGGTACCACATTTTCTTTATCCACTCGTTGATCAATGGGTACTTAGGTTAGTTCCATGTCTTTGCAATTATTAATTGTCCACTTGTAATTATTGTTCTCTTTCTCTTTCTACCATATCTGCAATTACTTCCTCTGCTAAAGTCTTGAGTCCCCCAAAGTAATTTATGAGTGCTGTAATCAACTTTTTCCAAACTTCTGCTAATGTTGATATTTTGACCTCCTCCCATAAATTGCAAATGTTCTTAATAGCATTTAGAATGGATAATCCTTTCCAGAAGGTTTCAATGCACTTTTCCTTGATCCATCAGAGGAATCACTATCTATGCCAGCTGTAGCCATATTAAATGGATCTCTTAAATAATAAAACATGAAAATCAAAATTACTCCAGGATCTATGGGCTGCAGAGTGGATTTTGTGATAGCAAGCATGAAAACAAAATTAATCTCCTTGCACATCTCCATCAGAGCTCTTGCGTAACCAGGTGCATTGTCAATGAGCAGTGATTTTTTTTAAGGATTTTTTTTTTTTCTGAGCAGTAGGCCTCAAAATTGGGCTTAAAATACTCAGTAAACTATGCTGTGAACAGAAATGCTATCTTTGTTTTATCTGTAGAGCACAGATTTATCATAATTAGTAAGGGTTGTAGGATTTTTGAAACGGTAAATGAACATTGGCTTCAACTTAAAGTCACCAGCTGCATTAGCTCCTAACAAGAGAGTCAGCCTGTCCTTTGAAGTTTTGAAAACAGGCTTTGACTTTTCCTCTCTAGCTACAAAAGAAGGTGGTAACTTCTTTCAATAGAAGGCTATTTCTTCGACATTGAAAATCTGTTGTTTAGTGTAGGCAACTTCATCAATGATCTTAGCTAGATCTTCTGGATAGCTTGCTGCAGCTTCTACATCAGCACTTGCTGCTTCACCTTGCACTTTTACGTTATGGAGATGGCTTCCTTTCTTAAATGTCATAAGCCAATCTCTGCTAGCTTCAAACTTCTGCAGCTTTATAACCTCTTCCAGCCTTCATAGAAGAGAGTTAGGTTCTTGTTCTAAATTAGGCTTTGGCTAAAGGGAATGCTGTGGTTGGTTTGATCTTCTATTCAGACCATTCATACTTTCTCCATATCAGCAATAAGGTTATTTCACTTTTTTTTGAGACAGGGTCTTGTTTTGTCACCCAGGCTGGAGTGCAGTGATGCAATCATAGTTCACTGCAACCTTGAACTTCTGAGCTCAATCCTATTGCTTTAGCTTCATGGGTTGCTGGGACTACAGATGCACATCACTGCATCTGGCTAATTGTTTTTATTTTTTGTAGAGACAAAGTCTCACTTTGTTGTCCAGCCTGGTCTTGAACTCCTGGGCTTAAGTGATCCTCCTGCCTCAGCCTCCCAAAGTGCTGGGATTACAGGTGTGAGCCATTGCACCAGGCCTATTTCACTTTCTTGCTATTTGCAGGTTCACTGGAGTAACGTCTTTAATTGCTTTCAAGAATTTTTGCTTTTTATTCATAACTAGGCTCTTTGGCACAAGAGACATAGCTTTTGGCCTGTCTTGGCTTTCAACATGCCTTCCTTGCAAAGCTTAAATCAGTTCTAGATTTTCGTTTAAAGTGAGAGATGGTGGAAGAGATGGTGCAACTCTTCCTTTCACTTAAACACTTAGAGGCCAATGTAGGGTTATGAATTGGCCTATTTTTTTTTCTTTCTTTCTTTTTTTCTTTTTTTTCCAGAGATGGAGTCTCACTCTGTCACCCAGGCTGGAGTGCAATGGCTTGATCTCCACTCCTGCAACCTCTGCCTCCCAGGCACAAGAAATTCTCCTGTCTCAGCCTCCCAAGCAACTGGAATTACAGGTGTGTGCCACCACGCCAGGCTAATTTTTGTATTTTTAATAGAGATGTGGTTTCACCATGTTGGCCAGGCTGGTGTTGAACTCCTGACCTCAAGTGATCTGCCCGCCTTGGCCTCCCAAAGTGCTATGATTAAAGGCATGAACCACTGTGCCCAGCCTAATTGGCCCAATTTTAATATTGTTGTGTCTCAGGGAATAGAGAGGCCCGAGGAGAGGGAGAGAGATGGGAGAATGGTTGGTTAGTGGAGCAGTCAGCACACATAGATTAAGTTTGCAGTCTTATGTGGGTGCTGCTCATGGCACCCCAAAACAATTACAATAGTAACATCAAACATCATTGATCACAGATCATCATAGCAGATATAATCATGATAAAAATGTTTGAAATATTGTGAGAATTACAAAGGTGTAACACAGACACATAAAGTGAGTACATGCTCTTGGAAAAATGGTGCCAATAGACTTGCTCCTCTCTGGGTTGCCACAAACTTCCAATTTGTAAAAAATGCAATGTCAGCAAAGGATAATAAAATGAAATATGCCAGTATATCTCTTAATATATCTCTCTTACGAGGTCTGTAAGTTGGTATATGGTATTAATTTAAGATTAATACCATATACCAACTTACAGACCTCGTAAGAGAGAGGTTGAACCCTGAGTGATACACATCCATATGCCAACTTTAGCATTTGCTTCTCTCTATTTTATATATACATACATATATTATAAATATTTTTACATATATATATATACATATATATACACACACACACATATACGTATTAGAGGGTAAGTTGTAGATATTATGGCTTTTTACCCCTAAATACTTCTGCCTAAGAAAGAAGTTCTAGCTTGGTGCAGTGGCTCACGCCTGTAATCCCAGTACATTGGGAGGCCAAGGTGGATGGATCACCTGAGGTCAGGGGTTCAAGACCAGCCTGGCCAACAAGGTGAAACCCCATTTCTACTAAAAATACAAAAAATTAGCCAGGTGTAGTGGCAGGCACCTGTAATCCCAGCTACTCAGGAGGCTGAGGCAGGATAATCGCTTGAACCCAGGAGGCAGAGTTTGCAGTGAGCCGAGATCGAGCCATTGCACTCCAGCCTGGGCAACAAAGAGCGAAACTCCACCCCGCCCCCCCCCCAAAAAAAAAAGAATAAAAAAGAAAGAAGTTCTTCTGAAGAAAAGGCTTTTTGGTACTTGTTGTCACGTAATTATCAGATTTAGGAGATTTAACACCAATACACAATTATCTAATAGTAGTTCTTTTAAAAATTTATCCAGTTATCCCCAAGATATCCATTCCAACATTTTCCCATCTGCTCCTGGATCAAATCCAGGATCTCACTTTGCATTTTGTATCATGTTGCTTTAATGAACGTGCATGGGAACAACAGTTGTCCTGTTTTTGTCCTCCATGTCATTGACAATTTTTGAGGAATACAGAACAGTTGTTTTTATAATAATATTTTACATAATTTATAACCTTATAAATTTGAGTCTTTTTGTTTCTTGATGATTAGACTTGAGGCCAACTCTTTTGACAGAAGCTTTGCCTGGGTGAGGCTGTGTCCTCCTCAGTGCATCACATCAGGAGGCCCAGGATGTGAGTTTGTCCTGTTACTGGTGACTTGATGTTGATTATTATTTAAGGCAGTGTCTGCAGGTTTCTCCATAAGTTTCTCCATACTTATTGTTAATAAGTGACCTATGGGGAGATGCTTGGAGACATTATAAAATACCCTGTGCACCAGTCACTCCCCCCAGTGGTTTTAGTGTCTACTGATGACTCCATTCAAGTATGTTATTGTTCTGTGGTTGCTTCCAGGCTTTTAAATGTGTTCTTTGATTCAGCCTGCAGCAGGCTGTTAGGGAAGGCTCTTCCTTCCTAACACAGAGTCCCAAAACACTGGGCTTCAAGGGAGGTGGTGGTATATCCCTGTCTACAAAATATTTTGTGCACTTCCTTTTTCCTGAGCAAGATATAAGGTATTCTGGGCATGTTTTGTTAGGACACCTCTTTTTAAGACCTGAAGGTCTTATGGAAAATGGCAGCCTTCCGTTTTAGCTGTCAAAGTCTACAGGCTTTAACTGTGCTGGCTGGTGGCTGGAAGTGGGTCCAGGCAACAGTTCAAAGTCAGAAGCCTGAGATCTGTGTCCTTCAGAGGGCTGGTGGCAGCTTGTGCCTGGGCATCTCAGCCCTGGAGGGGAGTCAGGAAGGAGCCCCTGAAGGGGCGAGCCAGTAGCTGACTCTGGGCCAGTCCAAGGCCCCCACACACGACCCAGGCCCAGGCCCTGCCTCCCTATGGTGACCATGCTGCTGAGCTGAACTCCAAGGGCTGCTGCTCCTCCAGCACTATGGTGAGGGAGAACTTGATCTTTTTTGAGATGGAGTCTCACTGTGCTGCCCAGACTGGAGTGCCATGGGGTGATCTCAACTCACTGCAACCTTCCAGGTTCAAGTGATTCTCCTACCTCAGCCTCCTAAGTAGCTGGGACAACAGGTGCTTGCCACCACACCCGACTAATTTTTGTATTTTAGAGACAGGGTTTCACCATGTTGGCCAGGCTGGTCTCGAACTCCTCACTTCAGGATTTGATCTTCTTAGGCACTGTGGGCCTCTCCTCCCTCTACTTTCCCTTTGGCCCTCACCCATTCTCTGCCATCTGTGCTCTCTTATTCTGCAGTGGTGGCCACCCTTCCTCCACTCTGTGGCCCCGGGACCCTCTCCTTCCTCCCCTCCAGTGTCAGATCAAGGGAGGCCACATGGAGACTGCCCATGGCTGACCATGCCCTAGAGGGTCTCACCCCAGTCACAGAGCAGACTCCTGTGGGGAGCTATGCCAGGCACCTCCCCCAGGGTTTCTGCTTTAACTCCTTGCGGGGAGGCCCAGGCATTCATCGCTTTCAACCTGCACAGGTGATTCTAGAGTCAGACAGGAAGTTGTCAAGGGCCATGGATTAAAAGGTCAAAGCACAAGCTCCATGAGACAAGGGACTAATCTCTCCTCAGTCTAAAAGTCACATCAAAGATTTAGCAGTCAAGGATGGGGGAAAATTCTGCTGTGCATTTATTTTAATTCCCTACCAGGGCAGACCTGGAGGTTTTCTTTGGGATCCCACCAAGCCCTGCTTGAGCTGAAAAGCAAGAAGCACAGGTAGCAGGTAAATTCAGGTGCTCCTTGGAGCAGCTGTTAAGCTGGGGCTATGAGGCACTGCCTGGATCCAAGTCTCTAAAACAGAACAATTGCACTAAGATATTAAGAATACACACACCCACATCTTACCAAATGTTTTCATTTTCACAAGAAAAACACCATGTGCTGAGTCTTAGCTGCAAATCCTGTGAAAATCCCAGAAGGCATGGCTCACAAGTTCAGACGTGTATCACATGCACATTACAGAAGGCGAGGCTTCTCTAAGCCCCAGGGCAGGTGGGTAATAGAGACCAGCACTGCAGCAAATTCCAACATGCATCCAATCATGGTCTCAGTTGGCTACCTGGCTGTGTTGAGAAGCCAAACTCTCAGCAAATGTTACTCATAATTTGCAAGTCAGAAGTCTCCATTCCCACCCTCTGGTTGTGCTGACCCAAATCCCGCTGGCCAGGCAAGAGTCCAAGGGCTGTGTGGAGATATGGGGCCAGGAGAGCTGTGGCAGAAAGGTCATCCTATTATTATGTAGGTTTCTTTCTAACATAGCCACCATAGTGTTCAGGAAATTTAATTCCACATCACCCCGAGACTGTGAGAACTAGTGAAAAGAGGTCCTGATGGAGGGCAAGGGAGTGGGGAGGACTTGGATTGGGCAAGGCTGGGAATAAAGAGGTAGAGGCAGGAATGGAGGGTGGGGCAGAAAAACAAAGGTTTTTAAGCTAACTTGCTATTTACCTGCACCCGGTCCTCTTATATGTGCTGCCTCATTTAACCTTCAAACAACCCCAGGTGACATTTCCCCGGTCTTATAAATATTAAAACAGAAAACTGAAGACAAGCACATCCTTCACAGTTAGGCAGAAAGGGGATGCAAACCAAGTCTGTTCCTTTTCTGCAGAAGTGGGAAGTGTGCCAAGTGCAGAAACAGGGGTCTAGAAGACCCAGGAGGAGGCAGATAGGGGAACTGGGAAGGGAGGGACCCCTGCAAAACCAGGAACCCCACATGCATCAAGCCAGAGCCTGAGGAATGAGGGAGGCCCTCGTGTTTGCTTTGCCAACTGCGGTACAAATAACAGGAAAATAACCTGGCCTATCTTTATTTGTAAGCATCCAGATATTCTGGCAATCGTTTATGTAACCCTCAGCTTACACTTGCTTCTCAGTGACATTAAACTCAAGTCCTAAGATCAGAAGAGCTAAATCAATGACAAAACATGCTCAGGGTTTTGGTGGTGATACTTCAAGGAGAAGAAGAAGTTAGTGCAGAGAATACACTTTTTAATGATATGATCAGTGGTGGGAATCAAAATCTTACCCCGAAGGAGTTTATTAAAACAAGTAACTGATGTTAGAAAATGTTCTTTCTAGCTCCTTGCAGAATCCTTTGGGGATTCTGAAGCAAATTTCTTAAGCAGTCTGAATTCTCAAAATTTAGTCCAACATTCTTCATTAACAGGCCTGGGTAAATGCAAGCTTCATCTCTTCCAGAATTTAAATTTCTCCTTATGAGAACAGAAGAGGGTAGAATAAAGGAGTTTATTGTCAGCCCACACTCTCGTACTTAAAACTCAGGGCAGAAATCTCAGGCTGGCACCATTGCCACTTCACTTGGATGGAGAGCAGCATCTGGAATATGTTAGAAAAGGCCTTGCTGTGCTGCAGAAACCGGAACATGGGGCTTGGTCCAGGACTCAGCCCGGAATTGGCTAAATACACAACACTTTTGTAAAACGGCATTGACATAGGCTTTTGTTTCTCCTCTGCTTCGAACCCCACGCACGCCCATTTGGTGCCCAGCCTGACACCCACCCCCGCACCCCCACATAGGTGATCCGGACTTGGCTGCTGGGGCTGCAGGGATGCCAGCCCGTCAGGCAGGGCTCCCCCTGAGGACTGGAGGGGTTCCCTCAGCCCCCTCGCTTCCTGGGCTGCATTGAGAGGGCCGGTGTTGCCTTCTTTTCACTTCCTCACTGAGAGACTGGAAAAGGGCCAGACCTCTCCCACCCCTCGGGAGGAAGTTCAGTTCTTTTCCTTCCCTCTTTCACTTCCCCCTGCCAAGCCTGGAGCACGCGAAGGACCGGCCGAGGGTGGGCAGGCCCTGCCCTGTGCTCACCAGCGGCTGGGCAGTCTGGGCGGAGGAGGGCACCAGCAGGAGAGAGGTCCTACAACTCGGAGTTCGGAGTTCGGCAGAAAGGCCTCCCCGGGAGGGGCTGGGAGCTCCCCAAGCAAGGGCAGGCACTTCCCCTCCCTTTGGCCACTTGGCCCTGGAGGGCTTCTTTGGAGATAAATCCCACAGAAGGGGAGGGGAAATTATGTAACTCAGGGAAAAACGCTATGTGGAGTCCCATGTACTCACAATCTCTCTGGAGGAAACCAGGCTTCACCGTCGCCAGGTGACAACGAAATGCCCTAACCCCGGGCTGCCAGCAGCACAGGGCCATGGAATCCAGGGAGAAACAAGCTCTGAGCTGAGGGGTGTGTAAAATGGAGGTTCTGATTCGGTAGCTCCGGGGCGGGCCTGAGCTCTGCATTTCTGATGCTCCCAGGGATGCTGATGTTGCTGGTCTGGGGACCGCTCTGAGGTCAGGGCTGTGGAGGGCAGGCACCAGGCTGAGCAGCGGCACTGCTGGTGCTGAGTCAGCTCTTCCCTCAGCCCCTGAGGTCTGGAGTGCTTCCCGTTGGGAGATTTACTAGTTTTCTTGCTTGGCTACCCGGCATTAACAGGTACGGTAAATGGGAATACATGGCTACAGTTGAGTTCTAGTGGGCGAAATGTCCAGTTACATGTTAGCTGCAACCCTTAACAAGCAGAAGTGAATAATCTATTCGGCTACTCCACAACACAGAATGTGTGCCTATGTTTCGTATGATAGCACGAAAGTAATGCCTTAGAATTACTAATGACTCTGAAGCCTCCAGTTATTTTAAAGGTGCCGTCCTAGTTATCTCTTGGAAATACATTGAGAAAAAACAACCCTTTCACAGCAGCCCAGTGACCTTTCTACAAACTTACGCTTGTGAAGGAATCTTTAATATTTTAGATCCTTAGCCAAATGTAACATTTTACTTTAATTTTCTGGACTGGACATTTGCAGCTTTAATGTTTAATTTTGGGGGGCCAAGTCATGTCTAAACGGGCTTCTTCTTTGAGATCCCCCCTTTTGCATGTTGTGGAAAAAGTCAGAGCTTCCCCTGTACGGAAGCTGAAGAAGCCAGACGCCTTGTCTTCCTGGTCCCAGAAGGTAGGGCATGACACCTATCTTCGGGTCAACCAATCAGATATTCCAATTCTGGATTTTAAATTGGGAATGGATTACATAAAGAGACGGGACAGTGGGCTAGGAGAGGGGAAATGCCATGTCCACGTGCAAGGCTGTGGTGTTGGAGGGCCTGAGAGCTGTCCCTCACCCATGGCGCTAGGTGGCAGGGCTGCAGCTTGCTCACCAGGGAGGTGTGAGGTGTGACCTTGGTCCTGCTGCAGCGGCATGCCCACTCAGTCTGCGCTCACTTGCCAAGCCTCGTTATCTAGGTTCCCATAGGTTTGTGAACCACCTCGCTTCTTTTCAAATGAATCTTTTTTTCTCCTAAGTCAATTAGGCTTGGTTTTATTTATTTGTTGTCAAGCACCCTGGAATGTACCATGCTTCTCACCTTTAAAAAAAATCCCATTACAGGTATAAAAGACAGCACTGATTAATTTCCTTTCTTTTTCGATTCCTAACTGCTGATTCAGGAACTTCTGGGATTCTCAATAATTTTTAGCATAATAAAATAACATTACTGCCATCATAAGTATATTTAGAACACAACTTCATGTCATTTGGTGTGTGATTCCTAGAGCATTATTTGAGTGTGTATTACATAACCTAATAAGTATCTTTTCCAATGAAGTATTACTTTGCTGGATGTCTTATGTCCAGCAAGGCGTGGCTCTGTCTGCTTGAGACCCAGATATACTAAGTCCAAGAGGGTAGCTGTGCAAGGAGAATCTGTGTCTTCAAAGGTTAGCCATAGTGTGCTTTCATTAACAGAAGATCATGAATACCCCCAAGTTAGCTGCTGGGCATCCTGATAATTAATTAATCAGGATTTCCTCTGCAGATAGTATCGGGCATACCAACCAATCACATCATCATAACATTCTCTGATGTGTGATCAGGTATCTTCTAGGGAAACTTAACTGCTCACTGACATTGACAAATAGATGCCACAGAAATGCCCAAGGATTTTAAAGCTGACAAATAAAACAGAAGAGGAGAGTACCCTGGCACTTATTGCAAGTTTTACCTTTCCAACTCATCACTTTGGTGCAAGGATTGCATTAATAGTACAAGCAGCGTGGGCCAAATGATCTTGTCATGAAGGCGAACAGTTAATTACCACTTACTGGAACTTGTGTGAAAATAAAAATTTTACCTGGAACTTAGTTGTGTAAAAATAAAAATTAAGAGGCTAACACCTTTAATGCCAGAATACAACACAAAATGGCTCCATTGCTTGATGAGTAATTGAAGGAATTTCTGGAACTTCCTACAGCCCTGTTAGAGTTAGTAGTTTAGGAAATGGTGTTTGGGCATGGAGTTAAGGCCACACACACACAGAGAGACACACAGACACATACACATATACACACAGACACATACACACAGACATATGCACACACACACACACACACACACACACACGTTTCCAGGTCAAGCCAAGGGTGGAGCTACTTATTCTCTCAGCCCAATAACGAGATGCAGATGAACTGAGAAAGAATAGAGTTTATTTCTGTAACCAGGTACGGGGAGAAAGAAGGCAAGGAAAATATCGCCAGACCAACTCAAAATCACAAAGTTTTCCAGAGCTTATATAACTTCTAAGCTGTATGTCTACATGTAAGTGTGCAATCACTTAAAGACATAAGTGATTAACTTCTTCTAATCTATAACTGAGGTCTGAGTCCTGAAGACCTTCCTTTGGCGCCTCAGTAAATTTACTTAATCTAGCTGGGTCCAGGTGCTGGGGTGATTACCCTTATTTTATCTCCTGCTAAATCATGGAGGTTTGGGGAGTTCCTTCAGACCCCAGCAAACTTGTTTGTGGAGGTCTGCGGAGTTTCTTCAGACCCCAGTAAAAACTTGTTTAATCTTAAATGGGTCCTGTTGAGAATTCCTTCGTTATCTTGTCATACTTCAAGGCCCAGGAAAGGCCTGGGCAAAACTCTTGGGCTTTTGTTACATTCCAGCCTTTGTATAAGGGGACTGGCTCTCTAGGCTTTTAATATTTAACTTAACCACTTAGTCAGTGCTGAAACAGTTGTTACAGAGGCCTGCCTGTTCAGCCGTTAGTGAGACCTGGCCTGCCACACACAGACACACACACAGACACACACACACACAGACATACACACAGACACACACATACACGTATATACACGCATACACAAACCACATACATACACACTGTATTAGGGTTCTCTAGAGGGACAGAACTAATAGGCTAGATGTGTATCTAAAGGGGAGTTTATTAAGGAGAATTGACTCACACGATCACAAGGCGAGGTCCCACAATAGGCCATCTGCAAGTTGAGGAGTAAGGAAGCCAGTTTGAGTCCCAAAACCTCAAAAGTAGGGGAGCCGACTGCAGACTTAAGTCTGTGGCCAAAGGTCCAAGGGTCCCAAAGCTGAAGAACTTTGGGTCCGATGTTTGAGGGCAGGAAACATCCAGCACAGGAGAAAGATGTAGGCCAGGAGGCTAAGTCAGTCTAGTCTTTCCACATTCTTCTGCCTGCTTTTATTCTGGTCTCGCTGGCAGCTGATTAGATGGTGCCCACCCAGATTAAGGGTGGGTCTGCCTTTCCCAGTCCACCCACTGAAATGTTAATCTCCTTTGGCAACACCCTTACAGACACACCCAAGAACAGTACTTTGCATCCTTCAATCCAATCAAGTTGACACTCAATATTAACCATCACACACACATAGACATACACATACAGACATACACACAAATACATACACACACACACATGCACACATACACTCATACACTCATCTACACACAGACATACAAACACACACATATATAGACACATTCACACACACATATGTATACACATGCACACACACACACACACATACACATACATACACACGTGCACACACATACACACACAGACCCACAGATACAGACACATACATATACACACACTCATACACACACAGGCATACACACATACAGACATACATACACATATGCACATATACACATAAACACACACACACAGACACACACACAGACATACTCATACACACACAGAGACATACATACCCTCATAAAAGTCCAGCTGGGCTGGGCTTTCTCAGTGTGGGCTGTGCCCCCAGCTGGGGGAGAGGCCACTTTTACATGGCCTTTTCCACCTGGCCTGCCCTCCTCCATTCTCTGGCCTCTGGCTTCCTGCCTGTCCTTATATAAACGTCTGAATCTTAGGCTTGGGCAAAGCAAGTCCTCAGACGAGCTTGGATTGTGGGAATGAAGAAACTGAACAAGATAAGGGCTTAGGAAAACTATGGAAGCTTTGAGATTTGTCTCCATTGCGAGCTGGATGGAAAGAGGCTTCACAGGGCCTCCGGAATTCAGGACTTCTTAGAATTGGCTGCCCTGAGACCTGATATGAACCCAGAACTTGATCCTTCCACGTGATCAAATTCGACTCCAGCTGTGGCTCAGCCTCACGGAGAGTTATGATTACATCACCCCTGACAAGCCAAAGGTGGGGATGGAAAAGAAAAAACTCAGGCAAAATTAATACAAGTAGAATGGTTATATGGCCCAAATGTAAAAACTGCAACTTGGTTGCATAGATTAAAGTTGCCCTGAAGATATGCTCCAATTAGCAGCAGTTGCAAGTGAGTTTTTAAAGAAAAAAAGGCCATTTCTAAATTGTTTACCAAGAATTTACATTAAGATAACATATGCTGTAAATTGGCTATACATTTTTCCAGGATGGGGAAGATAATGGGTGAGACAGGTCATCAGGAATAGAATGCCTTTAAACAATTGCCCCCAGCCATGCGTAGGAAGGACATGACTAAAGTCCCACACTCACGTCTCTCTGGGCCTGATAGGTTTTGCACACCTCACATAGCCCACACTGCTCTGGCTATTTTTCTGTGGTCTCTCAGGCATTGGAACCGTGGGAAGCGAGTCTCCTGCCCATCTCTGTTCATCCCGGACAGTTGCAATTGTGGAGGGACCCTCCAATGACATTGGACACTGGAGGCCCAGAGAAGGAAGTAAGTAGAGCTGAGAAGGGTGTACTTCTGATTTGCAATTTCA
Source organism: Homo sapiens (assembly GCF_000001405.40). Lineage (NCBI taxonomy): Eukaryota > Metazoa > Chordata > Mammalia > Primates > Hominidae > Homo > Homo sapiens. Next base: position 23,661,292 of record NC_000020.11, read on the forward strand.
TTTTAATTTCAGTTATCTCTGATCTGGTTTACACATTATATGATTTTAAATGGGGACTTTAAACACTCCTCTGCAACAGCCCTGCTGTGGGATTCTTGTGTTTGCGGTCATGGTAAAAATCAACTTTTTTTCTTGGTTTTAATTTTGAACTCACCTTCTTTTCCCCATCTTGTTTCTCCTAAATGCTTAGGTCCTCTGAAGAGAATAAAATAGTCCACTTAAAGCAACACCAGAAGTCTCTTGGGATATGTGAGGACAATAGCTCCCTGTGTGTGCTGGAGACCTTGGACAAAGTCCCCAAGTCATATCCATACCTACAAGGTGTCAGAAGAAAAGATTACAACACATCCCGTTTAAAGGTCTTTATTGGCTTTGGTTTAGAGGCTAGAATTGGGCAATACATCATTCATAAAACAAAGAGTGTTTGATGAGCAGAGCTGAGGAAGCGGAGGGCTGAGGATAGCAGACAGAGGACAAAAGCACAGGTATTCATCTGCCTGAAGAGAGTTAAATGCTGTCCTCTGAATCCGAGAGATGGGTAGCTGTTAGGATTTGCCAAAAGGAGACTATTTATTTATTTGGAGACAGGGGCTCGCTCTGCCTCCTGGGCTGCAGTGCAGTGGCACAATCACGTCTCACTGCAGCTTTGACCTCCCAGACTTAAGTGATCCTCCCACCTCAGCCTTTCTAGTAGCTGGAACTAGAGGTGTGCACTACCATGCTGCACTAATTTTTTAAATTTTTAGTAGAAACAATGTCTTGCTATGTTGCCCAGGCTGATCTCAAACTCCTGGGCTCAAGCCATTCTTCCACCTCTGCCTCCCAAAGTGCTGGGATTACAGGCGTGAGCCACCGCGAAGGACCAGAAGGAAATATTTAAAGCTCTTGTTTCTAGTCCTTGTAACAACCATCTTTAGTACTTGTTACGGAACACAGATTGTTATGGGGGCAGCCAAGGGTTCACTTGGAATAAGAGTGGAGAAGATGCACCATGGAAAATGGGATAACTCATGCATTAGTCAGCTGCTGTTCCCTAGGAAAAACCTTAGCATCTCGGGGGCTGACAGCAACAAGCTATACCTGTCATGCTCTGCCGCCTGCACATGGGCTGGGGGTCAGTGGGTCTGGTGCTGGCTTGGCTTGTGTCTTCATGCTGGGGTCCATGCTGAAGGGGTGGTGCCTGTCTGGGCCAGGTTCTTCTCATGGAGGCTCAGACGGGAGCAGGAGGACCAGCCTCTCACACACGCAGGGTTAAGGTCTCTGCGCTTGTCCCATGTGTTAACATCCTATAGGCCAAGCAAGACCCATGACCATGCACAATGGCAATGGGGGTCTACTCTGCATTTTCTGGAAAGAGGCGCTGCTAGCTGCATGGCACAGGGCATGGATGTATACTTTAGTTCCAGCGAGGGAGCCAGCTGTCCATCCATCTTGTCACACCCCCATGAATCTTGGAAAAACACTGTTGTGACATGGCATATATGCGCCCAGGAAGCAGGTGGATTTCGTGCTGGCAGTGGTTGGCTGAACTACTACCTAGGCTGACTTTTCTCTGTCTCCTTTGTTCCATCCTGGGATTTTTCTGGGAAGTGTTGGCTTCTCAGGAGTCCTCCAAGTGTGGACAGCTCCCTTTTCAGGACCTCTCTCTTTCTTCTCTATAAAATGAGCAGGTCAAAGGCCATGGCTTCCGAGAGTCCTTTTTAGGCCTATAGTTTGTGATCTGTTGATTACTGTGTTACTCTGGATGAAGAACTTACCCCTTTCTACCTCCATTCCCACCTCTATCCATTGCTGGCAATGTGGTACCAGACTCACAGGCCCATCCTGGTGGGGGTGTGCATGTGGGAGAGGGGGCTTATGGTGAAAACCCAGGAGGAAACAGAAGAAGGAGGCTGTGAAACAGTAGTGACCCCCCTGTGCTGCAGAGGGAGGTGCAGGTAGAGTGAGTGGTGGGGAACGTGGCTGTCCCTTGTGAGGCAACACATCTGGGGGAAGCAGAGGGAGCTCCTTCCTCAGTCTCTGCCCATGCATTCTCTTCAGTGCCCTAGTCCCTGCCGTCTCACACCCCGTTTCTCTGCTCCAAGGAACAGTACAGGGTGTGGACGCTGGTGAAACACATCCGTAGTAACCAGCTGGCCTGTAGCTTCATGGTACTGTGGCTTGGCTGGAAGTCCATGCTAGGATGGGAAGCATGAGCCGGGACTTTCCAACAAGCTGAGCACACAGGCCTGTGTGTGCTGGGTGGGGCTGGGGTCTCAGTGCTGAGGCAGCACTTTGCTGTATTTTTAATTTTTAATTTTTTGTAAAAGATAAAAAGATGATGGAAGTATGTCAGGAGGACACAGGAAGCAGCTTAAAGGGGCTCTACTAGTCAACTCTGAGAAAATTTAAACATTCAAATAAATGATAGTAATAGATTACAATTCATTGAATAAAATAAGAAACCATGAATCTTCTAGATCTGTGGATAAATAGATGATTAACAAATAGAGAGATGGAAAGATAGATACAGATAAAGGAGAAAAGTTCTTCCTTGGAGTAAAAAGAATGCCATTAATAAATATAGAAAAAATGAAGCAATTTTATTTTTCTATATTTATTAGAAAAGAAGTAATAATAAACTTTTTTATTGTAGTTTTGAAGTGACTTCAAACTTACAAAAAGCAGCAAGAGTAATATAAAGAGCTCCTGTACACACCCAGACCCTCCCACTCCTCACATTGTGTCTCGCGCGCTTTTCCCTCTTTCTATATGTGTATGCACTGTTACAGCTTTTCCTGAGCCATTTCAGAGCAAGCTGCAGGTGTGACTCCTTTTGTCCCTAGACATTCTCATCTGTGTCCCCTAAGGCCAAGGACATTCTCCAGCACAGCCTCAGTGCAGTGAGAGGAATCACAGCACTAGCATGGGTCCACATTGTCGTCTAATCTGTCATCCATGCAATTCATCAACTGTGTGTCATTGTCAGGCCGCCTCAGTCTCCTCTGATCTGAAACCGTTTCTCAGTCTTTCTTATCTTTGTAATCTTGTCATTTTTGAAGATAACTGGCGATTTCATGGAATGTCCTCAACTGGGCTTTGTCAATGGATGAGATTCAGGCTATGCAGATTTTCAGAGAAGAATTGTAGATGTGATCTTGTGTCCCTCAGTACCTCCTACCAGGAGGCCATAACATCGCTGTCCCATGGCTGACAGACACTAACTTTGATCTCTAGGTTCAGATGGTATCTGACAGATCTCTCCACAGTATGGTTTACTCTTCTCTCCTTTATAATTAGGAATTATTTCACTGAGCAATACTTTGAAATATGTATTTATGTCTTACTTATAAAGTTTTCACTTTTGCTTTCTAGCTTTAGCATACAATAATAATTCCTCTTCGAATCAATTGTTATTATGATTGCTTTCAAATTGTATTCCTAACTTCGTTTTTAAAACATACTTATAAATGGCATTCATTCTACTGCAAGGAAACACTTTTCTCTTTTACCTACCTATCCATCTATCTGTTAGTCATCTATTTTGCTATAGATCTATCCCACTCATGGTTTCTTATTTTACTCAGTGAGTTAGAATGTATTGCTCTTGTTTATTAGAATGTTAAAATTATCTCAGAATAGGCTAGTGGGAGCCCCTTTAAGCTGCTTCCTGTGTCCTCTTGACATATTTCCATCATTATTTGAGCTTATCCTTACTTTCTGATATAACAAGAAGTCCTAGATTTATGTTTTACTTTCTCTGATCCAAGGTGAAAATCAGTGGTTGGAATCTGCAGTGAATGCAGAAAGCAATTCCCGCGTGCTGCCTGTACTCACCACTCCTGGAATGCCGTGAGGCCTCAGTCAGAGATTCTCAACCTGGGGCAATTTTGCTTCCCAGGGCACATTTGGTAATGTCTAGGGATGTGTTTGGTTGTTCCAATTTGTAAGGCAGGTGCTACTGGCATTTAGGGAGAGAGGGCAGGGATGCTGATCAACATTCTGCAATGCATAGGACATTTCCTAGGTCTCACATGGCCACAGTGCAGAAGTAGAGGAACCTTGTTCTTGGCCTTGTCTGTTGGTCAGTGCTACAAAATACACACAGAAACTTACCCACGTGTAGATAGCTATTGTTCTATTACCTATTTACGTATTAAAAACTCTGAGTTAATATTGACACCAAACCCAATGCAATGAGATTCTTTCCAGTCCCCTCCTTTCTATAGTTGTGGCTCTTTTCTTGGACATTTATAAATCTTAGTTCCATTATCATCAATATATTTACTTGCTTTCTCTGTACTAGAACTCACAGAAGGTGAAACATTATTCTAGATCAGTGTTTCCCAATTTATCTTCACAGGACACTCTTTCTCATGGTTGCTGATACATGTTAGCCCTTCCCCGCAAAACACAAAGGGTGTGAGGAACAGAATCGTCTAGGAAAGTTGGAAGAGAATGAATCAGATTCTCATTGCAAGTATTTTTTGTTTTAATGAATATTCTAATGTGCATTGGTATCTCTGAATGGAGGCTTTTGTATACAGTATAATTTCAATGTATTCTTCAGGGAATCTTTGAAAATGTAATTAGCAATATATATTAACTCATAGCCACATTTGTGCTGTGTGCAACAGTTTGCAAACACTGTTTTAGATCTTTTGCACCCTGCAAGGAGTTTTTCTAGAATTTTCCATGAACATAAAGAGTTTCATGCTTTTGCGGAAATTCATTACTGAGAAATATTTATACAGCAGGTTTTCTCTGTAGTAGTACACTATTGCATGAGACTGTGTATGTGTGTTTGAGATTGTGTGTGTGCATGCACCTGAACAAGGCACCAATCCCTCAGGAGCCTGAGAGCTGCCCACTACGGGTCCCCTGATGGCTCACTCCATTCAACAGCTCTTGTGTTCCCCCGGAAGCCCTCATCGCTCTTCTCTGAGGTCTCTGGGTTCCCACTGCAGCATTTGTTATCACTGTCGTAGTTCAGCAGCACCATGGCATTTTCCTAGGGTAGCATCACATTGAAGATGCACTCACTTTACCTCCTGTGCTTCCTTCCAGTGGGCTCAACCTACTCCAAGGCACCCTCTTCTGGTGAGAATCACAGGCCTAGAAGGAAAGAAGGGGATGTCTATCAGCTGCCATGCCTGTGCCTCTCTGCTTCCTTTGTTCCATGCACATGGCACACTGTCTACTTGCTCAATGCTGTGGTCTCAGCCCTAGCACTGGACTCAGTAAGGAATTAGTTGAGCGAATGAATGGATTCTCCAGCAATCTTTATAAAATATGTTTTCCACATTTTTCAGACAAGGAAACTGCAACAAAAAGTGTCAGACCCCACACTGTGATCTCAACACTGCTGAGCTCTGCCTGGAATCTTGGAACTCTCCAGCGATCTCCTCTCCTTAAGAGTGGACGTGGGATGCCTCCACGCATTCAGTCAAAATAAGGTTATGGTGTGCCTGTTGTGTGCTAGGAATTATCTTCTCATCAGAAAAAGAATCTCTCTATGTTTTGGGAATAAGTGAAGAACAAAATGATGATGTGTAAGAGGTTCTTGCCAAATTGGTCGGCACAGAGAAGCCCTGGAGAAAGGCTGACAGTATTGCTGGTGGGGGCTCTGCTGGCTGGTTTCCAGGACTCTTCCTCTGGGACAGCTTGTGCTTCCTGCCACCCTCCCCAGGGTCATTTCTTATCCTTCCCCAGTTGCATTTTGATATTTCCTTTTAAGATTTTACTGTTTTTCAAAAGATCCAAAAGTAATTAAAACTCTAGCCATTGAAATGGCAGTTCTAACAAGTCGTCTTAGAGTCATTGTCACCTCATGGGGCTGCTAGCAAGGTATCCATATGAAATCATCTTATCCACACTGGGAAAGTCTCTGACACACCCATAAAGGCATGTTCATCCAGTATGCACACTGAGTGTCCTCCACATTCCACAGATTGTGAGAAGCACAGACACATTACAGAGAATGAGATGGATACAATATTGCCTTAAACGAACTGGTGGCCAAGCCAAATTCTAACTGCAGAGAATGATCAGGAAGGAGCGATTTGAGGAAATAACATGTGAGCTAGACTTTTAAGGAGGAGAAAGAGCCAGCTGCAGAAAGCCAGCAAGAATGGTGTTTAATGCAAAGAAAATCATAAACCGACCCCTAGCTGGAAATGATCCTAACCTGTGGAAGCTCCTGAATTGAGTGAGGAACCGGCTGGCAGGAGAGGTAAGCAGACTGGGTTTGGTGGATGAGCAGATATCAATTCCTGCCATGCCTTGCACACCGTGCTGAAGAATTTCTATTTTACTCCAAGTGAAATGAGAAGCCTTTGAAAGCTTTTACCAGGACATGACAAGACACCTTTTATATTATTAGAAGGCTGGCATGGCCACAGGGAAGGAACAGGCTTCTAGTTGGTGAGAATGGGAGGGTGGAGAACAGTCAGGAGGACATTGCAGTTGCTCAGGAAAGAGAGGACAGTGACCTGGGCCTGTGCCGTGGCCGGGAGTTGGAGCACAGGAGACTCAGGATGCCTATGAGAGGTGGCGGGGCAGGACTTGCTGAGGGCTGGGTTGAGGGCGCAGTGAGGAGGAAAGAACAGAACTCCAGCCCAGGCCTGAGTAAGTCACAGGATGGTTACTCAGCCAAGGCAGAGGTGAGGATGAGCAGATTGTCAGGGCTGGGGCTTTGGGGAGGAATCCAGAGCCGTCCTCATAGAGTGTTGGGGCGTTATGCATGTAGGACTGTGGATCTCAAATGCCACCCCGTGGATCCAGCTTAGAGGTTCAGGTTTTACGAGAGTGCAGGGGAGGGCACCTCTCAATTTTGATCATGGACTTCATTTGGGGCAGTACCACATGGTTTTCCATTATGAATTAGTGATAGTCAATTTTAATCTTTGCCAACCATATTTGGAAAATTAACATTAGCAATTCTTAATCTAAAAAAGCATGGATTACAGGAACCCAGAGTCTATAACCCATGGCTTGGAAGGTGTCTGAGAGAGATCCTGGGCTGTGTCAGATTTCGCAGAGAGGGTGGGTGGCTGACCTCTGAGAGATGGAGGGCTTCTGACAGGAACTAAGGTGGGAAGAGTCTCGCAGAGCGGCAGTCTTCCTACCCCACGATAAAGAAGGTGACAATATGTTGAAATATGACATGTGAAGATGAAGAGATCATGAAGAGAATCCTCCAAGGTGGCAGATAAACCACAAAGCTACAGGGCAATTCCTGTGCCCCCAGCCACCTGCCCTGTAAATCCCGGCATCCTCCACTTCACCACAATGACCAATAGAGGGCAGCATTCACCCATGGATGACCAGCCCCTCAGGTGCCTTTTACTCCAGCTTCACCCTGGGGAGCAGGCTCTGAAGGTGGCCCTGGGGTCGACATAGGATCTGCATTGAAGGAAGAAGCTCTACTAACTAAACACTCCCTGAGTGCTGTATGGGTTCTGCAGAGGCCCCTCTGCTTGGCTCTGTTCTTGCTGCTCTGGGCTACAGGGGTGTGCAGGGTTTTATTGATCAGAGCAATGGCCAGTAGATGGCATAGCCTCCTTTTCCTGCAGCTGTCCCCACGGCCCTGCTGGACAGGCCCAGAACGGACCCTCTCAGAAGACAAGGACTCTCTCAGGGTGGGTGATGAACATGTGGACACCTCTGTGGACAAGACTGGTTTCTTTCCTCTCTTTCACTCTTCCCTCTTCCGCTGTTATTACTGTTGGCCCTCTTCCTCCCCTCCCCCTTTACTAAAGCTACCCATCTCCCATCTCCTTCTTGCTCATGGTCCCTTCTGGAGGTCAGAGGTGTGAATGCCAGGGAAAATCTACTTTTGTTCTTGTGGTTAACAGGGACACGTGATCCATTTGTGACAGACACAGTTTTCCATCCACGATGAGGTGTCTAGGGAGAAGATTCACCTTAGTCCCGATCTGATAAATCTCTAGACAGTGGAACTCTCTTACTGGTACCTGCTCAGGCCTGGTGCTTACATTCCGCTCCAAATAGCTTCATCCTCTCCCATAAAACATAATATCACCACCATCTCCATCCAAGCAATCATCATTATCATCACCACAATCACCACTGTCCCATCAGCATCACTGTTATCACCACTGTTGTAAACATCATCACTAGTGTCACCATCACTATCTCCACCAACCTCACCATTAACATACTCAGCAACATAAGCACCATTATCCCCATTATCATCAACACCCCCATCACCACTAGTACCATCACTGTCAACCACCATTACCATCACCACCATCACCATCATTATCAACACTATTGCCATTGCCATCACTATTACTACTAACATCACCATCACCACTATCACCACAACCACCACCATTACCATCACCACCATCACTACCATCACCACCACCATTGCCATCACCATCACCACCACAATCACCATGGTAATCCTCATCCGTAACACCATCATCATCATGACTACCATTACCAGTATCAACATGACCACCATAACCACCATCATCACCACATCACTATCTTCATTACCATCATCATCACCATAATCACCACCGCTTTCACCGCCATCATCATTATCGTCAGCATCACCTTCTCCATTATCATCACCGCCATCACCATTACTGCCACTGCTGTCACCATTCTCACTTTTGCCACATCATAACCACTACCACCACCATCACCAACATTATCACCACCATCATCACTACCATCATCACGCTATGACCATTATCAGCAACGTGACCACTACAATCCCCATCATCACCGTCACTATCACCACCATTACTATCATCATCACCACAATCACCACTGCTGCTATAGCATCATCATTAGCATCTTCACCACGATCACCATCTCCATCTCCACAATACCGTCATCATCACCATCATCATTTTCACTGTCACTGCCAGGTGTCAGCAGTTACTCTGCATTGGACATTGTGTTCTGCCCTTTATCAACCTCGTGTGATTATACAGTCATTCTGATTCTATATTTTATACAGAAAAATAAGGTGGCAATTGGCTTTGTAACACGATAGAAGAGTATGATAACCTGCCTTCTATTCTCAGAACTATTTTGAAATCAATAAAAGAGAAGACTTATTTTATTTCTCATCTCCCACATTGCTGGATCCTTTCTAGATAGGTCTGGTCTGGACATCCACAGTGATGTCCTCACTGGTCCACTGGTCTGCACCCTTAGATTCTGTTTCTCTGGTTCTCAAATGTTCTGAAAGCCACATCCCCTGCCACATGAAGCCCTGGAAACCTGCCCTCTGTGGCTTCCCTTCAGCTTTTGCCCATCATGTGGCTTGGCCTCTAGAGAAGCTGGACTTCCTTGACGTTCTCAGACACATCCTGTCCAAGCTTATATGAATTTGCCCTTCTGGAAAGTGCACTGTAGCTCCCCATCCACCATAGATCTTTGCCTCTTCAAATATAACATGCTTCCCAAGTTCAGGTCTACATAAACCTTTTCTATAAATCCTTCTCTGATCCATGTAACCAGGTGTGAACCTTTTGATTTTGGTCTCCTACAGCACTTTTATATTCACTATAGGCATTTATCCTCCTCCTCTCATGGTCTTTCTTACTTGTGTGTGTATTTCTGTCCCCCACTAGTCCATGAGGTCCTGGTGAGCAAGGACTGAGTCTCCTTCCCCACGTGATGTGCCTTTCAGAGATCGCTGAGAGAATCACAAACAAAAACTAGCTAATAATAATAACGTCACCTTACAATGAACATAACATTCAATAATTTATTATAGCATCACATAACTGCTTAGTAGTTACTATTACTGTCTCCATTTTACAGATGAAGAAATTGAACCACAGAGAGGCAAGTACTACAAAATCGCACAGCTTATAAGTGGAAGAACCAGGCTTTTAACCCGTGCAGTCTGGTTTCATGCTTTTGGCATGAGGTTAGATCTCCCAGCAGTCCCCAGTCCTCAACACCTTTGGATACTTGGCAAATTCCATGGTGGGCCCAGTTAGATAGCTTTTGAGCTGGAGCTCAGTGTTTGAAACCTCTGAAACTCCAGGGTCATCCCACCTCATATGGAACTTGACACTTATTCACACCCACGTGTCTTGGCCCAGACTCCCTGTTTTGGAATTCCCTTCCCCTATGTCACCTCATTGATTCCTCTTCAACTTTTGTGATTCCACAGAAATTACATTCTCCATAAAGATGACTGTCTAGATCGGGCTACCCAGAGGGAGTCCTTGTAATCAGAATTCAATTGCAAGTGGCTTATTTGGAAGGCAATCCCTGGGTACACTACTAGGACAGTGAGGAAATGAAACAGGGATGAGAAGGTGGTCAATACTATGAGTGTGAGCTGTCAGGCTACTGACTGCTATGTGGCTCATTTCTGCTGGGAACGTCTGGCAGATTGTGTTTGACGTGTCAGGTGGTGTCAGTCGTTGCTGGAGACTGTGCCAGGGAATTAGTTATCTTGCACTTACTTGGGCTATTTGTACAGGTAAATGGTTACAGATGCTGGCAAATGGAAAGTGGGCTGATTGATGCTGAGGTAGAAAGGACCCAGGAATGTAGGCAGCTTGTCCTCCTCCCCTAGCCTCTCTATGGGTTTGGTGCCTTGCTCTGTGCTCTCCAGTGCCCTATTCTCTCCTCTGATTTCCACTTCCCTGTCTAGCAGACCTGACACCCATTGATGGTGGAAGACTCAGATCTTCCTCCTCGAGTTATCCAGCACCCAATCGAGTGTCTACCACAGAGCACATGCTCAATAATACAGGAGGAGGACACAATTAGGCCCATTTTATGACAAGTCTGAAAATTTTCCATAAATCTTTGTTTAGCAACTTTAATTTATGGACAAATCCTCTTGAGTAATTAAAAGAGAAACATTTTATAAAAGTTGCAGAAACAGAAAGCAAATAGCTTTATGTCATTTAAAAAAAATCACACAGAAAAGTGAAAATGTCTATAAAAGAAATGAGAGACAAGGAAAATTGTAATCATTAGCTTGGAGGCCCAAAAGTAAAATAAGGTAAAGGTGAAAATGAATCACTGGTGCTATGAAGCTCATTCCCTTCCATGGAACAAGGAATTGGGTAAGAGAGGCAACCCAACACCACATGCCAGCACCCAGGCAGTTCCAAGTGGGTTCAGGGCAAAATAATCTTGGCATCTTGGTGAACTTGGTGGGTGAAAACACAAATGATCATCAAGGTACTCTGCCTAGGTGATGCTTTACTGCCCGAAGCTGGGTAAAATGTTTTTCTGTGTACTTTAAGGCATTTTTAGGATACTGTATACATATATATATATATATATATATATTTTTTTTTTTTTCGAGACGGAGTCTCACTGTGTCATCCAGGCTGCAGTACAGTGGCGCGATCTCTCAGTGCAGTGGCGCGATTTCCGCCTCCTGGATTCAAGTGATTCTCCTGCCTCAGCCTTCCAAGTAGCTGGGACTGCAGGTATGCGCTACCATGCCTGGCTAATTTTTGAATTTTTAGTAGAGACATGGTTTCACTACGTTGGCCAGGCTGGTCTCAAACTCCTGACATCAAGTGATCCACCTGCCTTGGCCTCCCAAAGTGCTGGGATTATAGGCGTGAGCCATCCCCCCTGTGAGGTCACTATATTTTATTATACTTCTATTATTTGGTTTCAGGTCCACTATGTCCAAAATGTCTGGGGAAGCAGAGGTGGTGAGCAGGGACAAAGTGGGATCTGAGCTGTGCTCTTGCTTGCCTGGTACCCCGGTGCTGTGGGCAGCACAGACATCTGCCTGGTGTGATTGAGTGGGCATTTGTGGTAGTCATTAGGGCTGTCCCTTGAGTGCTTCTGTTTCTTATGGGTACAAGACAGGATTGTCCTTCCCCTTCCTTTGAGTTTGTTGTAGTCATGACCTGCTTTGGTCAATATAATAGAAGAATAAGTGGCATCTGTTACTTCCAGTTGCACTTGGGGAAAGCTGGTGCTCATTGCCTTGGCCACTGATACCATTGTGAGGGTGTCTTCTCCATCATCTTGGGGTCCAGAGTGAGCACAACATAGTTCAGCACCCCCAACACACATGCAGTGCATCTATACAAATAGCAGTCACAATAATGGAATGGTATGTTGCTGTCTTAAGTCCCTCATACTTTTTTTGTTACCACAGCATAACCCAGCTCATCCTGACTGATGCCACCATTTCAAGAGAAGAGAAATGAGACTGAGAAAGATTAAGATATTTTCTTAAGATTGGACACTGTGTTCCTACCCGTTGTGCTTGCCTTATAGGTATGTGTTCTGGTTTTGACAATCAAGATATAGATAAAATGAGGGCAGAAACATTTGATTATTTACTAAGAGCAAGAGAAGGAGAAAGAGAATTAAACAGAGAGGAAGAAGATATGTAAGGAGGAAAAGCAATAAACTAGGAACCAAGCGCGTGCAATCTTTATAATTTCTTTAGAATTTTCTTCGCTTTTAAAACTTTGTTTTATTTTTGAAAGGGAAGGAGTATCTTCCATTAATTTTATAGGACATCCCATGCTTTTTGTAAAACGGAGTTTTATTTATTTTCCACTAAATACAAATATTTATTGCCTGTCTACTATAGGCTATACTTTGGCCTTTTGTTCTGTATAATTCTCCTCATTTAAAAAGGTATAATTAGTCAACATACATTTCATAGATTTACAGCCAAGTATTGTCTGTATACCTATTGGTTTCACTTTGATCTTCTATATTCAGAAAAAGAAAACAAGAAGAGACTTTAATAACTAATTATAAGATAAACATTAAGAGTCTTGTGTTAGGCTTCTGTGTACACTGTTCAGTTAGTTTTGAAATTATTTTTGTATTCATTCATTCATTCATTTCTCTTAATTCTTTTTTCCAGTCGAAAGAGAATTTATTTAAGCACAGAGATCAAGCAAAAGTGGAGCACAGGACACACTTTCAAGTTGCCTTGGGGACTGCTCTGTAGAACAAAAAAGAAACTCAAGATTTTAAGGAATAAAAAGTACAAATGAAGAGAAGGCATGATTACAAAAGTTGTTGATCAGTAATTCTCATTGGTAGACAGAAATACCAGTGGCTAATGATCGGCTATACATTGTTGAATTATAGGATGTATGGTATTTAAAATATATTTATTTAAAACTAAATTTTTTAAAGATTTTTGATGGGTTTAGGGGTACAGGTGCAGTTGTGTTACATGGATATATTGTGTAGAGGTGAAATCTGAGCTTTTAATGTACAACTACCCAAATAAGATACATTGAACCCGATAGGCAGCATTTCACTTTCACCCTCATTCTATCCTCCCACCGTTTGGAGCCTCCAATGTCTATCATTCAACTCAGTAAGTCCATGTCCATGGTTTAGCGCCCACGTATAAGTGGGAATGTGCAGTTCTTGATTTTCTGTTTCTGAGTCATTTCACTAAGGATAATGCCCTCCAGCTCCATACACATTGCTGCAAAAGTCATAATTTCATTCACTTTTATGGCTGAATAGTATTCCATGGTATATATCTACCAGATTGTTTTATTCAATGATGTGTTGATGGACACTTAGGTTGATTTCACAACTTTGCTATTCTGAATTGTGATACAATAAATATACAAATGCAGAAGGCTTTTTTATATAATGATTTCTTTCTTTTTGGGGGGTACATAGGCAGTAGTGGAATTGCTGGATTGAAGGGTAGTTCTATTTTTAGTTTTCTAGAAATTACCATACTGTTTTCTATAGAGGTCATACTAATTACATACCAACATCTTGTTTTTTGACCTTTTTTGAGACAGGGTCTCCCTCTGTTGCCCAGGCTGAAGTGCAGTGGCATGATCATAGGTCACTGCAGCCCCAACCTCTTGGGCTCAAGGCATCCTCCTGGCTCTGCCTCCTGAGTAGCAAGGACTGCAGGCCCACACCACCACACCTGGATATTTTTTTTTTCTTGTTTGTTGAGACAAGGTCTCACTATGTTGCCGAGGCTTATCTTGAATGCCTGAGCTCAAGTGATCCACCCACCTCAGCCTCTCAAAATACTGTGATGACAAGCATGAACCACTGCACTTGGCTATTTTTTGACTCCTTAATAACAGCCATTGTGACTAGTATAAGATGGTATGGCATTGTGGCTTTAATTTTCATTTCTCTGATATTTAATTATGTTAAGCATTTTCATAAGTTTGCCATTTGTATGTCTTTTATTTAAAAATGTCTGTTCATACCCTATGCCCACTTTTTAATGGGGTTATTCTTGTTTTTCTCGTTGAGTTGTTTGAGTTCCTTGTAGAGTCTGGAAATTAGCTCTTTGTCAGACACACCGTTGGCAAATCTTTTCTCCCATTCTGTAGGTTGTTTGTTTACTGATAATTATTTCTTTCGCTGTGCAGAAGCTTTTTAGTTTTATTAAATCCCATTTCTCTGTTTTGGTTTTTGTTGTATTTTACTTTGAGGACTTCATCAGAAATTCTTTGCCTAGATCAATAGTTAGAAGAGTTTTTCCTAGGTTGTCTTCTAAGATTTTTATAGTTTCAGTTCTTACATTTAAGTCTTTAATCCACCTTGAGTTAATTTTTGTATGTGATGGAAGGTAAGAGGCCAGTTTCATGAATCTACATATGGCTCAGCAATTATCCCAGCACCATTTATTGAATAGAATGTGATTTCCCTTTATATAATTTTGTCAAGTTTGTCAGAAATCAGTTGACTGTAGCTGTGTGGCTTTATTTTTCAGTATGTGTCTATTTCTATAACATGACCGTGCTGTTTTGGTTACTACAGCCTTGCAATATAATATGATATCTCCAATTTTATTCTCTTTGCTTAGCATTACTTTGGGTATTCATGATCTTTTCTTGGTTTCATATGAATTTTAGGATTTTTTTTTCTAATTCTATGAAGAATGACATTGGTAGTATGATAGTAATTTAACTGAATCTGTAGATAGCTTGGGCAGTATGGTCATTTTAATGATATTGATTCTCCCAATCTATAAGCATGGGATTTTTAAAATTTCTTTGTGCCATCTATTATTTCTTTCTTCAGGATTTTGTAGTTCTCTTTGTAGAGATCTTTCACCTCCTTGGTTAAATGTGTTTCTAGGTATTTTATTACTTTTTGTAGCTATTATGAATTGGATTGAGTTCTTGATTTTGTTCTCAGCTTGGTCATTATTGTTATGTAGAAATGCTACTGATTTTTGTACATTAATTTTGTATCCTGAAACTTTCATGAAGAAATTTATCAAATCGAAGAGTCTTTGGAAGAATCTCTAGGGTTTTCTAGGTATAAGATCATAACATAAAAGAAAACAGAAAATTTGACTTCCTCTTTTACAATTTGGATGTACTTTATTTCTTTCTTCTGCCTGATTGCTTTAGCTGGAACTTCCGGTAGTATGTTGAATAGGAGTAGTCATAGTGGGTATCCTTGCCTTATTCCTATTCTTAGGGAAAATGCTTTCAACTTTTCTTCATTCAGAATGATGTTGGCGTTGGGTTTGTCATATATGGCATTTATTGTTTTGAGGTATGTTCCTTCTATGCCTAGTTTGGTAAGGGTCTTTGTTATGAAGAGATGCTGCATTTGGTTAAATGCCTTTTCCCGAATCTTTTGATATGATCACATGATTTTTGTTTTTAATTCTGTTTATGTGGTGAATCCTATTTTTTTTATTGTGTCTGTTGAATCAATCTTGCATCTCTGGAATAAAACCCACTCAATCTTTGTGTATTATGTCTTTGATATGCTGCTGGATTTTGTGTGGTAGCATTTTGTTGAAGATTTTTGCTTCTATGTTTATTAGAGATATTGGTTTGTAGTTTTTTGTTGTTGTTGTTTTTGGTTATGTCCTTGTCTATCTTTGGTATCATCGCAATGCTGGCTACATAGAATAGAATAGAGAAGATTCCCTTTTTGGAAAAGTTTCAGTAAGATTGGCAGCAGTTCTGTCTTGTACATCTGATAGAATTTGGCTATGAACTCATCTGGTCCTAGGCTTTTTTGTTGTTGTTGGGAGTTTTTTTTTTTTTTTCTTACTAATTCAATTTTATTACTCATTATTGGTCTGTTCAAAATTTCTTTTTCTTCCTGGTTGAAACTTAGGGGATTGTATATTTCCAGAAATCCATCTATTTCTTCTAGATTTTCTCATTTGATCACATAGCGATGCTCAGAGTAGTCTTTGATAATCTTCTGTATTTCTGTTGTATCAGTTGTAATGACACCTTTATCGCTTCTGCTTGCACTTGTTTGAATCTCCTCTCTTTGTTTGTTGGTTAATCTAGCTAGTGGTCTATTGATTTTGTTGATCTTTTCAAACAACCAACTTCATTTCATTGATTCTTTTTTTTTTTTTTTGGTCTCAATTTCATTTAGTCCTTTTCTGATTTTTATTCTTTTTTTCTTTTTTACTAGCCTTGGGTGTGGTTTGTTTTTTTTCCTCAGGTTTCTTGAGGTATAACCTTAAGTTGCTTATTTGAAATCTTTCTATCTTTTTCATGTAGGCAGTTAATGTTATAAATTTCCCTCTTAGTACTGATTTGGTTGTTTTTAAGACATTTTTGCAATCTATATCTTTATTTTTATTCATTTACTTTTTTTAATGTCGATTTTAATTTCATCATTGGTCCAACAGTCATTCAGAAGCAGATCATTTAATTTTCATGTATTTGTATAGTTTTGAGTATTCCTCTTAGTGTTGATCTGTATGTTTATTTCACTGTGGTTCAAGAAGGTATTTGGTATGATTTCAATTTTTTTACATTTATTGAAATTTTCCTTGTGGCCTAGCATATGGTAAATTTTTGAGAATGTTTTATGCATATACCAGAAGACTGTATATTCTGAAGTTGTAGGGTAGAATATTCTGTAAATATCTGTTAGGTCCATTTGCTCTAGAGTTCAACTTAATTCCAGAATTTTTTGGTTGATTTTCTGCCTCAATAAACTGTCTAGTTCTGTCAGTGAGATATTGAAGTCCCATACAAATACCGTATTGGTATTTATCTCTTTTTTTAGGTGTAGTAGTATTTGTTTTATGAATCTAGGTGTTCTAATGTTTGGTGCAAATGTATTTGGAATTGTTAGATCTTCCCCAATAAATTTCTTTATCATTATATAATTACCTTATTTGTCTCATTTATAGATTTTCCTATTTTTTTCCTTTTTGTTCTCTCTCTGAAATATGTGTGACTCCTAATTTTACATGCTTTTTATATGGTCCCATATTTCTTGAAATGTTTAATCATTAATTTTTTTCCTTTATTTTTGTCTGACTGGGTTAATTTCAAAGACCTACTTTCCACATCTGAAATAATTTCTTCTGCTTTGGTCAAGCCTACTATTGATACTTTTAACTGGATTTCAAAATTTCACCAATACATTTTTTATTTCTAGTAGTTGTTTGGGTTTTTAAAAATCTATCTTTTTTGATACTTGAATAGTATTTCTGATTTATTTTGGTTTTCAATTTTCTCTTGGATTATATTGTGCATTTTTAAAATCGGCATTTTAAATTCTTTATCAAGCATTTCAGAAAAATTATTTTCATGAAGACCCATTGCGGGAGAGTTAGTGTGGTCCTTTTGAGGTATTGTTACACTCTGCTTTTCCATACTTTTGGAATTTTTTCTCTGGTTCCTTCTCATCTGTAAAGCTATCTCTGTTTCTAATTTTTAAATTTACTTTCATTTGGAAGGGATGTTTTTGTTTTTTCCTTTTCTCCCTTGAGAATGTGTATAATGTGTGCTGTGTAGGGTTCAACTTTGGTTCTGGGTGCTTTCATTGTCAAAGGTTCTGTGTATGTTCCTTGGTTATAGGTAGTCTTTGTATGGTGGCTTCCTTAGATGTTGGTTGTAGTAGTGGTGAAGGGAGAAATGAGTGGGTTCACTGCCTCCTACATGTCCAGTATGGCTGAGGTCTCAGGAAGTTTATCTCATTCTCCAGTGCTATGCATTTCTGTCAGCAGATTTTCTATTAGATTGTGCCATTTATTTTCCAATCCAGTGGGTGGTGCTTATGGATAAGAACCAGCTAAGGCTGATTCAGATGGGGCATATACTTGATCTTTGTTTATGGCGAGATGCTTTCTGCTGCCTCAGGCAATGGGCTATGTTGTGGAATGCACAGTGGTGTGAGCTCCCTGTACAGTCCTGGACTGAGGGACCAAGCTGGCTTGGGCCAGAGAATGCAGACATGCCTACATGTCCACCAGTGGTAGGTGCAAGCACTATCTCTGAAGTCAGATAAAGAGGCAGCTGCAAAACATCCAGAGATGTGCCTGGGTATGGAGGGGATAATCCTCTGCTGCCCAGTGTTCTCTGCCTGGAAAGGGAGTGGTAACCTACCCTCCTAATCTAGAAAAGCGAGTACTCCACATGCATGAAGATACGTCCAGGCATGCAGCACAGTGGGTGCTGCTGATTCAAGACCTATGCACCTGAAGGGAGGGGTGGCTGAGGCTCCTAATCCAGGTGAGAAGGTTCTCCAAATGCCTGGGAATGTGCCCAGCATGGAGTGGAGAGGGTGCGTCTGCACCAAGATCTCTGCATGAGAAGGGAGGGGAAGCTCAGGTTCCTATTCCAGGTAAGTGGGTACTCAACATGCCTGGAAATATCCCTGAGCAAGACAGAGACGGCACTGCTGTACCAAGATTTCTGCACAGGACAAGAGAAGTGACTCAGGGTTCCAGTCCAGTAGAGCAGGTGCACTGAGTGCTTGGAACTATGCCCTGGAGAGGAGTGGAAAATAAAGACGCACTAAGATCTCCGCATTAGAAGGGAAAGGCAACTTATACTCCTAATCCAGGTGAGGGGGTGTACTGAATTCTTGAAATTATGCCTGGTTGTGGAGTGAAGAGGGTGCTTCTGCACCAAGATGTCTGCACAGCAATGGAGGGGTGACCCAGGATCTTAATCTAGGTGAGCAGATGGGCCAAATGCCTGGAAATATGTCCCTCAGTGAGGAACAAAAAAATTTGCTGCAGAGTGGAGAAATGGCTGTTGCAAGAAGCTCTGTTCATGGGAGGGGTGCCAGGCCCTTATTTCAGGAAGTGGAAGTGTTGAATGCTGGGAAATATGCCCAGGCTTGGACCTGAGGGGGGGGTGTTTTTGCTCTGCCAAATTATTTGCAAGATAAGGGAGCTATGAACCACACTCCCCATTCACACCAGCAGCTCAAAACTGGTGGGACACACCTCCCAACTGACAAAGGGGGCAGGCTGGGGCACCCAGAAATGACACCCACACACAAGTCCATGACTGCATAGCTGTTCCTGGCCATAGTACCTATCACTCAGGAAAAATTGTGGCTTCAGCAACTCTCTTTAGTATGGATTTCTATTTTTATTTCATTTTGTCTTATTGGTATTGATTTCTATTTTTATTCCACTGTGGTCTGAGATTACAGTTAGTATGATTTTCCTTTTTTAATTTATTGAGACCTGCTTCATGGCTGAGCATGTGGTCTGTCTTAGAGCATGCTCTGTGGTCCCATGAGAAGAAAGTATGTTCTGTGGTTGATGGGTGGTGTATTCTGTAGATGTCTATTAGGTCCAATTGGTCAAGTATCAAATTTAAATCCAGAATTTCTTTGTTAGTTTTCTACGTCAATAATCTATCTAACACTGCCATTGGGATATTGAAGTACCCCATTATTATTCTGTGACTAATTCTTTTTGTTGGCCTGGGCATACTTGTTTATCAATCTAGGGGCTGCAATGTTGGGTGCACATGTTTAAGAATAACTAAGTCTTCTCGTTTAATTGAACCCTTTGTCATCATGTAATGCCCTTCTTTGTCCTTTCTAAATTGCTGTTTTGGGATTAAAGTCTGTTTCATCTGATGTGAAAATAGCAAACCTCTCCCTTTTGTGTTTTCTATTTGTGTGATAGATCTCCCTCCAACCCTTTTTGTTGAGACTATGGGTGTCATTATGTGTGAGATGGATCTTTTCAAAGACAGCAGATGGATGGGTCTGGGTTTTTAAATACAACTTGTAATCTGTGCCTTTTAAGTGGGTCATTTAGGCTGTTTATAGTCAAGATTAATATTTTTTGTTTGTTTGTTTGTTTGTTTGAGACAGAGACTTGCTCTATTGCCCAGGCTGGAGTACAATGGCACGATCTCGGCTTACTGCAACCTCTGCCTCCTGGGTTCAAGTGATTCTCCTGCCTCAGCCTCCCAAGTAGCTGGGATTATAGGTGTGCACCACCATGCCCAGCTAATTTTTTGTAGTTTTAGTAGACACTGGGTTTCACCATGCTGGGCAGGCTGGTCTCGAACTCTTGACCTTGTGATCCACCCGCCTCAGCCTCCCAAAGTGCTGGGATTACAGGTGCGAGCCACTGTGCCCGGCCCAAGGTTAATATTTATATGTGAGTTTTTGATCCTATCATGAAGGTGACAGCTGTTTTCCTTGTAGTATGTATTGTGTTGTTGCTATCTACTGTCTCTGAACTATGCATTTAACTGTATTCTTGCAACAGTAGGTGTTGTTCTCTTATTTCCATCTTTAGACCTCGTTTAAGCATCTCTTGTAAAGCTGGTCTAGTGGTAACACATTTTCTCAGTGACTGCTTGTCTGGAAAAGATTTTTTTTTCTTCTTTGCTTATGAAGCTTAGTTTGATGGGATAGGAAATTTTGTTTGGAATTTATTGTCTTTAAGAATGCTGAAAATAGGCCCCAAAAGATTGGGTTCTTTCGACACCTAGTCAAAAATGAAAGTGTTATCCTCATGAAAATGTACTCACTAATATGGTATGTACAATAGTTAGTGTATCATGAAGTTTGTTTTTATTTTATGTTATTTCGTTTTTCATTTTACCCAAGTGAGACCCAAATTGTTTTATTTTTTACAGGAATTTAATGAGATAGGATTTCTTGACTTTCACATTTGTAGGGTGCAGAACTGTGTAGTGAACTGCTCACAGCAAGGATGTATGCCTGTGAGGTGACACAGACCCGATGGATCAGACTTGGCCTCCATCCTCCTCTTATCCTGATGAAATCTGACAGCTCCAGACAACACAGATGTAAAACTTTGACCAACAGTAAGATGGCTTGAAGAAATACTTCTTTCAGGACAAACTCTTTCTGCACATTCCATAAGGTAATCAATATAGGATATAATTATACATTTGCACAATTTTGAAGCCCACTACAACAATGAGAGTTTTAAAATGCTGTGATTAGTGATCATTGTCAATAGAGTCTTAACGATCATCAATCTTAAGTCAAGAAAATTTAGAAAGTACTAAAATCTTAGTGCTCACATGAAAGAAAACTGGAAGCTTTTCCAAATTAGACAACAACCAGACAAATTTGCATAATATTACCAATGTGAGTTTTGAAGCAGAAAGAAAATGTTATAAACCATGATTTTCACAAGTAGGATTGATTGTAGTATTTCATAATTTTGGATGATTGTAGTATTTATCAGAATTTTAAAGTGATCAAACTGAGTGGAAAGACTGGTTTACCTTTCTGCTATATTTATAGAAAATTCTATTATAAAATCAATGTCATGTGATGAGGCAAATTGTGACTCAATAGTTGACTATGAAAACATAGAAATAACTTATTACACTGCTGTGTCAAGTAGCTAATTAATAAAAATGCTATGTTAGCAAGTAAAAAGAACACAAATTTAGGAAGGGCAAATCTGCCCTTTCATCTGCAAGGTGCATGGATGGACTGATGAGGACAAAGCCAATGACATCATGAACAGGAAACAATGTTTCTCTCAAGCTGCAGGTTTGAAAAGTCAGGAAGCCTCTTCCTTGGCTGAGGACTGCTTTCTGACTCAATGGAAGACCTTATTCTCTAGTGTCAGGGGCTGTCAGAAACTTTGCTTATGAGTAAGAAGAACATCCCACTGCCTGGATGATCTATATCCACCTTTACACAGAAGCACAGAGCTACAGAGAAGGGGTTTCTGGATGGAACGTTCCACATCTGGCTGGACTTTATGGGTTCTAAAGACACAGGACCTAGGTCCACTTTGCAGACGAGACTTGACACTGGCTGCTTTACACTGAGGCCTGCCATGCTCTGAGTCCATCACTACAGCCTCAAAAATCCCTCCCCACAGTCTTATAGTAACCTCTTTGCTTTGTTTTTTGAATCATCCCAGATATCTTGATGTGAATTTATTCCCTTTTTGCAATAAGCCAATAATCTTGAGTCTGTTAACTGCAAAATCAGTTTTGATGACTGATCGCACTAGGATGTATATCATTTTTCTGGAATTTGGGATGATTGTTGTATTTATTAGGACTTTAAAATGAGTAATTTGTTGTGACTTATTTCCTCTTCTTAAATAAACACTAACTTCTGTGCTTAGTTTCAAATTGGTTATATTATGCTATTTTTCATGCAGATAACCCTCTGAATTATGTAAGCCTCAGACCTCACGGAACCTGGGTTGTCTGTGGTCATAGTGCTGAGAATCCACCTGCCCAAGGAATGACCGCACTTGTTCCTGCTTCCCAGGCCTCCATTGGATTTATCTCTCCTTCCAGAGTGATTTGTCTATGCTGAAGGTGGAATTTCTAACCTCTGTGGTTTTACACTTTTAGCAAGAATATGTGACATTATTTTTGCTAAAGGAACTCTTAGAAGGGGTGCAATATTTCCAAAACATGACCCTTAGGAGACTTTTTTACTCCCAAAACCCGGTAGCTTCCAGAGAGAGCCCAGATCCTCAGCTTGGTGCAGAAGACAAAGACCCACATGCTCACCTTCAAGCTTCGCTGTCCCCTGCTCCCCACCTAGGGAACAGACACACAGGGAGATGGTGGAGGGAGCCCTCTACAGAGCCAGACTTTCCCCTCCACTTCCCCAGGAAGAGAGAAGTCAGAAAAGTTACTGGTTTACAGAAAATCACCTTTTCCTTGTGTCCTTGGATGGTGGTTGCTTATGTCAAGACAGACCCTCCACCAGGTAGAGAACCATGAGGATCTCCATGCAGGGAAGACTTTGCCCCTAACCACGATTCCTGGGCACATGCTGTTCTGCTCTCAGCCCCTCTTTTCCAACAGAAGCCTGAATCAGTGTGTGCACCCCCCGACCCCCCTACACCGGGTGAGACCCAGACTCAATTCTCCTCAGCTCATGGCCTCCTGGGCGCTGCTTCACTTTTTTCAACCCAAAACCTTGGTTAAATCCCGTGGGGGTGGAGGGGAAATGAAGGAGGTGCTCCCCACTATCCCTACCAGATCATTCTCCTCCTGGCTTTCTATGTGCGGCACATGGGGTGCTGGCCTCAGGGCTGTTTGGGCAGTTTCCCCTTTGTCATTTCCCCCTCGGTGTTCATGGCAGCCACTCTTGGTCAACACAGCTCTTGGCATGGAAGATAGTTGAGAGCCCTTCCCACAGGCACCTGCCCTGAGGGCTGCACCCCTCTGCCCTGAAATGGCAATGGGAAAGGCCATGCAGGGTGGGCGGGCTCTTAGGACTGTAGCCTCTTCTTTGGAGTGCAACTACCCACTATTCTACAGAATGGTTTTGACACTAAGGTGATGTTATTTATTAATTAAAACATCCTTTGTGAAAAAAATCGAGTGTCCACTGCATGTCACTTCCATTTGTGTTTTAGCTTCTCCATCCCTACCAAGAAACCTGACCTGAGTGCTGGTTTTAAATCCAAGTCTAGAGAAAGGGCGGCTGGATGAGAATGTGTAAAACCCTTCTAGGGCACAGCTTCCTAGCGTAGGAGACAACCTCCCAGCCTGGGGCACACCCTCCCAGGATGGATGACAGCAGGCTCTGCTTTCTCTGGGTGATCCTGCCCATCTTTGGTTTGGGTGGCATTTTTCCCAATCAGTTACACACACACACACACACACACACACACACACACACACTTTTGGACTTTGTTTCCATGTTGGGTCCTAAAGTCTCCTGTGGAAAGAACTACACGTCAATCGCTGTCTATTTAGTGTCTAGGGGATCTGATGAGAGCAGCTCAGTCCCTGGAGTCTGCTCCACTCTGCAAGCACAGATGGAATCTACGTCCTGGCGAGCTCCACCGAGGCCTGGCCCCTGCCTGTGGACACAACCAGCCCCCTCCTCCTGGTCTGACCAGGACCTCAGACCAAAGCACCAGCCCAGCTTCTGGGGCAGCTGCCTGGGCCCCCTCCTCTCCCTGACCCCCTCGCCAGGGGCTGCTGCAGCTGAAGGCTTGGGTTTCCAGCCCCTGGCTGCTCTCTCCCTGTTCTGAAGCTGAGGTCTCCAAAAGTGGCAGCAGCTCCCCTGATGGCCTTGCTGTGGCCGCATCAGCTCCCAGGTACTCCTGTGATCTCCACACCACCAGGACAAGGAGGCTTCATAAAGGAACTGCAGAAACTCTGCCTGTGTGCACATCCCCAGACAGCCAAGAACTCAGAGGGAGGCGATGCTACTGTTTAATTGCAGGAGGTGGGGGTGTGTGTACCATGTACCAGGTCTATTAGAAGCAAGAAGGAAGGAGGGAGGGCAGAGCGCCCTGCTGAGCAACAAAGGACTCCTGCAGCCTTCTCTGTCTGTCTCTTGGCACAGGCACATGGGGAGGCCTCCCGCAGGGTGGGGGCCACCAGTCCAGGGGTGGGAGCACTACAGTGGGTGGGAGTGGGTGGTGGTCGGTGTGACTGGCCTGGCACAGACCCCTAGGCTTCTTGACACCTGGAATTCACCAGGGACATTCTGTCCTCCCAGGGAACTTCGTAGATCTCGAAAGAGCACAACTGTTTCTGTGAAAGGGAAGAGAGAGGGCCAATCAGTGTGGGTTACAGTTAAAGGGGAAGATGCCCAGGCATGAGATGTCACAGCCTGGGTGAGGAGGATGGAGGTGAGACACTGCACCCTCACCCACCCCTGCTGAGTCCCAGAGCACTGAACTAGAATGAGTAGTGACTGTACCATTACCCCTCCCAAGGCTCCAAGTCACCAGGTGGCATTGGGCCCCCACCCCAGCCTGCAGTGTCCTGTCCCATCACAGCCCTGTGAGGAGCAGCCTGGGCAAGGCCTCGGGAGCCCCAAGGGTGCAGGACATGGGGAGGTGGCTCAGTTCCCCCAGCTCCTTCCACCTCCAGCACCCAGGCCAGCACTAAGAGGGGCCAGAGGGAAGAACCCAGGGCAGGGCAACTCCCCCTCAAAGAGCTGGGGCATGGGTCAAGGGCAACAAGGGGAGTGCCGCTCTCCCCTGAGTGGAGACCTCACAAGAACCAGCAGGTTCTTGGAGAGGCTGGTGTTGGGTGAGCCGGGCAGGTCCAGGGCTTCCCAGCTAACAGGCCTCTAGGTCCCACTAATCTGATTGTGGCTTTGGCTGCATGCAGGTGCCTGAGGCTGGGATTAGACAGATCCCCTTCTCCCTGCCCAGCACCCAGCCCCGCAGGTGATTCTTCCTGTCCAACAGGCAACACCCCAAAGCAGGCAGTTGACCTTCTAGTAACCATTCCCAAGCTAAAGCCTTCCTAGCAAATCAAACACATCACCCCCTCCCTCACCACCCCATCTGCACACACATAGGCAACTACGTAAACTCACTTGGACCCCTCATCCCCATGGATCTATGTACAAACCCCCATACTTCCGCCACACACCCACACACAGGCACACATGCTTCCATACACCTACCCGCACACACTGGCACATGTGTGTACACACGTGCACCTTTCCACATGCACACCTACATGCACACCCCCCCATAAGTACATGAACACGTACACATCCATGCATACACGGCTCCCCACATACCCACCTGCACACACACACCGTCCAAACATGGGTAGGACAGAGGCTGACACATACGCACCCCTCTGCAGTGCATGACTGGCCCGGGACCCGCATCAGGAACGTACCTTCTGCAGTTCTGGCTGTTCATGGAAGGCACAGGTGTCCAAGTTGGGCTGGGACTTGGTACATATGGTGCGGCCCACCTCTACGTCGAAGAAGTAATTCACCCCCCCAAAGGTCTGCACACAGGAGAAAACAGGAAGCACGGACAGCGCCCCCATCAGTTCATGCACTCACAGGCACTTCACTGTGGCTGAGTCACTGGACTTGCTTGGGGGCTTCGTGAGCTGCCCACATGTCAACACAAGGCACACAAGCCCCCTCTTCCTGTCAGCTGGCAGGGTGCTGAGCCTCATGCCCGCTCTTAAACATCGTTTTCTCTGTGCTGGGTAAGAGGATTCATTGAATTCTGCTACCTGTGGCTCAGGGGTGAGGGAACACTGACTCTTTTCTAGGAAGGCTGTCTGATGACAAAATTTCAGCTAACTCACGAAAATCTTATTCCCTCCATTTAACCTAGATTTATTACTTCACTTAGAGTAGGAAATGAGATGCTTCACACACACAGATATTTTGGGTCAATGGGGCCGCCCAGATGCCACCATTTCAAGTGTGAGGTTCAAGATACGTTTCTCAAGTCAGCAGCACACCTGAGTGTCTTACAATTGCAGATTATAATTGAACCCTTTCCCTGCACAGGGCCTCTCCCAGACACTACGTGGCAGAGCTGTGGAGAAACCTGGGATGAGGGACTCTTTGGAACCAGGAGGAACTGCTGAGATCCCTCGAGTATCAGTTTACCCATGTATAAAATAGGCTTCCAGGTCTGATGGTCTGCAATGCCCTGTGCTTCACTCCAAGTTACTGTCATGCTTAAGAGGGAGATGCAGGCCAGCGGGGACCATGGCACCAGGGAGTGCACCTCCTGTGCAGGGTGAGGGCTCCAGCTGACAGCTGTAGGAGGAGAAACGGGACTGGTCTGGATTCCTTTGAATTTCTAGAAGGTGGAGGAGCTCTAAAGGCTGTGTCACTATTTGCTGCTCTGCCATGGGATGCAGGTCAAGCTGGGCCCAGTTGCCCTGCTGAAGCTCACTCTGGACCTAACCCCTCCTCTGCTCTGCTGGGTGACTGCTGTCCTCATCTGGCTGAGGTCTAACTCTGCATCAGCTCGTAGAGGCAGGGCCAGGCGTGCTCCACCCCAGCAGGGACTCAGCCATCCTGGCCTGCAGGGGTGGGTCAGCCTGCCTGAGGGTGAAGGCCACTAGCCCTAAGGGGCTGTGCCCAAGGGCATGACTTGGGGAAGGAAGAAGGGCTCTGCAGAACAGGGAGCCAGGTTCCCATGTGGCCCCTGAGGAGAGGACTCAGGGAGGAGAATGAGCCTCACCGCCTGGATCTCATCCTGAGCAGCATCAAGCCCACCCAGAGTCAGCACAGTCTCCATCCACACCTGCTGGACGCTGGGAAATGCCACGGTCATGGTACAGACACAGCAGCTGCTGCAGGTTAAAGGAAGCTGCAGCACTTCCTTTAACTGTCTGCAGTGCATGGACCGGGAGCATGCTTAGGCATGAAGGGCATCAGCGGAGAGTCAGAGAAAGCTGAATGAATCTGAGCATTAGATCATGAATGTGTCAGTGTTGATTTGCTTGGAATGCTCTTGGGGGTCCGGCAACAAACCAGGCTAGGGCTCAGGACCCCTCGGGTGGAGGCAGCACCCACCTGCTCCCTGGCTCGCAGCACCTGCAGCGGGCGTCTGTAGTACTCATCTTCGGTGGCCTTGTTGTACTCGCTGATGGCGAAGTGAAGGGCACGCTGTACCCACTCATCATTGAGGTCTGCATCATAGATGCCACCTGGGATTATCCTATTCTCCTCCTTGGAGCTCGAGGCCAGAGCCCCAGCCAGGGTAGCCATCAGGAGTAGCAGGGTACACAGAGGCCGGGCCATGGTCTCCTCAGAGGCAGAGCACAAAGCTGGAGCTGCAGGAGAGGAGGGTGAGAGCCCGAGGCAGGGAGCCCAGACCAGCAGGCAGGTGTGCATTTATCCTGCTTTGGCAGCCCAGCCCCACCCACCTCCATGCCCTGCCCCTGACTCCTCCTCCTCTTTCTGCCCATCCCCTCTTTCTCCATCTCTCTTTTCACTCCCCCACCACTACAAGCTCCCTCCCTGCCTAAGTTCCCCCTGCCCCTCCCAGGCCTCCTCCTCCATCTCCCCCTCCTCCCCACTCCAGTCCTCACTGCAGCCTCCCTGAGCCATGCCTCTCTTCCCCAGTGCTCCCAAGCTTGAGTCACCCAGGTCTCCACAGAGGTGACACTGGTCCTTTGACTGTGAAAGCAATGTGACTTCCTGTTTGCTCAGAAAGGGGAAAAATACAGGGCTTGGCCTCCCGGGGTCTTCAGATATCAGAGGCTTCCAGGAGCACTTGGTCACGGTCTCTGAATCTCTGGAACAGAGAGGTTATTTCAGAAGGTTCCAGAAGACCCTGTCCACACCCTAATATGGAGAATTTCTTTGCCAAATTTAAGGGAATTAACCTTTTTGGAAAAGGTCACTGGCTTCTGTTTTCATAACTCATTATTCAATAAACAAACCTATCACCAGTTACTGCCCATGCCAGGAGGTCTAGGGCTTGAAGACGGAACCTGGATGATGAGCCATAGAGGTGACATTGCAGAGCTGCTGCCCACAGAGATGTGACATGAACCCACAAGCATTTGAAAATTTCTAGTAGATGCATTTTAAAAGATGAGAATAAATGGGTGAAAGTAATGTTTAAAATATTTATTTAACCTAATATAGCCACAATATTATTTCAGCTAACGGGAACAATTATTAATGAGATCGTTTATGTGTGTTTTTTTTTTTTGGTTTTGTAAATCTTTGAAATTCCCTGTGTATTTTTTACACTTAGCCCAGGAATCATTTTGGACTGGCCCCATTTCAAGTGTCCTGTGGCACATGTGGCTGGTGGCTGTGGAACTGCACAGTAAATTCCTACACAGTGTGTGTAGAGGATGGTAGGTTACGATCAACAATTAGGATCAGGGAGTTATACTCACTCTGTTGGAAGTGAAATAGAACAGGGGCTAGAGAGAGACCACTGGACCCTGGTCAGGGTGGTCTCTATGAGACTGGAGAGGTTGAGCAGCCCCAGGCAGCGGGGAACAGCCAGTGCAAAGGCCCTGAGGTGGGGTTGGGACATGCCTGCTCCAGGAAGAGGAAGCTCCTGGAGGGGATGTGAGCAAGGGAGGAAACCACCTGGAGTCTCACGGTAACTGTGGGTGAGGACCGGTGGAAGGTGCACGGAGACCCCTGTGAGGCAGTGGGGGTGTCAGGAGAGGGAGCAGCAGCCACGGGATGAATGTGGGAACCCACAGGCCTCTCTTGCTTCTCTCCTAGGCAGCCATGCTTCAGGCTCCTTTCCTCTGTGCACTCCTTGGAAGACTCACGTGGCATTTTAAAAATTGCCTTAAATGAGGTAGAATTTACATACAATAAAATGCCTAATAGTATGTGCCCAATCTGGGGGATTTCATAAATGCATACACTTGTGTTACCACTTTGTCCAGACCTGTGACATCTGCCTTGCCCCAGACGGTATCCTCCTGCCTCTCCAGCCACCCTCGTGCCCGCCCCACCCTGGCAGCCCCCATCCGGCCCTGTAGACACCTTTGTCGCCTGTCCTTGAGCTTCCCAGGAATGGAGTCCTGCAGAGCGAGCCCTGATGTGTCTTCATCCTTTGCTCAGTGTGGCTTTCCAGCGGCACCTGAGTTGCTTCATTGCCAAGACTGTGAGTTCTCCTTCTCCACAGACTGAGAGGATGTGGTCAGTTGGGTGTCCTGTGGGCTGACAAAGCCCCCAGCTTGGGATGCTGTGGGCCTGGGCTGGAATGTGTCTCCAGGAGTGGGGAGGGTGGAAGGAGGCTCTGAACAGACAGCTGCTCTCGTTGTTCTCTCAACCCCACCCTCCATGCCTGAAGGTGACCCTGTGGCAAATGCCCTTATGGGGAGGTGGCAGGCTTGGCCAGAAACTCCAGGAAACCCTGGGCCTTAGCAGGACACCCAGAGGACTGTCTTGGGAGTGGTGGAGGTGAGGGTTGGCCAGTGTCAGCCCAGACCTGTTTAGAACACTAAACAATACTATAATAAACAAATGACCAAGCGCAGAAAGCATCACGTAAAGGTGCAAGTGATGAGGACAAGCTGGCCAAGAGTCATCCTGGGCTCGGACATGTCTGGGGATGGATCAGCAGGAACCTGGCAGCAGGAACCATATTACTTATGGGTGCTCATGTTCAGTATTACGACAGGGAACCTTGTTACCTGAGTCCTGGTGACCATCTCACCCCACTGTGAATCCAGCACCCCTAGAATAGCCATGAAGCCTGGCAGATACAGCAGGTGTCCCCATGGTGTTTACTGCTGGGTGAGGGAGGGAAGGTCTTCAAACAGAGCTTTACATATGCCTCCTAGTTAGACAGGAAATGGGGAGAGATTCCCAGAGAAGGGAAAGAGAGGGAAGTCCCTTACCAGGTGTTTGTGAGCAGAATGGTCATCTCCAAAGGGTAGGAGTTAGTTCTCCTCTGTGTCTCCCACCTTCCTGGGACAGCTGGGAGTCCAGACTCAGGAAGACATACATGCTGTGCAAAGGGTAAACTGAAAGTCAAGCAATCCTCTTGTTTTTTTTTTTTTTTTTTTTTTAATCATCAGAAAGGAGATGCAGGTAACCCAAATAGCGAGAATGTGCTGGTGGGTGGAGTGTGAGGGAGGGAGGCCAGAGTGCTGACCTGTGCCCCATATGTGATGACACCACCAGTGGTCATCTTCTGTCAGGACTCTGGCATGCACTGCAGGGAGGGTCAGCTGTCCTGATGCAGCAAACTCTCTAATCCCAGTAGGAAAGATACCAATGTAGGTTGCTCTTAGGAGGAGGTACAAGTGCGATGTCCAGTATGGAGTTATAGGAAGTGGCAGGTTGAGGTAGCTGGCCAGCTGCTCCAGATATTTGATGACCTTAGGTAAATGTTGTGTCTGTCGTGCATCTGGAGAAAGAGGCTACTTTCTAAAGCATAGTTTCTGGGATTTCAGACCAGCAGAGATGAGCGGACTTCAGTAGCGGTGTATAAACATGTTTGAAAATGATGGAGTAGCCAGGTGTGATGGTGCACATGTAATCCTAGCTAATTAGGAGAGTGAGTCAGGAAGATTCCTTGAGTCTAGAAGTTCAATTTCAGCCTGTGTAACACAGTGAAACCCCTATCTCAAAAAAAATGACAGAAGACTTTGATTTCTATAGTCCACAGTTTTAAGGACACACTAGGAGGGGGCCAGATAGCAACCATGGACTGAGGAACAAGCTTGGGGCCTCCAGCACCCATGTAACCTGGAGGAGTCCAGCTGCCCAGGAGGGGGCATGTTTTCCTTCTGCCAGGTGACGAAAGAGAAAGCTGTGTTCCCCTAGGCTGCATGGTGACTACTGATCCGATTATCTGAATTAGTAGGATGAGAAATTAGGTGACAGGCAGAAGTTCTCTGCAATAAATGACCAATAATAAGTGAACACTAAACAATACTATAATAAACAAATGGCCAAGCTCAGAAAGCATCACCTAAAGGTTCAAGTGGTGAGGACAAGCTGGCCAAGAGTTGAGATTCTGCACATCTGGGTTTTGAGCAACTAACAGTTTGGTCTATGGTAGGAGCTGGGACTGAGCAGCCACAGGATTTGGTGACTTCTCAAATGGGAAGGCCAGGAGTCTCCTTTATGGAGTGCCTGGAATTCTCTGGGGTCAAGCTCGTCTCTTTCACTCCATCCCTCCTTCTTTTCTCCCTCTCCTCACACATGGTGGACACGTGGATGCTTCTAAACTATGAG
Organism: Homo sapiens; assembly: GCF_000001405.40. Lineage (NCBI taxonomy): Eukaryota > Metazoa > Chordata > Mammalia > Primates > Hominidae > Homo > Homo sapiens. The sequence continues at coordinate 23,692,897 of NC_000020.11, forward strand.
CCAGTGTTGGTAACACATTTGGTTCTGCTAGAACATGTGGATGCTTCTAAACTGTGGGCCCATGTTGGTAACACATTTGGCTCTTCCACATCATTAGGAAACTGTGATACTCATGGGGAAGCCTGCTGGTAGCCCTGGCTAGGAAAGGCGAGAGAGGGCAGAGCCCAGTGTCAGGTCTGATTGTTTTGCACCCCATGGGGAGAAGGAGAATCCTTTCTCTCAGGGACTAGCACGTGAATGGTATTCATGGTTCTGGAGTGCAAGTTAACATTTATTTTGCAAAAAGAGCGTTTGTCAGTGCAGATTCACTGACTGAAGAACCACATATGAATGGAGGGGAGTAGGGGCGGCCTCCGGGAACTCGGGCTGCTGGTTGCTGCAGCCAGGGATCCGTCTGAGTCCCTGGGCTGCAGCCTGCAGAGGCCTGGCCATGAGGAAAACAGATGACTCTGAGGAGGTGAGTCATCTCCTCGACATCTCTGGGTGGTCAGACTTTCTTATCCTGTTTGGGTCACTGCTGGGACTTCCCTGTCACTGTTTGTGTAACCTTAAATATCAATTCCTTTACCAAAGTGCAGTGACCCTGGAGAATGGTTCCTCTTCCTGCTTGGAATCCTGTTCAACTCAATCACTGAGTGCTGGAGCTGGAGCCAGAGGCCATCAGGACAGCCCTGCTCCCTCCTGTGGCCCTGCCTGCCCTCTCCTCCTGTCACAGAGGAGCTGGATCCAGCGACAAGACTCACCTTGACCAAACCTTAGTTAAGCTCCTCTGAGCCTTCTTCTCCCCAGTCCTCATCCCTAGTCCCCAGCCCTGGACCTCCTGTTCTTGCGAGGGCTGCATGGCCCAGTTTTAGGAAAGAATCCTGCTAAGTCAGTTTAGAAAGAATCCCCCAACCCTTGGTATCTGACCACCTTCAGCATCTGATCGAGTTCTTCATTCCTTACTTTTGATGTCTAAGGCTTTCTCCTGCCTTTAGCAACAATATTGTTAGGTCAGTTTTTCTAGAAACTCCTACCTTTGATGTCTCTGCTTAGTAATTCTGTTTGAAACGGTTCTAAAGCTACTTTAATAATGGCCCAATCATTCCATATTGTAAGTGGAATGATTTTACCCTCCCTACTTGCTTGTTTTAATTCTTTGCTAATTTTTTCCCAATCTTTTAGATCTAAAGTACCTTGTTCTAGAAACCACGGGCAGAATTGTTCTATTGTTCGAAATAGCGTGATTAGATTTTTTGTAGAGACTCTAACTCCCCCTCTTTTTAAAAGAATTTTAATACAGCTGAGCTAAGGGCATATTTACTTTTAGTTTGCCCCATTGTTACCCTGGCTTCTTCTGAGCGTACAAGCTTACTGCAAGGCTGACTGTAGACGTACTTGGGACTCTCTCATTGACTTATCCTCAATGACCACGCTCGAGCATACCTTCACCCTAGAGAAAAGCACCCACGTTGGGCACCAGATGAAGGGGTGGCCATCCCCTCCACACCTGTGGACATTTCTGGTCAGGTGGGATGAGAGACTGAGAAAAGAAAGAGACATGGATAAAGTATAGAGAAAGAAAAGTGGGCCCAGGGGACTGGTGCTCAGCATAGGGAGGACCTGAGCTGGCACAGGTCTCTCCGTTCCCTCAGTATTTATTGATCATTATCTCTACCATCTCGGAAGAGGGGGATGTGGCAGGACAATAGGGTAATAGTCAGGAGAGGGTCAGCAGGAAAACATGTGAACAAATGTCTCTGTGTCATAAACAAGGTTAGAAAATGTGCTGTGCTTTGATGTGCACATACATAAACATATCTGGTGCATTAAAGAGCAGTATTGCCGCCAGCATGTGTCACCTCCAGCCTTAAGGCAGTTTTCTCCTATCTCAGTAGATGGAACATCCGATTGGGTTTTACAGGTAGATATTCCATTGCCTAGGGACCAGCAGGAGACAGATGCCTTCCTCTTATCTCAACTGCAAAGAGGCCTTCCTCTTTCACTAATCCTCCTCAGCACAGACCCTTTATGGGTGTGGGGCTGGGGGATGGTCAGGTCTTTCCCTTCCCACGAGGCCATATTTCAGACTTTCACATGGAGAGAAACCTTGGACAATACCTGGTTTTCCTAGGCAGAGGTCCCTGCGGCCTTCGGCAGTGTTTTGTGTCCCTGGGTACTTGAGATTAGGTAGTGGTGATGACTTTTAACAAGCATGCTGCCTTCAAGCATTTGTTTAACAAAGCACATCCTGCATAGCCCTAAATCCATTAAACCTTGAGTCAACACAGCACATGTTTCTGGGAGCACAGAGTTGGAGGTAGGGTTACAGATTAATAACATCTCAAGGCAGAAGAATTTTTTTTTAGTACAGAACAAAATGGAATCTCTTATGGCTACTTCTTTCCACATAGACACAGTAACAGTCTGATCCCTCTTTCTTTTCCCCACACACAACTACATGGAAACTGAACAACCTGCTCCTAAATGACTACTGGGTAAATAATAAAATGAAGGCAGAAATAAAGATATTCTTTGAAACCAATGAGAACAAAGACACAACGTACCAGAATCTCTGGGACACATTTAAAGCAGTGTGTAGAGAGAAATTTATAGCACCGAATGCTCACAAGAGAAAGCAGGAAAGATCTAAAATCCACACACTAACATCACAATTAAAAGAACTAGAGAAGCAAGAGCAAACAAATTCAAATGCTAGAATTTGTTCTAGAGAAGCAAGAGCAAAGAAATTCAAAAGCTAGAATTCAAAAGCTAGAAGGCAAGAAGTAATTAAGATCAGAGCAGAACTGAAGGAGACAGAGACACAAAAAACCCTTCAAAAAATCAATGAATCCAGGAGCTGGTTTTTTTTTTTGAAAAGATCAACAAAATTGATAGACCTTTAGCAAGACTAATAAAGAAGGAAAGACAGAAGAATCAATAGACACAGTTAAAAATGATAAAGGGGATATCACCACCGATCCCATAGAAATACAAACTACCATCAGAGAATACTATAAACAGCTCTACACAAATAAACTAGAAAATCTAGAAGAAATGGATAAATTCCTCGACACATACACCCTCCCATGACTAAACCAGGAAGATGTCGAATTGCTGAATAGACCAATAACAGGCTCTGAAATTGAGGCAATAATTGATAGCCTACTAACCAAAAAAAAGTCCATGACCAGACAGATTCACAGCCAAATCCTACCAGCTGTACAAAGAGGAGCTGGTACCATTCCTTCTGAAACTATTCCAAACAACAGAAAAAGAGGGAATCCTCCTTAACTCATTTTATGAGGTCAGGATCATACTGATACCAAAGCCTGGTAGAGGCACACACACAAAAAGAGAATTTTAGACCAATATCCCTGATGAACATCGCTGCAAAACTCCTCAATAAAATACTGGCAAACTGAATACAGCAGCACATCAAAAAGCTTATCCTCCAAGATCAAGTTCGCTTCATCCCTGGGATGCAAGGCTGGTTCAACATACACAAATCTATAAATGTAATCCAACACATAATCAGACCAAAAGACAAAAACCACATGATTATCTCAATAGATGCAGAAAAGGCCTTTGACAAAATTCAACAGCCCTTCATGCTAAAAAGTCTCAATAAAGTAAGTATTGATGGAACGTATCTCAAAATAATAAGAGCTATTTATGACAAACCCACAGCCAATATCATACTGAATGGGCAAAAACTGGAAGCATTCCCTTTGAAAACTGGCACAAGACAAGGATGCCCTCTCTCACCACTCCTATTCAACATAGTGTTGGAAGTTCTGGCTAGGGCAATCAGGCAAGAGAAAGAAAGAAAGGGTATTCAATTAGGAAAAGAGGAGGTCAAATTGTCCCTGTTTGCAGATGGCATGATTGTATATTTAGAAAACCCCATCGACTCAACCCAAAATCTCCTTAAGGTGAGAAGCAACTTCAGCAAAGTCTCAGGATACAAAATCCATGTGCAAAAATCACAAGAATTTCTATGCACCAATAACAGACCAACAGAGAGCCAATTGAACAATGAGAACACTAGGACACAGGGTGGGGAACATCACACACTGGGTCCTGTCCTGGGGTGGGGGTATGGGGGAGGGACAGCATTAGAAGAAATACCTAATGTAAACGATGAGTTAATGGGTGCAGCAAACCTGCATGGCACATGTATACATATGTAACAAACCTGCACGTTGTGTACATGTACTCTACAACTTAAAGTATAAAAAAAGAGAGAGAAAGTTCTAAATATCTGAGAAATAATCATAAAGAAATAGGGCAGCCAACCTGGGAGTCCCCAGTCCTACTTGTGTTGTTTGTCGTGTGCATCAGATTATAAAAGCTAAAAGTGGATTCCAGCCTCTGTGATTATTCTGTTTTGCTCTCTAATGGAACAGCCATTCAGTGGTGGTTTGCATTCTCCTTTGCCTCTCTTCAGCATGTCACTTTAGGGTTAGGGTGCTGTTTGACAGGGGGAACTGGGATCCTCCCCTTTTCTCACTGAGGTGCTGTCTTGAATTACAGTCGGGAGCCAGGACCTGGGCAGTGCGGAGGACCAGCATGCTGTGCCCCACAGACCTCCTGGATTGCTTCTTCATATGTGGGAACAGTTAAGTGCTGTCCTGGATCTCTGATATATGGGCTGCTTTTAGGATTTGCCAAAAGGAAACTTTTAAAGCTTCTGTTTCTTTACAACCAGCAGCTCAATTACTTATGGGATGTAGGTTGTCATGGAGGCAGTAAAGAGTTCATTTGGGAAAAGAGTGGAGAAGGCATACAGCGGAAAATGGAATAAACCATGTATGAGTCAGTTTCTTTTCCATAGGAAAAACCCTTAACATCTTAGGGACTAAAAGCAAGAAACTGTTCCTGTCACGCTCTGGAGCCTGCAGATGGGCTGGGGCTTAGCAGATCTGGTCTGGCTTGCCTTGTGTCTTCATCCCGGGGCCCATGCTAAGGGGCAGTGTCTGCTTGGGTCAGGTTTTCTTCATGATGGTGAGGAGGGGAGCAGGAGGACCCACCTCTCGCATCTGCAGGGTTAAGGTCTCTGTCCTTGTCACATCTGTTAAGACCCAAGCAAGACCCATGACCATGCACAAAGGCAATGGGGGTTTATGCTGCATTTTCTGGAGAGAGTTGCTGCTAGCCACATGGCAGAGGGGGCATGCATGTATAGTTTTGTTCCAGCAAGGGAGACAGCTGTCCATCAATCCTGGCACACCCCCTTGAATCTAGGAAAACCCCTCTGCTCTGTGCTGTGACATGGCACACACTTCCAGGAAGCCTGTGGCTTTCATGCTGGCAGTGGCTGACTAAACTTTTGCTAACAAGGGTGATTTTTTTCAGTCTCCTGAGTTCCACCTGCGGTATCTTGGAAGTGCTGGCTCCCTAGAAGGGATCCTCCATATGAGGAAAGCTCCTTTCCAAAGGCCCATGTTTATTCTCTATAAAAACAGGCTGCTCAAAAGGTATGGCCTGGTAGAGCCTTTTTTGGCCTACATTTTGTTATATATTAATTGTTGAGTTCTTCCTAATAGAGAATTCACGTCTACTCCCACCCAGTGTGGTTCACATGGTATCAGAATCATAGCCAAATAATTGCGAAGGTGTGCAATGTGCAGGATGGGGTTTTATGATGAAAACTCAAGATGAAATAGAAGAAGGGGTCTGGGAAACAACAGTGACCCCCTGCACTGCAAAGGGAGGTGCAGGTAGGATGAGGTGGGGAAAGTGGCCATCTCTTGTGAGGTGACAACATCTGAGGGAAGTGGAGGGCGCTTCCTCCTCAGCCTCTGTCCCTGCATCCTCTCCAGTGCCCCAGTCCCTTCTGCCTCACACTCTCTCTCTGCTCTAAGGAACAGTACAGAGTGTGGATGCTGGTGAAGCGTGTTCTTAGTAACCAGCCAGCCTGCAGCTTCATCACGTGATGGTTTGGCCATTTCCCCTACACATGTATGCTAGGCTGAGAAGTTAGGAGGTGTTTCCATGACTTCCCAACTAGCTGACAACACTGGCCTGTGTATCTCAGGTGATCCCGATGCAGAACTTTGCTGTATTTTGAGTTTTTATTTTTTGCACCTTTTATTTTGTAGTGATTTCAAACTTACAAAAAGTGGGAAGAGTAATATAAAGAGCTCCTGTATACACTCAGATTCTCCCACTCTTAACATTTTGTCTCGTGCTTTTTCCTTCTCTTTCTATATGTACAAGCTATTATAGGTTTTTCTGAGTCATTTGAGTGCAAATTGCAGACATGACCTCTTTTGTCCTCAGATACTTTCATGTGTGTGTCCTAAGGACAAGGACATTCTCTAACACAACCTCAGTGCAATGAGCAAAATCATGATGCTTGTGTGGATACAGCCTTTTATCTAGTCTATTGTTCAGACAGTTTATCAATTGTGTTTGTTTGCCAAGCTTCCTTAGTCTCCTTTAATCTGGAAACGCTTTTCATTCTTTCTTGTCTTTGTTATCCTGTCATTTTTGAAGATAACTGGCTACTTTGAAGAATGTTTTCTGTTGGGGTCGTCAGTGGATTAGATTCAGGTGATGCATTTTTTTCAGATGAAAATTATAGAAGTGGCATTGTGTCCCTCAGTATATCATCATTCCAGGAGGCCAGGATACCATTGTCCAATTGCTGATACATGTTAACATTAATCTCTAGATATAGATAGTATCTTCCAGGTTTCTCCACTCTTAAGTTACTTTTTTTTGTTTGTGTAATTAATAAGTATTTCACAGAGCAATACTTAGAAAATAGTTTTATGTTCTACTTCTTATTAAACTTTTACTTTCTACCATTAGCATATAATGATAATTCTTTCCTAAATCAGTTGTTATTATGATTATTGTGACTATTTTTTTCTAACTTCATCATTTCTTCTGTATTTATTAATGGCATTCATTCCACTGTAAGGAAAACTTGCTTTTCTCATCTGTCTGTTTATCTACATACCTACCTACCTAGCTTCTGTCTCTCGACAGATCTAACTCATGGTTTCTTATTTTATTCAAGAAGTTATAATCTGTTACCACTATTATTCCAGTGTGTAGATTATCTCACAATTGGCTACCAAGAGCTCCTTTAAGCAGCTTCTTCTGTTCTCTTGACAGATTTCCATTATTATTGGAGCCTATCCTTACCTTCTCATGTATTAATAACAAGAAGTTCTAGATCTATTTTATACTTTCCTTCATCCAACTCTAGAATTACTGGCTGAAATCTGTGGTGAGTTCAGAAAGCAATGCCGAGTGGTGCCTGTGCTCATTCATTGCTACAGGGAGGCCATGGTGCCTCTGTCAGTAGTTATTCACCTGGGGCAATTTTGCTTCCCAGGGCACACTGGTAATGTCTAGGACATTTTTGGTCGTTGCTGCTTGGGAGGATGTGCTACGGCATTTAGTGGACAGAGGTCAGGGATTCTGATAAACATTGTGCATTTTTTTCCCCCAGTGGTAGATTAGAAGCTTTCGGTGTGCCTCAAACACTTGGAAATAGCAAAATAGTACCTAGTGATCAGCTCTGTGAGTTTTAACTCAAAAAGGCGAGTGGGAATCCACTGGAATCCTGAAGGACACCTCAGATTCTGGGGAGGAGAATGCAGGCAAATAGCCCCTAAGACAATGTGTTCCTCATAAAAGTGAGTGATATCCCAGAATGTGAGGGGGCAGAGAGTCTTCCTCTGTGATGTACCCTTCCACTGGGGATTCCATGGAACCAGGCCAAGGGAGAGCACTTTGTTTCTCCCAAGCCCTAGAGCTAACTTGGGGAGATGCTTGGACACTCTGAGAAGGAAAGACACTGGAAAAAGCTGCTGCCATTTTGTTAGACCTAGGACTAAGGGCAGTATGCTATTTTTAATCTGGGCTCATAAGTCAGTCATTCTTAGGTGACCCAGCAGCTTGCCCACAAACTCATTTTAGTCTTGGGCCATATGGGAGTGCTTATGCTAGAATGGGGTAGGGGCCTCCATATTAGAACTGAGCAGTGACTGCGAAAAATGCCCTAATAATAGGTGTTGGAATTGTGCTCACCCTTGTTGCAAGTCTAGAGCCAGAGGAGGTCTGCTGCAGCCATGGTTTCTCCTGGGTGATGACACTTGCAGTCAAGGTCATCTTGGTACCTGGAACTGGTCTCTGTGTATGAGTGCTGGATGCGCCAGACTTATTCCCTGAGATTGTGGAGTGGCTGGATCCTCTCTGCCCCACACGTGGGCTGATCTCTTGGCATTCAGAGCAACTGCTCCCTCGGATCATCAGCCTAAGCAGCCCCACCCTTCCTATGTATAGACTGTGGTGCAGCAGGGCCCTCTGTACTCCACACCCAGGTAGATCTCCAGGCATTCAGAGCACCTGTGTGCCTAAATCAGCAGCCTTTGCTGCCTTACCCTTCCTGTACAGAGACAGTGGTGAAGCAGGACCCTCTCTGCTCCATGCCCAGGTAGACCTCCAGATATTTAGAGCAGCTGCTCACTTGGAACAATAGCCTGAGCTGCCCCAACATTCCTGTGCAGAGATTGCGGTGTAGCAGCACCTGCTGCACTCCATGCCAAGGCAGATATCTGGGGATCTGGAGCACGCACTCCCCTGGATTAGGAATTTAGGCATTCCACCTCCTGCAGAGAAGCTGAGTCCAAGGAGGTTTCTCATATCCATGCCTAGGCACATCTCTGGGTGCTCAATTGATGCCCACTGGACTCCCACTCAATGCTGGTGCTTGTACCTGCTATTGGAGCACCTGTAGTTATGCCTGCCCTATAGGGTTATAGAAGCAAAGCCAAAAACCCTATAATCACACCCCCTGGAGAGGGGTTGAAATGGAAAGAAAAACAATGACGTAGGGAAAGAAAGAAAAAAAAATCTGTCTGTATGAAAATAATTACAAAAATTGGAAGTGCCAATATGTCCAGATGAGAAAAAAACAGCACAAGAATCCTGGAACCATGAAACATCTGAATGTTGTGACACCATCAAAAGATTGTACTATCTCTCCAGAATGGTTCCTAACCAAAATGAAAACTCAAAAATGACAGATAAAGAATTCAAAGCATACATTGCAAGAAAGCTCAATGAGATCCAAGACAATATTGAAAATCAACAAAAACAAATGTCTTAAGCAATCCAGGAAATGAAGAAAGAGAAACACATTTTAAAAGAAATCAGTCAGAGCTTGTCGAACTGATAAACTCCACTGAAGAAATTTCAAAATACAATTGAAAGCTTTATTATTAGACTAGACCAAACAAAACAAATCACTTCAGAGCTTGAAGAGTAGTGCTTTGAACTAACCGAGTCAGACAAAAGAAATGAACAGTCTTTGAGAAATATGATGTTATATAAAATGACCAAACCTCTGAATTGTTAGCATTCCTGAGTGAGAAGGAGAAAACATAAACAATGTGGAAAGCATATTTGAGGTAATCCAAGAAAATTTCCCTAATCTTGCTAGTGTCATAGACATCCAGACACAAAAAATACTGAGAACACCTGCGAGATACTATACAAAATGAACATCAATGCGTATAGTCACCAGGCTTTTCAAGGTCAATTAAATAAAAAATCTTAAAAGCATCTAGAGAAAAATGTCAGATAATGTACAAAGGAAACCTCATCAGGCTAACTGCAAAGTTCTCAGTGGAAACTGTACAAGTCAGAAGTGATGGGAACCTATTTTCAGCATTTTTAAAGACAAGAAAATTCAACCAATAATTTCATATCCTGTTAAACTAAGCTTTAGAAGCAAAGAGAAATAAAATCTTTCTCAGGCAAACAATCAGTAAGGAAATTTGTTACCAGTAGACCAGGCTTACAAGAGATTCTTAAGGAAGTACTACACATGAAAACAAAAGAAAGATCCAGCTAACATAAAAACAAACAAGTACATAGTCCACAGACTTTGTAAAGCAACTATGCAATAGAAACTACAAAGCAACCAGCTAATAACTTCATGAGAGGAGCAAAATTTCATTTATTTCTTAAATGACCATATGTAGTCATAGTTATAATTCTTCCCATTGTACAGATAAGTTAACTGAGTCTCCTAGAGATGACATCCCTAGCTCTCTCATTAAGGGTTCCATCTATCAGTTTCTGCTTTACCAGTGAGACTTCATTCTCTCAGCTACTGGGAGTGTGGCCACTGATGGCTCACAGCTGAGTCCTTCTGTGGGCATTGATCTGAGTCAAAGGGAGCTGCTTTGTCCAAGTTCATGTCCCTCCTGGAATTGCCTATTTTAAATAATAGGTCTATAAGGGAGTACAAAATGTTGACTCTTTTGCCCTAATATGCTACCACTCTGAGGCCATCCCCATTGCAGAGATCTCCATGGGCCTGACTTTGGCCTCTGCTGACCTGCACCCCTGCCTGACTTTTCCCTCTGCCCCACCTCATGCCCCTCTGCTGAGCTGCACCCCTGCCTGACTTCTTCCTCTGCCCCACCCCATTCCCCTGCCTCCCTAGCACATGCCTCAGTGAGCCTCTTGCCCTTGAATTTCCATCTGAGTCTGTTTCCAGGAACCCTAACCAAGAGATGGTGGAGTCAGGACCCACACCACAAATATCCTGCCTTTTAAACTACAGTGGGTGTTAGATCTGTGAATGTTTGGAGGATGGGGCAATTCTTGTCTGGGAGACTGGATGTCTCTTTTCCCAGGATTCAAGGGGTAGGATGCTCCAAATGTATTTAGACCTGAGACCTATTTGGAAAAATGGTGTTTTATCTGGAAAGTTCCCTGTTCTTGAAAATCTCTTACTCAGCTAGTACTATTTTTCCCTCTTTACTCCTTAGTAAAATGAAAACCAAAGCTTCCATTTGTATTGGACTTGGTGAAATATTTCACTTACCAAATTTCTTTGGATCCACCTGATGGGGAAGGCTAGGCAGGTAACATAAACCCCTTGTAATTTTGTGGAAATATGTAGAAGGGAATTTGGGGACAATAAGGCAGGTCATGTAATTTTCAGATAAATTTTGTTCGCATTGCACAATAAGCTTCATTTGCCACCCTGGCTCTGGGACTGGCACTTAGTGGTGTGTCAGCTCCATCATTTGTAGAAGTGTCCTGGCTGCAGATAGCAGGAGTCCTGAGAAACACTGGCTGCCTCTCCCATGATGACACTGGTGATTCACCAAAGGCCATGGGGGTGGTGTTCACAGAGTAGGTGCAGGGTCCTTAGCAGGGGCCCAGGTGGTTTCCTTCCATCTTCTCCATCATTCATTGGGCTCTTGTTGTTGGGAACATGGCTCATAAGTGAAAGGCAGACACCATAGTTGGAGACGTTCTGTCCCACACTACTGCCTGAAACGTGAGGAGTAGGAGCAGGAGGAGGTCACAGGGGGTGAGAAGAGGGTGTGGACAGTGAGTGGGAGAGAGAGTGTGTGTGTGTGTGTGTGAGAGAGAGAGAGAGAGAGAGAGAGAGAGAGAGAGAGAGAGAGAGGATTCATTCCGAGGACCCTGTCTTTTCTATTCAGTACAGGCTTTTCTTTTCTTTCCTTTTTCTTTTTCTTTTTTCTTTTTTCTTTTTTTTGTAATGACCTGGCTGCCTTCTTAGATGTTACTGCCTGGACTTGGGTCCTATGCCCCGGGGGGTGAGGAAGGCCAGGAAGTTTATTGCCTGGTGCTTTCAGACTTTCCACTCAGGGGAAGGGAAAGGGAGTAGGGACTGGCTGGTGAGGTTTTCAGAACAAAGTTTCTTAATATGAGAGTCCACAAAGAGTTTGTAGAAACTCCATTGTACTCCAAAGATTACAAGCGTGTTTGTGCAGGAGTGTGCATACACATACCTACACACCATTTCTACAATACTCATCTGACTCCTAATGAGATCAGTGACTATTACACTATTCTAATGTTGAAGTATGGATGCTGAGTTGTAAATGCAATGCCATGAGTTTGCACTGAAATTAAATGCAGACTCACTTCTTGAGCTTTACATATCCATTACTTTCAACTGAACTGGGCATCAGGCTATCTCCTCTTTACATTCAATGAAAGTAGAATACAGGAGAATGAAAGAGGATGAAATGGAGCACTCTAAAGCCAAGCCAGAGCCCACCTGCTAATTGCAGTCACTGAGTCCACAGCAGTGATGATTTCTCTGGTGGTGAAGGCTTTGTAGGGAATGTGACCTAAGATATCCTCTCTTCCCCAGGAACTCAGAGCATGTATCTGAAGACATTCAGTGCCACAAAAAACAAGCAAACACTTATTAAATACTAAGTGGCTTTCAGAACTCAGGGAGCATGTGAGAACAATTTTTTTCCCACTTTGGAAGGAGTTTCACTCTTTTTGCCCAGGCTACAGTGCGATGGTGTGATCATGGCTTACTGCAACCTCTGCCTTCCAGGTTCAAGCGATTCTCCTGCCTCAGCCTCCCAAGTAGCTGGGATTACAGGCATACACCACCATGCCCAGCTAATTTTGTACGTTTAGTAGAGATGGAGTTTTACTATGTTGGCCAAGCTGGTCTTGAACTTTCGACCTCAAATCATCCACCCGCCTTGGTCTCCCAAAGTTCTGGGATTATATTCATGAGCCACTGTACCCAGCTGTGAGAACACCCTATGCTGAAAATAAACTGCCGATTAACTCATAGTTGATAAGCTGTGAGGCATATGTGGGCATATCAACCACACCAATAGGTCATTCAGCCATAGTATTTGTTAGTTTTAGTTTTAAAAATAGAGACATAGGGAGGATCCAAGGGGAAATAACCTATAATCTCATCACCCAAACACTCCTAACTGACACTAAAAAAAATGTATAAAGAACACACACACATTTTTGTAATGTTCAAATGGAAAATAAAGATCCTAAATATAAAAAAAAGCAAAAGCCAAATTATCCATCTCCCTACCCACTCTACCACCTCTCTTCCGTGGTATCCACTGTTAATAAATACAAATGACTGACTGCCTGTCTCCTTTCCTATATTTTAGGCTTTTATGTGTATATCCACATGTGTAAATATGTGTCTAAATGTCTATACACTCATACACATGCGTGTTTACTTTTGTTTTTACAAGCTTTATATTAACACACCACATATACCTTGCTTTCAATAAAATAATATATTCAAGATATATTAAAATTATTTCCAGTTTAACACATATGTTGCTATCTAATTCTTAACCGCTCTTCCATCATGTGTGTGCTCTATAATTTATTTGAGCAGTCTCTAGTGATGACATCATTTTGATCATGTCAAAGTTTGTGCTATTACCAGGACATTGCCATGGTCATCCACAGGTTTCACTGAGTGTTGGTGACACTGTAAATGATATATTAATAGATTCTTAACATATTTTAAGTGTAGGTTTATTAACATCTATTAAATGTATGATTGGTGTAGGGGATGGGCCTGTGATCCAGACCTGGCCTATGAGGCATGAGAAGGAATGAGCTAAGGAGTGCATAGGAGGAGGTTACTCACATTCAGGAAGGACGGGTGGAACAGAGGCTTTTCCCTAGGATCTTTCTGCCTCTGGATGTTGGTGTTGATGATGTGATGTCTGGAGCTGTAGCAAACACCTTGCTACCAGCTCGAGGCTGAAGCATCATAAACAGAAAGGTAAGGATGAGAGAATCCCAGGGAAGCAGAGCTAGATGCTGGGAGTTCTGCTCCTAAAACCTGTCTCACCCAGGGCCTTCTTATTATGACAGGTAGAGTACTCCCTTTGCATTCAAGCCATTTTTAATTGGGACCTTTCTTTACATGCAGTGGAAAGCCTCTTGCCAGCTCCCAATGCCCATGCAAGTTTATTCTGCATGAGTTTCTCCTTCCCTCACTTCTTCTCCATGTCTCCTACTTTTGTGGCTGGTGGATTTGCCTCCCTCCCATTTCCTCTGGGACCATGCACTCTTACAAAAATATTAAAGTCTTCTAATAAAAATCCAGACCTTTAGTGATGCTAATGACTTTTAAGTACAGAGCTGTTCAAAAACCCCACAAAAAGCTCCAAGTGGGCCTCAGCAACAGCTTTACTTTGCTGGATGTTTTGTACAATAAAAAAGTGTGTGGTATTTTCACTGTAGTCAGTTAAGAACATTGGCTTTTTCTACTTTGGCTTTCTTCTTCACATTCACCACCCTCCGGATGGTGTAGGTTGGACCCAGGCATTTTGATATCTGGCTAAGAGGACGTTGAGTTGGGATGCATTTAACCTGGGGTGAGGGGAACACATTCCCGCGGTTCTCAGTCACTCCTGTGCATAGTCATGTTGCCTCAAACTGTCCTGGTGTAGGAGTGGCCCCAGACAAGGCCCTACCACCCCCTCGGTTTTTACCTAAATCAGCGAGGAGAGGTAGAACCTTGATCAGAAAATGTCCCCAGCACCTCACATTGGAAGCCTGTGATTAGCAGAGAGGAAAAAAGGTTTGCAATGTGTGGAGCCAGAAGCCCATCTATGGATAATGATTCCCAGCAGAAACATGGAAAATTTCAAGTGAGTGTTTGGTTCTTTTTGACCCTAGTCAAAAAAGGAAGTTTTACTCTATTGGAAATGTATTTGGTAATATGGCATATAAAATAATTATTGCATCATGCAGTTGTTTTTATTTTTGATGGTAATTGAATGAGATAGAATTTCTCAATTTTTGACATTTGTAGAGCACAGATCTGTGTGGTGAAACTACCCATAGTAAGGACATATGTGTGTGAAGCGGCACAGAACTGATGGATGGGGCTGACCTCCCACCTCTTTTTATCCTGACCAAGTCTGGGAGCTCCACATAACACAGATATAAAATTGTGACCAGCAGTAAGGCAGCTCAAAGAAATGCTTGCTTCAGGACAAACTCCTCCTGCACAGTCAATGAGCTAATAGATATAGCACATAAGGACATTTTTAGACAATTCTGAAGCTCAGTACAACAGTGACAGTTTAAAAATGCTGTGTTTGTGTCCATCGTCAACAGAAAGATTTGATAAGGTCCTCAGTTTTAAAACAAGACAATTTAGAGGTATTAAAATCTTAGAGCTTGCAGATGAAAGGAAAATGAAAGAGGCTTTTCCAAACTGGACAACAACCAGAAAAATGTGCATGATATGGCCAATTATGAGTTTTGAATCAAGATGTTATGCACTATCAATTTTACAAGTGATCAAACCTTTTAGTGGAAAGACTGGTTTATTCTTCTGCTATACTTAATCAAAATCCTATGATAAATTAAATGTCTTATAATGAGACAAATAGTGATTCATTAGTTGAGTATAAAAACATCAAATGAAATTATGAGTTGTGTCAGTAGCTAATTAATAAAAATATCATGTGAGGAAGTAAAAATCATGTGGATTAAGAAGGGCAAATCTGCCCTTTCATCTGCAGAGTGGATAGATGGACTGATGTTAACAAAGCCAGTGGTATCATGAGCAGGACAGAATGTTCAAGCTGCAGCTTTGAAATGTCAAACAGCCTCTTGTTGGCTGATGACTGCTTTCTGACTCTGGGCAGGTGCCTGAGGCTGGGGTTAGAGAGAGTCCCTTCTCCCTGCCCAGCACCCAGCCCTGCAGCTGCTTCCTCTAGTCCAGCAGGCAACATCCCAAAGGATGCATGGTGGAGCTCCCAGTACCTCCATTGCCAAGTTAAATACCTCTTAACAAATCAAATTCATCACATTTGTCCCCCACCACCCCATCCACCTGCTCATGTCAGAGGCGTTTGAACCAGAGCAACTCCATCTGGAGTAGGGGCTGGGTAAAATGAGGCTGAGACCTACTGTGCTGCATTCCCAGATGGTTAAGGCATTGTAAGTCACAGGATGAGATAGGAGGTCAACACAAGACTGCTTTCTGACTCAATGGAAGACCTCATCCTCTAGAGTCAGGGGCTGTCAGAAACTTTGCTTATCAGTAAGAAGAACATTCTACTGCCTGGAAGATCTATATCCACCTTTCCACAGAAGCACAGAGCTACAGAGAAGGGGTTTATGGACAGAACATTCCACATCTGTCTGGACTTTATGGGTTCTAAGGACACAGGACTTAGGTCCACTTTGCAGACCAGGCTTGACACTGGCTGCTTTACACAGAGGCCTGCCATGCCCTGAGTGCATCGATGTCACCTCAAAATCCTTTCCCCTGGTCCTAGAAAAACCTCTTTTCTTTTTTGAGTCATCCCAGGTTTCTTGGTGTGAGTTTATTCCCTTATTGCAACAAGGCAATAGACCTGAATCTGTTGACTGCAGAATCGGTGTTAGTGACTGATTGCAATAGATATGTGTTATTTTTCCCAATTTTGTGATGTTCGCAGTATTTTTCAGCATTTTCATACATATAATTTCCATGATTTATTTTCTCTTCCTAAATAAACATTAATTTTTGTGCTTAGTTTTGTATTGCTAACACAGTGCTTTTTTTTTTTTTTTTTTCTTTTTTTCCACAGAGAGCCCTTATGTTTGCTTCTCAGACCCTGCAGCTCCTTGGTCCTCCTGTCCTTGTTATGGCAAGTGTCTGCCTGCCCATGGAAAGACTGTGCTGTCTTGTGCTTATCTGGCCTCCGATGCACTCAACCCTCCTTCCAGAGTGATTTCTCTATGCTGGATTAGGGGTTTCTAACTTCTTCATTTTCAGTCTTTTACCACTGATTTGTGACATTATTTTTGGGAAAGAAAGTCTTAGAAAAGGCATAAAATTTCCAAAATGGGAACTGAATGATATGGAATTTTATATTTTTTGATATTTGTAGGCGCAGATCAGTGTAGTGAAACCCTGTCTTACTCTCCTACAAAGACCTAGTGGCTTCAGGACTCAGTTCAGACAATTCATTGGCTCAGAAGCTATTCCTGCTCACCCTCAGCATCCCTATCCACTTCTTCCCTCCTAGAGAGCAGACACACACACAGGGAGAAGGTGGGGGAAGCCCACTATACACCCCCCACTTTACTCCCAACTTTCTCAAGGGAGAGAGAATTGTGTCTGAGAAGTGGCTGGTTTACACAAGATCATCTCTTCATTGTGTGTCTTGAGGATGGTTGCTTGCGTCAAAGGAGATTTTCCATCCAGGTAGAAAATCATGAGCAACTCTCTGCAGGGATGTCTTCACCCCTAATCACCACTCTGAGCACCTCCTACTCTGCATGCAACCCCTCTCTCCCACCAGAAGCCTGAGTGACTACATCTGCCCATCCCCAAGAGGATGAGGCTCAGACTCAAGTCCCCCAGGTCATGGCCTCCTGGGTGGTGCTTCACTTCCCAGATCCCAAAGACCTCTGTAAAATCAAGTCCAAGTGGAGATGAAATGGATGTAGATGTTCTCCACTCTCCCTGTCCATGTGTTTCCCACTCTGGATTTCTAGGTGTGGCACATGGGTGCCAGTCTCTGGACAATTTGGGCAGATTTCCTCTTATCATTTTGCGCCCCTGCCCTCCGCCATGTTCATGGCAGCAGCCCTTGCTCAATGTGACTCTGAGCATGGAAGGTATTGGAGAGCCCTGCCCGGGACACCGGCCATGAGGCTGCCCCCCTGTACCCTGAAATGGCAAAGGGGACTGTGCAGGATGGGCTGTGTGACTTAGGACTGTAGTTTCCTGTTCAGGGCAGAAATATCCACTGTTCTTTGGAATGCTAGTGACAATGAAGTGATGTTCTTTATTAATGAGAACATCCTTCTTGAAAACTGAAGACCGTCCACTGCATTACAGTCCTGAATGTTTTAATTTCTACATTCTTTATGTTAAGCTTGACATAATAACTTGGTTTGAATCCAAGTTCAGAGAAAGGGCCAGTGGGGGTGAACGTGAACAATGCTCCTAGGGTACAACCTCCCAGCACAGGGCACTGCCTCCCACCATAGGGCATAACCTCCAAGCATAGGGCACAATCTCCCAGGATAAGACACCACCTCTCAGTATAGGACACAGCCTCCCAACATAGGGCACCATCTCTCAGCATAGGACACCACCTCTCATCATAGCACATAGCCTCCCAGCACAGGGCACTACCTCCCAGTGTAGGGCACAGCCTCCCTGTCCAGCATAGGGCATGACCTCCCTGTATAGGGTGCACCCTCATGGGACTGATCAATGGAGGCACTGCTTTCACACTAGAACCTGGGCTGCTCCCTTTGGAAGAGGTCAGACTTGGAGGAGGGGGCTGGTGGACAAGGAGAGCTTCATAAAGGGACTGCTAAAACCCTTCCTGTGTGCACAGCCCCAGACAGCCAAGAACTCAGAGGGAGCCGATGCTACTGTTTAGTTGCAGGAGAAGGGGTTGTGTGCACCATGCACCGGGGCTGTAAGAAGCAAGGAGGGAGGGCAGAAACCCGTGCTGCGCAAAAAACCTCCTGATGCCTTCTCTGTCTGTATCCTGGTGCAGGCCTGCAGAGGAGACCTCCCCCAAGGTAGGAACCACCAATCCAAGGGTGAGAGCACTACAGTGGCATGGGTGTAGGAGGTGGTTGGTGCAGCTAGCCTACTACAAACCCATAGACATTCTGACACGTGGATTTCACCAAGGACATTCTGTCCTCCCAAGGAAATTCATAGATCTGGAAAGAGCAGAACTGTCTCTGTGAAAGGAAAGAGAACGGGACAATCAGTGTGAGTTGCAGTTAAAGCAGGAGACTCTCAGGCATGAGACCACCATCAACATAACATCAACATCATGGTCATCATCATCATCACCACCATCACCATGAGCCTCACTACCATCACCATCACTATTATCATCACCATCACCATTACTGCCACCACCAAGACCATCACCAACACCAGTACCAGCATAATCCCCACCATCGCTACCATCATTACCACCATCACCACTGTCACCATCATCATCATTATTATCACCACTACCATCATCATTATCAATACCACCATCTCTGCAATCATCACCATCACCACCACCACTATTACTACCATCACTGTCACCAACTTCATTACTATTACCATCACCACTATTATCATTACAAGAGCTACCATCATCACCACCATTATAACCACCACCACCACCACCATCACTATTATCACAATCACCATCACCATTATCAATACCAACATTACTGCTGTCATCACCATCACCATCACCACTACCACCATCACTATCAGTATACTCACCATCATTATACTCATCATGACCACCATTACCATTATCATCATCAACACCATCAACATCATTACCATTACCAGCATTACCACCATACCATCATCATCATCTTCAAAACCACCACCACCATTACCATTTTCATCTCCAGCATATCATTCTCATCACCATCATCATCTTCAGCACCACTGCCAGGTGTCTGTCAGTAGCTTTTCTGCATTGGACATTGTGCCACACCCTTTATAAACCTCATGTGATTACATAGTCATGCTAATTCTATATTTTATAGAAAAAAAGAAGGCGGCAATTGGCTTTGTAACATGATAGAAGAGTGAGAATCTGGTTTTTCTTCTCAGAACTATCTGCAATCCATGATAGAGAAGAATCACTGTATTTCTCAGCTCCTACATTACTGGATCTTCCCTAGAGAGGTCTGATGTGGACATCCACAGTGAAGTCTTCACTGGTTTGCTGGTCTCCACCCTCAGATTTTGTTTCTCTGGTTCTAAAATGTTTAGAAACCCATATCCCCTGCCACATGAAGCATTGGCATCTTGCTCTCTGTGGCTGCACTTTTGCTTTTGCCCATTACACAGTCTGGCCTCTAGAGAAACTGGACTCTTTGATGTTCTCCAGACACAGAACTGTCCAGGCTCACATAATTCTTTCTCAAATGTTTACCTGTAGATGCCCACTCCACCATAGATCTTTGCCTCCACAACTGCTACCTGCTTCTCTGGTTTAGGTCTACACAAACCCTGTCTATGAATCCCTCTCTGGTCCATGTAGCCAGCCATGTGTGACCCTTTTGATTTGGGGGTCTTATAGCACTTTTGTGTGCACAAGAGGAATTTTCTATCCTCCTCTTAGGGTCATTCTTACTTGTGTGTCTATTTCTGTCACCCACCAGGCCATGAGGTCCTAGAAGATAAAGACTGAATCTCCTTCCCCATGTGATTTGCCTCTCAGAGATCACTGAGATAATCACAAACAAAAACTAGCTAACACTAATAATGAACATAACACTCAATAATATATTATAACCTCATAACTACTTACTAGGTACTATTACTTTCTTCATTTTAGAGATGAAATAACTGAGCCACAGAGAGTTTAGGGAAATATGTCAAATTTACACAGATTGTAAATGGAAGAATCAGGATTTTAACCCGTGTAGTCTGACTCCATGTCATTGCCATGATGTGAGATGCCTCAGCAGTCTGCTGTCCTCAAAACTTTGTGCATTTGAGAAATTTCATGTCGAGCCACAGTTATGCTGCTTTTGAACTGGAGCTCAGAGGATGGGGCCATTTAAAATGCCAAGGTCATCACCACCTCTTATGGAACTTGACTATGATTCACAGGCATGTGTCTTGGCCCAGACCCTCCTTCTTTTTGGAATTCCCATCTCCTATGTCACCTCATTGATTTCTCTTCATCATTTGTGATTCTGTAGATATTACATTTTCCATAAAGGTGACTTTCTAGATTGACAGAAGAAAACCCTGACAAGGGGATACAAATGAAAGTGGTTTATTTGGGAGGTAGTGCCAAGACACACTCTTGGGGCATTGAGGAAATGATACAGGGAAGAGAAGGTGCTCAATACAGTGAGTGTGAGCTTTCAGGCTACTGCTATGGGCACCTATGGCTCAATTCTGCTGGGAACTTCTGGGAGATTGCGTAGAACATGTCTGCTCATGTCATTCCTTGGATGAGGAATATACAGGGCTATTAGTTCTCTCACACTTACTTGTGCCATGTGCACAGGTAAGTTGGTGGGGATAGTGGCAACTGGAGTGTGGGCTAGTAAGTGCAGTGAGGTAAGACAGTGAGGAACTATCAAGGGATGTGGGCAGCTTGTCCTCCTCCCCCAGCCCTCTCTGTGCATTTGGTGCCTTTCTCTGTGCTCTCCAGTGCCATATTCTCTCCTCTGATTTCCACTTGCCTGTCTACAACCCAGAATTCTATACTGAACATTCATTGAGGATAGAGAACTTGGCTCTTTCACTTTCTTTTCTCCAGTACCAGATTTTGTTTCTAGCATAGAATGTACACTCAACAAAGACAGTAGGAGTGAAATTAAATCCATTTTATGAAAAGTCTGAAAAGCTTTCATAAATGTTGATTTAGAAATATTAATGTAGGAGAAATTCTCTTGAATAATTAAAAGAAAAATATTATATAGAAGTTGCCAGGAACAAAAAGAAAATTGCTTTGTGTAATTTGAAAAATCATCCCCAAAAATAAAATGCATAAAAAGGAAGTGTGAGAGAGGGAAAATGTAATCATCAGCCTAGAGTCCCAAAAGCAAAATAAGGTAGAAATGAAAATGAATCACAGGTGCTACAAAGCTCATTCTCTTCCACCGAACAAGGAATTGGGTAAGAAATGCAACCAGAAGCCATATGCTGGCACCCGAGCAGTTCCAAGTGGGTTCAGGGCAAAATGATCCTCTTGGTACTTTGGTGACCTTGATAAGTGAGTGGATGAGAAGTGTGAGTGACCACCCAGTTATGCTGTCCAGGAATACTTGACTGCCCAAAGACGGATAAAATGTTTTTCTGTGTACTTTAAGGAACTGTTAAGATCCTGCATTTCATTATACTTCTTTTATGTGGTTTTTAGGACCCCTAAGTCTAAGACGCCCAGAAAAGAGGAAGAGGTGAGCAGGTACAAAGTGGGGTCTGAGTTCCGCTTGTGCCTGTCTGGTAGCCTAGTACTGCCTGAAGAAGCACAAACATCTACCTGGTGCTGTTAGGTGGGCATTTGCGGTCATAATTAGGGCTGTCTTCTGAGTATTTCAGTTTCTTCTCATGAGTGCAAGGCAGGATTGTTCTTCTTCTTCCTTTGAGTTTGGTGTGGTCATGACTTGCTATGGTGATGAAGAAGAAGTGAGATGTCTAGTCATCATGCTGGTTCTCTCCTGAATACCATGTGTTTTTTTTTCCATTGTAGTATTCTTTTATAGGTCCTTGAGATTTATGCTTTAAGGAGATTCTATTTTGTGTATTTTGAGGATTTGTTTCAAGATTTAGAGGTCCTTTTAGCAGTTCTCATAGTGCTGGCCTGGTAGCGGCAAATTCTCTCAACATTTATCTGAAAAAGACTGTATCTTTCCTTCATTTATAAAGCTTAGTTTCACTGGATACAAAATTCTTAATTTATTTATTTACTTATTATTATTATACTTTAAGTTTTAGGGTACATGTGCACAATGTGCAGGTTAGTTACATATGTATACATGTGCCATGCTGGTGCGCTGCACCCACTAACTTGTCATCTAGCATTAGGTATATCTCCCAGTGCTATCCCTCCCCCCTCCCCCCACCCCACAACAGTCCCCAGAGTGTGATGTTCCCCCTTCTGTGTCCATGTGTTCTCATTGTTCAATTCCCACCTATGAGTGAGAATATGCGGTGTTTAGTTTTTTGTTCTTGCGATACTTTACTGAGAATGATGATTTCCAATTTCATCCATGTCCCTACAAAGGACATGAACTCATCTTTTTTTGTGGCTGCATAGTATTCCATGGTGTATATGTGCCACATTTTCTTAATCCAGTCTATCATTGATGGACATTTGGGTTGGTTCCAAGTCTTTGCTATTGTGAATAATGCCGCAATAAACATATGTGTGCATGTGTCTTTATAGCAGCATGATTTATAGTCCCTTGGGTATATACCCAGTAATGGGATGGCTGGGTCAAATGGTATTTCTAGTTCTAGATCCCTGAGGAATCGCCACACTGACTTCCACAATGGTTGAACTAGTTTACAGTCCCACCAACAGTGTAAAAGTGTTCCTATTTCTCCACATCCTCTCCAGCACCTGTTGTTTCCTGACTTTTTAATGATTGCCATTCTAACTGGTGTGAGATGGTATCTCATTGTGGTTTTGATTTGCATTTCTCTGATGGCCAGTGATGGTGAGCATTTTTTCATGTGTTTTTTGGCTGCATAAATGTCTTCTTTTGAGAAGTGTCTGTTCATGTCCTTCACCCAGTTTTTGATGGGGTTGTTTGTTTTTTTCTTGTAAATTTGTTTGAGTTCATTGCAGATTCTGGATATTAGCCCTTTGTCAGATGAGTAGGTTGCAAAAATTTTCTCCCATTTTGTAGGTTGCCTGTTCACTCTGGTGGTAGTTTCTTTTACTGTGCAGAAGCTCTTTAGTTTAATTAGATCCCATATGTCTATTGTGGCTTTGTTTGCCATTGCTTTTGGTGTTTTAGACATGAAGTCCTTGCCCATGCCTATGTCCTGAATGGTAATGCCTAGGTTTTCTTCTAGGGTTTTTATGGTTTTAGGTCTAACGTTTAAGTCTTTAATCCATCTTGAATTGATTTTTGTATAAGGTGTAAGGAAGGGATCCAGTTTCAGCTTTCTACATATGGCTACCCAGTTTTCCCAGCACCATTTATTAAATAGGGAATCCTTTCCCCTTTGCTTGTTTTTCTCAGGTTTGTCAAAGATCAGACAGTTGTAGATATGTGGTGTTATTTCTGAGGGCTCTGTTCTGTTCCACTGATCTATATCCCTGTTTTGGTACCAGTACCATGCTGTTTTGGTTACTGTAGCCTTGTAGTATAGTTTGAAGTCAGGTAATGTGATGCCTCCAGCTTTGTTCTTTTGGCTTAGGATTGACTTGGCAATGCGGGCTCTTTTTTGGTTCCATATGAACTTTAAAGTAGTTTTTTCCAATTCTGTGAAGAAAGTCATTGGCAGCTTGATGGGGATGGCATTGAATCTGTCAATTACCTTGGGCAGTATGGTCATTTTCACGATATTGATTCTTCCTACCCATGAGCATGGAATGTTCTTCCATTTGTTTGTGGATACAAAATTCTTGGTTGATTTTTTGTTGTTGTTGTTTAAAGAGGCTAAAGATAAGACTCGAATCCCTTCTAGCTTGTAAGGTTTCTGATGAGAAATCTGCTGTTAATCTGATAGGTTTTCCTTTATAGGTTACCTGATGATTTGCCTCACAGCTCTTAAGATTCTTTTCTTCATCTTCACTTTAGTTAACCTGATAACTATGTGCCTAGGTGATGATCTTTTTGCAATGAATTTCCCAAGTGTTCTGTCAGCTTCTTGTGTTTGTATGTCTAGATCTCTAGCAAGATCAAAGAAGTTTTCCTCAATCATTCCCTCAAATATGTTTTTCAAACTTTTAGATTTCTCTTCTTCCTTGGGAACATCAATTATTCTTAGATTTGGTCATTTAACAAAATCCCAAACTTGTTGGAGGCTTTGTTTATTTTTAAATTCTATCTTCTTCATCATCGTTGGACGGAGTTAATTTGAAAACTTTGTCTTCGAGCTCAGAAGTTCTTTCTTCTACTCATTTGATTCTATTGCTGAGACTTACCAATGGATTTTGCATTTCTCTAAGTGTGTCCTTGATTTCCAAAAGTTGTGATTGTATTTTGTTTATTCCATTTATTTTCACTGGAGGTCTTTCTATTCATATGCTGCATCTTTTTTTTTTTAATTTCTTTAAGTTGGACTTCACCTTTCTCAGGTGGCTCCTTGGTTGGTTTAATAATTGCTGCTGAATTCCTTTTCTGGCATTTCAGAGATTTCATCTTGGTTTGGATCCATGGCTGGTGAGCTGATGTAATTTTTTGGGGTGTTAAATAACCTTAATTTGTCATACTACCGGAATTGTTTTTCAGTTTCCTTCACACTTGGGTAAGCTGTGTCAGAGGGAAGATCTGGGACTCAACAGTGGCTCAAGGGCTGACAGCAACAAGCTGTTCCTGTCATGCTCTGCTGCCTGCACATGGGCTGGGGGTCAGGGGGTCTGGTGCTGGCTTGGCTTGTGTCTTCATGCTGGGGCCCATGCTGAAGGGGTCGTGCCCGTCTGGGCCAAGTTCTTCTCATGGAAGCTCAGATGAGAGGAGGAGGACCAGCCTCTCACACACACAGGGTTAAGGGTTCTGTGCTTGTCCCATGTGTTAACATCCTATGGGCCAAGCAAGACCCATGACCATGCACAATGGCAATGGGGATCTACTCTGCATTTTCTGGAGAGAGGTGCTGCTAGCTGCATGGCACAGGGCATGGATGTATACTTTAGTTCCAGCAAGGGAGCCAACTGTCCATCCACCCTGCCACACTCCCCTGAATCTTGGAAATACACTGCTGTGACATGGCACATATGCGCCCAGGAAGCAGGTGGATTTCATGCTGGCAGTGGTTGGCTGAACTCTTGCTATCAAGGCTGACTTTTTTCTGTCTCCTCTGTTCCATCCTGGGATGTCTGGGAAGTGTTGGCCTCTAAGGAGTCCTCCAAGTGCGGAGAGTTCCCTTTTCAGGCCCTCTCTTTCTTCTCTATAAAAATGAGCAGGTCAAAGGCCATGGCTTCAGAGAGTCCTTTTTAGGCCTATAGTTTGTGATCCATTGATTACTGTGTTATTCCGGATGAAGAATTTACCCCCTTCTACCTCCATTCCCACCTCTACCCATTGCTGGCAATGTGGTACCAGACTCACAGGCCCATCCTGGTGGGGGTGTGCATGTGGGAGAGGGGGCTTATGGTGAAAACCCAGGAGGAAACAGAAGAAGGGGACTGGGAAACAGTAGTGACCCCCCTGTGCTGCAGAGGGAGGTGCAGGTAGAGTGAGTGGTGGGGAACGTGGCTGTCCCTTGTGAGGCAACACGTCTGGTGGAAGCAGAGGGCGCTTGTTCCTCAACCTCTGCCCATGCATTCTCTCCAGTGCGCCAGTCCCTGCCGTCTCACACCCCGTTTCTCTGCTCCAAGGAACAGTACAGGGTGTGGACACTGGTGAAGCTCATCCTTAATAACCAGCTGCCCTGAAGCTTCATGGTGCTGCGGCTTGGCTGGGAAGTCCATGCTAGGCTGGAAAGCATGAGCCGGGACCTTCCAACAAGCTGAGCACACAGGCCTGTGCATGTTGGGTGGGGCTGGGGTCTCAGTGCTGAGGCAGCACTTTGCTGTATTTTCAATTTTTAATTTCTTGTAAAAGATAAAAAGATGATGGAATTATGTCAGGAGGACACAGGAAGCAGCTTAAAGGGGCTCTCACTAGTCAACTCAGATATTTTAAACATTCAAATAAGTGATAGTAACAGATTACAACTCATTGAATAAAATAAGAAACCGTGAGTCTTCTAGATCTGTGGATAAATAGATGATTAACAAATAGAGAGATAGAAAGATACATACAGATAAAGGAGAAAAGTTCTTCCTTGGAGTAAAAAGAATGCCATTAATGAATATATAAAAAAAGAAGCAATTTTATTTTTCTATATTCATTAGAAAATAAATAATAAACTTTTTTATTGTAGTTTTGAAGTGACTTCAAACTTACAAAAAGCAGCAAGAGTAATATAAAGAGCTCCTGTACACACCCAGACCCTCCCACTCCTCACATTGTGTCTCGCGCGCTTTTCCCTCTTTCTATATGTGTATGCACTGTTACAGCTTTTCCTGAGCCATTTCAGAGCAAGCTGCAGGTGTGACTCCTTTTGTCCTTAGACATTCTCATGTGTGTCCCCTAAGGCCAAGGACATTCTCCAGCACAGCCTCAGTGCAGTGAGCGGAATCACGGCACTAGCATGGGTCCACACTGTCGTCTAATCTGTCGTCCAGGCAATTCATCAACCGTGTGTCGTTGTCAGGCCGCCTCAGTCTCCTCTGATCTGAAACAGTTTCTCAGTCTTTCTTATCTTTGTAATCTTGTCATTTTTGAAGATAACCGGCGATTTCATAGAATGTCCTCAGCTGGGCTTTGTCAATGGATGAGATTCAGGCTATGCAGATTTTCAGAGAAGAATTGTAGATGTGATCTTGTGTCCCTCATTACCTCCTACCAGGAGGCCATAACAACGCTGTCCCATGGCTGATAGACACTAACCTTGATCTCTAGATTCAGATGGTATCTGACAGGTCTCTCCACAGTACAGTTTACTTTTCTCTCCTTTATATTTAGTAAGTGTTTCATGGAGAAATACTTTGAAATATATATTTATGTCTTACTTATAAAGTTTTCACTTTTGCTTTCTAGCTTTAGCATACAATAATAATTCCTGTTTGAATCAGTTGTTATTATGATTGCTTTCAAATTATATTCATAAGTTCGTTTTTTAAAAATACTTATAAATGACATTCATTCTACTGCAAGGAAACACTTTACTCTTTTCCCTATCTATCCATCTATCTGTTAGACATCAATTTTTCCATAGATCTATCTGACTCATGGCTTCTTATTTTACTCAAGGAGTTATAATCTATTGCTCTTGTTTATTAGAATGTGAAAATTACCTCAGGGTAGGTTAGTGGAAGCCCCTTTAAGCTGCTTCCTGTGTCCTCTTGATATGTTTCCATCATTATTTGAGCCTATCCTTACTTTCTGATATAACAAGAAGTTCCGGATTTATGTTTTACTTTCTCTGATCCAAGGTGAAAATCAGTGGTTGGAATCTGCAGTGAATGTAGAAAGGAATTCCCGCGTGCTGCCTGTACTCACCGCTCCTGGAATGCCGTGAGGCCTCAGTCAGTGGTTCTCAACCTGGGGCAATTTTGCTTCCCAGGGCACATTTGGTAATGTCTAGGATGTCTTTGGTTGTTCCGATTTGTAAGGCAGGTGCTACTGGCATTTAGGGAGAGAGGGAAGGGATGCTGATCAACATTCTGCAATGCACAGGACATTTCCAGAAAAAGAATTCCTAGGTCTCAAATGGCCACAGTGCAGAAGGTGAGGCAACTTGTTCTTGGCCTTGTCTGTTGGTCAGTGCTACAAAATACATACAAAAACTTACCCACGTGTAGATAGCTATTGTTCTATTACATATTTATGTATTAAAAACTCTAAGTTATTATTGACACCAAACCCAATGCAATGAGATTCTTTCCAGTCCCCTCCTTTCTATAGTTGTGACTCCTTTCTTGGACAATTATAAACCTTCATTCCATTATAATCAATATATTTACTTGCTTTCTGTGTACTAGAACTCACAGAAAGTGAAACATTATTCTAGATCAGTGTTTCCCAATTTATCTTCACAGGACACTCTTTCTCATGGTTGCTGATACATGTTAGCCCTTCCCCTCAAAACACAAAGGGTATGAGGAACAGAATCATCTAGAAAAGTTGGAAGAGAATTAATCAGATTCTTATCACAAGTATTTTTTGTTTTAATGAATATTCTAATGTGCATTGGTATCTCTGAATGGAGGCTTTTGTATACAGAATAATTTCAATGTATTTTTCAGGGAATCTTTGAAAATGTAATTAGCAGCATATATTAACTCATAGCCACATTTGTGCTGTGTGCAACAGTTTGCAAACACTGTTTTAGATCTTTTGCACCCTGCAAGGAGTTTTTCTAGATTTTTTCATGAACATAAAGAATTTCATGCTTTTGAGGAAATTCATTACTGAGAAATATTTATACAGCAGGTTTTCTCTGTACTAGTACACTATTACATGAGACTGTGTATGTGTGTATGAGATTGTGTGTGTGCATGCACCTGAACAAGGCACCAATCCCTCAGGAGCCTGAGAGCTGCCCACTACGGGTCCCCTGATGGCTCACTCCATTCAACAGCTCTTGTGTTCCCCCGGAAGCCCTCATTGCTCTTCTCTGAGGTCTCTGGGTTCCCACTGCAGCATTTGTTATCACTGTTGTAGTTCAGCAGCACCATGGCATTTTCCTAGGGTAGCATCACATTGGAGATGCACTCGCTTTACCTCCTGTGCTTCCTACCAGTGGGCTCAACCTACTCCAAGGCAAGCTCTTCTCATGAGACTCCCAGGCTGAGAAGGAAAGAAAGGGGTGTCTATCAGCTGCCATGTCTATGCCTCTCTGCCTCCTTTTTTCCATGCACATGGCGCACTGCCTACTTGCTCAATGCTGTGGTCTCAGCTCTAGCACAGGAATCAGTAGGGAATTAGTTGACTGAATGAATGGATTCTCTAACAATCTTTACAAAATGTGTTTTCCACATTTTTCAGACAAGGAACCTGCAACAAAAAGTGTCAGTCCCTACACTGTGATCTCATCACTGCTCAGCACTCATTCAGTCAAAATAAGGTTATGGTGTGACTGCTGTATGCTAGGAACTATATTCTCATCAGAAAAGGAATCTCTCTATATTTTGGGAATACATGAAGAACAAAATGATGATGTGTAAGAGGTTCTTGCCAAACTGCTCGGCACAGAGAAGCCCTGGAGAAAGGGTGAGAGTGTTGCTGGTGTGGGCTCTGTTGGCTGGGTTCCAGGACTCTTCTTCTGGGACACCCTGTGCTTCCTGCCACCCTCCCCAGGGTCATTTCTTATCCTTCCCCAGTTGCATTTTGATATTTCCTTTAAGATTTCACTATTTTTCAAAAGATGGAAAAGTAATTAAAACACTAACCATCAAAACAGCAGTTCTCACAAGTAGTCATCATCACCTCATGGGAGCTGCCAGCAAGCTATCCACATGGAATCATCTTATCCACACTGGGAAAGTCTCTGAAACACCCATAAAGGCATGTTCATCCAGTATGCACACTGAGTGTCCTCCACATTCCACAGATTGTGAGAAGCACAGACACATTACAGAGAATGAGATGGATACAATATTGCCTTCAATGAACTGGTTGCCAAGTCAAATTCTAACTGCAGAGAATGATCAGGAAAGATCAATTTGAGGAAATAACATTTGAGCTAGACTTTTAAGGAGGAGAAAGAGCCAGCTGCAGAAAGCCAACAAGAGGGGTGTTTGATGCAAAGAAAATCATAAACCGACCCCCAGCTGGAAATGATCCTAACCTGTGGAAGCTCCTGAATTGAGTGAGGGACTGGCCGGCAGGAGAGGTAAGCAGACTGGGTTTGGTGGATGAGCAGATATCAATTCCTGCCATGCCTTGCACACCGTGCTGAAGAATTTCTATTTTACTCCAAGTGAAATGAGAAGCCTTTGAAAGCTTTTACCAGGACATGACAAGACACCTTTTATATTATTAGAAGGCTGGCATGGCCACAGGGAAGGAACGGGCTTCTAGTTGGTGAGAATGGGAGGGCGGAGAACAGTCAGGAGGACATTGCATTTCCTCAGGAAAGAGAGGATAGTGGCCTGTGCCTGTGCCGTGGCCAGGAGGTGGAGCACAGGAGACTGAGGATGCCTGTGAGAGGTGGCGGGGCAGGACTTGCTGAGGGCTGGGTTGAGGGCGCAGTGAGGAGGAAAGAACAGAACTGCAGCCCAGGCCTGAGTAAGTTACAGGATGGTTACTCAGCCAAGGCAGAGGTGAGGATGAGCAGATTTTCAGGGCTGGGGCTTTGGAGAGGAATCCAGAGCTGTTCCCACAGAGGCTTGGGATGTCACCCATGTAGGACTGTGGATCTCAAATGCTACTCCCTGGATCCAGCCTGGATGTTCAGGTTTTACCAGAGTGCAGGGGAGGGCACCTCTCGATTTTGATCATGGACTTCATATGGTGCAGTACCACATGGTTTTCCATTATGAATTAGTGATAGTCAATTTTAGTCTTTGCCAACCATATTTGGAAAATCAACATTAGCAGTCCTTAATCCAAAAAAGCATGGATTACAGGAACCCAGAGTCTATAACCCATCGCTTGGAAGGTGTCTGAGAGGGATCCTGGGCTGTGTCCGAGTTGGCAGGCAGGGTGGGTGGCTGATTTCTGAGAGACAGAGGGCATCTGACGGAAACTAAGGCGGGAAGAGGCTCACAGAGTGGCAATCATCCAACCTCACAATAAAGAAGAGGACAATATTTTGAAATGTGACATGTGAAGATGAAGACATCATGAAGAGAATCTTCCAAGGGGCAGAGAAACCAAAAGCTACAGGGCAATTCCTTTGCCCACAGCCACCTGCCCTGAAAATCCTGCTGGGTTCATGAGTTTGCAGAGAACCTCTGTAAGGTGGGGCCTGCATCCTCCACTTCACACACTGACCACCAGAGGGAAGCACTCACCCACTGATGTCCAGTCCCTCAGGTCCCTCTACTCCAGCTTCACCCTGGGGAGCAGGCTCTGAAAGTGGCCCTGGGGTCGACATAGGGTCTGCCTTGAAGGAAGAAGCTCTACAAACTAAACACTCCCTGAGTGCTGTATGGGTTCTGCAGAGGCCCCTCTGCTTGGCTCTGTCCTTGCTGCTCTGGGTTACCTGGGTGTGCAGGGTTTTATTGCTCAGAGCCATGGCCAGTAGATGGCACAGCCTCCTGTTCCTGCAGCTGTCCCCACAGCCCCTGCTGGACAGGCCCAGAATGGACCCTCTCAGAAGACAAGGACTCTCTCAGGGTGGGTGATGAACATGTGGACACCTCTGTGGACAAGACTGGTTTCTTTCCTCTCTTTCACTCTTCCCCCTTCCGCTTATCTCCCTGTTCACTCTCTTCCTTCCCTCCCCCTTTACTAAAGCTACTCATCTCCCAACTACTTCTTATTCATGGTCCCTTCTGGAGGTCAGAAGTATGAATGCCAGGGAAAATCTACTTTTGTTCCTGTGGTTAACAGGGACACGCGATTCATTTGTGGTTAACAGGGACTCGCGATTCATTTGTGGCAGACACAGTTTTCCATCCACGATGAGGAGTCTAAGGAGAAGATTTACCTGAGTCCCGACCTGATAAATCTCTAGAGGGTAGAACTCTCTTACTAGTACCTGGCCAGGCCTGGTGCTTACATTCTACTCCAAATAGCTTCATCCTCTCCCATAAAACATAGTATCACCACCATCTCCATCCAAGCCATCACCATTATCATCACGACAATCACCACTGTCCCATCACCATCACCGTTATCACCACTGTTGTAACCATCATCACTAGTGTCACCATCATTATCTCCACCAACATCACCATCAATCTCAGTACCATCAGCACATTTATCCCCATTATCATCAACACCCCATCACCACTATTACCATCACTATCAACCACCATCACCATCACCGCCATCACCATCATTATCAACACCATTGCCATTGCCATAATTATTACTACTAACATCACCATCACCACCATCACCACAACCACCACCATTACCATCATCACTACCATCACCACCACCATTGCCATCACCATCACCACCACAGTCACCATGGTAATCCTCATCAGTAACACCATCATCTTCATAACTACCATTACCAGTATCAACATGACCACCATAACCACCATCATCACCACATCACTATCTTCATTACCATCATCATCACCATAATCACCGCCACTCTCACCACCATCATCATTATCATCACCACCATCTTCTCCCTTATCACCACCATCACCATTACTGCCACCACCATCACCATCAGCACTTTTGCCACATCATAACCACTACCACCACCATCACCAATATTATCACCACCATCATCACTACCATCACCACGCTATGACCATTATTACCAACATGACCACTGCAATCCCCATCATCACTGTCACTATCACCACCATTACTATCATCACCAGAATCACCACTGCTGCTATAGCATCATCATTAGCATCTTCACCACCATCACCATCTCCACCTCCACAATACCATCATCATCACCATCATCATTATCATCGTCACTGCTGGGTGTAAGCAGTTACTCTGCATTGGGCACTGTTTTCTGCCCTTTATCAACCTCATGTGATTATACAGTCACTCTGATTCTATATTTTATACAGAAAAAGAAGGTGGTAATTGGCTTTGTAACATTATAACTGCCTTCTATTCTCAGAACTATTTTGACATCAATAAAAAAGAAGACTTATTTTATTTCTCATCTCCCACATTGCTGGATGCTGTCTAGATAGGTCTGGTCTGGACATCCACAGTGAACTCCTCACTGGTCCACTAGTCTCCACCCTTAGATTCTGTTTCTCTGGTTCTCAAATGTTCTGAAAGCCACATCCCCTGCCACATGAGGCCCTGGAAACTTGCCCTCTGTGGCTGCCCTCCAGCCTTTGCCCATCACATAGCTTGGCCTTTAGAGAAGCTGGACTTCCTTGATGTTCTCAGACACATCCTGTCCAAGCTTATATGAATTTGCCCTTCTGGAAAGTGCACCTGTAGCTCCCCACCCACCCTAGATCTTTGCCTCTTCAAATATAACATGCTTCCCAAGTTCAGGTCTACACAAACCTTTTCTATAAATCCTTCTCTGATCCATGTAACCAGGTGTGAACCTTTTGATTTTGGTCTCCTACAGCACTTTTATGTTGACTATAGGCATTTATCCTCCTCCTCTCATGGTCTTTCTTACTCGTGTGTGTATTTCTGTCCCCCACTAGTCCATGAGGTCCTGGAGAGCAAGGACTGAGTCTCCTTCCCCATGTGATGTGCCTTTCAGAGATCACTGAGAGAATCACAAACCAAAACTAGCTAATAATAATGTCACCTTACAATGAACATAATTCAATAATTTATTATAGCATCACATAACTGCTTAGTAGTTACTATTACTGTCTCCATTTTACAGATGAAGAAACTGAACCACAGAGAGGCAAGTATTACAAAGTTGCACAGCTTATAAGTGGAAGAACCAGGCTTTTAACCCATGCAGTCTGGTTTCATGCTTTTGGCATGAGGTTAGATCTCCCAGCAGTCCCCAGTCCTCAACACCTTTGGATACTTGGCAAATTCCATGGTGGGCCCAGTTTGATAGCCTTTGACCTGGAGCTCAGTGTTTGAAACCCCTGAAACTCCAGGGTCATCTCTCCTCATATGGAACTTGACACTTATTCACGCCCATATGTCTTGGCCCAGACTCCCTGTTTTGGAATTCCCTTCCCCTATGTCACCTCATTGATTCCTCTTCAACTTTTGTGATTCCACAGAAATTACATTCTCCATAAAGATGACTGTCAAGATTGGGCTACCCAGAGGGAGACCTTGTAACCAGAATTCAATTTCAAGTGGCTTATCTGGAAGGCAGTCCCAGGGTACACTCCTAGGACAGTGAGGAAATGAAATAGGGATGAGAAGGTGGTCAATACTATGAGTGTGAGCTGTCAGGCTACTGCTATGCAGCTCATTTCTGCTGGGAACTTCTGGGAGATTGTGTTTAACATGTCAGCTGGTGTCAGTCCTTGGAGAATGTGTCAGGGAATTAGTTATCTTGCACTTACTTGGGCTATTTGTACAGGTAAATGGGTACAGATGCTGGTAATTGGAAGTTGGGCTGGTAGGTGCTCAAGTAGAGAGGACCCAGGAATGTGGGCAGCTTGTCCTCCTCTCCCAGCCTCTGTGGGTTTGGTTCCCTTCTCTGTGCTCTCCAGTGCCCTGTTCTCTCCTCTGATTTCCACTTCCCTCTCTAGCAGACCTGACACTCATTGAGGGTGGATGACTCGGATCTTCCTGCTTGATATCTCCAGCACCCAATCGAGCGTCTACCACACATCACATGCTCAATAATACAGGAGGAGGACACAATTAGGCCCATTTTATGACAAGCCTGAAAATTTTCTATAAATCTTTGTTTGACAACTTTAATTTATGGACAAATATTCTTGAATAATTAAAAGAGAAACATTTTATAAAAGTTGCAGGAACAAAAAGCAAATAGCTTTATGTCATTAAAAAAAAAATCACACAGAAAAGTTAAAATGTCTATAAAGGAAATGAGAGACAAGGAAAATTGTAATCATTAGCTTGGAGGCCCAAAAGTAAAATAAGGTAAAGGTGAAAATGAATCACAGGTGCCATGAAGCTCATTCCCTTCTATGAAACAAGGAATTGGGTAAGAGAGGCAACCCGAAGCCACATGCCAGCACCCAGACAGTTCCAAGTGGGTTCAGGGCAAAATAATCTTGGCATCTTGGTGAACTCGGTGGGTGAAAACACAAATGATCATCAAGGTACTCTGCCTAGGTGTTGCTTGACTGCCCAAAGATGGGTAAAATATTTTCTGTGTACTTTAAGGCATTTTCAGGATACTGTATACATATATATATATATATTTTTTTTTTTTGTCATGGAGTCTCACTGTGTCCCCCAGGCTGCAGTGCAGTGGCTCAATCTCAGCTAAATACAACCTCTGCCTCCTAGATTCAAGCAATTCTCCTGCCTCAGCCTCCCAAGTAGCTGGGACCGCGGGTATGCGCTACCATGCCCAGCTAATTTTTGTATTTTTAGTAAAGACAGGGTTTCACTATGTTGGCCAGGCTGGTCTCGAACTCCTGACATCAAGTGATCGACCCGCCTTGGCCTCCCAAAGTGCTGGGATTATAGGCATGAGCCATCCCCCCTGTGAGGTGACTATATTTTATTATACTTCTATTATTTGGTTTCAGGTCCACTGTGTCCAAAATGTCTGGGGAAGTGGAGGTGGTGAGCAGGGAGAAACTGGGATCTGAGCTGTGCTATTGCTTGCCTGGTATCCTGGTGCTGTGGGCAGAAGCACAGACATCTGCCTGATGTGATTGAGTGGGTATTTGTGATAGTCTTTAGGGCTGTCCCTTGAGTGCTTCTGTTTCTTATGGGTACAAGATAGGATTGTCCTTCCCCTTCCTTTGAGTTG
This sequence comes from Homo sapiens, assembly GCF_000001405.40. NCBI lineage: Eukaryota > Metazoa > Chordata > Mammalia > Primates > Hominidae > Homo > Homo sapiens. Next base: position 23,728,409 of record NC_000020.11, read on the forward strand.
GCTGTAGTCATGACCTGCTTTGGTCAATATAATAGATGAATAAGTGACATCTGTTACTTCCAGTTGCACTTGGGGAAAGCTGGTGCTTATTGCCTTGGCCCCTGATACTGTTGTGAGGGTGTCTTCTCCATCATCTTGGGATCCAGAGTGAGCACAACATAGTTCAGCACCCCGACACACATGCAGTGCATCTATACAAATAGCAGTCACAGTAATGGAATGGTATGTTGCTGTCTTAAGTCCCTCGTACTTTTTTTTGTTACCACAGCATAACACAGCTCATCCTGACTGATGCCACCATTTCCAGATAAGAGAAATGCGACTGAGAAAGATTAAGATATTTTCTTAAGATTGGACATTGTGTTCCTACCCATTGTGCTTGCCTTATAGGTATGTGTTCTGGTTTTGACAATTAAGATATAGACAAAATGAGGGCAGAAACATTTGATTATTTACTCAGAGCAGGAGAGGGAGAAAGAGAATTAATGTGAAAGGAAGAAGATATGTAAGGAGGAAAAATAATAAACTAGGAACCAAGCACATGCAATCTTTATAATTTCTTAGAGTTTTCTTCCCTTTTGAAAGTCTGTTTTATTTTAAAAAAGGAAGGAGGATCTTCCATTAATTTTATAGGACATCTCATGCTTTTTGTAAAACAGAGTTTTATTCATTTTCCACTAAATGCAAATATTTATTGCCCATCTACTATACACTATACATTCACCTTTGTTCTGCATATTTCTCCTCTTTTTAAAAGGTATAATTTGTCAACATTCAGTTCATAGATTTATAGCCAAATGTTGTCTGTATACCTATTGGTTTCACTTTGATCTCCTATATCCAGAAAAAGTAAATAATCAAGAAAAGACTTTAATAACTAATTATAAGATAAACATTAAGGCTTCTGTGTACACTATAGAGTTTGTTTTAAAATTATTTTTGTACTCATTCATTCATTTCTCTTAATTTTTTTTCCAGTTGAAAGAGAGTTTATTTAAGCACAGAGATCAAGCAAGAGTGGAGCACAGGACACACTTTCAGGTTGCCTTGGGGACTGCTCTGTAGAACAAAAAATCAAACTCAAGATTTTAAGGAAAAAAAGTACAAGTGAAGAGAAGGCGTGATTACCAAAGTTGTTGATCTAATTCTCATTGATTTACAGAAATAACAGTGGCTAATGATCAGCTATACATTGTTGAATTATAGGATGTATGGCATTTAAAAATGTATTTATTTAAAACTAATTTTTTTAGATTTTTGATGGATTTAGGGGTACAGGTGCAGTTGTGTTACATGTATATATTTTGTAGAGATGAAATCTGGGCTTTTACGTACAACTACCCAAAAAAGATACATTGTACCCAATAGGCAGCATTTCACTTTCACCCTCATTCTATCCTCCCACTGTTTGGAGCCTCCAATGTCTATCATTCCACTCAGTAAGTCCATGTCCACGGTTTAGCACCCATGTATAATTGGGAACATGCAGTTCTTGATTTTCTGTTTCTGAGTCATTTCACTAAGGGTAATGGCCTCCAGTTCCACACACATGCTGCAAAAGTCATAATTTCATCCACTTTTATGGCTGAATAGTATTCCATGGTATATATCTACCAGATTGTTTTATTCAATGATATGTTGATGGACACTTAGGTTGATTTCGCAATTTTGCTATTCTGAATTGTGCTACAATAAACATACAAATGCAGAAGGCTTTTTTATATAATGATTTCTTTCTTTTTGGGGAGTACATGTGCAGTAGTGGAATTGCTGGATTGAAGGGTAGTTCTATTTTTAGTTTTCTAGAAATTATCATACTGTTTTCCATAGAGGTCATGCTAATTACACACCAACCAATACATATTTTCCAACATCTTGCTTTTTGACCATTTTTGAGACAGGGTCTCCCTCTGTTGCCCAGGCTGAAGTGCAGTGGCATGATCATAGGTCACTGCAACCCCAATCTCTTGGGCTCAAGGCATCCTCTTGGGTCTGCCTCCTGAGTAGTAAGGACTACAGGCCCATACCACCACACCTGGATATTTTTTTTCTTGTTTCTTGAGACAAGGTTCCACTATGTTGCCCAGGCTTATCTTGAATGCCTGGACTCAAGTGATTCACCCACCTCAGCCTCTCAAAATACTGTGATGACAAGCATGAACCACTGCACTTGGCCATTTTTTGACTGTTTAATAACAGCCATTGTGACTATTATAAGATGGTATGGCATTGCGGCTTTAATTTTCATTTCTCTGACATTTAATTATGTTAAGTATTTTCATATGTTTGCCGTTTATATGTCTTTTATTTAAAAATGTCTGTTCATACCCTGTGGCCACTTTTTAATGGGGTTATTCTTGTTTTTCTTGTTGAGTTGTTTAAGTTCCTTGTAGAGCCTGGATATTAGCTCTTTGTCAGATACACTGCTGGCAAATCTTTCCGCCCATTCTGCAGGTTGTTTGTTTACTGAGAATTATTTCTTTTGATGTGCAGAAGCTTTTTAGTTTTATTAAGTCCCATTTCTCTGTTTTGGTTTTTGTCGTATTTTATTTTGAGGACTTCATGATAAATTATTTGCCTAGACCAATATTTAGAAGAGTTTTTCCTAAGTTGTCTTCTAAGATTTTTTTAGTTTCTGTTCTTACATTTAAGTCTTTAATCCACCTTGAGTTAATTTTTGTATGTGATGGAAGGTAAGAGGCCAATTTCATGAATCTACATATGGCTCACCAATTATCCCAGCACCATTTATTGAATAGAATGTGATTTCTCTTTATAAAATTTTGTCAACTTTGTCAGCGATCAGTTGGTTGTAGCTATGTGGCTTTATTTTTCCATATGTGTCTCTTTCTACAACAAGACCATGCTGTTTTGGCTACTAGAGCCATACAATATAATGTGATCTGTCCAATTTTATTCTCTTTGCTTAGCATTGCTTTGGGTATTCAGGATCTTTTTTGGTTCCATGTGAACTTTACGATTTTTTTTTTCTGATTCTATGAAGAATGACATTGGTAGTTTGATAGTAATTTAATTGAATCTGTAGATAGCTTGGGCAGTATGGTCATTTTAATGATATTGATTCCCCCAGTCTATAAGCATGGGATTTTTAAAATACATTTTTGCCATCTATTATTTCTTTCTTTAGTGTTTCATAGTTCTCTTTGTAGAGATCTTTCACTCCTTGATTAAATGTATTTCAAGGTATTTTATTACTTTTTGTAACTATTATGAATTGGATTGAGTTCTTGATTTGGTTCTCAGCTTGGACATTATTGTTATATAGAAATGCTACTGATTTTTGTACATTAATTTTGTATCCTGAAACTTTCATGAAGAAATTTATCAAATCGAAGAGCCTTTTGGGGGAATCTTTAGGGTTTTCTAGGTATAAGTTCATATCATAAAAAAATACGAGAATTTGACTTCCTCTTTTAGAACTTTGATGTACTTTATTTCTTTCTTCTGCCTGATTGCTTTAGCTAGAACTTCCAGTAGTACGTTGAATAGGAGTCCTCGTAGTGGATATCCTTGCCTTGTTCTTATTCTTAGGGAAAATGTTTTCAACTTTTCTTCATTCAGAATGATGTTGGCTTTGGGTTTGTCATATATGGCATTTATCGTTTTGAGGTATGCTCATTTTATGCCTAATTGGTAAGGGTCTTTATTATGAAGAGATGCTGGATTTTGTTGAATGCCTTTTTCTGAATCTTTTGATATGATCACATGGTTTTTGTTTTTAATTCTGTTTATATGGTGAATCCTATTTTTTGATTTGTGTATGTTGAATCAATCTTGCATCTCTGGAATAAAACCCACTCAATCTTGTGTATTAGTCTTTGATATGCTGTTAGATTTTGTGTGGTAGCATTTTGTTAAGGATTTTTGCTTCTATGTTTATTACAGATATTGTTTTGTAGTTTTTTTTGTTGTTGTTGTTGTTGTTTTTGGTTGTGTTCTTTTCTATCTTTGGTATCATTGCAATGCTGACTGCATAGAATAAATTAGAGAAGATTCCCTTTTTGGAACAGTTTCAGTAAGATTGGCAGCAGTTCTGTCTGGTACATCTGATAGTACCTGGCTTTGAACTCATCTGGTCCTAGGCTTTTTTGTTGTTGGGATTTTTTTTCTTACTAATTCAATTTTATTACTTATTATTGGTCTGTTCAAAATTTCTGTTTCTTCCTGGTTGAACCTCAGGGGTTGTATATTTCCAGAAATCCATCTGTTTCTTCTAGGTTTTCTCATTGATCACATAGAGTTGCTCAGAGTAGTCTTTGATAATCTTCTGTATTTCTGTTGTTATCAGTTGTAATGACACCTTTATCACTTCTGCTTGCACTTGTTTGAATCTCCTCTCTTTGTCTGTTGGTTAATCCAGCTAGTGGTCTATTGATTTTGTTGATCTTTTCAAACAACCAACTTCATTTCATTGATTCTTTTTTTTTTTTTTTTTGGTCTCAATTTCATTTAGTCCTTTTCTGATTTTTATTCTTTTTTTCCTTTTTTACTAGCCTTTGGTGTGTTTTTTTCTTTTCCTCAAGTTTCTTGAGGTATAACCTTAAGTTGTTTATTTGAGATCTTTCTATCTTTTTCATGTAGGCAGTTAATGTTATAAACTTCCCTCTTAGCACTGATTTTGTTGTTTTTCGGATATTTTTTGCAAGCTATATCTTTATTTTTATTCATTTACAATTTTTTTGATGTGGGTCTTAATTTCATCATTGGTCCAACAGTCGTTCAGAAGCAGATCATTTAATTTTCATGTATTTGTATAGTTTTGAGTATTCCTCTTAGTGTTGATCTGTATTTTTATTTCACTGTTGTTTTTAGAAGGTGCTTGATATGATTTCAATTTTTTTACATTTATTGAGATTTTCCTTGTGGCCTAGCATGTGATAAATTTTTGAGAATGTTTCATGCATACATGAGAAGACTGTATATTCTGAGGTTGTAGGGTAGAATATTTTGTAAATATCTGTTAGGTCCATTTGCTCTAGAATTCAACTTTAATCCAGAATTTTTTGTTGTTGTTGATTTTCTGCCTCAATGAACTGTCTAGTTGTGTCAGTGGGATATTGAAGTCCCATACAAATACTGTATTGGTAGCTATCTTTTTTTTTAGGTGTAGTAGTATTTGTTTTATGAATCTAGGTGTTCCAATGTTTGGTGCACATGTATTTGGAATTGTTAGATCTTCTCAAATAAATTTCTTTATCATTATATAATTACCTTCTTTGTCTCATTTATAGATTTTTCTATATTTTTTACTTTTTTCTTCTCTCTCTGGAATATCTATGACTCTTATTTTTACATGCTTTTTATATGGTCCCATATTTCTTGAAATCTTTAATCATTAATTTTTTTTTCCTTTATTTTTGTCTGGCTGGATTAATTTGAAAGACCTACTTTCCATCTCTGAAATAATTTCTTCTGCTTTGGTCAAGCCTACTGTTGATGCTTTTACCTGGATTTTAAAATTTCACCAATACAGTTTTTATTTTTAGTAGTTGTATGGGTTTTTAAAAATCTATCTCTTTTTTCATGTCTTGAATTGTATTTCTGATTTATGTTGCTTTTCAACTATCTCTTGGCTTATTTTGTGCTTTTTAAAAATCAGTATTTTAAATTCTTTATCAAGCATTTCAAAAAAATTATTTTCATGAAGACCCATTTCTGGAGAGTTAGTGTGGTCCTTTTGAGGTATTGTTACTCTCTGCTTTTCCATACTTTTGAATTTTTTTTTGCTGATTCTTTCTCATCTGCAAAAGCTATCTCTGCTTCTAATTCTTAAATTTACTTTCATTTGGAAGGGATGTTTTTGTTTTTTTCTTTTCTCCCTTGAGAATGTGTATAATGTCTGCTGTGTAGGGTTCAACTTTGGTTCTGGACTTTCATTGTTAAAGGTTCTGTGTATGTTCCTTGGTTATAGATAGTCTTTGTATGGTGGCTTTCTCAGATGTTGGTTGTAGTAGTGGTGTAGGGATGAATGAGTGGGTTCACTGTCTCCTACAAGTCCAGTGTGGTTGAGGTCTCAGGAAGCTTATCTCATTCTCCAGTGCAATGCATTTCTGTCAGCAGATTTTCTATTAGATTGTGTCATTTATTTTCCAAGCCAGTGTGTGGTGCTTATGGATAAGAACCAGCTAAGGCTGATGCAAATGGGGCATATACTTGATCTTTGTTTATGGCGAGATGCTTTCTGTTGCCTCAGGCAATGGGCTATGTTGTGCAATGCACAGTGGTGTGAGCTCCCTGTACAGTCCTGGACTAAGGGAACAAGTTGGTTGGGGCCAGAGAATGCAGACATGCCTACATGTCCACCAGTGGTAGGTGCAAGCACTAGCTCTGAGGGCAGATAAAGAGGCAGCTGCAAAACATCCAGAGAGCTGCCTGGGTATGGAGGGGATAACCCTCTGCTGCCCAAAGTTCTCTGCCTGGAAAGGGAGTGGTAACCTACCCTCCTAATCTTGAAAAGTGAGTAATCCATATGCCTGAAGATATGTCCAGGCATGGAGCATAGTGGGTGCTGCTGATTCAAGACCTATGCACCTGAAGGGAGGAGTGGCTGAGGCTCCTAATCCAGGTGAGAAGGTTCTCCAAATGCCTGGGAATGTGCCCAGCATGGAGTGGAGAGGGTGCTGCTGCAGAAAGATCTCTGCATGAGAAGAGAGGGGCAGCTCAGATTCCTATTCCGGGTAAGTGGGTCCTCAACATGCCTGGAAGTATCCCTGAGCATGACAGAGAGGGCACTGTTGTACCAAGATTTCTGCACAGGATAAGAGAAGTGACTCAGGGTTCCAGTCCAGTAGAGTAGGTGTGCTGAATGCTTGGAACGATACCTTAGAGTGGAGTAGCAAAGTACAGATGCACCAAGATCTCTGCATTAGAAGGGAAAGGCAACTTATGCTCCTAATCCAGGTGAGGGGGCACACTGAATTCTTGAAATTATGCCTGGTTGTGGAGTGAAGAGGGTGCTTCTACACCAAGATGTCTGCACGGGAATGGAGGCGTGACCCAGGATCTTAATCTATGTGAGCAGATGGGCCAAATGCCTGGAAATATGCCCCTCAGTGAGGAACAAAAAAATTTGCTTCAGAGCAGTGAAATGGCTATTGCAAAAAGGTCTTTGCAGGAAAGGCTGCTAGACACTTATTTCAGGAAGTGGAAGTGTTGAATGCTGGGAAATACGCCCAGGCTTGGACCTGAGGGGGTTTGTTGCTTTGCCAAGTTATTTGCAAGATAAGGGAACTGTGGCCCACACTCCCAATTCAGACCAGCAGCTCTGTCTTTGAGTATGCTCTGTAGGCCCATGAGAAGAATGTATGTTCTGTGGTTGATGTGAGAGGTGAAGACAGCTAGGCTTCTGGGTCAGGTGGGGACTTGGAGAACTCTTCTGTCTAGCTAAAGGATTGTCAATGCACCAATCAATGCTCTGTGTCTAGCTAAAGATTTGTAAATGCACCAACCAGCACTCTGTAAAATGGACCAATCAGCAGGATGTGGGTGGGGGCAAATAAGGGAATAAAAGCTGGCCACCTGAGCCAGCAGCTGCTACCTGCTTGGGTTGCCTTGCATGTTGTGGAAGCTTTGTTCTTTCGCTGTTCACAATAAATCTTGCTGCTGCTCACTCTTTGGGTCTGCACTACCTTTATGAGCTGTAACCCTCACCATGAAGGTCTGCAATTTCACTCCTGAAGTCAGTGAGACCATGAACCCACCAGGAGGAATGAACAACTCCAGATGCGCCACCTTTAAGAGCTGTAACACTCACTGTGAAGGTCTGTGGCTTCACTTCTGAAGTCAGCAAGACCACAAACCCAGCAGAAGGAATAAACTCCAGACACATCTGAACTTCAGAAGGAACAACTCTGGACACACCATCTTTAAGAACTGTAACACCCACCACGAGGGTCCACGGCTTCATTCTTGAAGTCAGCAAGACCAAGAATCCACCAGAAATAACCAATTCTGAACACATTTTGGTGACCACGAAGGCACTATCACCTATTACCAAGCAGTGAGTACCATCAGACCCATTTTGCTATTTATTGTGTCCTATTTTTCCTTAGAACTTGGGTGCTAAATACTGGGCACCTGTCAGCCAGTTAAAAGTGACTAGCGCAGCCACCAGACTAAAGACATGGGTGTCAGGCTTTCTGGGAAAAGGCTCTCTAACAACCCCCAACTCTTTAAAGTTGGGAGCGTTGGTTTGCCTGGAACCAGCTTCCACTTTTCCTGTACTTCTGGGCTGAGCTGGGGGTCAACAGAGAGGAAAGCCATTCAGCTCTCAGGGTCAACAATTTGGTTGACCCTGGGGCCATGAGTGGAACTCTCAAAGTCATGTCGCCCAAGCAAGACTCGCCCATCTATCCTATCTATCCTATCTCTCCTGACCCTTGCCTCCTGGATTCTAATGCTTGTCAGACAAACTTCCTCTCACCTCTCTTCTCTGAGGCTAGTCCCACTTCTAAAAACTACTTCCTGTCTCTGGTGCTTTTCTAGTTTCTCCTGTAAGAGTGATTTCTAGTATAAACTTCAGGACTCTGTTACCTTCTTTAGGCTCCCTGGTTCACCAATCAGAAAGACAAAATTTTTGCCCAAAGCCCCATCACAGGGGGGACTATCTGGAATTTTAGGATCCCTCCTCAGACAAGCAGGCCTAGAGAAGCTATTCTGGAAGCTAGGATATGGGGAGCTTCAGAAATGATATCCTTCCTATTCATATAAGTGAGGACAAAAAGGCATCACTCTTCCAACTCTGATGATCCCTCCCCTCCCTCAGGCTATGGCCCTCCACTTCATTTTTCAGGCATAACATCTTTATAGGACAGAGTTAAAGTCCCAACACTAACATGAGAATGCTTAGGACTAACAGGTTTTCAAGAATGTGTTGGTAAAGACCACTAAATCCAATTTTTCTCAGTCTTCTTTGTGGTCTAGGAGGACAGGCAAGGGTGCAGGTTTTCAAGAATGCATTGGTAAGGGCCACTAAATCTGACCTTCCTCAGTCCTCCTTGTGGAAGAAAACTAACGTTTCTGTTGCTGCATTGGTGAGTGAAACTATTCCAATCAGCAGGGTCCAGGGACTGTTGCATGTTCTTGGGCAAGAGGTGTTTCTGCTGCTGCATCGGTGAGTGCAACTACTCCAATCAGCAGGTCCCAAGGACCATTTTGGGTTCTTGGGCAGGGGGAGAAACAAGCAAACCAAAACCATGGGCAGTTTTGTCTTTCAGACGGGAAACACTCAGGCATCAACAGGCTCACCCTTGAAATGCATCCTAAGCCATTGGAACCAATTTGACCCACAAACCCTGAAAAAGAGGTGGCTCATTTTTTTCTGCAATATGGCTTGGCCCCAATATTCTCTCTCTGAAGGGGGAAAATGGCCACCTGATGGAAGTATAAATTACAATACTATCCTGCAGCTTGACCATTTCTGTAAGAGAGAAGACAAATGGAGTGAAATACCTTATATCCAAGCTTTCTTTACATTGAAGGAGAATACACAACTATGCAAAGCTTACAATTTACATCCCACAGGAGGACCTTTCAGGTTACCCCCATATCCTAGCCTCCCTATATCTCCCCTTCCTATTAATAATAAGCCTCCTCTAATCTCACCAGCTCAGAAGGAAATAGGCAACCAAATCTCCAAAGGACCACAAAAACCCCTGGGCTATCAGTTATGCCCCCTTCAAGCTGTAGGGGGAAGGGAATTTGTCCCAACACAGGTAGATGTCCCTTTCTCCCTCTCTGATTTAAAGCAGATCAAGACAGACCTGGGGAAGTTTTCAGATGATCCTGATAGTTACATAGATGTCCTACAGGGCCTAAGGCAAACCTTCAATCTCACTTGGAGAGATGTCATGTTATTATTAGATCAAATCCTGTCCTTTAATGAAAAGAATGCAGCTTTAGCTGCAGCCCAAGAGTCTGGAGATACGTGGTATCTTACTCAAGTAAATGATAGAATGACAGCTGAAGAAAGGGACAAATTCCCTACTGCTCAGCAAGCCATCCCCAGTATGGATCCCCACTGGGACCTCGACTCAGATCATGGGGACTGGAGTCACAAACCTCTGTTAACCTGTGTTCTAGAAGGACTAAGGAGAATGAGGAAAAAGCCCATGAATTATTCAGTGATGTCCACCACGTCAGGGAAAGGAAGAAAGTGCTTCTGCCTTCCTCGAGCAGCTATGGGAGGCCTTAAGAATATATACTCCCCTGTCACCCGACTCACTAGGGGGTCAATTAATCCTGAAAGATAAGTTTATTACCCAATCAGCTGCAGACATCAGGAGAAAGCTCTAAAAGTAAGCCCTGGGCCCTGAACAAAATCTGGAGGCATTATTAAACCTGCCAACTTCGGTGTTCTATGATAGGGACCAAGAGGAACAGGCCCAAAAGGAAAAGCAAAATCAGAGAAAGGCCACAGCCTTAGTCATGGCCCTCAGACAAACAAACACTGGTGGTTCAGAGAGGACAGAAAATGGAGCAGGCCAATCACCAGGTAGCGCTTGTTATCAGTGTGGTTTACAAGGACACTTTAAAAAACGTTGTCCTATGAGAAACAAGCTGTCTCCTTGTCCATGTTCACTATGCCAAGGCAATCACTGGAAGGCACATTGCCCCAGAGTGCAATGGTTCTCTGGGCCAGAAGCCCCAACCAGATGATCCAACAACAAGACTGAGGGTGCCCGGGGCAAGTGCCAGTTCATGTCATCACGCTCACTGAGCCCTGGGTATGTATAACCATTGAGGGCCAGGAAATTGACTTCCTCCTGGACACTGGCACAGCTTTGTCAGTGTTAATCTACTGTTCTGGACAGGTGCCCTCAAGGTCTGTTACCATCCGAGGAATCCCGGGGTAGATATTTCTCCCACTTCCTCAGTTGTAATTGGGAGACTTTGCTCTTTTCACATGTCTTTCTTGTTATGCCTGAAAGTCCTATACCCTTATTAGGGAGGGATATATTAGCCAAAGCTGCAGCTATTATTTACATGAATATGGGGAACAAGTTATCCATTTGTTGTCCCCTGCTTGAGGAGGGAATCAACCCTGAAGTCTGGGCATTGGAAGAAACAAATTCAAGCTCCAGCCTTAAACCTTCCCACAAGACAAAACTTCTCTTTATACATCACAAGGAGAGCAGGAATAGCTCTTGGAGTCCTTACTTATACTTGTGGGACAACCCCATATCAGTGGCATAGTTAAGTAAGGAAATTGATGTAGTAGCAAAAGGCTGGCCTCACCATTTATGGGTAGTTGTGGGGGTGGCCATCTTAGTGTTAGAGGTTATCAAAATAATACAAGGAAAGGATCTCACTGTCTGGACTACTCATGATGTAAATGACATACTAGGTGCCAAACGATGTTTATGGTTATCAGACAACCACCTACTTAGATACCAGGTGCTAGTCCTTGAGGGACTGGTGCTTCAAATATGTATGTGCATGGCCCTCAACCCTGCCACTTTTCTCCCAGAGGATGAGGAGCCAATCAAGCATGACTGCCAAAAAATTATAGTCCAGATTTATGTCACCTGAGATGATCTCTTAGAAGTCCCCTTAGCTAATCCTGACCTAAACTATATACTGATGGAAGTTCATCTGTGGAGAATGGGATATGAAGGGCAGGTTATGCCATAGTAACAGTACTTGAAAGTAAGCCTCTTCCCCCAGGGACCAGCACCCAGTTATCAGAACTAGTGGCACTTACCCAAGACTTAGAACTGGGAAAGGGAAGAAGAATAAATGTGTATACAAATAGCAAGTATGCTTATCTAATCCTACATGCCCATGCTGCAATCTGGAAAGAAAGGGAGTTCCTAACCTCTGGGAGAACCCCCATTAAATACCACAAGAAAACCATGGAGTTATTGCACGCAGTGCAAAAACCCAAGGAGGTGGCAGTCTTACACTGCTAAGCCCATCAAAAGGGGAAGGAGAGGGGAGAACAGCAGCATAAGCAGCTGGCAGAGGCAGGGAAAGACCAGCAGAAAGGAAAGAGAGAAAGAGATAAAAAGTTAGAGAGAGAGAGACAGAGAGAGGAAGAGAGAGAGAAAAAGGGAGTCAGAGAGAAAGAAAGAGAAAAAGTCAAAGAGACAAAGAGAGGAAGAGAGAGAGACAAAGAGGGAGTCAGAGAGAGAGAGAAAAAGAGAGACACAGAAAGTCAAAGAGAGAGAGGAAGAGACAGAAAAAGAGAGAGTCAAAAAGAGAGAGACAAAGAAATCAAAGAGAAAGAGAGATAGAAGTAGTAAAGAAAAAAGTGTACCCTATTCCTTTAAAAGCCAGGGTAAAATTAAAACCTATAATTGATAAATGAAGGTTTTCTCTGTAACCCTATAACACTCCAATACCACCTTGTCATTGTAAACAAGGGTGTAGCCCGAAAGCACTGAGGCCACTGAAAACCCTTAGCCTTCCTATCAAAAATCCTTAACCCAGCAGGTTTCCTAACAGGGGATCTAAATCTTAATTAATTACTATACAAACATCCGACCAAATCTAGGAGGAACTCTCTTCAGGACAGGAGGATAGATGGTTCCTCCCAGGTGATTAAGGAAAAAGACACAATGGGTATTCAGTAAGTGATAAGGAAAATCATAGAATCAGAATTAGGAAAATTGTCTAATAATTGATCTGCTCAAGGGTGCGAGCTGTTTACACTAACCCAAACCTTAAAGTACTTACAGAATCAGGAAGGAGCCATCCATACCAGTTCTAAGTTAATATGGACTGAACGAGGTCTTATTAATAGCAAAGAAGAATTGAAATCCCAAACTTAAAAGGTTTTCAACAAAAGTAAAGTTTGCTAAAAGTTAACAGTGTAAACTTATATTATCCTAACTTCCAGTCTTGTGAAATCAGACCCTATCAGTACCCTATAATTGATATTATAGCTCAAGTATAATTGATATTATAGCTCAAGTACCCTATAATTAATATTAAATCTCAAGTCCATCAGCTCAGAGCTATACAACTAATACCCCTACTTACAGGGTTAGGAATGGCTACTGCTACAGGAACCGGAATAGCCAGTTTATTTACTTCATTATCCTACTACCACACACTCTCAAAGGATTTCTTAGACAGTTTGCAAGAAATAGCGAAATCTATCCTTACTCTACAATCCCAAATAGACTCTTTGGCAGCCATGATTCTCCAAACCACCGAGGCCTAGACTCCTCACTGCTGAGAAAGGAGGACTCTGTACCTTCTTAGGGGAAGAGTGTTGTTTTTACACTAGCCAGTCAGGGATAGTACAAGATGCCACCCGACATTTACAGAAAAACGATTCTGAAATCAGATAACACCTTTCAAGCTCTTATACCAACCTCTGGAGTTGAGCAACATGGCTTCTCCCCTTTCTAGGTACCCTGGCAGCCATCTTGCTATTACCTGCCTTCGGGCCCTGTATTTTTAACCTCCTTGTCAAATTTGTTTCCTCTAGGATTGAGGCCACCAAGCTTCAGATGGTCTTACATATGGAAACCCAAATGAGCTCAACTAACAACTTCTACCAAGGACCCCTGGACTAACCCACTGGCCCTTTCACTGGCCTAAAGAGTTCACCTCTGGAGGATACTACAACTGCAGGGCCCCTTCTTTGCCCCTATCCAGCAGGAAGTAGCTAGAGTGGTCATCATTGAACTCCCAACAGCAGTTGGGGTGTCCTGTTTGAGGAGGGATTGACAGGTGAAGCCAGCTAGGCTTCTGGGTCAGGTGGGGACTTGGAGAACTTTTATGTGTAGCTAAAGGATGGTAAATGCACCAATCAGCACTCTGTGTCTAGCTAAAGGTTTGTAAAGGCACCAATCAGCACTCTGTAAAAACAGACTAATCAGCACTCTGTAAAATGGACCAATCAGCAGGTTGTGGGGGGGGCCAAATAAGGGAATAAAAGCTGGCCACCTAGCCAGCAGTGGCAACCCACTTGGGTCCCCTTCCACGCTGTGGAAGCTTTGTTCTTTCACTCTTCACAATAAATCTTGCTGCTGCTCACTCTTTGGGTCCTCACTACCTTTATGAGCTGTAACCCTCACCACGAAGGTCTGCAGCTTCACTCCTGAAGTCAGTGAGAGCACAAACCCACCAGGAGGAATGAGCAACTCCAGACATACCACCTTAAGAGCTGTAACACTCACTGTGAAGGTCTGTGGCTTCACTTCTGAAGTCAGCAAGACCACGAACCCACCAGAAGGAAGAAACTCCAGACATATATGAACATCTGAAGGAACAACTCTGGACACACCATCTTTAAGAACTGTAACACTCACCGCCAGGGTCCGCAGCTTTATTCTTGAAGTCGGCGAGGCCAAGAACCCACCAGAAGGAACCAATTCAGGACACAGATAGGTGGAGCATTCTGTAGATGTCTATGAGGTCCAATTGGTCAAGTGTCAAATTTAAATCCAGAATTTCTTTGTTAGTTTTCTACATTGATGATCTATCTAACACTGCCAGTGGGATGTTGAAGTACCCCATTATAATTCTGTGGCTAATTCTTTTTGTAGGCCTGGGCATACTTGTTTATGAATCTGGGGGCTGCAATGTTGGGTGCATATATGTTTAAGAATAATTAAGTCTTCTTGTTTAATTGAACCGTTTGTCATCATGTAATGCCCTTCTTTGTCCTCTCTAAATTGCTGTTTTGTGTTTAAAGTCTGTTTCATCTGATGTAAAAATAGCAACCCTCTCCCTTTTTTATTTTCTATTTGTGTGATCTCCCTCCAACCTTTTATGTTGAGACCATAGGTGTCATTACGTGTGAGATGGATCTTTTGAAGACAGCAGATGGATGGGTCTGGGTTTTTAATTACAACTTGTAATCTGTGCCTTTTAAGTGGTGTATTTAGGTTGTTTATAATCAAGGTTAATTTTTGTTTGTTTGTTTGTTTGTTTGAGATAGAGTCTCACTCTAGCACCCAGGATGGAGTGCAGTGGCACAATCTCAGCTCACTGCAACCTCCGCCTCCTTGGTTCAAGTGATTCTTCTGCCTCAGCCTCCCAAGTAGCTGGGATTACAGGTGTGCACCACCATGCCCAGCTAATTTTTTGTATTTTTAATAGAGACAGGGTTTCACCATGATGGCCAGACTGGTCTCGAACCC
Source organism: Homo sapiens (assembly GCF_000001405.40). NCBI lineage: Eukaryota > Metazoa > Chordata > Mammalia > Primates > Hominidae > Homo > Homo sapiens. The sequence goes on from NC_000020.11 coordinate 23,743,525, forward strand.
CTGACTTCATGATCCGGCCGTCTCGGCCTCCCAAAGTGCTGGGATTACAGGCTTGAGCCACTGTGCCTGGCCCAAGGTTAATATTTATATGTGAGTTTTTGATCCTACCATGAAGGTGACAACTGGTTTCCTTGCAGTATGTATTGTATTGTTGCTATATACTGTCTTTGAACTATATTTAACTGTATTTTTGCAACAGTAGGTATTGTTCTCTTATTTCCATGTTTAGAACTCCCTTAAGCATCTCTTAAGGCTGGTCTAGTGGTAACAAATTTTCTCAGTAACTGCTTGTCTGGAAAAGATTGTTTTTCTTCTTTGCTTATGAAGCTTAGTTGGATGGGATAGGACATTCTTGGTTGGAATCTATTGTCTTTAAGAACGCTGAAAATAGGTTAGTGTCATGAAAATGTACTCACTAATATGGTATGTACAATAGCACACCAGGCAGTTTGTTTTTATTTTATGTTATTTTGTTTTTAATTTTACCCAAGTGAGACCCAAGTTTTTGTATTTTTTATGGGAATTTAATGAGATAGAATTTCTTGATTTTTCATGTTTGTAGGGTGCAGATCTGCGTAGTGAAACTACCCACAGCAAGGATGTATGCCTGTGAGGTGGCACAGAACTGATGGATCAGACTTGGCCTTCAACCTCCTGTTATCCTGATGAAATTGCAAGCTCCAAACAACAGAGACACAACATTGACCAACAGTAAGATGGCTTGAAGAAATATTTCTTTCAGGACAAACTCTGTGCATTCCATGAGGTAATCAATATAGTATATAGCTATACATTTGCACAATTTTGAAGCCCACTACAACAGTCAGAGTTTTAAAATGCTGTGTTTAGTGAGCATTATTGATAGAGTCTTTAAGATCATCAATCTTAAGTCAAGAAAATTTAGAAAGTACTAAAATCTTAGCGCTCACATGAAAGAAAACTGGAAGCTTTTCCAAATTAGACAACAATCAGACAAATTTGCATAGTATTACCTATATGAGCTTTGAAGCAGAAAGAAAATGTTATAATCCATGATTTTCACAAGTAGGATTGATTGTAGTATTTCATAATTTTGGATGATTGTATTATTTATCAGAATTTTAAAGTGATCAAACTTAGTGGAAAGACTGGTTTATCTTTCTGCTATATTTATGGAAAATTCTATTATAAAATCAATGTCATGTGATGAAGCAAATAGTTACTCAATAGTTGAGTATGAAAACATAGAAATAACTTGTTACACTGTTGAGTCAAGTAGTTAATAAAAATGCTATGTTAGCATGTAAAAAGAACACAAATTAAGGAAGGGCAAATCTGCCCTTTCATCTGCAGGGTGGATGGATGGACTTATGAGGACAAAGCCACTGACATCATGAGCAGGAAACAATGCTTCTCTCAAGCTGCAGCTTCGAAATGTCAAACAGCCTCTTCCTTGGGTGACAACTGCTTTCTGACTCAAAGGAAGACCTTGCTCTCCAGCATCAGGGGCTGTCAGAAACTTTGCTTTTGAGTAAGTACAACATCACACTGCCTGGAGGATCTAGGTCCACCTTTACACAGAAGCACAGAGCTACAGAGAAGGGGTTTCTGGATGGAACATTCACATCTGGCTGGACTTCATGGGTTCTAAGGACAGAGGACCTGGGTCCACTTTGCAGACCAGACTTGACACTGGCTGCTTTACACTTAGGACTGCTACGTTGTGAGTCCATCACTACAGCCTCAAGAATCCCTCCCCACAGTCTTATAATAACCTCTTTGCTTTGTTTTTTTAGTCATCCCAGGTTTCTTAATGTGAATTTATTCCCTTTTTGCTACAAGCCAATAATCCTGAGTCTGTTAACTGCAAAATCAGTTTTGGTGACTGAATGCACTAGGATGTATATTAGTTTCTGGAATTTGGGATGACTGTAGCATTTTTCAGCATTTTAAAGTGAGTAATTTGTTGTGACTTATTTCCTTTTCTTAAATAAACACTAACTTCTGTGTTTAGTTTCAAATAGTTTATATTATGCTATTTTTCATGTAGATAACCCTCTGAATTATGTAAGCCTCAGACCTCACGGAACCTGGATTGCCAGTGGTCATAGTGCTGAGAATCCACCTGCCCAAGGAATGACCGCTCTGGTTCCCGCTTCCCAGGCCTCCAATGGACTTATCCCTCCTTTCAGAGTGATTTGTCTATGCTGAAGGTGGAGTTTCTAACCTCAGCGGTTTTAGGCTTTTAGTAAGAATGTGTGACATTATTTTTGCTAAAGGAACTCTTAGAAGGGGTGCAATATTTCCAAAACATGACCCTCAGTATCCTCCTTTACTCCCAAAAACCGGGTGGCTTCCGGACAGGGCCCAGACCCTCAGCTTGGTCCAGAAGATGAAGGTCCACATGCTCACCTTAAAGCCTCCCTGCCCCCTGCTCCCCTCCTAGGGAACAGACACACAAGGAGATGGTTGAGGGAGCCCTCTACAGAGCCAGACGTCCCCCTCCACTTCCCCAGGAAGAGAGATGTCAGAAAAGTTACTGGTTTACACAAAATTGTCTGTTCCTTGTGTCCTTGGATGGTGGTTGCTTATGTCAAGACAGACTTTCCCCAGGTAGAGAACCATGAGGATCTCCATGCAGGGAAGACTCTGCCCCTAACCATGATTCCTGGGCACATGCTCCTCTGCTCTCAGCCCCTGTCTTCCAACAGAAGCCTGAATCAGTGTGTGCAGCCCCCACCCCCTGACACCGGGTGAGGCCCAGACTCAAATCTCCCCAGTTCATGGCCTCCTGGGTGCTGCTTCACTTTCTTCAACGTAAAACCTTGGTTACATCCCATAGGGGTGGAGAGGAAATGAAACAGGTGCTCCCCACTCTCCCTGCCAGACCATACTCCTCCTGGCTTTCTATGTGCGGCACATGGGGTGCTGGCCTCAGGGCTGTTTCAACAGTTTCCCCTTTGTCATTTTCCCCTCGGTGTTCATGGCAGCCACTCTTGGTCAACGCAGATCTAGGCATGGAAGATAGTTGAGAGCCCTTCCCCAGAGGCACCTGCCCTGAGGGCTGCACCCCCTGCCCTGAAATGGCAAAGGGAAGGGCCGTGCAGGGTGGGCGTTGTCTTAGGACTGTAGCCTCTTCTTTAGAGCGCAACTACCCACTATTCTACAGAATGGTTTTGACACTTAGGTGATGTTATTTATTAATTAAAACATCCTTTGTGAAAAAATCGAGTGTCCACTGCATGTCACTTTCATTTGTGTTTTAGCTTCTCCATCCCTGCCAAGAAGGCTGACCTGAGTGCTCATTTTAAATTCAAGTCCAGAGAAAGGGCGGCTGGGTGTGAACGTGTAAAACTTTTCTAGGGCACAGCTTCCTAGCATAGGAGACAACCTCCCAGCCTGGGGCACACCCTCCCAGGATGGATGAGAGCAGGCGTTGCTTTCTCTGGGTGATCTTGCCTGTCTTTGGTCTGGGTGGCATTTTTCCCAATAAGTTATACACACACACACACACACACACACACACACACACTTTTGGACTTTGTTTCCATGTAGGTGCCTAAAGTCTCCTGTGGAAAGAACTACACGTTGATCGCTGTCTATTTAGTGTCTAGGGGATTTGATGAGAGCAGCTCAGTCCCTGGAGTCTGCTCCACTCTGCAAGCACAGATGGACTCTATGGCCTGGCGAGCTCCACTGAGGCCTGGCCCCTGCCTGTGGACACAGCCAGCCCCCTCCTCGTGGTCTGACCAGCAGCTCAGACCAAAACAGCAGCCTAGCTTCTGGGGCAGCTGCCTGGGCCCCCTCCTCTCCCTGACCCCCTCACCAGGGGCTGCTGCAGCTGAAGGCCTGGGTTCCCAGTCCCTGGCTGCTCTCTCCCTGTTCTGAAGCTCAGGTCTCTGAAAGTGGCAGCAGCTCCCCTGATGGCCTTGCTGTGGCTGCGTCAGCTCCCAGGTACTCCTGTGATCTCCACACCAGCAGGACAAGGAGGCTTCATAAAGGAACTGCAGAAACCCCGCCTGCGTGCACATCCCCAGACAGCCAAGAACTCAGAGGGAGGCGATGCTACTGTTTAATTGCAGGAGGTGGGGGGGTGTGTACCATGTACCAGGGCTATTAGAAGCAAGAAGGAAGGAGGGAGGGCAGAGCGCCCTGCTGAGCAACAAAGGACTCCTGCAGCCTTCTCTGTCTGTCTCTTGGCGCAGGCACATGGGGAGGCCTCCCGCAGGGTGGGGGCCACCAGTCCAGGGGTGGGAGCACTACAGGGGGTGGGAGTGGGTGGTGGCTGGTGCGAATGGCCTGGCACAGATCCCTAGGATTCTTGACACCTGGATTTCACCAGGGACCTTCTGTTCTCCCAGGGAACTTCGTAGATCTCGAAAGAGCACAACTGTTTCTGTGAAAGGGAAGAGAGAGGGCCAATCAGTGTGGGTTACAGTTAAAGGGGAAGATGCCCAGGCATGAGATGTCAGAGCCTGGGTGAGGAGGATGGAGGTGAGACACTGGGCCCTCACCCACCCCTACTGAGTCCCAGAGTGCTGAACTAGAATGAATAGTGACTGTTCCATTGCCCCTCCCAAGGCTCCAAGTCACCAGGTGGCATTGGGACCCCACCCCAGCCTGCAGTGTCCTGTCCCAGCACAGCCCTGTGAGGAGTAGCCTGGGCAAGGCCTCGGGAGCCCCAAGGGTGCAGGGCATGGGGAGGCAGCTCAGTTCCCCCAGCTCCTTCCACCTCCAGCACCCAGGCCAGCACTAAGAGGGGCCAGAGGGAAGAACCCAGGGCAGGGCAACTCCCCCTCAAAGAGCTGGGGCATGGGGCAAGGGCAACAAGGGGAGTGTGGCTCTCCCCTGAGTGGAGACCTCACAAGAACCAGCAGGTCCTTGGAGAGGCTGGTGTTGGGTGAGCCGGGCAGGTCCAGGGCTTCCCAGCTAACAGGCCTCTAGGTCCCACTAATCTGATCACTGTGGCTGTGGCTGCATGCAGGTGCCTGAGGCTGGGATTAGACAGAGCCCCTTCTCCCTGCCCAGCACACAGCCGCACAGCTGCTTCTTCCTGTCCAACAGGCAACACTCCAAAGCAGGCAGAATTGACCTTATAGTAACCATTCCCAACCTAAAGCCTTCCTAGCAAATCAAACACATCACCCTCCTCCCTCACCACCCCATCTGCACATACATGGACAACTACGTAAACTCACTTGGACCCCTCATCCCCATGGATCTATGTACAAAGCCCCATACACCCCCCACACATCCATGCACAGGCACACATGCTCCCATCCACCTCCCTGCACACACTGGCACAGGTGTGTACACACGTGCACCTTTCCACATGCACACCTACATGCACACCCCCCCATAAGTACATGAACACGTACACATCCATGCATACACGGCTCCCCACATACCCACCTGCACACACACACCCTCCAAACATGTGTAGGGCAGAGGCTGACACATACGCACCCCTCTGCAGTGCATGACTGGCCCGGGACCTGCATCAGGAACGTACCTTCTGCAGTTCTGGCTGTTCATGGAAGGCACAGGTGTCCAAGTTGGGCTGGGACTTGGTACATATGGTGCGGCCCACCTCTACGTCGAAGAAGTAATTCACCCCCCCAACGGTCTGCACACAGGAGAAAACAGGACAGCGCCCCCATCAGTTCATGCACTCACAGGCACTTCACTGTGGCTGAGTCACTGGACTTGCTTGGGGGCTTCGTGAGCTGCCCACATGTCAACACAAGGCACACAAGCCCCCTCTTCCTGTCAACTGGCAGGGTGCTGAGCCTCATACCCGCTCTTAAACATTGCTTTCTCTGTGCTGGGTAAAAGGATTCATTGAATTCTGCTGTCTGTGGCTCAGGGGCGAGGGAACACTGACTCTTTTCTAGGAAGTCTGTCTGATGACAAAATTTCACCTAACTTCTGAAAATCTTATTCCCTCCATTTAACATAGATTTATTACTTCACTCAGAGTAGGAAATGAGATGCTTCACACACACAGATATTTTGGATCAATGGGGCCGCCCGGATGCCACCATTTCAAGTGTGAGATTCAAGATACATTTCTCAAGTCAGCAGCACACCTGCGTGTCTTACAGTTGCAGATTAGAATTGAACCCTTTCCCTGCATAGGGCCTTTCCCAGACACAATGTGGCAGAGCTGTGGAGAAACCTGGGATGAGGGACTCTCTGGAACCAGGAGGAACTGCTGAGATCCCTCGAGTGTCAGTTTACCCATGTCTAAAATAGGCTTCTGGGCCTGATGGTCTGCAATGCCCTGTGCTTCACTCCAAGTTACTGTCATGCTTGAAAGGGAGATGCAGGCCAGCGGGGACCACGGCACCAGGGAGTGTATCTCGTATGCAGGGAGAGAGCCCCAGCTGACAGCTGCAAGAGGAGAAACGGGGCTGGTGGGGATTCCTTTGAATTTCCAGGAGAAGGTGGAGGAGCTCTAAAGACTGTGTCACTATTTGCTGCTGTGCCATGGGATGCAGGTCAAGCTGGGCCCAGTTGCCCTGCTGAAGCTCCCTCCCGACCTGACCCCTCCTCTGCTCTGCTGGGTGACCACTGTCCTCATCTGGCTGAGGTCTAACTGCATCAGCTGGTAGAGGCAGGGTCAGGCATGCTCCACCCCAGCAGGGACTCAGCGCCCTGGGCTGTAGGGGTTTGTCAGCCGGCCTGAGGGTGAAGGCCGCTAGCCATAAGGGGCTGTGCCCAGGGGCGTGACTTGGGGAAGCAGGGCTCTGCAGAACAGTGAGCCAGGTTCCTGTGTGGCCCCTGCAGAGAGGACTCAGGGAGGAGTATGAACCTCATGGCCTGGATCTCATCCTGAGCAGCATCAAGCCCACCCAGAGTAAGCACAGTCTCCATCCACACCTGCTGGACCCTGGGAAATGCCACAGTCATGGTACAGACACAGTGGCTGCTGCAGGTTAAAGGAAGCTGAGTTTGTGCACGGCCGGGGAGCGTGCTTAGGCATGAAGGGCATCAGCGGAGAGCCAGGGAAAGCTGAATGAATCTGAGCATTAGATCATGAATGTATCAGTGTTGATTTGCTGGGAATGCTCTTGGGGGTTGGGGAACAAACCAGGCTGGGACCCAGGACCCCTGGGGTGGAGGGAGCACCTACCTGTTGCCTGGCTCTTAGTACCCGCAGCGGACGTCTGTAGTAGTCATCTTTGGTGGCCTTGTTATACTCGCTGATGGCGAAGTGAAGGGCACGCTGTACCCACTCATCATTGAGGTCTGCGTTATAGATGCCACCCGGGATTATCCTATCCTCCTCCTTGGGGCTCCAGGCCAGGGCCACAGCTAGGGTGGCCAGCAGGAGCAGCAGGGTACTCAGATACTGGGCCATGGTCTCCTCAGAGGCAGAGCACAAAGCTGGAGCTGCAGGAGAGGAGGGTGAGAGCCCGAGGCAGGGAGCCCAGACCAGCAGGCAGGTGTGCATTTATCCTGCTTTGGCAGCCCAGCCCCACCCACCTCCATGCCCCACCCCTGACTCCTCCTCCTCTTTCTTCCCATCCCCTCTTTCTCCATCTCTCTTTTCACTCCCCCGCTACTACAAGCTCCCTCCCTGCCTAAGTTCCCCCTGCCCCTCCCAGGCCTCCTCCTCCATCTCCCCCTCCTCCCCACTCCAGTCCTCACTGCAGCCTCCCCGAGCCATGCCTCTCTTCCCCAGTGCTCCCAAGCTTGAGTCACCCAGGTCTCCACAGAGGTGACACTGGTCCTTTGACTGTGAAAGCTATGTGACTTCCTGTTTGCTCAGAAAGGGGAAAAATACAGGGCTTGGCCTCCCAGGGTCTTCAGATATCAGGGGCATCCAGGAGCACTTGGTCACAGTCTCTGAATCTCTGGAACAGGGAGATTATTTCAGAAAGTTCCAGAAGACCCTGTCCATACCCTAATGTGGAGAATTTCTTTGCCAAATTTAAGGGAATTAACCTTTTTGGAAAAGGTCACTGGATTCTCTTTTCATAATTCATTATTCAATAAGCAAACCTATCACCAGCTACTCCCCGTGCCAGGAGGTCTAGGGCTTGAAGACGGAACCTGGATGATGAGCCATAGAGGTGACATTGCAGAGCTGCTGCCCAACAGACATGTGACACGAACTCACGAGCAATTGAAAATTTCTAGTAGATGCATTTTAAAAGATGAGAATAAATGGGTGAAAGTAATGTTTAAAATATTTATTTAACCTTATATAGCCACAATGTGATTTCAGCTAATGGGAACAATTATTAATGAGATCGTTTATGTTTTTTTTTTTTTTGTTTTTTTTTTTTTTGGTTTTGTAAATCTTTGAAATTCCCTGTGTATTTTTAACACTTAGACCAGAAGTAATTTTGGACTGGCCCCATTTCAAGTATCCTGTGGCACATGTGGCTGGTTCTATGGAACTCCATAGTCCATTCCTACACAATGTGTGTAGGGGATGGTAGGTTACGATCAAAAATTAGGGTCAGGGAGTTATGCTCACTCTTTTGGAAGTGAAATAGAACAGGGGCTAGAGAGAGACCACTGGACCCTGGTCAGGGTGGTCTCTATGAGACTGGAGAGGTTGAGAAGCCCCAGGCAGTGGGGAACAGCCAGTGCAAAGGCCCTGAGGTGGGGTTGGGACATGCCTGCTCCAGAAAGTGGAAGCTCCTGGAGGGGGTATGAGGAGGGAAGGGAACGACCTGGAGTCTCACAGTAAATGTGGGTGGGGCCCGGTGGAAGGTGCACGGAGACCCCTGTGAGGCAGTGGGGGTGTCAGGAAAGGGAGCAGCAGCCACGGGATGAATGTGGGAACCCACAGGTCTCTCTTGCTTCTGTCCTAGGCAGCCATGCTTCAGGCTCCTTTCCTCTGTTCACTGCTTGGAAGACTCACCTGATATTTTAAAAATTGCCTTAAATGAGGTAGAATTTGCATACAATAAAATGCCTAATAGTATGTGCTCAATCTGGGGTGTTTCATAAATGCATACACTTGTGTTACCACTTTATCCAGACCTGTGACATCTGCCTTGCCCCAGACAGTATCTTCCTGCCTTTCCAGCCACCCTCGTGCCCACCCCACCTTGGCAGTCCCCATCCGGCCCCATAGACTCCTTGGTCGCCTGTCCTTGAGCTTCCCAGGAATGGAGTCCTGCAGAGCGAGCCCATGTGTGTCTTTGTCCTTTGCCCAGTGTGGCTTTCCGGCGGCCCCCGAGTTGCTTCATTGCCAGGATTGTGAGTTCTCCTTCTCCGCAGACTGAGAGGATTTGGTCAGTTGGGTGTCCTATGGGCTGACAAAGCCCCCAGCTCGGGATGCTGTGGGCCTGGGCTGGAATGTGACTCCAGGAGAGGAGAGGGTGGAAGGAGGCTCTGAACAGACAGCTGCTCCCTTTGTTCTCTCAACCCCACCCTCCATGCCTGAAGGTGACCCTGTGGCAAATGCCCTTATGGGGAGGTGGCAGGCTTGGCCAGAAGCTACAGGAAACCCTGGACCTTAGCAGGACACCCAGAGGACTCTCCCAGGAGTGGTGGAGGTGAGCGTTGGCCAGTGTCAGCCCAGACCTGTTTAGAACACTAAACAATACTATAATAAACAAATGACCAAGTGCAGAAACCATCACATAAAGGTGCAAGTGATGAGGACAAGCTGGCCAAGAGTCATCCTGGGCTGGGACATGGCTGGGGCTGGATCAGCAGGAACCCGGCATTGGGAACCATATTACTCATGGGTGCTCATGTTCAGTATTAGTACAGGGAACCTTGTTACCTGAGGCCTGGTGACCATCTCACCCCACTGTGAATCCAGCACCCCTAGAATAGCCGTGCAGCCCGGCAGATACAGCAGGTGTACCGAAGGTGTTTACTGCTGGGTGAAGGAGGGAAGGTCTTCAAACAAAGCTGCACATATGCCTCCTAGTTAGACAGGAAATGGGGAGAGATTTCCAAAGAAGGGAAAGAGAAGGAAGTCCCTTACCAGGTGTTTGGGAGCAGAATGGTCATCTCCAAAGGGTAGGAGTTAGTTCTCCTCTGTGGCTCCCACCTTCCTGGGACAGCTGGGAGTCCAGGCTCAGGAAGACATGCTGTGCAGAGGGTAAACTGAAGGTCAAGCAATCCTCTTGTTTTTTTGTTTGTTTTTGTTTGTTTGTTTTGTTTTGTTTTAATCATTGGAAAGGAGATGCAGGTAACCCAAATAGCGAGAATGTGCTGGTGGGTGGAGTATGAGGGAGGGAGGCCAGAGTGCTGACCTGTGCCCTGTATGTGATGACACCACCAGTGGTCATCTTCTGTCTGGGCACTGGCATGCACTGCAGGGAGGGTCAGCTGTTCTGATGCAGCAAGCTCTCTAATCCCAGTAGGAAAAATACCAGTGTACATTGCTCTTAGGAGGAGGTACAAGTGCGATGTCCAGTATGGAGTGATAGGAAGTAGCAGGTTGAGGTAGCTGGCCAGCTGCTCCAGATGTTTGATGACCTTAGGCAAATGGTGTGTCTGTCATGCATCTGGAGAAAGAGGCTACTTTCTAAAGCATAGTATCTGGGAGTTAAGACCAGCAGAGATGAGCAGACTTCAGCAGTGATGTATCAACATGGTTAAAAATGATGGAGTAGCCAGGTGTGGTACTGCACCTGTAATCCTAGCTTATTAGGAGAGTGAGTCAGGAAGATTCCTTGAGTCTAGAAGTTCAGTTTCAGCCTGTGCAACACAGTGAAACACCCATCTAAAAAAAATGGCAGAACACTTTGTTCCCTGATTTCTATAGTCCACAGTTTTAAGGACACACTAGAAGAGGGCCAGATAGCAACCATGGACTGAGGAACAAGCTTGGGGCCTCCAGCACCCATGTAACCTAGAGGAGTCCAGCTGCCCAGGAGGGGGCATGTTTTCCTTCTGCTAGGTGACAAAAGAGAAAGCTGTGTTCCCCTAGGCTGCACAGGTGAACTGATCTGATTATCTGAATTAGTAGGATGAGAAATTAGGTGAGTGGCAGAAGTTCTCTGCAATAAATGACCAATAATAAGTGAACACTAAACAATACCATAATAAATGACCAAGCGCAGAAAGCATCATGTAAAAGTGCAAGTGGTGAGGACAAGCTGGCCAAGAGTTGAGATTCTGCACAACTGGGTTTTGAGCAACTAACAGTTTGGTCTATGGTAGGAGCTGGGACTGAACAGCCACAGGATTTGGTGGCTTCTCAAATGGGAAGCCCAGGAGCCTCCTTTATGGAGTGCCTGGAATTCTCTGGGGTCAAGCTCATCTCTTTCACACTCCATCCTTCCTTCTTTTCTCCCTCTCCTCACACATCGTGGACACGTGGATGCTTCTAAATTATGGGCCCATGTTGGTAACACATTTGGCTCTGTTAGGACATGTGGATGCTTCTAAACTATGGGCCCATGTTGGTACCACATTTGGCTTTTCCACATCATTAGGAAACTGATACTCATGGGGAAGCCTGCTGGCAGCCCCGGCTGGGAAAGGCAAGAGAGGGCAGAGCCCAGTGTCAGGTCTGATTGTTTTGCACTCCGTGGGGAGAAAGAGAATCCTTTCTCTCAGGGACCAGCACATGAATGGTATTCCTGGCTCTGGAGTACAAGTTAACATTTATTTTTCAAAAATCAAAAAGAGCATTTGTCAGTGCAGATTCACTGACTGAAGAACCACATATGAATGGAGGGGAGTAGGGGCGGCCTCCGGAACTCGGGCTGCTGGCTGCTGCAGCCAGGGATCCATCTGACTCCCTGGGCTACAGCCTGCAGAGGCCTGGCCATGAGGAAAACAGATGACTCTGAGGAGGTGAGTCATCTCCTTGACATCTCTGGGTGGTCAGACTTTCTTATCCTGTTTGGGTCACTGCTGGGACTTCCCTGTCACTGTTTGTGTAACCTTAAATATCAATTCCTTTAGCAAAATGCAGTGACTGTGGAGATTGGTTCCTCTTCCTGCTTGGAATCCTGTTCAACTCAATCACTGAGTGTTGGAGCTGGAGCCAGAGGCCATCAGGACAGCCCTGCTCCCTCCTGTGGCCCTGCCTGCCCTTTCCTCCTGTCACAGAAGAGCTGGATCCAGTGACAAGACTCACCTTGACCAAACCCTTGTTAGGCTCCTCTGAGCCTTCCTCTGCCCTGGTCCTCAACCCTAGTCCCCAGCCCTGGACCTCCTGTTCTTGCGAGGGCTTCATGGCCCAGTTTTAGGAAAGAATCCTGCTAAGTCAGTTTAGAAAGGCTCCCCCCCACCCTTGGTATCTGATCACCCTCAACATCTGACCAAGTTCTTCTTTCCTTTGATGTCTAAGGCTTTGTCCTGGCTTTAGCAACAATATTGTTAGGTCAGTTTATCTAGAACCTCCTACCTTTGATGTCTCTGCTTAGTAATTCTGTTTGAAACCGTTCCAAAGCTACTTTAATAATGACCCAATCATTCCATACTGTAAGTGAGATGATTTTACCCTCCCTACTTGCTTGTTTTAATTGTTTTCCAATTTTTCTCCAATCTTTTAGATCTAAAGTTCCCTGTTCTAGAAACCATGGGCAGAATCGTTCTATTGTTTGAAATAGCGTGATTTGATTTTTTGTAGAAACACTAACTCCCCCACTTTTTACAAAAATTTTAATAGAGCTGAGATAAGAGGCATATTTACTTTAGTTTGCCCCATTGTTACCCTGGCTTCTTTCGAGCTTACCACAAGGCTGACTGTAGACGTACTCGGGAATCTCTCATCAACTTGTCCTCAGTGACCACGCTTGAGCGTACCTTCACCCTAGAGGAAAGCACCCACGTTGGGCACCAGATGAAAGGGTGGCCAGCTGCTCCACACCTGTGGGCATTTCTCATTGGGTGGGATGAGAGACTGAGAAAAGAAAGAGACACAGAGACAAAGTATAGAGAAAGAAAAGTGGGCCCAGGGGACAAGTGCTCAGCATAGGGAGGACCCACGCTGGCACAGGTCTCTCCGTTCCCTCAGTATTTATTGATCATTATCTCTACCATCTCAGAGAGGGGGTTGTGGCAGGACAATAGTGTAATAGTGGGGAGATGGTCAGCAGGAAAACATGTGAACAAATGTCTCTGTGTCATAAACAAGGTTAGAAAATGTGCTGTGCTTTGATGTGCACATACATAAACATATCTGGTGCATTAAAGAGCAGTATTGCCAGCAACATATCTCACCTCCAGCCTGAAGGTGGTTTTCTCCTATCTCAGTAGATGGAACATTCAATTGGGTTTTACAAGCAGATATTCCATTGCCTAGGGAGTAGCAGGAGACAGATGCCTTCCTCTTATCTCAACTGCAAAGAGGCCTTCCTCTTTTACTAATCCTCCTCAGCACAGACCCTTTACAGGTGTGGGGTTGGGGGATGGTCAGGTCTTTCCCTTCCCACGAGGCCATATTTCAGACTTTCATATGGGGAGAAACCTTGGACAATACCTGGCTTTCCTAGGAAGAGGTTCCTGTGGCCTCCTGCAGTGATTTGTGTCCCTGTGTACTTGAGATTAGGGAGTGGTGATGACTTTTAACAAGCATGCTGCCTTCAAGCATTTGTTTAACAAAGCACGTCCTACCTAGCCCTAAATCCGTTAAACCTTGAATCAACACAGCACTTGTTTCTGCCAGCACAGGGTTGGGGGTAGGGTTACAGATTAACAGCATCTCAAGGTAGAAGAATTTTTCTTATTACAGAACAAAATGGAGTCTCTTATGTCTACTTCTTTCTACATAGACACAGTAACAGTCTGATCTCTCTTTCTTTTCCCTACACACATCTACATGGAAACTGAACAACCTGCTCCTAAATGACTACTGGGTAAATAATAAAATGAAGTAAAAAATGAAGATGTTCTTTTAAGCCAATGAGAACAAAGACACAACGTACCAGAATCTCTGGGACACATTTAAAGCAGTGTGTAGAGAGAAATTTATAGCACCGAATGCTCACAAGAGAAAGCAGGAAAGATCTAAAATCGACACCCTAACATCACAATTAAAAGAACTAGAGAAGCAAGAGCAAACAAGTTCAAAAGCCAGCAGAAGACAAGAAGTAACTAAGATCAGAGCAGAACTGAAGGAGACAGAGACGCAAAAAACCCTTTAAAAAATCAATGAATCCAGGAGCTGTTTTTTCTGAAAAGATCAACAAAATTGATAGACCACTAGTAGACTAATAAAGAAGAAAAGAGAGAAGAATCAATAGACCCAATAAAAAATGATAAAGGGAATATCACCACCAATCCCACAGAAATACAAACTACCATCAGAGAATACTATAAACAGCTCTATGCAAATAAATTAGAAAATCTAGAAGAAATAGATACATTCCTGGACGCATACACCCTCCCAAGACTAAACCAGGAAGAAGCTGAATTGCTGAATAGACCAATAACAGGCTCTGAAATTGAGGCAATAATTAATAGCCTACTAACCAAAAAAGTCCAGGACCAGACAGATTCACAGTTGAATTCTACCAGTGGCACAAAGAGGAGCTGGTACCATTCCTTTTGAAACTATTCCAATCAATAGAAAAAGAGGGAATCCTGCCTAACTCACTTTATGAGGCCAGCATCATCCTGATACCAAAGCCTGGCAGAGACACAACAAAAAAAGGAGAATTTTAGACCAATATCCTTGATGAACATCGATGTGAAAATCCTCAATAAAATACTGGCAAACCGAATCCAGCAGCACATCAAAAAGCTTATCCAACAAGATCAAGTGGGCTTGATCCCTGGGATGCAAGGCTGGTTCAATATATGCAAATCAATAAATGTAATCCAGCATATAAACAGAACCAAAGACAAAAACCACATGATTATCTCAATAGATGCAGAAAAGGCCTTTGACAAAATTCAACAGTGCTTCATGCTAAAAAGTCTCAATAAACTAGGTATTGATGGAATATATCTCAAAATAATAAGAGCTATTTATGACAAACCCACAGCCAATATCATACTGAATGGGCAAAAACTGGAAGCATTCCCTTTGAAAACTGGTGCAAGACAGGGATGCCCTCTCTCACCACTCCTATTCAACACAGTGTTGGAAGTTCTGGCCAGGGCAATCAGGCAGGAGAAGGAAATAAAGGGTATTCAATTAGGAAAAGAGGAAGTCAAATTGTCCCTGTTTGCAGATGGCATGATTGTATATTTAGAAAACCCCATCGTCTCAGCCAAAAATCTCCTTAAGGTGATAAGCAAGTTCAGCAAAGCCTCAGGATACAAAATCCACGTGAAAAAATCACAAGAATTCCTATACACCGATAACAGACCAACAGAGAGCCAATTGAACAATGAGAACACTTGGACACAGGGCGGGGAACATCACACACTGGGGCCTGTCATGGGGTGGGGGTGTGGGGGAGGGATAGCATTAGGAGAAATACCCAATGTAAATGATGAGTTAATGGCTGCAGCAAACCAACATGGCACATGTAAACATATGTAAAAAACCTGCACATTGTGCACATGTACCCTAGAACTTAAAGTCTAAAAAAGAGGGAAAGTTCTAAATATCTGATAAATAATCAAACTGAAATAGGGTAGCCAACCTGGGAGTCCCCAGTTCTACTTGTGTTGTTTGTCATGTGCATCAGATTATAAAAGCTAAAAGTGGATTCCAGCCTCTGTGATTATTGTTTTGCTCTCTAAAGGAACAGCCATTCAGTGGTGGTTTGCATTCTCCTTTGCCTCTCTTTAGCATGCCACTTTAGGGTTAGGGTGGCGTTTGACAGGGTGAACCGGGATCCTCCCCTTTTCTCACTGAGGTGCTGTCTTGACTTACAGTCAGGAGCCAGGACCTGGGCAATGCGGAGGACCAGCATGCTGTGCCCCCACAGACCTCCTGGATTGCTTATTTGTATCTGGGAAGAGTTAAGTGCTGTCCTGGGTCTCTGATATATGGGCTGCTTTTAGGATTTGCCAAAAGGAAACTTTTAAAGCTTCTGTTTCTTTACAGCCAGCAGCTCAATTACTTATGGGAGGTAGGTTGTCAAGGGGACAGTAAAGAGTTCATTTGGGAAAAGAGTGGAGAAGGAGTACAGTGGAAAATGGAATAAATCATGTGTGAGTCAGTTGCTGTTCCACAGGAAAAACTCTTAACATCTTAGGGACTAAAAGCAAGAAACTGTTCCTGTCACGCTCTGGAGCCTGCAAATGGGCTGGGGCTTAGCAGATCTGGTCTGGCTTGCCTTGTGTCTTCAACCTGGGGCCCATGCTAAGGGGCAGTGTCTGCTTGGATCAGGTTTTCTTCATGATGGTGAGGAGGTGAGCAGGAGGACCCACCTCTCGCATCTGCAGGGTTAAGGTTTCTGTCCTTGTCACATCTGTTAAGGCCCAAGCAAGACCCATGACCATGCACAAAGGCAATGGGGGTTTATGCTGCAATTTTTGGAGAGAGTTGCTGCTAGCCACATGGCAGAGGGGGCATGCATGTATAGTTTTGTTCCAGCAAGGGAGACAGCTCTCCATCAATCCTGGCATACCCCCTTGAATCTAGGAAAACCCCTTTTCTCTGTGCCATGACATGGCACACACTTCCAGGAAGCCTGTGGCTTTCATGCTGGCATGGCTGTCTAAACTTTTGCTAACAAGGGTGATTTTTTCAGTCTCCTGAGTTCCACCTGGGGTATCTGGGAAGTGCTGGCTCCCTAGATGGGATCCTCCATATGAGGAAAGCTCCTCTCCAAAAGCCCGTGTTTATTCTCCATAAAAACAGGCTGGTCAAAGGGTATGGCCTGGTAGAGGCTTTTTTGGCCTATGATTTGTTATGTATTGATTGTTGAGTTCTTCCTAATAGAGAATTCACTTCTACTCCCACCCAGTGTGGTTCACATGGTATCAGAATCATAGCCAAATAATTGTGAAGGTGTGCAATGTGCAGGATGGGGTTTTATGATGAAAACTCAAGATGAAATAGAAGAAGGGGGCTGGGAAACAACAGTGACCCCCCTGCACTGCAAAGGGAGGTGCAGGTAGGATGAGGTGGGGAACGTGGCCATCTCTTGTGAGGTGCAACATCTAGGGAAATTGGAGGGAATTTCCTCCTCAGCCTCTGTCCCTGCATCCTCTCCAGTGCCCCAGTCCCTTCCATCTCACATTCTGTCTCTGCTCTAAGGAACAGTACAGAGTGTGGATGCTGGTGAAACGTGTTCTTAGTAACCAGCCAGCCTGCAGCTTCATCACGCAATGGCTTGGACATTCCCCTGACACACTGATGCTAGGCTGAGAAGTTAGGAGGTGTTTCCATGACTTCCCAACTAGCTGACAACACAGGGCTGTGCATGTCGATGATCCTTACATAGAACTTTGCTGTATTTTGAATTTTTATTTTTGGCACCTTTTATTTTGTAGTGATTTCTATTTTTTCTTTCTTTTTTGTTTTTTTTGAAACAGAGTCTTGCTCTGTCACCCAGGCTGGAGTGCAGTGGCACAATCTCGGCTCACTGGAAGCTCCGCCTCCCGGGTTCACGCCATTCTCCTGCCTCCTGAGTAGCTGGGACTATAGGCGCCCGCCACCACGCCCGGCTAATTTTTTGTATTTTTTTAGTAGAGACGGGGTTTCACCGTGTTAACCAGGATGGTCTCGATCTCCTGACTTTGTGATCTGCCCACCTTGGCCTCCCAAAGTGCTGGGATTACAGGCGTGAGCCACCACGCCCGGCCTAGTGATTTCAAACTTACAAAAAGTGGGAAGAGTAATATAAAGAACTCTTGTATACATTCAAATTCTCCCACTCATAACATTGTATCTTGTGCTTTTTCCTTCTCTTTCTATGTGTGTACAAGCTATTATAGGTTTTTACAAGTCATTTGAGTGCAAATTGCAGACATGGCCTCTTTTGTCCTCAGATACTTTCATGTGTGTGTCCTAAGGACAAGGACATTCTCTAACACAACCTCAGTTCAATGAGCAAAATCATGATGCTTGTGTGGATACATCCTTTTGTCTAGTCTGTTGTTCAGACAATTTATCAATGGTGTTTATTTGCCAAGCTTCCTTAGTCTCCTTTAATCTGGAAAAGCCCTTCATTCTCTCTTGTCTTTGTTATCCTGTCATTTTTGACAATAACTGGCTATTTTGTAGAATGTTTTCTGTTGGGGTCATCAATGGATTAGATTCAGGTGATGCATTTTTCAGATGAAAATTATAGAAGTGATATGGTGTCCCTCAGTACCTCATTCCAGGAGGCTAGGATACCATCGTCCAACTGCTGATAGATGTTAACATTAATCTCTAGATTTAGATAGCATCTTCCAGCTTTCTCCACTCTAAAGTTACTTTATTTGTTGTATAATTAATAAGTATTTCAAGGAGCAATACTTAGAAAATAGGTTTATGTTCTACTTATTATTGAACTTTTACTTTCTACCATTAGCATATAATGATAATTCTTCCATGAATCAATTGCTATTATGATGATTGTGACTATTTTTTCTAACTTCATCATTTCTTCTGTATTTATTAATGGCATTCATTCCACTGTAAGGAAAACTTGCTTTTCTCATCTGTCTGTTTATCTACATACCTACCTACCTAGCTTCTGTCTCTCGATAGATCTAACTCATGGTTTCTTATTTTATTCAAGAAGTTATAATCTGTTACCACTATTATTGCAATGTGTAGATTATCTCACAGTTGGCTACCGAGAGCTCCTTTAAACAGCTTCCTCTGTTCTCTTGACATGTTTCCATTATTATTGGAGCCTATCCTTACCTTCTCATGTATTAATAACAAGAAGTTCTAGATCTATTTTATACTTTCCTTCATCCAACTCTAGAATTACTGGCTGAAATCTGTGGTGAGTTCAGAAAGCAATCCCGAGTGGTGCCTGTGCACATTCATTGCTACAGGGAGGCCATGGTGCCTCTGTCTGTAGTTATTCACCTGGGGCAATTTTGCTTCCCAGGGCACACTGGTAATGTCTAGGACATTTTTGGTCGTTGCTACTTGGGAGGATGTGCTACTGGCATTTAGTGGACAGAGGTCAGGGATTCTGATAAACATTGTGCATTTTTCCCCCCAGTGGTAGATTAGAAGCTTTCAGTGTGCCTAAGCACTTGGAAATAGCAAAATAGTACCTAGTGATCGGCTCTGTGAGTTTTAACTCAAGAAGGAGAGTGGGAATCCACTGGAATCCTGAAGGACACCTCAGATTCTGGGGAGGAGAATGTAGGCAAATAGCCCCTATGTTAATGTGCTCCTGATAAAAGTGAGCGATGTCCCAGAATGTGAGGGGGTAGAGAGTCTCCCTCTGTGATGTACCCTTCCACTGGGGATTCCATGGACCCAGGTCAAGGGAGAGCACTTTGTTTCTCCCAAGCCCTAGAGCTAACTTGGGGAGATGCTGGACACTCTGAGAAGGAAAGACACTGGAAAAAGTTGCTGCCATTTTCTTAGACCTAGGACTAAGAGCAGTATGCTAGTTTTAATCTGGGCTCATAAGTCAGTCATTCTTAGGTGACCCAGCAGCTTGCCTACAAACTCATTTTAGTCTTGGGCCATATGGGAGTGCTTGTGCTAGAATGGGGTAGGGGTCTCCATATTAGAACTGAGCAATGACTGCGAAAAATGCCCTAATAATAGGTGTTGGAATTGTGTTCACCCTTGTTGCCAGTCTGAAGCCAGAGGAGGGCTACTGCAGTCATGGGTTCTCCTATGTCATGAGACTTGCAGCCAAGGTCATCTTGGTACCTGGAACTGGTCTCTGTGTATCGGTGCTGGATGCACCAGACTTCTTCCCTGAGATCATGGAGCAGCTGGATCTTATCTGCCCTACACTAGGGCTGATCTCTAGGCATTCAGAACACCTGCTCACTCGGATGAGCAGCCTAAGCAACCCCACCCTTCCTATGTATAGACTGTGGTGTAGCAGGGCCCTCTGTACTCCATACCCAGGTAGATCTACAGGCATTCAGAGCACCCCTGTGCCTAAATCAGCAGGCTTTTCTGCCTTACCCTTCCTGTACAGAGACAGTGGTGAAGCAGGACCCTCTCTGCTCCATGCCCAGGCAGACCTCCAGACATGTAGAGCACCTGCTCACCTGGAACAACATCCTGAGCTGCCCCAATATTCCTGTGCAGAGATTTTGGTATAGCAGCACCTGCTGCACTCCATGCTCAGGCAGATATCCAGGCATCTGGAGCACTGACTCCCCTGGATTAGGAATTGAGGCATTCTACCCCTTGCAGAGAATTTGAGTCCAAGGAGGTGTCTCACATCCAGGCCTAGGCACATGTCTGGGTGCTCAATTGATGCCCACTGGACTCCCACTCAATGCTGGTGCTTGTACCTGCTATTGGAGCACCTGTAGTTATGCCTGCCCTTCTTGGTCACCTCATCCAGGCATAAGCAGGGAGCTCACACCATGGTGCACTTCAGGATCAGCCCAATGCCAGAGGCAACAGAAAACTTCTCCCGGTAAACAAGAATCAAGTATATACCCATCTGCATTAGCCACAGCCAACTCTTACAGACAAGCACCGTCTATTGGCCTGTAGACAAACCACGTGGCCCAATATAAAACATACTGACAAAAGTGCATAGTGTTATAGAAGCAAAGCCAAAAACCCTATAGTCACACACCCTAGAGAGGGGTAGAAATGGAAAGAAAAACAATGATATAGAGAAAGATAGAAAAAAAATTCTGTCTGCATGAAAATAATTTCAAAAATTAGAAGTGTCAATGTGTCCAGATGAGAAAAAAACAGCACAAGAATCCTGGCACCATGAAACATCTGAATATTGTGAGACCATCAAGGATCTCACTATCTCCCCAGCAATGGTTCCTAACCAAAATGAAAACTCAAAAATGACAGATAAAGAATTCAAAGCATACATTGCTAAGAAGCTCAATGAGATCCAAGACAATATTCAAAATCAACAAAAACAAATTTCTTAAGCAATCCAGGAGATGAAGAAAGAAATACACATTTTAAAAAGAAATCAATCAGAGTTTGTGGAATTGATAAACTCCACTTAAGGAATTTCAAAATACAGTTGAAAGCTTTATTATTAGACTAGACCAAACAAAAAAACCACTTCAGAGCTTGAAGATTGGTACTTTGAACTAACCCAGACAGACAAAAATAATGAACAGTCTCTGAGAAATATGAAATTATATAAAATGACCAAACCTCTGAATTGTTAGCATTCCTGAGAGACAAGGAGAAAACATAAACAATGTGGGAAACATATCTGAGGTAATCCAAGAAAATTTCCCTAATCTTGCTAGTGTCATAGACATCTAGACACAAAAAATGAAGAGAACACCTGCGAGATACTGTCAGGACTCTGAGCCTAAGCTAAGCCATCATATCCTCTGTGACTTGCAGGTACACATCCAGATTGCCATTTCCTGCCTTAACTGATGACATTCCACCACAAAAGAAGTGAAAATGGCCTGTTCCTGCCTTAACTGAAGACATTGTCTTGTGAAATTCCTTCTCCTGGCTCATCCTGGCTCAAAAGCTCCCCTACCGAGCACCTTGTGACCCCCACTCTCCTGCCCACCAGAGAACAACCCCCCTTTGACTGTAATTTTCCTTTACCTACCCTAATCTTATAAAACAGCCCCACCCCATCTCTCTTTGCTGACTCTCTTTCAGACTCAGCCTGTCTGTCTGCATCCAGGTGATTAAAAGCTTTATTGCTCACACAAAGCCTGTTTAGTGGTCTCTTCACACAGACGCACATGAAAGATACTACACAAAATGAACATCAATGCCTATAGTCACCAGGTTTTTCAAGGTCAATTATATAAAAAATCTAAAAGCATCTAGAGAAAAATGTCAGATAATGTACAAAGGAAGCCCCATCAGTTTAACTGCAAAGTTCTCAGTGGCAACTGTACAAGTCAGAAGTGATGGGAGCCTATTTTCAGCATTTTTAAAGACAAGAAAATTCAACCAAGAATTTCATATTCTGTCAAACTAAGCTTTAGAAGCAAAGAGAAATAAAATGTTTTTCAGGCAAACAATCACTAAGGAAATTTGTTACCACTAGACCAGCCTTACATGAGATTCTTCAGGAAGTACTACACATGGAAACAAAAGATCCCTGCTACCATAAAAACAAACTTAAGTACATAGTCCACAGACCTTAAATGACCATACGTAGTCATAGTTATAATTTTTCCCATTGTACAGATGAGTTAACTGAGTCTCCTCGAGATGACATCCCTCGCTCTCTCAGCAGGGGCTCCATCCACCAGTTTCCCCTTTACCAGTGAGACTTCATTCTCTCAGCTACTGGGAGTGTGGCCGCTGATGGCTCACAGTTGAGTCCTTCTGTGGGCATTGATCTGAGTCAAAGGAAGCTGCTTTGTCCAAGTTCATGCCCCTCCTGGAATTGCCTATTTTAAATAATAGGTCTATATGCGGGTACAAAATGTTGACTCTTTTGCCCTGATATGCTACCACTCTGAGGCCATCCCCATTGCAGAGCTCTCCATGGGCCTGGCTGTGGCTGTCATCTGCTGAGCTGCACCCCTGCCTGACTTCTTCCTCTGCCCTACCCCATGCCCCTGCCTCCCCAGCACATGCCTCAGTGAGCCTCTTGCCCATGAATCTCCATCTGGGTCTGTTTCCAGGAACCCTAACCAAGAGATGGTGGAGTCAGGACTCACACCACAAATATCCTGCCTTTTAAACTACAGTGGGTGTTAGGTCTGTGAATGTTTGGAGGGTGGAGCAATTCTTGTCTAGGAGACTGGATGTCTCTCTTCTCAGGATTCAAGGGGTAGGATGTTCCAAATGCATTCAGACCTGAGACTTATTTGGAAAAATGGTGTTTTATCTGGAAAGTTCCCTGTTCTTGAAAATCTCTCACTCAGCAGGACTATTTTTCCCTCCTTACTCCTTAGTAAAATGAAAACCAAAGCTTCCATTTGCATTGGTCTTGGTGAAATATTTCACTTACCAAATTTCTTTGGATCTACCTGATGGGGAAGGCTAGGCAGGTAACACAAACCCTTTGTAATTTTGAGGAAATATGTAGAAGGCAATTTGGGGACAATAAGCCAGGTCATGTAATTTTCAGATACATTTTGTTCACATTGCACAATAAGCTTCATTTGCCACCCTGGCTCTGGGACTGGCACTTAGTGATGTGTCAGCTCCATCATTCCTGGAAGTATCCTGGCTGCAGAGAGGAAGAGTCCTGAGAAACACAGGCTACCTCTCCCATGATGACACTGGTCATTTACCAAAGGCCATGGGGGTGGTGTTCACAGAGTTGGTGCAGTGTCCTCAGCAGGGGCCCAGGTGGTTTCCTTCCATCTTCTCCATCATTCATTGGGCTCTTGTTGTTGGGCACACGGCTCATAGTGAAAGGCAGACACCATAGTTGGGACATTCTGTCCCACACTACAGCCTGAAAGATGAGGAGCAGGAGCAGGAGGAGGTCACAGGTGGTGAGAGGAGGGTGTGGAGAGTGAGTGAGAGAGAGAGAGAGAGAGTGTGTGTGTGTGTGTGTGTGTGAGAGAGAGAGAGA
The DNA here is from genome assembly GCF_000001405.40 of Homo sapiens. Classification (NCBI taxonomy): domain Eukaryota; kingdom Metazoa; phylum Chordata; class Mammalia; order Primates; family Hominidae; genus Homo; species Homo sapiens. The sequence goes on from NC_000020.11 coordinate 23,766,972, forward strand.
GAGAAAGAGAGAGAGAGGATTCTTTCCAAGGCCTCGATCTTTTCTATTCAGTATAGGCTTTTTTTTTTTTTTTTTTTTTTTTGTGATGACCTGGCTGTCTTCTTAGATGTTATTGCCTGGACTTGGGTCCTATGCCCCCTGGGGTGAGGAAGGCCAGGAAGTTTATTGGCTGATGCTTTCAGCCTTTGCACTCGGGGCAGGCAGGAGAAAGGGAGTAGGGAATGGCTGGTGAGGTTTTCAGAACAAAATTTCTTAATATAAGAGTCCACAAAGAGTTTGTAGAAACTCCATAGTACTCAAAAGGTTACAAGTGGGTTTGTGCAGGAGTGTGCCTATGCATACATACACACCATTTCTACAATACTCATCTGATTCCTAATGGGATCAGTGACTGGTACACCATTCTAATGTTGAAGTATCGACGCTGAGATGTAAATGAAATGCCGTGAGTTTGCACTGAAATTAAATACAGACTCACCTCTTGAGCTTCAGACGTCCATTACTTTCAACTGAACTGGGCAGCAGGCTACCTCCTCTTTACATTCAATCAAAGTAGAATACAGGAGAATGAAAGAGGATGAAATCGAGCACACTAAAGCCAAGCCAAAGCCCACTTGCTAATCACAGTCACTGAGTCCACGGCAGTGATGAATTCTCTGGTGGTGAAGGCTTCGTAGGGAATGTGACCTAAGACACCTTCTCTTCCCCAGGAGCTCAGAGTATAGATGGCGGAGGATATATCTGAAAACATTTACTGCCATGAAAAACAAGGAAACACTTATTAAATACTAAGTGGCTTTCACAAATCAGGGAGCATGTGAGAACAATTTTTTTTCCCCCTTAGGAAGGAGTTTCACTCTTTTTGCCCAGGCTACAGTGCAATGGCATGATCTTGGCTCACTGCAACCTCCAACTCCCAGGTTCAAGTGATTCTCCTGCCTCAGCCGCCCGAGTAGCTGGGATTACAGGTGCATGCCAGATGGGGTTTCACCATGTTGGCCAGACTGGTCTTGAACTCTCAACCTCAAATCATCCACCTGCCTCGACCTCCCAAAGTTCTAGGATTATAGGCATGAGCCACTGTACCCAGCTGTGAGAACACTTATGCTGAAAATAAACTGCCGATTAACTCATAGTTGATAAGCTGTTAGGCATATGTGGGTATATCAACCACACCAATAAGTCATTCAGCCATAGTATTTGTTAGTTTTAAAAATAGAGACATAGGGAGGATCCAAGGGGAAATAACCTGTAATCTCATCACCCAAAGACTCCTAGCTGACACTAAAAAAGAGGTAGAAAGAACACACACATATTTTTGTAATATTCAAATGGAAAAGAAAGATTCTAAATATAAAAAAAGCAAAAGCCAAATTATCCGTTTCCCTACACACACTACCACCTCTCTTCGGTGATATCCAATGTTAATAAATACAAATGACTGCTTGCCTCTCTCCTTTCCCATATTTTAGATGTGTATGTGTATATCCATATGTGGAAATATGTGTCTAAATGTCTATATAGCCACTCATACACATGTGTGTTTACTTTGTTTTTACAACAAGCTTTATATTAACACACCATATATACCTTGCTTTCAATAAAATAATATATTCAAGATATATTAAAATTATTTCCAGTTTAATACATATATTGCTATCTAATTCTTAACCACTCTTCCATAATGTGTGTGCTCTATAATTTATTTGAGTAGTCTCTAGTGATGACATCATTTTGATCATGTTAAAGTTTGTGCTATTACCAGGACATTGCCATGGTCATCCACAGGTTTCACTGAGTGTTGGTGACACTATCAATGATGTATTAATAGATTCTCAACATCTTTTAAGTGTAGATGTATTAAGATCTATTAAGTGTATGATTGGTGTAGGGGATGGGCCTGTGATCCAGACCTGGCCTATGAGGCATCAAAAGGAGTGAGTGCATAGGAGGAGCTTACTCACATTCAGGAAGGACGGGTGGAACAGAGGCTTCTCCCTAGGATCTTTCTGCCTCTGGATGTTGGTGCTGATGATGTGATGTCTGGAGTTGTGGCAACCACCTTGCTACCAGCTTGAGGCTGCAGCATCATGAACAGAGAGGTACGAATGAGAGAATCCCAGAGAAGCAGAGCTAGATGGTGGGAGTTCTGTTCCTAAAGCTTGTCTCACCCAGGGCCTTCTTATTATGAAAGGTAGAGCACTCCCTTTGCATTCAAGCCATTTTTAATTGGGGACTTTCTTACATGCTGCGGAAAGCCTCTTGCCAGGTCCTCATGCACGTGCAGGTTTCTTTTGCATGAGTTTCTCCTTCCCTCACTTCTTCTCCATGTCTCCTATTTTTGTGGATGGTGGATTTGCCTCCTTCCCATTTCCCCTTGGCCCATCCACTCTTGCAAAAATAGTAAAGTCTTCTCATAAAAATCCAGAAGATCTTCAATGATGCTAATGACGTTTAAGTACAGAGATCTTCAAAAACCCCACAAAAGGCTCCAAGTGGGCCCTAGCAACAGCTTTACTTGGCTGGATGTTTTGTACAATAAAAGATGTGTGATATTTTCACTGTAGTCAGCTAAGAACACTGGATTTTTCTACTCTGGCTTTCCTCTTCCCATTCATGGCCCTCTGGATGGTGTAGGGTGGACACAGGCATTTTGGTATCTGGCTAAGAGGAAGTTGAGTTGGGATGCATTTAACCTGGGGTGAGGGGAACACAGTCCCATGGTTCTCAGTCACTCCTGTGCATAGTCATGTTGCCTCAAACTGTCCTGGTGCAGGAGAGGCCCCAGACAAGGCCCTACCACCATCTTGGATTTTACCTAAAGCATTGAGGAGAGGTAGAACCTTGATCAGAAAATGTCCCCAGCACCTCACATTGGAAGCCTGTGATTAGCAGAGGAAAGAAGGTTTGCAATGTGTGGCGCCAGAAGCCCATCTGTGGAAAATTATTCCCAGAAGAAACATGCAAAATTTTAAGTGAGTGTTTTGTTTCTTTTTGACCCTAGTCAAAAAAGGAAGTTTTATTCTATTGGAAATGTATTTAGTAATATGGCATATAACATAATTAGTGCATTATGCAGTTGTCTTTATTTTTGATGGGAATTGAATGAGATAGAATTTCTGAATTTTTGACATTTGTAGAGCACAGATCTGTGTGGTGAAACTACCCATAATAAGGACATATGTGTGTGAAGCGGCACAGAACTGAGGATGGGGCTGACCTCCCACCTCTTCTTATCCTGATCAAGTCTGGGAGCTCCACATAACACAGATATAAAACTGTGACTAGCAGAAAGACAGCTCGAAGAAATACTTGCTTCAGGACAAACACCTCCTGCACATACAATGAGCTAATAAATATAACCCATAATGACATTTTTAGATAATTCTGAAGCTCAATACAACTGTGACAGTTTAAAAATGCTGTGTTTGTGTGTATTGTCAGTAGAAAGATTTGTTAAGGTCTTCAAATTTAAGTCAAGAAATTTTAGAGGTATTAAAATCTTAGAGCTTGCAGATGAAAGGAAAATGAAAGAGGCTTTTCCAAATTAGACAACAATCAGAAAAATGTGCACGATATGACCAAGTATGAGTTTGAATCAAGATGTGATGAGCCATCAATTTTACAAGTGATCAAACCTTTTAGTGGAAAGACTGCTTTATTCTTCTGTTATACTTGACAAAGTCCTATGATAAATGTCTTACAATGAGGCAAATAGTGATTCATTAGTTGAGTATAAAAACATCGAATGAAATTATGAGTTGTGTCAGTAGCTGATTAATAAAAATATCATGTGAGGAAGTAAAAATCATGTGGATTAAGAAGGGCAAATCTGCCCTTTCATCTGCAGAGTGGATAGATGGACTGATGTTAACAAAGCCAGTGGCATCATGAGCAGGACAGAATGTTTCTCTCAAGCTGCAGCTTTGAAATGTCAAACAGCCTCTTGCTGGCTGATGACTGCTTTCTGACTCTGGGCAGGTGCCTGAGGCTGGGATTAGACAGAGCCCCTTCTGCCTGCCCAGCACCCAGCTCTGAAGCTGCTTCCTCCAGTCCAGCAGGTAACATCCCAAAGGATGCAGGGTGGAGCTCCCAGTACCCCCAATGCCAAGTTAAATCCCACTTACCAAATCAAATTCATCACATTTGTTCCCCACCACCCCATCTACGTGCTCATGTCAGAGGCGTTTGAATCAGAGCAACTTCATCTGGAGTAGGGGCTGGGTACAATGAGGCTGAGACCTACTGTGCTGCATTCCCAGATGGTTAAGGCATTCTAAGTCACAGGATGAGATAGGAGGTCAACACAAGACTGCTTTCTGACTCAATGGAAGACCTCATCCTCTAGAGTCAGGGGCTGTCAGAAACTTTGCTTATCAGTAAGAAGAACATCCCACTGCCTGGAGGATCTACATCCACCTTTACACAGAAGCACAGAGCTACAGAGAAGGGGTTTATGGACAGAACATTCCACATCTATCTGGACTTTATGCGTTCTAAGGACACAGGACCTAGGTCCACTTTGCAGACCAGGCTTGACACTGGCTGCTTTACACAAAGTCCTGCCATGCTCTGAGAGCCTCAATATCCCTTCAAAATCCTTTCTAACATCTTCATTTTCAATCTTTTACCACTGATTTGTGACATCATTTTTGGGAGAGAAAGTCTTAGAAAGGTGTGGCACATGGGTGCCAGCCTCTGGACAATTTGGGCAGATTTCCTCTTATCATTTTGTGCCCCTGCCCTCCGCCATGCTCATGGCAGCAGCCCTTGCTCAATGTGACTCTGAGCATGGAAGGTATTGGAAAGCCCTGCCTGGGGCACCGGCCATGAGGCTGCCCCCCTGTACCCTGAAATGGCAAAGAGGACTGTGCAGGGTGGGCTGTGTGACTTAGGACTGTAGTTTCCTGTTCAGGGCAGAAATGTCCACTGTTCTTTGGAATGTTAGTGACAATTAAGTGATGTTCTTTATTAATGAGAACATCCTTCTTGAAACCTGAAGAGCATCCACTGCATTACAGTCCTGAATGTTTTAATTTCTACATACTTTATGTTAAGTTTGACATGACGACTTGCTTTAAATCCAAGTCCAAGAGAAAGTACTAGTGGGTGTGAACGTGAACAATGCTCCTAGGGTGCAACCTCCCAGCACAGGGCACTGCCTCCCAGTGTAGGGCATAACTTCCAAGCACAGGGCAAAATCTCCCAGGATAAGACACCACCTCTTAGCATAGGACACAGCCTCCCAGCATAGGGCACCATCTCTCAGCATAGGACACCACCTCTCATCATAGCACATAGCCTCCCAGCGCAGGGCACTACCTCCCAGTGTAATGCACAATCTCCCTGTTCAGCATAGGGTATGATCTCCCTGCGCAGGGCACACCCACATGGAACTGATGAAAGGAGGCACTGCTCTCACACTAGAACCTGGGCTGCTCCCTTTGGAAGAGGTCAGACTTGGAGGAGGGGGCTGGTGGACAAGGAGAGTTTCATAAAGGGTCCGCCAAAACCCTTCCTGTTTGCACAGCCCTGGACAGCCAAGAACTCAGTGGGAGCAGATGCTACTGTTTAGTTGCAGGAGAAGGGGGCATGTGTACCATACACCGGGGCTGTAAGAAGCAAGGAGCCAGGGCAGAAACCCCTGCTGTGAAGAAAGCCTCCTGATGTCTTCTCTGCCTGTCTCCTGGTGAAGACCCTCAGAGGAGACCTCCCCCAGGGCAGGAACCACCAATTCAAGGGTGAGAGCACTACAGTGGCATGGGAGTAGGAGGTGGTTTGTGCAGCTGGCCTGGTACAAACCCCTAGACATTCTGACACGTGGATTTCACCAAGGACATTCTGTCCTCCCAAGGAACTTCATAGATCTGGAAAGAGCATAACTGTTTCCGTGAAAGGAAAGAGAGAGGGACTAACAGTGTCGGCTGCAGTTAAAGTGAGAGGCGCCCAGGCATGAGGCATCTGATGGAGGCAAGGATGGATGGAGGTGAGACACTGTGTCCCCACCTGCTCCTGCTGAGACCCAAGGAACTGAACCAAATTGTGCAGTGATTACTCCATTCCCCCTCTCAGGTGGGGATGGAAAGCTCCAGTTCACCAGGTGGCATTGCCCCCATTTCCAGCCTGCAGGGTTCTTGCCCCAGCACAGCCCTGGGAGGAGCAGCCTGTGCAAGGTCTCCGGAGCCCTAAGGGTGCAGGACAGGGGGAGGCAGCACACTGCCCCCAGCTCCTTCCACCTCCTGTGCCTAGGCCAGCACTATGAGGGGCCAGAGGGAAGAAGCCAGGGCAGGGCAGCTCCCCTTGAAAGAGCTGGGGCGTAGGGAGCGGGCGAGAAGGGGAGTGCGGGTCTTCCCAGATTGCAGACCTCACAAGAACAAGCAGGTCTTTGGAGAGGCTGTTGTTGGGTGAGCGGGGCAGGTCCAGGGCTTTGCAGCTAACAGGCCTCTAGGTCCCTCTAATCTGCTCAGCGTGGCGGTGGCTGTGGGCAGGTGCCTGAAGCTGGGATTAGACAGAGCCCCATCTCCCTGCCCAGCACCCAGCCCTGCAGCTGCTTCCTATGGTTCAGCAGGCAACAACCCTAAGCACATGAGGTGGAGCTCCCAGTACCCCCATTCCCAAGCTAAAGCCCTCTTAGCAAATCAAATTCCTCACTCCTCTCCACACCACCCCACCTACATGCACACACATATTCATCTACATGAACTCACCCCAACTCTCACCCACATGGATCTATGCACAAACGTCCATACTTCTCCCACACAACCACATGCACACTCCCATGCACCTCCCCCACACACTTGCACATGTGTGTGTACACATGCCCCTTTCCATGAGCAAAACACCTGCACACCTACTCACATGTACATGCACAGACATATAACTTCATATGCACATACATTCATGTCTCTCCCAACACACATCTGCCATGTTTGCATAAACACACATGCATGTCGCCATATAAATGTACCCATGCCTGCATGCCCTGCTCTAGGCATACCGATGCGCTTACACACATACCCTTCAAAACATATGAACGAGCACACACACACACACCCCTCTGCAATGCACAACTGTCCCCGACCCACATCATGCACACACCTCCTGAAGTTTTGGCTGGTCATGGAACGGACACTTTTCCAAGTTGGGCTGGGACCTGGCACATTTGATTTGCCCCATCTCCACATCAAAGATTTAGTTCATCGCAGCCACGACCTACTCACGTGAAAGAGCAGGATGCACGGACAGTGCTCTCCACCAGTTTCATGCACACACAGGCACATCACTGTGACTGAGTCAAGGGAATTGCCTGGGGCTTCATTCCTGCCTTCATGAGCTGCCCACACTCCCACCTGCAAGGCACACAGTCACCTCCTGCCGGCTGGCAGGGGTGATATGCCCCAGGCCTCCCTGGTAACTTGTTTTCTCTGTGCCAGTGCAAAGGATTAACTGAAATCTGCTGGCCCAAGGGGCAGGGACCCTGTATTTCTTCTAGGAAGGCTGTCGTCTGATGATGAAATTTCAGCTAACTTCCAGTTTCTAGCATTCAGCCCATTGAGCATCTTATTTCCTCCATTTAACTCAGATTTATTTATTCCCTCTTTTATCAGTAGGAGATGAGAGGCTTCACACAAATGTATGTTTTAGGCCAACAAGAGACTTCCTCTCTAGTGCCTCCATTCTGAGTGGATGCTTTAGTGCCGGCCTAAAACATCCATAAGAGACTTCCTCTCTAATGCCTCCATTCTGAGTGGATGTTTTAGGCCAATAAGGGACTTCCTCTCTAATGCCTCTGTTCTGAGTGGATGTTTTAGGCCAATAGGAGACTTCCTCTCTAATGCCTCCATTCTGAGTGGGTTTTTGGCTCCAGTATTTCTAGGGTCATACACCTACTTGTGTTAAACTTGCTATTGCAGAAGAGAATTGAATGCTTTCCCTGCACAGGGCATCATGGAGGCGCAACTTGTCAGAACTGGGAGAAGCACAGGAGAAGGAGCCCTGGGAACCAGGCTGTGGAACCAAGAGGTAGTTGTGTGTTCTCTAGGGCATCAGTCTCCCCATCTGTAAATTAGGATCCTGGGCCCAACAATTCACATCATCCACTGCTTCACTCTGAGTTACTGTCACACTTCAGAGACACTTGCAGGCCAGGAGGAACTGTGACACCAGCGAATGCACCTCATGTGCGGGCAGAGAGCACCAGCTGATGGCTGCAGGAGGAGAAACGGGGCTGGTCTGGACTCCTTTGAATTTCCAAGAGAAGGTGGAGGAGCTTTAAAGTCTATGTCACTGTTTGCTGCTCTGCCACGGGATGCACGTCAACCTGGGCCTGGTAGCCCTGCTGAATCTCCCTCCTGACCCAACTCCCTCCTCTACTCTGCTGGGTGACTGCTGTCCTCACTGGCTGAGTCTAACTCTGTGTCAGCTGGCAGAGGGAGGGTCATCAGGTGTGTTCCACCCCAGCAGGAACTCAGCAGTCCTGGGCTGCAGGAGGTGGTCAGTGAGTCTGAGGGTGAAGGCTGGTAGCCCTAAGGGGCTGTACCCAGGGCGTGACTTGGGGAGGGAAGCAGGGCTCTGCAGGACAAGGAGCCAGGCTCCTTTGTGGCCCCTGCAGAGAGGAGTCAGAGAGGAGGATGAGCCTCATGGCCTGGATCTCATCCTGAGCAGCACCAAGCCCACCCAGAGTCCGCACAGTCTCCATCCACACCTGCTGGACCCTGGGAAATGCTAACATCATGGCACAGACCCAGTGACTGCTGCAGGTTAAAGGTGGCCAAGTGGACACGACAAGGCTGAACTCAAGCACTCATGGCCCAAGAGCATCCTTGGGCTTGAAGGCCGTCAGCGGACTGTCAGGGAAAGCTGAATGAGTCTGAGCCTTAGATCATGAATGTGTCAGTGCTGATTTGCTGGGAATGCTCTCAGAGGGGCAAAGCAGAGGCTATGGCATCCCTAGGTGTGGTGGCAGCACCCACCTGCTCTCTGGCTCGCAGCACCCACAGCGGGCGTCTGTAGTACTGATCTTTGGTGGCCTTGTTGTACTTGCTAATGGTGAAGTGAAGGGCACGCTGTACCCACTCATCATTGAGGTGTGTGTCATAGATGTCACCCCGATTGTCCTTCCTCCTCCTCGGGGCTCCAGGACAGGGCCACTGCCAGGGCGGCCAGCAGGAGCAGCAGAGTGCACAGGGGCCGGGCCATGGGCTTCTCAGAGGCAGAGCGCAGAGCTGGAGCTGCAGGAGATGAGGGAGAGAGCCTAAGGTAGGGAGCCCAGACCAGCAGGCAGCTGTGCATTTATCGTGCTTCCGCAGCCCCAGCCCACCCCACTCCATGCCCGCCCTTGGCTCCTCCTCCTCTTTCTGCCCATCCCCCTCTTTATCCATCTCTCATTTCACTACTCCCCCTACCCGCCCCGCCCGGCCCCCCATAACCTCCCTCCCTGCCTAAGTTCCCCCTGCCCCTCCGCCCCTGCCCCTCCATCCCCCAGTCTGCTCCTCCGTCTCCCCCTCCTCCTCACTACTCTCCTCACTCCCACCCCTTTTCCAGCCCTGCCCCTCCACCCCATTGCTCCCAAGCTGGCTCACCGTTGTCCCCAGAGAGGGCACACTGCTCACTGGGCTGTGAAAGCAACATGACCTCCTGTTTCCTCAGAAAAGGGAAAAGTGCAGGGCCCTCCTGGGATCTTCAGTTTTCAGAGGCATCAGTGAGAGCTTGGTCACAGTCTGGGAATCCATGAAACAGAGAGATGATTTCAGGAGCTCCTGGAAGGCTTATTCTGCATCCTGCTCTGGGGAATTTCTTTGCCAGACATAAGAGAATTAATGTTTTGCAAAAGGCCATTAGGTTCTCTTTTCATGAGTCCTCATTATTCAATGCACAAACCCTTTACCAGCTCCTCCTGGTACCAGGTGGTCTAGGACCTAGAGAGGGAGCACGGATGACCGAGCCATGGACAGAGATGTGACACAAACCCATGAGCAATTTTCAGTTTTATAATAGACACGTTAAAAAAGGAAAAAGAAACAGAGGGAGTGATTTTAATAATATTTCTTGTTTAACCTAATATATCCAAAATATTAGTTCAACACATGGGAACAGTTGTTAATGAGATAGTTTACATTCTTTTGAATGTGTGTAAGTCTTTGAAACTCCCTGTTGTTTTTTTTTACACTTAGACCAAATGTCATCTTGGACTGGCCTCATTTTCAGTGACCCATGGCCACATGTGGCTGGTGGCAGTGGTTCTGCTCCTTAGGGTATGGAGGATGAGAAAGCGATAATCAATAATTAATATCAGGAAATTAGTCTGTCTGTTGGAAGTGAAAGAGTATGAGGTAGAGACAGATGGAGCCACTGGACCGTGGTCAGGGAGACTGGAAAGGTGAGAAGCCCTGTCTAGACAGGAAGCAGAGCTCCAGGCAGCGGGAACAGCCAGTGCAAAGGCCCTGAGGCGGGGCTGAGCATGCCTGCTCCAAGAAGAGGAAGCTCCTGGGGCGGGTGTGAGCAGGGAAGGGAATGACCTGGAGTCTCAGGGTAACTGTGGGTGGGGCCCAGTGGGAGGTGCAGGGAGACTCCTGGCAGGTGATGGGGGTGTCAGGAGAGGGAGCAGCAGCCGCGGGATGAATGTGGGAGCCCACGGGTATCTCTTGTTCCTCCCCTCAGACAGCCAAGCTGCCGGCACTGGTCCTCTGTGCACTACTTGGAAAACTCACCTGATTCTTAAAAATTGCCTTGAATGAGGTAGAATTTACATACAATAAAACGCCTAATTATGTATGTGTAACCTGGGGGATTTGTTTATTTTTATGGATTTTGGGGTACAGATGTAGTTGCGTTATGTGGATATATTGCATAGAGGTGAAATCTGGGCTTTTAGGGTACCCATTACCAGATAATGTACGTTATATCCACTAGGTGATATTTCACATTCACCACCATCCCACTCTCCCACCTTTGAGCCTCCACTGTCTATCATTCCACTCTGCATGTCCGTGAGTACCCATTGTTTAGCTCCCACTTAACAAGTGAGAGCATGCAGTTTTTGATTTTCAGTTTGAATCACTTCAATAAGGATAACGGCCTCCAGTTCCATATCCGTTGCTGCAAAAAAACATAATTTCATTCATTTTTGTGGCTGAGTATTACTCCATGGGGTGTGTGTGTGTGTGCATATATATATATATATATATACACACATATACACACGTATACATATATACATATATATGTATACGTGTGAGTATATATATATATATATATATGTAGTATTCATACACACACAAACCACCTTGTTTTATCCAACTGTCCATCTGTCCATTGATACCATGACTTTTCTATGTGAAAAGTGCTGCAAGAAACATACAAGTGCAGGTGTCATTTTTACATAATGATTTCTTTTTAGAGGGTACCTATCCAGTAATGGAACTGCTGGATCACAGGGCAGTTCTGCTTTTAGTTGTTTGAGAAATCATCAGTTTTCTATAGAGGTTGCACTAATGTACACTTCCACCAACAGTGCATAATTTTTTTCTTTTCCCCACATCTTCTCCAATGTCTGTTGTTTTTTGACTTTCTTTTGAGACAGGATCTCACACTCTTACCTGGGCAGAAAGGCAGTGGCACGATCATACCTAACTATAGCCTCAAACTCCTGAGCTCAAATGATCCACCTGCCTCAGCCTCCTGAGTAGCTAGTACTACAGGCCCATGGCAAGACATTTTTATTTTTTGTAGAGACAGGGTTTCACTATTTTGTCCAGGCTGGTCTTGAAATCCTGGCCCCAAGCAATCCTCCCATTTTGGTCTCTCAAAGTGCTGTGATTATAGACATGAACCACTGCACTCTGCTGTCTTTTGACATTTAAAAACAGCCTTTCTCCCTGGTGTACAATGATATTTCATTGTGGTTTCAATTTGCATTTCTCAGATATTTAGTCATGTTGAGCATTTTTTCACAAGCATGTTTGCCACTTGTATGTCTTCTTTTGAAAAATATCTGTTTATATGCTATGCCCACTTTTAAAAATTTTACTTTAAGTTCTGGAATACATGTGCAGAATGTGCAGGTTTGTTACATAGGTGTACATGTGCCATGGTGGTTTGCTGCACCTATCAACCTGTCATCTAGGTTTTAAGCCCCACATGCATTAGGTGTTTGTCTTAATGCTTTCCCTCCACTTGTCCCCCAGTCTCTGACAGGCCCCGATATGTGATTTTCCCCTCCCTGTGTCCATGTGTTCTCACTGGTCAACTGCCACTTATGAGTGAGAACATGTGGTGTTTGTTTTTCTGTTCCTGTGTTAGTTTGCTGAGAATGATGGTTTCCAGCTTAATCTATGTCCCTGCAAAGGACATGAATGCATTCTCTTCTATGGCTGCATAGTGTATGTGCCACATTTTCTTTATCCAGTCTATCACTGATGGGCATTTGGGTTCCAAGTCTTTGCTATCGTAAATAGTGTTGCAATAAACATATGTGTGCATGTGTCTTTGTAGTAGAATGGTTTATAATCCTTTGGATATATACCCAGTAATGGGATTGCTGGGTCAAATGGCATTTCTGGTTTTAGATCCTTGAGGAATCACCACACTGTCTTCCACAATGGTTGAAGTAATTTACATTCCCACCAACAGTGTAAAAGCCTTCCTATTTCTCCACAGCCTCGCCAGCATCTGTTGTTTCCTGACTTATTAATGATTGCCATTCTAATTGGCATGAGATGGTATCTCATTGTGGTTTTGATTTGCATTTCTCTAATGACCAATGATGATGAGCTTTTTTTCATGTGTTTATTGGTTGCATAAATGTCTTGAGACGTGTCTCTTCATATCCTTTGTGCACTTTTTGTGCAAAGGTCTGGATATTAGACCTTTGTCAGATGGATAGATTGCAAAAATGTTCTCCCTTTCTGTAGGTTGCCTGTTTACTCCAATGATAGTTTCTTTTGGTGTGCAGAAGCTCTTTAGTTTAAATAGATCCCATTTGTCAATTTTGACTTTTGTTGCAATTCCTTTTGATATTTTAGTCATGAAGTTTTTGCCCATGCCTATGTCCTCAATGCTATTGCCTAGGTTTTCTTCTAGGGTTTTTATGGTTTTAGGTGTTACATTTAAGTCTTTAATCCATCTTGAGTTAATTTTTGTATAAGATATAAGGAAGGGGCCCAGTTTCTGTTTTCTGCATATGGCTAACCGGTTTTCCCAGCACCATTTATTAAATAGGGAATCCTTTCCCATTGCTTGTTTTTGTCAGATTTGTCAAAGATCAGATGGTTGTAGATGTTTGATGTTATTTCTGAGGCCTCTGTTCTGTTCCCTTGGTCTATATCTCTGTTTTGGTACCAGTACCATGCTGTTTTAGTTACTGCAGCCTTGTAGTGTAGTTTGAAGTCAGGTAGCATGATGTCTGCAGCTTTGTTCTTTTTGCTTAGTATTAGCTTGGCTATATGGGATCTTTTTTTGATTTCATATGAAATTTAAAGTAGTTTTTTTTTGTAATTCTGCAAAGAAAATCAATATGATAGCTTGATGGGAATAGCATTGAATCTATAAATTACTTTGGGCAGTATGGCCATTTTCATGATATTGATCCTTCCTATTCATGAGAATGAATTTTTTTCCATTTGTTTGTGTCCTGCCTTATTTCCTTGAGCAGCTGTTTGTAGTTCTCCTTGAAGAGGTCCTTTGCTTGCCTTGTAAATTGTATTCCTAGGCATTCTATGCCCACTTTTTTTGAGATGGAGTCTCACTCTGTTGCCCAGGCTGGAGTGCAATGGCATGATCTTGGCTCACTGCAGCCTCCACCTCCTGGGTTCAAGTGATTCTCCTGCCTCAGCCTCCCGAGTAGCTGGGATTACAGGCACGTGCCATGAGGCCTGGCTAATTTTTGTATTTTTTTTTTTTTTAGTAGAGACGGAGTTTCACCATTTTGGTCAAGCTGGTCTCAAACTTTTGACCTCGTCATCTGCCCGCCTCGGCCTCTCAAAGTGTTGGGAGGGCCCCTGCCTTCCCAGCACATGCCTCAGTGAGCCTCTTGCCTGTGAATCTCCATCTGAGTTGGTTCCCAGGAACCCTAACCAAGAGATGGTGGAGTCAGGACCCACACCACAAATATCTTGCCTTTTAACCACAGTGGGTGTTAGGTTTGTGAAAGTTTGGAAAATTTTTGTCTAGGAGATTGGATATCTCCCTTCAATAGATGATCTCAATGTTCTCACACCCATGAGACCTGCTGAAGAAAACCAATGCTTCATCTGGAAAGTTCCTTGTTCCCAAAAATCGCTTACTCAGCTGGGTCTTTTTTCCCCCTCTTCATCCCTAGTGAAATGCAAACCAAAGTATCCATCTGTATTGGACTTGGTGAAATATTTTCACTCATATAATTTCATTTGATCTAGCTGTTGAGGAAGGTTGGGCAGGTACCAGAAACCCTTTTTACTCTTAAGAAAATAAGTAGGAGGTAGGTTGAGGATAAGATGTCAGGTCATGTAATTTTCAGCTTAATTATGTTCTTGTCACACAGTAAGCTTCATTTGCCACCCTGGCTCTGGGACTGACACTAAGTGATGTGTCAGCTCCATCACTCCTAGGAGCGTCCTGGCCGCAGGTAGCAGGAGTCCTGAGAAACACTTGCCGCCTCTCCCACGATGACACTTGTTATTTAACAAAGGCTGTGGGAATGGTGTTCACAGAGTTGCAGCATCCTCAGCAGGGGCCCAGGTGGTTTCCTTCCATCTTCTCCATCATTCCTTGGGCTTTTGTTCTTGGGCACACAGTTCATGAGTGAAAGGTGGACACCATAGCCCTAGACATCCTGTCCCACACTACAGCCTGAAAGGTGAGGAGTAGGAGCAGGCGGAGGTCACAGGGCGTGAGAGGAGGGTTGAGGGAGAGAGAGAGAAAGAGACAGAGAGATAGAGGTAGAGAGAGAGAAAGAGAGAAAGAGAGAGAGAGAACTCTCCTCAGGGGGCTTTTCTCTGTTTATCCAGCAGATACTCTCTTAGTAGCAACCCGGCCGAGTGCTTAGCAGTTGCTGGCTGGACCTGAGCTCCATTTCCCCAGGGGTGAGGAAGGCTTGGAAGTCCATTGCCTGATACTTTCACTGTTTGCACTCAGGGGCAGGCAAGAGGAAAGGAACTGACAATGGCTGGTCTCCAGAACAAAGTCACTTATATGAGTGTTCATCGAGAGCTTGTAGAAACTCCATTGTACTCTGAAGTTTATGAATGTGTTTATGCACAGGTGTGCATGCCATTTGGGGTGTCTGAGAAGGATGCCTGAGCTGTGTCAGAGTTGGCAGGAATGGTGGGCTTTGGGGCCCTAAGATATGGAGAGTATCCAATGGGAACTAAGTGGGAAGAGGCTTGCAGAGTTGGCAACCTCCTCACCCCATGATAAAGGAGGGGATGATATGCTGAAACATCACATGTGAAGATGAACACATCACAAGGAAAATGCTCAAATGTGGCAGATAAACCACAAAGCCACAGGGCAATTCCTGTGCCTGCAGCCACCTGCCCTGTAAATCCTTCTCAGTTCATGAGTTTGCAGAGAACCTCTAGGTTCTGCATGCTCCACTTCACCACAGTGACCACCAGAGGGAAGCACTCACCCATGGATGACCAGCCCTTTGGGTGCCTCTACTCCAGCCTCACCCTGCGGAGCAGGCTCTGAAGGTAACCCTGGGGTTGTCATAGCATCTGCCTTGGAGAAAGGAGTTTTGTAAACTAAGCATTCCCTGAGTGCCGTACGGGTTCTGCAGAGGCCCGTCTGCTTGGCTCTGTCCTCGCTGCCCTGGGCTACCTGGGCTACCTGGGCATGTGGGGTTTTATTGATCAGAGCGATGACCAGTAGATGGCACAGTCTTCTGTTCCTGTAGCTCTCCCCAGGGCCCTTGCTGGATATTTCCAGGAAGGAGAGACAGGCCCAGAGCTGACTCTCTCAGAAGACAGGGACCTTCTGAAGGCAGGTGACAATGAACGTGTGGACACCCCGTGGACAAGTCTGGTTTCTATCCTCTCTTCCACTCTCTTCCTCCTCACCCCTTTCCTGGTGCTCCCTCTCTTACTTCCTGCCCCTTTCTAAAACTACCCATCTCCTTCTTTTTCATGGTCAACTTAGTCAGTCGGAGGCATGAATACCATGGAAAAACCACGTTTGCTGCTGTGGTTAAGAAGAACACATGATCCATTACTGAAAAACGGTTTCCCATGCAAGGCGAGGTGTCTGAAGACCAGATTCACCTGAGTCCAGATCTGATGAGCCTGCAAACAGAGGAAAACCTTAACGATAGCTGCTCTGCCTTCGTGCTTATATTCTGCACCAAAGAGCTTTATCTTTTCACATCAAATATCATATCACCACCATCGCCACTATATCATCAATATCACCATAATCTTCACAACTATTGCCACTTCCATAACCACCATCACTATCACCAGCATCACCACCACCATCCCCACAATCATCACTACCACCATCACCATTATCTTTAACACTATCACCATCAATACCACTCCCATGATCACTATCATCATCACCAGCATCATCACCATCACCATCATCATCACCATCACCATAACCTCAACATCATGGTCATCACCATCATCACCACCATCATCATAATCATCACTACCATCACCATCACTATTATCATCACCGTCACCATTACTGCCACCACCAAGACCATCACCATCAACACCAGTACCACCATAATACCCACCATCACTACCATCATTACCACCAACACTATTATCAACATCATCACTATCATCACCACCACCATCATTATCAATACCACCATCTCTGCCATCATCACCATCACCACCACCACTATTACTACCATCACTATTACCAACTTCACCACTATTACCATCACCACTACTATTACTACAAGAGCTACCATCATCACCACCATTATAACCACCACCACCACCACCAACATCATCACTATTATCACAATCACCATCACCATTAACAATACCAGCATTACTGCTGTCATCAACATCACCATCTCCATTACCACCATCACCATCAGTATACTCATCATCATTATACACATCATGAGCACCACTATCATCATCAACACCATCACCATCATTACCATTACCAGCATTACCACCATACCATCATCATCATCTTCAAAACCACCACCACCATCACCATTTTCATCCCCAGCATATCATTCTCATCACCATCATCATCTTCAGCACCACTGCCAGGTGTCTGTCAGCAGCTGTTCTGCATTGGACATTGTGCCACACCCTTTATAAACCTCATGTGATTACATAGTCATGCTGATTCTGTATTTTATAGAAAAAAATAAGGTGGTAATTGGCTTTGAAACATGATAGAAGAGTGTGAGAACCTGCTTTTTCTTCTCAGAACTATCTGCAATCAATGAAAGAGAAGACTCACTTTATTTCTCAGCTGCCACATTGCTGGATCTTCCCTAGAGAGGTCGGATGTGGACATCCACAGTGAAGTCTTCACTGGTTTGCTGGTCTCCACCCTCAGATTTTGTTTCTCTGGTTCTAAAATGTTTAGAAACCCATATCCTCTGCCACATGAAGCATTGGCATCTTGCTTTCTGTCTCTGCACTCTTGCTTTTGCCATGACATAGCCTGGCCTCTAGAGAAACTGGACTCTTTGATGTTCTCCAGACACAGAACTGTCCAGGCTCACATAATTCTTTCTCAAATGTTTACCTGTAGATGCCCACTCCACCCTAAATCTTTACCTCCACAAATGCTACTGCTTCTCAGGTTTAGGTCTACACAAACCCTGTCTATGAATCCCTCTCTGGTCCATGTAGCCAGCCAGGTGTGACCCTTTTGAATTTGGGGTCTTATTGCACTTTTGTGTGCACAAGAGGAATTTTCTATCCTCCTCTGAGAGTTGTTCTTACTTGTGTGTCTACTTCTGTCACCCACCAGGCCATGAGGACCTAGAGGATAAAGACTGAGTCCCCTTCCCCCTGTGATTTCCTTCTCAGAGATCACTGAGATAATCACAAACAAAAACTAGCTAACACTAATAATGAACATAACACTCAATAATGTATCATCACCTCATAATAACTACTTAGTAGGTGCTATTACTGTCTTCATTTTATAGATGAAATAACTGAGCCACAGAGAGTTTAGGGAAATATGTCAAATTTACACAGCTTGTAAATGGAAGAATCAGGATTTTAACCTGTGTAGTCTGACTACATGTCATTGCCATGATGTGAGATGCCTCAGCAGTCTGCTGTCCCTGAAACTTTGTACATTTGAGAAATCTCATGTTGAGCCACAGTTATGCTGCTTTTGAACTGGAGCTCAGAGGATGGGGTCATTTAAAGTGCCAAGGTCATCACCACCTCATACGGAACTTGACAATGATTCCTGCCCACGTGTCTTGGTCCAGACTCTCCTTCTTTTTGGAATTCCCATCTCCTATGTCACCTCATTGATTTCTCTTCATCATTTGTGATTCTGTAGATATTCTATATTCCATAAAGGTGACTTTCCAGATTGACAGAAGAAAAACCTGACAAGAGGATGCAAATGAAAGTGATTTATTTGGGTGGTAGTCCCAGGACACACTGCTGGGGCATTGAGGAAATGATACAGGAAAGAGAAGGTGCTGAATACAGTGAGTGTGAACTTTCAGGCTACTGCTATTCATACCTTGGGCTCAATTCTGCTGGGAACTTCTGGGAGATTGCATAGAACATGTCTGCTGGTGTCATTCCTTGGAAGAAGAATGTACAGGGCTATTAGTTCTCTCGCACTTGCTTGTGCCATGTGCACAGGTAAACTTGTGGGGATGGTGGCAACTGGAATGTGGACTGGCAAGCGCAGTGAGGTAAGGCAGTGAGGACCAATCAAGGGATCTGGGCAGCTTGTCCTCCTCCCCCAGCCCTCTCTGTGTGTTTGGTGCCCTTCTCTGTGCTCTCCAGTGCCATATTCTCTTCTCTGATTTCCACTTGCTTGTCTACCACCCAGAATTCTATACTGTACATTCCTCGAGGATGGAGGACTTGGCTCTTTCACTTTCTTTTCTCCAGCAACAGATTTCTTTTCTAGCATAAAATGTATACTCAACAAAGACAGTAGGAGTGATGAAATTAAGCCCATTTTTTGAAAAGTCTGATAAACTTTCAAAAATCTTTATTTAGAAACATTAATTTATGGGGAAATTCTCTTGAATAATTGAAAGAAAAATATTTTATAGAAGTTGCCAGGAACAATAAGAAAATTGCTTTGTGTAATTTGAAAAATCATCCCCAAATATAAAATGCATAAAAAGGAAGTGAGAGAGAGAGAGAAAATGTAATCATCAGCCTAGAGCCCCAAAAGTAAAATAAGTAGAAATGAAAATGAATCACAGGTGCCACAAAGCTCATTCTCTTCCACCGAACAAGAAATTGGGTAAGAAATGCAACCAGAAGCCATGTGCTGGCAGCTGAGCAGTTCCAAGTGGGTTCAGGGCAAAATGATCCTCTTGGTACTTTGGTGAACTTCATAAGTGAATGGATGAAAAGTGTGAGTAATCACCCAGGTACCCTGTTCAGGAACACTTGACTGTCCAAAAAGATGGACAAAATGTTTTTCTGTGTACTTTAAGGAATTGTTAAGATCTTGCATTTCATTATACTTCTTTTATGTGATTTCAGGACCCCTATGTCCAAGATGTCCAGAAAAGAGGAAGAGGTGAGCAGGTACAAAGTGGGGTCTGAGTTCTCCTTGTGCCTGTCTGGTAGCCTAGTGCTGCCTGAAGAAGCATAAAGATCTACCTGGTGCTATTAGGTGGGCACTTGTGGTCATTTTTAGGGCTGTCTTCCGAGTATTTCAGTTTCTGGATTTTTTTTTTATTATTATACTTTAAGTTTTAGGGTACATGTGCACAACGTGCAGGTTTGTTACATATATATATATACATGTGCAATGTTGGTGTGCTGCACCCATTAACTCGTCATTTAACATTGGGTATATCTCCTAATGCTATCCCTCCCCCCTCCCCGCACCCCATAACTGGCCCCAGTGTGTGATGTTCCCCTTCCTGTGTCCATGTGTTCTCATTGTTCAATTCCCACCTATGAGTGAGAACATGTGGTGTTTGGTTTTTTGTCGTTGCGATAGTTTGCTGAGAATGATGGCTTCCAGCTTCAACCATGTCCCTACAAAGGACATGAACTCATCATTTTTGTGGATGCATAGTATTCCATGGTGTATATGTGCCACATTTTCTTAATCCAGTCTATCATTGTTGGACATTTTTGTTGGTTCCAAGTCTTTGCTATTGTGAATAGTGCTGCAATAAACATACATGTGCATGTGTCTTTATAGCAGCATGATTTATAATCCTTTGGGCATATACCCAGTAATGGGATGGCTGGGTCAAATGGTATTTCTAGTTCTAGATCCCTGAGGAACCACCACACTGACTTCCACAATGGTTGAACTAGTTTACAGTCCCACCACCAGTGTAAAAGAGTTCCTATTTCTCCACATCCTCTCCAGCACCTGTTGTTTCCTGACTTTTTAATGATTGCCATTCTAACTGGTGTGAGATGGTATCTCATTGTGGTTTTGATTTGCATTTCTCTCATGGCCAGTGATAATGAGCATTTTTTCATGTGACTTTTGGCTGCATAAACATCTTCTTTTGACAAGTGTCTGTTCATATTCTTTGCCCATGTGTTGATAAGATTGTCTGTTTTTTTCTTGTTTGAGTTCATTGTAGATTCTGGATCTTAGCCCTTTGTCAGATGAGTAGATTGTAAAAAGTTTGTCCCACTCTGTAGGTTGCCTGTTCACTCTAATGGTAGTTTCTGTTGCTGTGCAGAAGCTCTTTAGCTTAATTAGATCCCATTTGTCAATTTACGCTTCTGTTGCCATTGCTTTTGGTGTTTTTGACATGAAGTTCTTGCTCATGCCTATGTCCTGAATGGTAATGCCTAGGTTTTCTTCTAGGGTTTTTATGGTTTTAGGTTTAACATTTAAGTCTTTAATCCGTCTTGAATTAATTTTTGTATAAGGTGTAAGGAAGGGATCCAGTTTCAGCTTTCTACCTATGGCTAGCCAGTTTTCCCAGCAAAATTTGTTAAATAGGGAATCCTTTCCCCATTTCTTGTTTTTGTCAGGTTTGTCAAAGATCAGATAGTTGTAGATATGTGGCATTATTTCTGAGGGCTCTGTTCTGTTCCATTGGTCTATATCTCTGTTTTGGTACCGGTACCATGCTGTTTTGGTTACTGTAGCCTTGTAGTATAGTTTGAAGTCAGGTAGCGTGATGCCTCCAACTTTGTTCTTTTGGCTTAGGATTGACTTGGCAATGTGGGCTCTTTTTTGGTTCCATATGAACTTTAAAGTAGTTTTTTCCAATTCTGTGAAGAAAGTCATTGGTAGTTTGATGAGGATGGCATTGAATCTATAAATTACCTTGGGCAGTATGACCATTTTCACGATATTGATTCTTCCTACCCATGAGCATGGAATGTTCTTCCATTTGTTTGTATCCTCTTTTATTTCATTGAGCAGTGGTTTATAGTTCTCCTTGAAGAGGTCCTTCACATCCCATGTAAGTTGGATTCCTAGGTGTTTTATTCTCTTTGAAGCAATTGTGAATGGGAGTTCACTCGTGATTTGGCTCTCTGTTTGTCTGTTATTGGTTTATAAGAAGGCTTGTGATTTTTGCACATTGATTTTGTATCCTGAGACTTTGCTGAAGTAGCTTATCAGCTTAAGGAGATTTTGGGCTGATACGTTGGGGTTTTCTAGATATACAATCATGTCATCTGCAAACAGTGATAATTTGACTTCCTCATTTCCTAATTGAATACCTTTTATTTCTTTCTCCTGCCTGATTGCCCCAGCCAGAACTTCCAACGCTATGTTGAATAGGAGTGGTGAGAGAGGACACCCCTGTTTTGAGTCAGTTTTCGAAGAGAAAGCTTCCAGTTTTTGACCATTCAGTATGATATTGGCTGTGGGTTTGTCATAAACAGCTCTTATTATTTTGAGATACATCCAATCAATACCTAACTTATTGAGACTTTTTAGCATGAAGGGCTTTTGAATTTTGTCAAAGGCCTTGTCTGCATTTGTTGAGATAATCATGTGGTTTTTGTCACTGGTTCTGATTATATGCTGGATTACATTTATTGATTTGAGTATGTTGAACCAGCCTTGCATCCCAGGGATGAAGCCCACTTGATCATGGTGGATAACCTTTTTGATGTGCTGCTGGATTCAGTTTGCCAGTATTTTACTGAGGATTTTTGCATCAATGTGCATCAGGGGTATTGGTCTAAAATTCTCTTCTTTTGTTGTGTCTCTGCCAGCCTTTGGTATCAGGATGATGCTGGCCTCATAAAATGAGTTAGGGAGGATTCCCTCTTTTTCTATTGATTGGAATAGTTTCAGAAGGAATGGTACCAGCTCCTCCTTGTCCCTCTGGTAGAATTTGGCTGTGAATCCAAAACCCCATCTGTATGTCACCATCATCAAAGACCAAAGGTAGATAAAACCACAAAGATGCAGAAAAAGCAGAGCAGAAAAACTGAATATTCTAAAAATCAGAGCACCTCTCCTCCTCCAAAGGAACGCAGCTCCTCACCAGCAATGGAACAAAGCTGGACAGAGAATCACTTTGACTAGTTGAAAGAAGAAGCCTTCAGATGATCAAACTACTCTGAGCTAAAGGAGGAAGTTTGAACCCATGACAAAGAAGTTAAAAACCTTGAAAAAAGATGAGACAAATGGCTAACTAGAATAACCAATGCAGAGAAGTCCTTAAAGGACCTGATGGAGCTGAAAACCATGGCATGAGAACTACATGACGAATGCACAAGGCTCAGAAGCCAATTAGATCAACTGGAAGAAAGGGTATCAGTGATGGAAGATCAAATGAATGAAATGAAGTGAGAAGAGAAGTTTAGAGAAAAAAGAATAACAAGAAATCAACAAAGCCTCCAAGAAATATGGGACTGTGTGAAAAGACCAAATCTACATCTGATTGGTGTTCCTGAAAGTGACGGGGAGAATGGAACCAAGATGGAAAGCACTCTGCAGGATATTATCCAAGTGAACTTCCCCAATCTAGCAAGGCGGGCCAACATTCAAATTCAGGAAATACAGAGAACACCACAAAGATACTCCTCGAGAACAGCAACTCCAAGACACATAATTGTCAGATTCACCAATGTTGAAATGAAGGAAAAAATTTTAAGGGCAGCCAGAAAGAAAGGTCGGGTTACCCACAAAGGGAAGCCCATCAGACTAACAGCTGATCTCTCGGCAAAAACTCTACAAGCCAGAAGAGAGTGGGGGCCAATATTCAACATTCTTAAAGAAAAGAATTTTCAACCCAGAATTTCATATCCAGCCAAACTAAGCTTCATAAGTGAAGGAGAAATAAAATCCTTTACAGACAAGCAAATGCTGAGAGATTTTGTCACCACCAGGCCTGCCCTAAAAGAGCTCCTGAAAGAAGCGCTAAACATGGAAAGGAACAACCAGTACCAGCCACTGCAAAAACATGCCAAATTGTAAAGACCGTCAAGGCTAGGAAGAAACTGTGTCAACTAATGAGCAAAATAACCAGCTAACATCATAATGACAGGATCAAATTCACACATAACAATGTTAACCTTAAATGTAAATGGGCTAAATGCTCCAATTAAAAGACACAGACTGGCAAATTGGATAAAGAGTCAAGATCCATCAGTGTGCTGCATTCAGGAAACCCATCTCATGTGCAGAGATACACATAGGCTCAAAATAAAGGGATGGAGGAAGATCTACCAAGCAAATGGAAAACAAAAAAAGGTAGGGGTTGCAATCCTAGTCTCTGATAAAACAGGCTTTAAACCAACAACGATCAAAAGAGACAAAGAAGGCCATTACATAATGGTAAAGGGATCAATTCAACAAGAAGAGCTAACTATCCTAAATATATATGCACCCAATACTGGAGCACCCAGATTCATAAAGCAAGTCCTTACAGACCTAGAAAGAGACTTAGACTCCCACACAATAAGAATGGGAGACTTTAACACCCCACTGTCAACATTAGACACATCAACAAGACAGAAAGTTACCAAGGATACCCAGGAATTGAACTCAGCTCTGCACCAAGTGGACCTAATAGACATCTACAGAACTCTCCACCTCAAATCAACAGATTATACATTCTTTTCAGCACCACACCACACCTATTCCAAAATTGACCACATAGTTGGAAGTAAAGCACTCCTCAGCAAATGTAAAAGAACAGAAATTATAACAAACTATCTCTCAGACCATAGTGCAATCAAACTAGAACTCAGGATTAAGAAACTCACTCAAAACTGCTCAAGTACATGGAAACTGAACAACCTGTTCCTTAATGACTACTGGGTAGATAACAAAATGAAGGCAGAAATAAAGATGTTCTTTGAAACCAATGAGAACAAAGACACAACATAACAGAATCTCTGGGACACATTCAAAGCAGTGTGTAGAGGGAAATTTATAGCACTAAATGTCCACAAGAGAAAGCAGGAAAGATCTAAAATTGACACCCTAACATCACAATTAAAAGAACTAGAGAAGCAAGAGCAAACACATTAAAAAGTTAGCACAAGGCAAGAAATAACTGAGATCAGAGCACAACTGAAGGAAATAGAGACACAAAAAACCCTTCAAAAAATCAATGAATCCAGGAGCTGGTTTTTTGAAAAGATCAACAAAATTGATAGACCACTAGCAAGACTAATAAAGAAGAAAAGAGAGAAAAATCAAATAGACCCAATGAAAAATGATAAAGGGGATATCACCACTGATCCCACAGAAATACAAACTACCATCAGAGAATACTATAAGCACCTCTATGCAAATAAACTAGAAAATCTGGAAGGAATGGATAAATTCTTCGACACATACACTCTCCCAAGACTAAACTAGGAAGAAGTTGAATCTCTGAATAGACCAATAACAGGCTCTGAAATTGAGGCAATAATTAATAGCTTACCAACCAAAAAAAGTCCAGGATCAGTTTCTTCTCATAAGTGCAAGAGACAATGGTCCTTCTTCTTCCTTTGAGTTTGGTGTGGTCATGACTTGCTGTGGTCACGAAGAAGTGAGATGTCTAGTCATCATGCTAGTTCTTGCCTCAAAACCATGTGCTTTTGTTTTTTTTTTCATTGTGATATTCTTTTATAGGTCCTGTGAGATTTATGCTTTAAGGAGATTCTATTTTGTATATTTTGAGGATGTGTTTCAAGATTTAGAGCTCCTTTTAGCCGTTCTCATAGTGCTGGCCTGGTAGTGGCAAATTCTCTCAACACTTGTCTGAAAAAGACTCTATCTTTCCTTCATTTATAAAGCTTAGTTTCACTAGATACAAAATTCTGGGCTGATTTTTGTTGTCGTTGTTTAAAGAGGCTAAAGAAAATACCCTAATCCTTTCCAGCTTGTAAGTTTTCTGCTGAGAAATCTGCTGTTAATCTGATAGGTTTTCCTTTATAGGTGACCTGATGATTTGCCTCACATCTCTTAACATTCTTTTCTTCACCTTGAATTTAGTTAACCTGATAATTATGTGCCTAGGTGATGATCTTTATGCAATGAATTTCCCAAGGGTTCTATCAGCTTTTTGTATTTGTATGTCTAGATCTCTAGCAAGGCCAAAGAAGATTTCCATGATCATTCCCTCAAATATGTTTTTCAAACTTTTAGATTTCTCTTCTTCCTCAGGAACAGCAATTATTCTTAGGTTTGGCCATTTAATGCAATCCCAAACTTGTGAGAGGCTTTGTTTATTTTTAAATTCTATTTTCTTCATCTTTATTGGACTGAGTTAATTTGAAAACTTTGTCTTTGAGCTCAGAAGTTCTTTCTTCTACTCGTTTGAGTCTATTGCTGAGATTTTCCAGTGGATTTTGCATTTCTCTAAGTGTGTCCTTGATTTCCAAAAGTTGTGATTATATTTTGTTTATTCCATCTATTTTCACTACAGATTTTTCAATTCATGTGCTGCATCTTTTTTAAAAATTTCTTTAAATTGGACTTCACCATTCTCTGGTGCCACCTTGGTGGGTTTAATAATTGACCTTCTGAATTCCTTTTCTGGCAATTCAGAGATTTCATCTTGGTTTGGATCCATGGCTGGTGAGCTGATGTAATTTTTTGGGGTGTTAACTAACCTGAATTTCTCATACTACCAGAATTGTTTTTTTGGTTTCCTTCACACTTGGGTAAGCTGTGTCAGAGGGAAGATCTGGAACTCAATGGCTGCTCAAGGGCTGACACCAACAAGCTATTCCAGTCATGCTCTACCAGCTGCACATTGGCTGGGGGTCAGGGGGTCTGGTGCTGGCTTGGCTTGTGTCTTCATGCTGGGGCCCATGCTGAAGGGGTGGTGCCCGTCTGGGCCAAGTTCTTCTCATGGAGGCTCAGAGAAGAGCAGGAGGACCAGCTTCTCACACATGCCAGTTAAGGGCTCTGTGCTTGTCCCATGTGTTAACATCCTATGGGCCAAGCAAGACCCATGACCATGCACAACGGCAATGGGGGTCTACTCTGCATTTCCTGGACAGAGGCGCTGCTAGCTGCCTGGCAGAGGGCATGGATGTATACTTTAGTTCCAGTGAGGGAGCCAGCTGTCCATCCATCCTGCCACACCCCCGTGAATCTTGGAAAAACACTGCTGTGACATGGCACATATGTGCCCAGGAAGCTGGTGGATTTCGTGCTGGCAGTGATTGGCTGAACTCCCGCTATCAAGGCTGACTTTTCTCTGTCTCCTTTGTCCCCTCCTGGGATGTCTGGGAAGTGTTGGCTTCTAAGGAGTCCTCCAAGTGCGGACAGCTCCCTTTTCAGGCCCTCTTTTTCTTCTCTATAAAAATGAGCAGGTCAAAGGCCATGGCTTCAGAGAGTCCTTTTTAGGCCTATAATTTGTGATCCATTGATTACTGTGTTACTCCAGATGAAGAATTTACCCCCTCCGACCTCCATTCCCAACTCTACCTATTGCTGCCAATGTGGTACCAGACTCACAGGCCCATGCTGGTGGGGGTGTGCATGTGGGAGAGGGGGCTTATGGTGAAAACCCAGGAGGAAACAGAAGAAGGCGGCTGTGAAACAGTAGTGACCCCCCTGTGTTGCAGAGGGAGGTGCAGGTACAGTGAGTGGTGGGGAACATGGCTGTCCCTTGTGAGGCAACACGTCTGGTGGAAGCAGAGGGCGCTTCTTCCTCAACCTCTGCCCATGCATTCTCTCCAGTGCGCCAGTCCCTGCCGTCTCACACCCTGTTTCTCTGCTCCAAGGAACAGTACAGTGTTCCAACAAGCTGAGCACACAGGCCTGTGCATGATGGGTGGGGCTGCGGTGTCAATGCTGAGGCAGCACTTTACTGTATTTTTAATTTTTAATTTTTTATAAAAGATAAAAAGATGATGGAAGTACGTCAGGAGGACACAGGAAACAGCTTAAAGGGGCTCTCACTATTCAACTCTGAGATATTTTAAACATTCAAATAAGTGATAGTAACAGATTACAACTCATTGAATAAAATAAGAAACCATGAGTCTTCTAGATCTGTGGATAAATAGATGATTAACAGATAGAGAGATGGAAAGATAGATACAGATAAAGGAGAAAAGTTCTTCCTTGGAGTAAAAAGAATGCCATTAATAAATATAGAAAAAAGAAGCAATTTTATTTTTCTATATTCATTAGAAAAGAAGTAATAAACCTTTTTTTATTGTAGTTTTGAAGTGACTTCAAACTTACAAAAAGCAGCAAGAGTAATATAAAGAGCTCCTGTACACACCCAGACCCTCCCACTCCTCACATTGTGTCTCGCGCGCTTTTCCCTCTTTCTATATGTGTACGCACTGTTACAGCTTTTCCCGAGCCATTTCAGAGCAAGTTGCAGGTGTGACTCCTTTTGTCCTTAGACATTCTCATGTGTGTCCCCTAAGGCCAAGGACATTCTCCAGCACAGCTTCAGTGCAGTGAGTGGAATCACAGCACTAGCATGGGTCCACATTGTCGTCTAATCTGTCGTCCATGCAATTCATCAACCGTGTGTCGTTGTCAGGCAGCTTCAGTCTCCTCTGATCTGAAACAGTTTCTCAGTCTTTCTTATCTTTGTGATCTTGTCATTTTTGAAGATAACTGGCGATTTCATAGAACGTCCTCAGCTGGGCTTTGTCAATGGATGAGATTCAGGCTATGCAGGTTTTCAGAGAACTGTAAATATGATCTTGTTTCTCCCAGTACCTCCTACCAGGAGGCCATAACAACGCTGTCCCACGGCTGATAGACACTAACTTTGATCTCTAGGTTCAGATGGTATCTGACAGCTATCTGCACAGTATGGTTTACTCTTCTCTCCTTTATAATTAAGAATTATTTCATGGAGCAATACTTTGAAACATTTATTTATGTCTTATAAAGTTTTCACTTTTGCTTTCTAGCTTTAGCATACAATAATAATTCCTGTTTGAATCAATTGTTATTATGATTGCTTTCAAATTGTATTCCTAACTGCATTTTAAAAAAATACTTATAAATGACATTCATTCTACTGCAAGGAAACACTTTTCCCTTTTACCTACCTATCCATATATCTGTTAGTCATATATCTTTCTATAGATCTATCTGACTCATGGTTTCTTATTTTACTCAGGGAGTTAGAATGTATTGTTCTTGCTTATTAGAATGTGAAAATTACATTAGATTAGGCTAGTGGGAGCCCCTTTAAGCTGCTTCCTGTGTCCTCTTAATATATTTCCATCATTATTTGAGCCTATCCTTACTTTCTGATAAAACAAGAAGTTCCGGATTTATATTTTACTTTCTCTGATCCAAGGTGAAAATCAGTGGTTGGAATCTGCAGTGAATGTAGAAAGCAATTCCCGCGTGCTCCCTGTACTCACCACTCCTGGAATGCCATGAGGCCTCAGTCAGTGGTTCTCAACCTGGGGCAATTTTGCTTCCCAGGGCACATTTGGTAATGTCTAGGGTGTCTTTGGTTGTTCCAATTTGTAAGGCAGGTGCTACCGGCATTTAGGGAGAGAGGACAGGGATGCTGATCAACATTCTGCAATGCACAGGACATTTCCAGAAAAAGAATTCCTAGGTCTCAAATGGCCACAGTGCAGAAGGTGAGGAACCTTGTTCTTGGCCTTGTCTGTTGGTCAGTGCTAAAAAAAACACACAAAAAAACTTACGCACGTGTAGATAGCTATTGTTCTATTACCTAGTTATGTATTAAAAACTCTGAGTTAATATCGACACCAAACCCAAAGCAATGAGATTCTTTCCAGTCCCCTCCTTTCTATAGTTGTGGCTCCTTTCTTGGACAATTATCAACTTTAATTCCATTATCATCAATATATTTACTTGCTTTCTGTGTACTAGAACTCACAGAAAGTGAAACATTATTCTAGATCAGTGTTTCCAAATTTATCTTCACATGGCACTCTCACGGTTGCTGATACGTGTTAGCCTTTCCCTGCAAAACACAAAGAACATGAGGAACAGAATCGACTAGGAAAGTTGGAAGAGAATTAATCAGATTCTTATCGCAAGTATTTTATGTTTTAATGAATATTCTAATGTGCATTGCTATCTCTGAATGGAGGCTTTTGTATACAGAATAATTTCAATGTATTTTTCGAGGAATCTTTGAAAATGTAATTAGGAGCATGTATTAACTCATAGCCACATTTGTGCTGTGTGCAACAGTTTGCAAACACTGTTTTAGATCTTTTGCACCCTGCAAGGAGTTTTTCTACATTTTTCCATGAACATAAAGAATTTCATGCTTTTGAGGAAATTCATTACTAAGAAATATTTATACAGCTGGTTTTCTCTGTAGTAGTACACTATTGCATGAGACTGTGTATGTGTGTTTGAGATTGTGTGTGTGCATGCACCTGAACAAGGCACCAATCCCTCAGGAGCCTGAGAGCTGCCCACTACGGGTCCCCTGATGGCTCACTCCATTCAGCAGCTCTTGTGTTCCCCTGGAAGCCCTCATTGCTGTTTTCTGAGGTCTCTGGGTTCCCACTGCAGCATTTGTTATCACTGTCGAGTTCAGCAGCACCATGGCATTTTCCTAGGGTAGCATCACATTGGAGATGCACTCACTTTACCTCCTGTGCTTCCTACCAGTGGGCTCAACCTACTCCAAGGCACCCTCTTCTAGTGAGAATCACAGGCTGAGAAGGAAAGAAGGGGGTGTCTATCAGCTGCCGTGCCATTGCCTCTCTGCCTCCTTTGTTCCATGCACATGGAACACTGTCTACTTGCTCAATGCTGTGGTCTCAGCCCTAGCACAGGACTCAGTAAGGAATTAGTTGAGTGAATGAAAGGATTCTCCAACAATCTTTATAAAATGTGTTTTCCACATTTTTCAGACAAGGAACCTGCAACAAAAAGTGTCAGACCCCACACTGTGATCTCATCACTGCTGAGCTCTGCCTGGAATCTTGGAACTCTCCAGCGATCTCCTCTCCTTAAGAGTGGATGTAGGATACCTGTACGCATTCCTTCAAAATAAGGTTATGGTGTGCCTGTTGTATGCTAGGAATTATCTTCTCATCAGAAAAAGAATCTCTCTATATTTTGGGAATATGTGAAGAACAAAATGATGATGTGTAAGAGATTCTTGCCAAATTGCTTGGCACAGAGAAGCCCTGGAGAAAGGGTGACAGTGTTGTTGGTGGGGTCTCTGCTGGCTGGGTTCCAGGACTCTTCTTCTGGGACACCCTGTGCTTCCTGCCACCCTCCGCAGGGTCATTTCTTATCCTTCCTCGTTTGCACTTTGATATTTCCTGCTAAGATTTCACTATTTTTCAAAAGATCCAAAAGTAATTAAAACTCTAGCCATTGAAATGGCAGTTCTAACAAGTCGTCTTAGAGTCATCACGGCCTCATGGGGGCTGCCAGCAAGCTATCCACATGGAATCATTTTATACACAGTGGGAAAGTCTCTGAAACATCCACAAAGGCATGTTCATCCAGTATGCACACTGAGTGTCCTCCACATTCCACAGATTGTGAGAAGCACAGACACATTACAGAGAATGAGATGGATACAATATTGCCTTCAACAAACTGGTGGCCAAGCCAAATTCTAACTGCAGAGAAGGATCAGGAAGGATCGATTTGAGGAAATAACATGTGAGCTAGACTTTTAAGGAGGCGAAAGAGCCAGCTGCAGAAAGCCAACAAGAGGGGTGTTTAATGCAAAGAAAATCATAAACCGATCCCTAGCTGGAAATGATCCTAACCTGTGGAAGCTCCTGAATTGAGTGAGGGACCGGCCGGCAGGAGAGGTAAGCAGACTGGGTTTGGTGGATGAGCAGATATCAATTCCTGCCACACCTTTCACACCGTGCTGAAGAATTTCTGTTTTACTCCAAGTGAAATGAGAAGCCTTTGAAAGGTTTTACCAGGACATGACAGTACACCTTTTGTATTGTTAGAAGGCTGGCGTGACCACAGGGAAGGAACAGGCTTCTAGTCGGTGAGAATGGGAGGGTGGAGAACAGTCAGGAGGACATTGCAGTTCCTCAGGAAGGAGAGGATAGTGGCCTGTGTCTGTGCAGTGGCTGGGAGGTGGAGC
Organism: Homo sapiens; assembly: GCF_000001405.40. Lineage (NCBI taxonomy): Eukaryota > Metazoa > Chordata > Mammalia > Primates > Hominidae > Homo > Homo sapiens. The sequence continues at coordinate 23,798,578 of NC_000020.11, forward strand.
ACAGGAGACTCAGGATGCCTATGAGAGGTGGCGGGGCAGGACTTGCTAAGGGCTGGGTAGAGGGCGCAGTGAGGAGGAAAGAACAGAATTCCAGCCCAGGCCTGAGTAAGTCACAGGTTGGTTACTCAGCCAAGGCAGAGGTGAGGATGAGCAGATTGTCAGGGCTGGCGCTTTGGAGAGGAATCCAGAGCTGTTCCCACAGAGGCTTGGGATGTCATGCATGTAGGAGTGTGGATCTCAAATGCTACTCCCTGGATCCAGCCTGGAGGTTCAGGTTTTACGAGCTTGCAGGGGAGGGAATCTCTCAATTTTGATCATGGACTTCATTTGGGGCAATGCCACGTGGTTTTCCATTATGAATTAATGATAGTCAATTTTAATCTTTGCCAACCATATTTGGAAAATCAACATTAGCAGTTCTTAATCTAAAAAAGCATGGATTACAGGAACCCAGAGTCTATAACCCATGGCTTGGAAGGTGTCTGAGAGGGATCCTGGGCTGTATCAGAGTTGGCAGGCAGGGTGGGTGGCTGATTTCTGAGAGACAGAGGGCATCTGACGGGAACTAAGGTGGGAAGAGGCTCACAGAGTGGCAATCATCCAACCTCACGATAAAGAAGAGGACAATATGTTGAAATGTGACATGTGACGATGAAGACATCATGAAGAGAATCTTGCAAGGCGGCAGAGAAACCAAAAGCTACAGGGCAATTCCTTTGCCCACAGCCACCTGACCTAAAAATCCTGCTGGGTTCATGAGTTTGCAGAGAACCTCTGTAAGGTGGGGCCTGCATCCTCCACTTCACCACACTGACCACCAGAGGGAAGCACTCACCCACTGATGTCCAGTCCCTCAGGTCCCTCTACTCCAGCTTCACCCTGGGGAGCAGGCTCTGCAGGTGGCCCTGGGGTCGACATAGGGTCTGCCTTGAAGGAAGAAGCTCTACAAACTAAACACTCCCTGAGTGCTGTATGGGTTCTGCAGAGGCCCCTCTGCTTGGCTCTGTCCTTGCTGCTCTGGGTTACCTGGGTGTGCAGGGTTTTATTGCTCAGAGCCATGGCCAGTAGATGGCATAGCCTCCTGTTCCTGCAGCTGTCCCCACAGCCCCTGCTGGACAGGCCCAGAATGGACCCTCTCAGAAGACAAGGACTCTCTCAGGGTGGGTGATGAACATGTGGACAACTCTGGGGACAAGTCTGGTTTCTTTCCTCTCTTTCACTCTTCCCCCTTCCGCTTATCTCCCTGTTCACTCTCTTCCTCCTCTCCCCATTTACTAAAGCTACCCATCTCCCATCTCCTTCTTGCTCATGGTCCCTTCTGGAGGTCAGAGGTATGAATGCCAGGGAAAATCTACTTTTGTTCCTGCGGTTAATAGGGACACGTGGCTGGGCGCGGTGGCTCACGCCTGTAATCCCAGCACTTTGGGAGGCCGAGGCGGGCGGATCACAAGGTCAGGAGATCGAGACCATCTTGGCTAACACGGTGAAACCCCGTCTCTACTAAAAATACAAAAAATTAGCCGGGCGCGGTGGCGGGCGCCTGTAGTCCCAGCTACTCAGGAGGCTGAGGCAGGAGAATGGCGTGAACCTGGGAGGCGGAGCTTGCAGTGAGCCGAGATTATGCCACTGCAATCCGGCCTGGGCTAAAGAGAGGGACTCCGTCTCAAAAAAAAAAAAAAAAAAAAAAAAAAAATAGGGACACGTGATCCATTTGTGACAGACACAGTTTTCCATCAAAGATGAGGAGTCTAAGGAGAAGATTTACCTGTGTACCGACCTGATAAATCTCTAGAGAGTAGAACTCTCTTACTGGTACCTGGTCAGGCCTGGTGCTTACATTCTGCTCCAAACAGATTCATCCTCTCTCATAAAACATAATATCACCACCATCTCCATCCAAGCCATCACCATTATCATCATGACAATCACCACTGTCCCATCACCATCACCGTTACCACCACTGTTGTAAACATCATCTCTAGTGTCACCATTATTATCTCCAACATCACCATCATCACTCTCAGTACCATCAGCACATTTATCCCCATTATCATCAACACCCCATCACCACTATTACTATCACTATCAACCACCATCACCATCATTATCAACACCATTGCCATTGCCATCAGTATTACTACTAACATCACCATCACCACTATCACCACAACCACCACCATTACCATCACCATCATCATCACTACCATCACCAACACCATTGCCATCACCATTACCACCACAATCACCATGGTAATCCTCATCAGTAACACCATCATCATCATGACTACCATTACCAATATCAACATGACCACCATAACCACCATCATCACCACATCACTGTCTTCATTACCATCATCACCATAATCACCGCCACTCTCACCACCATCATCACTATCATCAGCACCATCATCTCCGTTATCATCACCGCCAGCACCATTACTGCCACCACCATCACCATCCCCACTTTTGCCACATCATAACCACTATCACCACCATCACCAACATTATCACCACCATCATCACTACCATCACCATGCTATGACCATTATCACCAACATGACCACTACAATCCCCATCATCACCATCACTATCACCACCATTACTATCATCATCACCAGAATCACCACTGCTGCTATAGCATCATCATCAGCATCTTCACCACCATCACCATCTCCATCTCCACAATACTGTCATCATCACCATCATCATTTTCACTGTCACTGCCAGGTGTCAGCAGTTACTCTGCATTGGATATTGTGTTATGCCCTTTATCAACCTCTTGTGATTATACAGTCACTCTGATTCTATATTTTATACAGAAAAAGAAGGTGGTAATTGGCTTTGTAACATTATAACTGCCTTCTAGTCTCAGAACTAGTTTGAAATCAATAAAAAAGAAGACTTATTTTATTTTTCATCTCCCACATTGCTGGATGCTGTCTAGATAGGTCTGGTCTGGACATCCACAGTGAAGTCCTCACTAGTCCACTGGTCTCCACCCTTAGATTCCATTTCTCTGGTCCTCAAATGTTCTGAAAGCCATATCCCCTGCCACATGAGGTCCTGGAAACTTGCCCTCTGTGGCTGCCTTCCAGCTTTTCCCCATCACATAGCTTGGCCTTTAGAGAAGCTGGACTTCCTTGATGTGCTCAGACACATCCTGTCCAAGCTTATATGAATTTGCCCTTCTGGAAAGGGCACCTGTAGCTCCCCACCCACCCTAGATCTTTGCCTCTTCAAATATAACATGCTTCCAAAGTTCAGGTCTACACAAACCTTTTCTATAAATCCTTCTCTGATCCGTGTAGCCAGGTGTGAACCTTTTGATTTTGGTCTCCTACAGCACTTTTATGTTCACTGTAGGCATTTATCATCCTCCTCTCATGGTCTTTCTTACTTGTATGTCTATTTCTGTCCCCAACCATTCCCTGAGGTCTTGGAGAGCAAGGACTGAGTCTCCTTCCCCATGTGATGTGCCTTTCAGAGATCACTGACAGAATCACAAACCAAAACTAGCTAATAATAATGTCACCTTACAATGAACATAATTCAATAATTTATTATAGCATCACATAACTGCTTAGTAGTTACTATTACTGTCTCCATTTTACAGATGAAGAAATTGAACCACAGAGAGGCAAGTATTACAAAGTCACACAGCTTATAAGTGGAAGAACCAGGCTTTTAACCCATGCAGTCTGGTTTCATGCTTTTGGCATGAGGTTAGATGTCCCAGCAGTCCCCAGTCCTCAACACCTTTGGATACTTGGCAAATTCCATGGTGGGCCCAGTTTGATAGCCTTTGACCTGGAGCTCAGTGTTTGAAACCCCTGAAACTCCAGGGTCATCTCTCCTCATATGGAACTTGACACTTATTCACACCCATATGTCTTGGCCCAGACTCCCTGTTTTGGAATTCCCTTCCCCTATGTCACCTCATTGATTCCTTTTGTGATTCCACAGAAATTACATTCTCCATAAAGATGACTGTCAAGATTGGGCTACCCAGAGGGAGACCTTGTAACCAGAATTCAATTTCCTGTGGCTTATCTGGAAGGCAGTCCCAGGGTACACTCCTAGGACAGTGAGGAAATGAAATAGGAATGAGAAGGTGGTCAATACTATGAGTGTGAACTGTCAGGCTACTGCTATGCAGCTCATTTCTGCTGGGAACTTCTGGGAGATTGTGTTTAACATGTCAGCTGGTGTCAGTCCTTGGAGAATGTGTCAGGGAATTAGTTATCTTGCACTTACTTGGGCTATTTGTACAGGTAAATGGGTACAGATGCTGGCAATTGGAAGTTGGGCTGACAGGTGCTCAAGTAGAGAGGACCCAGCAATGTGGGGAGCTTGTCCTCCTCTCCCAGCCTCTCTGTGGGTTTGGTTCCCTTCTCTGTGCTCTCCAGTGCCCTGTTCTCTCCTCTGATTTCCACTTCCCTGTCTAGCAGACCTGACATTCATTGAGGGTGGGTGACTCGGATCTTCCTGTTTGATATCTCCAGCACCCAATCGAGCACCTACCACACATCACATGCTCAATGATACAGGAGGAGGACACAATTAGGCCCATTTTATGACAAGCCTGAAAATTTTCCATTAATCTTTCTTTAGCAACTTTAATTTACAGACAAATATTCTTGAATAATTAAAAGAGGAACATTTTATAAAAGTTGCAGGAACAAAAAGCAAATAGCTTTATGTCATTTAAAAAAAAATCACACAGAAAAGTTAAAATGTCTATAAAGGAAATGAGAGGCAAGGAAAATTGTAATCATTAGCTTGGAGGCCCAAAACTAAAACAAGGTAAAGGTGAAAATGAATCACAGGTACCATGAAGCTCATTCCCTTCCATGAAACAAGGAATTGGGTAAGAGAGGCAACCCGAAGCCACGTGCCAGCACCCAGACAGTTCCAAGTGGGTTCAGGGCAAAATAATCTTGGCATCTTGGTGAACTTGGTGGGTGAAAACACAAATGGTCATCAAGGTACTCTGCCTAGGTGATGCTTGACTGCCCAAAGATGGGTAAAATGTTTTCTGTGAACTTTAAGGCATTTTCAGGATACTGTATGTATATGTGTGTGTGTGTGTGTATATATATATATATATATATATATATACATTTTTTTCTTTTTTGAGATGGAGTCTCACTGTGTCCCCCAGGCTGCTGTGCAGTGGTGCAATCTCAGCTAAATACAACCTCCACCTCCTAGATTCAAGCAATTCTCCTGCCTCAGCCTCCCAAGTAGCTGGGAACACAGGTATGCGCTACCATGCCCGGCTAATTTTTGTATTTTTAGTAAAGACAGGGTTTCATTATGTTGGGCAGGCTGGTCTCGAACTCCTGACATCAAGTGATCGACCCGCCTTGGCCTCCCAAAGTGCTGGGATTGTAGGCATGAGCCATCTCCCCTGTCAGATGACTGTATTTTGTTATACTATTATTTGGTTTCAGGTCCACTATGTCCAAAATGTCTGGGGAAGTGGAGGTGGTGAGCAGGGAGAAACTGGGATCTGAGCTGTGCCATTGCTTGCGTGGTACCCTGGTGCTGTGGGCAGAAACACAGATATCTGCCTGGTGTGATTGGGTGGGCATTTGTGATAGTCTTTAGGGCTGTCCCTTGAGTGCTTCTGTGTCTTATGGGTACAAGACAGGATTGTCCCCTTCCTTTGAGTTTGTTGTAGTCATGACCTGCTTTGGTCAATATAATAGATGAATAAGTGACATCTGTTACTTCCAGTTGCACTTGGGGAAAGCTGGTGCTTATTGCCTTGGCCCCTGATACTGTTGTGAGGGTGTCTTCTCCATCATCTTGGGATCCAGAGTGAGCACAACATAGTTCAGCACCCCCGACACACATGCAGTGCATCTATACAAATAACAGTCACAATAATGGAATGGTATGTTGCTGTCTTAAGTCCCTCATACTTTTTTTTGTTACCACAGCATAACCCAGCTCATCCTGACTGATGCCACCATTTCCAGATAAGAGAAATGCGACTGAGAAAGATTAAGATATTTTCTTAAGATTGGACATTATGTTCCTACCCACTGTGCTTGCCTTATAGGTATGTGTTCTGGTTTTGACAATTAAGATATAGACAAAATGAGGGCAGAAACATTTGATTATTTACTCAGAGCAGGAGAAGGAGAAATAGAATTAATGTGAGAGGAAGAAGATATGTAAGGGGAAAAAATAATAAACTAGGAACCAAGCACATGCAATCTTTATAATTTCTTAGAATTTTCTTCCCTTTTGAAAGTTTGTTTTATTTTAAAAAAGGAAGGAAGATCTTCCATTAATTTTATAGGACATCTCATGCTTTTTGTAAAACAGAGTTTTATTCATTTTCCACTAAATGCAAATATTTATTGCCCATCTACTATACACTATACATTCACCTTTGTTCTGCATATTTCTCCTCCTTTTAAAAGGTATAGTATGTCAACATTCAGTTCATAGATTTATAGCCAAATGTTGTCTGTATACTTATTGGTTTCACTTTGATCTCCTATATCCAGAAAAAGAAAACAATCAAGAAGAGACTTCAATAACTAATTATAAGATAAACATTAAGGCTTCTGTGTACACTATACAGTTTGTTTTGAAATTATTTTTGTACTCATTCATTCATTTCTCTTAATTTTTTTTTCCAGTTGAAAGAGAGTTTATTTAAGCACAGAGATCAAGCAAGAGTGGAGCACAGGACACACTTTCAGGTTGCCTTGGGGACTGCTCTGTAGAACAAAAAATCAAACTCAAGATTTTAAGGAAAACAAGTACAAGTGAAGAGAAGGCATGATTACCAAAGTTGTTGATCTAATTCTCATTGATTTACAGAAATAACAGTGGCTAACGATCAGCTATACATTGTTGAATTATAGGATGTATGGCATTTAAAAATGTATTTATTTAAAACTAATTTTTTTTAGATTTTTGATGGATTTAGGGGTACAGGTGCAGTTGTGTTACATGGATATATTTTGTAGAGATGAAATCTGGGCTTTTATGTACAACTACCCAAATAAGATACATTGTACCCAATAGGCAGCATTTCACTTTCACCCTCATTCTATCCTCCCACTGTTTGGAGCCTCCAATGTCTATCATTCCACTCAGTAAGTCCATGTCCATGGTTTAGCACCCATGTATAAGTGGGAACATGCAGTTCTTGATTTTCTGTTTCTGAGTCATTTCACTAAGGGTAATGGCCTCCAGTTCCATACACATTGCTGCAAAAGTCATAATTTCATTCACTTTTATGGCTGAATAGTATTCCATGGTGTATATCTACCAGATTGTTTTATTCAATGAAGTGTTGATGGACACTTAGGTTGATTTCACAACTTTGCTATTCTGAACTGTGCTACAATAAACATACAAATGCAGAAGGCTTTTTTATATAATGATTTGTTTCCTTTTGGGGGGTACATGTGCGGTAGTGGAATTGCTGGATTGAAGGGTGGTTCTATTTTTAGTTTTCTAGAAATTATCATACTGTTTTCCATAGAGGTCATATGAGTTACACATCAACCGATACATATTTTCCAACATCTTGTTTTTTGACCATTTTTGAGACAGGGTCTCCCTCTGTTGCCCAGGCTGAAGTGCAGTGGCATGATCATAGGTCAGTGCAGTCCCAACCTCTTGGGCTCAAGGCGTCCTCCTGGCTCTGCCTCCTAAGTAGCAAGGACTACAGGCCCACACCACCACACGTGGAATTTTTTTTTTTTTTTTTTTTTTTTGCTTGTTGAGACAAGGTCTCACTATGTTGCCCAGGCTTATCTTGAATGCCTGGACTCAAGTGATCCACCCACCTCAGCCTCTCAAAATACTGTGATTACAAGCATGAGCCACTGCACTTGTCCGTTTTTTGACTGTTTAATAACAGCCATTGTGACTAGTATAAGATGGCATGGCATTGTGGCTTTAATTTTCATTTCTCTGATACTTAATTATGTTAAGTATTTTCATATGTTTGCCGTTTGTATGTCTTTTATTTAAAAATGTCTGTTCATACCCTGTGGCCACTTTTTAATGGGGTTATTCTTGTTTTTCTTGTTGAGTTGTTTAAGTTCCTTGTAGAGTCTGAATATTAGCTCTTTGTCAGATACACTGCTGGCAAATCTTTTCGCCCATTCTACAGTTTGTTTGTTTACTGAGAATTATTTCTTTTGCTGTGCAGAAGCTTTTTACTTTTATTAAGTCCCATTTCTCTGTTTTGGTTTTTGTTGTATTTTATTTTGAGGACTTCATCATAAATTCTTTGTCTAGACCAATATTTAGAAGAGTTTTTCCTAGGTTGTCTTCTAAGATTTTTATAGTTTCAGTTCTTACATTTAAGTCTTTAATCCACCTTGAGTTAATTTTTGTACATGATGGAAGGTAAGAGGCCAGTTTCATGAATCGACATATGGCACACCAATTATCCCAGCACCATTTATTGAATAGAATGTGATTTCCCTTTATATAATTTTGTCAACTTTGTCAGAGATCAGTTGGTTGTAGCTATGTGGCTATATTTTTCCGTATGTGTCTCTTTCTATAACATGACCATGCTGTTTTGGTTACTACAGCCATACAATATAATGTGATCTGTCCAATTTTATTCTCTTTGCTTAGCATTACTTTGGGCATTCAGGATCTTTTTTGGATCCGTGTGAATTTTACAATTTTTTTTTCTGATTCTATGAAGAATGACATTGGTAGTTTGATAGTAATTTAATTGAATCTGTAGATAACTTGGGCAGTATGATCATTTTAATGATATTGATTCCCCAGTCTATAAGCATGGGATTTTTAAAATTTTTTTGCCATCTATTATGTCTTTCTTTAGTGTTTCATAGTTCTCTTTCTAGAGATCTTTCACTCCTTGAGTAAATGTATTTCGAGGTATTTTATTACTTTTTGTAACTATTATGAATTGGATTGAGTTCTTGATTTGGTTCTCAGCTTGGACATTATTGTTATATAGAAATGCTACTGATTTTTGTACATTAATTTTGTATCCTGAAACTTTCATGAAGAAATTTATCAAATCGAAGAGCCTTTTGGGGGAATCTTTAGGGTTTTCTAGGTATAAGTTCATATCATAAAAAAAATACGAGAATTTGACTTCCTCTTTTAGAACTTTGATGTACTTTATTTCTTTCTTCTGCCTGATTGCTTCAGCTAGAACTTCCAGTAGTACGTTGAATAGGGGTCCTCGTAGTGGGTATCCTTGCCTTGTTCTTATTCTTAGGGAAAATGCTTTCAACTTTTCTTCATTCAGAATGATGTTGGCTTTGGGTTTGTCATATATGGCATTTACCGTTTTGAGGTATGCTCCTTCTATGCCTAATTGGTAAGGGTCTTTATTATGAAGAGATGCTGGATTTTGTTGAATGCCTTTTTCTGAATCTTTTGATATGATCACATGGTTTTGTTTTTAATTCTGTTTATATGGTGAATCCTATTTTTTGATTTGTGTATGTTGAATCAATCTTGCATCTCTGGAATAAAACCCACTCAATCTTGGTGTATTATGTCTTTGATATGCTGTTAGATTTTGTGTGGTAGCATTTTGTTAAGGATTTTTGCTTCTATGTTTATTAGAGATATTGGTTTGTAGCTTTTTTTTGTTGTTGTTTTTGGTTGTGTTCTTGTCTATCTTTGGTATCATTGCAATGCTGACTGCATAGAATAAATTAGAGAAGATTCCCTTTTTGGAACAGTTTCAGTAAGATTGGCAGCAGTTCTGTCTGGTACATCTGATAGTATCTGGGTTTGAACTCATCTGATCCTAGGCTTTTTTGTTGTTGGGATTTTTTTTCTTACTAATTCAATTTTATTACTTATTATTGGTCTGTTCAAAATTTCTATTTCTTCCTGGTTGAACCTTAGGGGGTTGTATATTTCCAGAAATCCATCTATTTCTTCTAGGTTCTCTCATTTGATCACATAGAGATGCTCAGAGTAGTCTTTGATAATCTTCTGTATTTCTGTTATATCAGTTGTAATGACACCTTTATCGCTTCTACTTGCACTTGTTTGAATCTTCTCTCATTTTTTGTTGGTTAATCTAGCTAGTGGTCTATTGATTTTGTTGATCTTTTCAAACAACCAACTTCACTTCATTGATTCTTTTTATTTTTGGTCTCAATTTCATTTAGTCCTTTTCTGATCTTTATTCTTTTACTAGCCTTGGGTGTGGTTTTTTTTTTCTTTTTTTCTCAAGTTTCTTGAGGTGTAACCTTAAGTTGCTTATTTGAAATCTCTCTATCTTTTTCATGTAGGCAGTTAATGTTATAAACTTCCCTCTTAGCACGATTTGGTTGTTTTTCAGACATTTTTGAAAGCTATATCTTTATTTTTATTCATTGACAATTTTTTTGATGTTGGTCTTAATTTCATCATTGACCCAACAGTGAGTCAGAAGCAGATCACTTAATTTTCATGTATTCATATAGTTTTGAGTATTCCTCTTAGTGTTGATCTGTATTTTTATTTCACTGTTGTTTTTAGAATGTACTTGATATGATTTCAATTTTTTTACATTTATTGAGATTTTCCTTGTGACCTAGCAAATGATAAATTTTTGAGAATGTTTCATGCATACATGAGAAGACTGTATATTCTGAGGTTGTAGGGTAGAATATTTTGTAAATATCTGTTAGGTCCATTTGCTCTAGAATTCAACTTAAATCCAGAATTTTCTGTTGTTGTTGATTTTCTGCCTCTATGAACTGTCTAGTTCTGTCAGTGGGATATTGAAGTCCCATACAAATACTGTATTGCTAGCTATCTTTTTTTTTTAGGTGTAGTAGTATTAGTTTTATGAATCTAGGTGTTCCAATGTTTCGTGCACATGTATTTGAAAATGTTAGATCTTCTCAAATAAATTTCTTTATCATTATATAATTACCTTCTTTGTCTCATTTATAGATTTTTCTATATTTTTTACTTTTTTCTTCTCTCTCTGAAATATCTATGACTCCTATTTTTACATGCTTTTTATATGGTCCCATATTTCTTGAAATCTTTAATCATTAAAATTTTTTTTCCTTTATTTTTGTCTGGCTGGATTAATTTGAAAGACCTACTTTCCATCTCTGAAATAATTTCTTCTGCTTTGGTCAAGCCTACTGTTGATGCTTTTACCTGGATTTTAAAATTTCACCAATACAGTTTTTATTTTTAGTAGTTGTATGGGTTTTTAAAAATCTATCTCTTTTTTCATATCTTGAATTGTATTTCTGATTTATGTTGCTTTTCAACTTTCTCTTGGATTATTTTGTGCCTTTTAAAAATCAGTATTTTAAATTCTTTATCAAGCATTTCAAAAAAAATTATTTTCATGAAGACCCATTTCTGGAGAGTTAGTGTGGTCCCTTTGAGGTACTGTTACACTCTGCTTTTCCATACTTTTGAATTTTTTTTTGCTGATTCCTTCTCATCTGCAAAAGCTATCTCTGTTTCTAATTTTTAAATTTACTTTCATTTGGAAGAGATGTTTTTGTTTTTTCCTTTTCTCCCTTGAGAATGTGTATAATGTCTGCTGTGTAGGGTTCAACTTTGGTTCTGGGCTTTCATTGTTAAAGGTTCTGTGTATGTTCCTTGGTTATAGATAGTCTTTGTATGGTGGCTTTCTCAGACGTTGGTTATAGTAGTGGTGTAGGGATGAATGAGTGGGTTCACTGTCTCCTACAAGTCCAGTATGGTTAAGGTCTCAGGAAGCTTATCTCATTCTCCAGTGCAATGCATTTCTGTCAGCAGATTTTCTATTAGATTGTGTCATTTATTTTCCAAGCCAGTGTGTGGTGCTTATGGATAAGAACCAGCTAAGGCTGATGCAGATGGGGCATATACTTGATCTTTGTTTATGGCGAGATGCTTTCTGTTGCCTCAGGCAATGGGCTATGTTGTGGAATGCACAGTGGTGTGAGCTCCCTGTACAGTCCTGGACTGAGGGAACAAGTTGGTTGGGGCCAGAGAATGCAGACATGCCTACATGTCTGCCAGTGGTAAGGGCAAACACTAGCTCTGAGGGCAGATAAAGAGGCAGCTGCAAAACATCCAGAGATGTGCCTGGGTATGGAGGGGATAACCCTCTGCTGCCCGAAGTTCTCTGCCTGGAAAGGGAGTGGTAACCTACCCTTCTAATCTTGAAAAGTGAGTACTCCACATGCCTGAAGATATGTCCAGGCATGGAGCATAGTGGGTGCTGCTGATTCAAGACCTATGCACCTGAAGGGAGGAGTGGCTGAGGCTCCTAATCCAGGTGAGAAGGTTCTCCAAATGCCTGGGAATGTGCCTAGCATGGAGTGGAGAGGGTGCTGCTGCAGAAAGATCTCTGCGTGAGAAGGGAAGGGCAGCTCAGATTCCTATTCCGGGTAAGTGGGTCCTCAAAATGCCTGGAAGTATCCCTGAGCATGACAGAGAGGGCACTGCTGTCCCAAGATTTCCACACAGGACAAGAGAAGTGACTCAGGATTGCAGTCCAGTAGAGCAGGTGTGCTGAATGCTTGGAACTATGCCTTAGAGTGGAGTAGAAAGGCACAGATGCACCAAGATCTCCGCATTAGAAGGGAAAGGCAACTTATGCTCCTAATCCAGGTGAGGGGGCACACTGAATTCTTGAAATTATGCCTGGTTGTGGAATGAAGAGGGTGCTTCTATACCAAGATGTCTGCACGGGAATGGAAGGGTGACCCAGGGTCTTAATCTAGGTGAGCAAATGGGCCAAATGCCTGGAAATATGCCCCTCAGTGAGGAACAAAAAAATTTGCTTCAGAGCAGTGAAATGGCTATTGCAACAAGGTCTTTGCAGGAAAGGCTGCTAGGCCCTTATTTCAGGAAGTGGAAGTGTTGAATGCTGGGAAATATGCCCAGGCTTGGACCTGAGGGGGTTTGTTGCTTTGCCAAGTTATTTGCAAGATAAGGGAGCTGTGGCCCACACTCCCAATTCAGACCAGCAGCTCTGTCTTTGAGTATGCTCTGTAGGCCCATGAGAAGAATGTATGTTCTGTGGTTGATGTGAGAGGTGAAGACAGCTAGGCTTCTGGGTCAGGTGGGGACTTGGAGAACTCTTCTGTCTAGCTAAAGGATTGTCAATGCACCAATCAATGCTCTGTGTCCAGCTAAAGGTTTGTAAATGCACCAGTCAGCACTCTGTAAAAACAGACCAATCAGCACTCTGTAAAATGGACCAATCAGCTCTCTGTAAAATGGACCAGTCAGCAGGATGTGGGTGGGGCCAAATAAGGTAATAAAAGCTGGCCACCTGAGCCAGCAGCTGCTACCTGCTCAGGTTGCCTTGCATGCTGTGGAGGCTTTGTTCTTTTGCTCTTCACGATAAATCTTACTGCTGCTCACTCTTTGCATCTGCACTACCTTTATGAGCTGTAACCCTCACCATGAAGGTCTGCAGTTTCACTCCTGAAGTCAGTGAGACCATGAACCCACCAGGAGGAATGAACAACTCCAGATGCGCCACCTTTAAGAGCTGTAACACTCACTGTGAAGGTCTGCGGCTTCACTTCTGAAGTCAGCAAGACCACAAACCCAGCAGAAGGAAGAAACTCCAGACATATCTGAACTTCAGAAGGAACAACTCTGGACACACCATCTTTAAGAACTGTAACACTCACCATGAGGGTCCACGGCTTCATTCTTGAAGTCAGCAAGACCAAGAACCCACCAGAAAGAACCAATTCTGGACACATTTTGGTGATCATGAAGGCACTATTGCCTATGACCAAGCAGTGAGTACCATCGGACCCCTTTTGCTATTTATTCTGTCCTATTTTTCCTTAGAATTTGGGTGCTAAATACTGGGCACCTGTCGGCCTGTTAAAAGTGACTAGCGCAGCCACCAGACTAAAGACATGGGTGTCAGGCTTTCTGGGAAAGGGCTCTCTAACAACCCCCAACTCTTTGAAGCTGGGAGCGTTGGTTTGCCTGGAACCAGCTTCCACTTTTCCTGTACTTCTGGGCTGAGCTGGGGGTCAACAGAGAGGAAAGCCATTCAGCTCTCAGGGTCAACAAGTTGGTTGACCCTGAAGCCATGAGTGGAACTCTCAAAGTCATGTCGCCCAAGCAAGACTCGCCCATCTATCCTATCTATCCTATCTCTCCTGACCCTTGCCTCCTGGATTCTAATGCTTGTCAGACAAACTTCCTCTCACCTCTCTTCTCTGAGGCTAGTCCCACTTCTAAAAACTACTCCCTATCTCTGGTGCTTTTCTAATTTCTCCTGCAAGAGTGATTTCTAGTATAAACTTCAGGACTCTGTTACCTTCTTTAGGCTCCCTGGTTCACCAATCAGAAAGACATAATTTTTGCCCAAAGCCCCATCACAGGGGGTACTATCTGGAATTTTAGGATCCCTCCTCAGACAAGCAGGCCTAATGAAGCTATTCTGGAAGCTAGGATATGGGGAGCTTCAGAAATGATATCCTTCCTATTCATATAACTGAGGACAAAAAGGCATCACTCTTCCAACTCTGATGATCCCTCCCCTCCCTCAGGATACGGCCCCCCACTTCATTTTTCAGGCATAACATCTTTATAGGACAGGGTTAAAGTCCCAATACTAACAGGAGAATGCTTAGGACTAACAGGTTTTCAAGAACGTGTTGGTAAGGGCCACTAAATCCAATTTTTCTCAGTCTTCTTTGTGGTCTAGGAGGAAAGGCAAGGGTGCAGGTTTTCAAGAATGCATTGGTAAGGGCCACTAAATCTGACCTCCCTCAGTCCTCCTAGTGGAAGAAAACTAGTGTTTCTATTGCTGTGTCGGTGAGTGAAACTATTCCAATCAGCAGGGTCCAGGGACTGTTGCGTGTTCTTGGGCAAGAGGTGTTTCTGCTGCTGCATCTGTGAGTGCAACTATTCCAATCAGCAGATTCCAATGACCATTGTGGGTTCTTGGGCAGGGGGAGAAACAAGCAAACCAAAACCATGGGCAGTTTTGTCTTTCAGATGGGAAACACTCAGGCATCAACAGACTCACCCTTGAAATGCATCCTAAGCCATTGGGACCAATTTGACCCACAAACCCTGAAAAAGAGGTGGCTCATTTTTTTCTGCAATATGGCTTGGCCCCAATATTCCCTCTCTGAAGGGGGAAAGTGGCCACCTGATGGAAGTATAAATTACAATACTATCCTGCAGCTTGACCATTTCTGTAAGAAGGAAGACAAACGGAGTGAAATACCTTATGCCCAAGCTTTCTTTACATTGAAGGAGAATACACAACTATGCAAAGCTTACAATTTACATCCCACAGGAGGACCTTTCAGGTTACCCCCATATCCTAGCCTCCCTATAGCTCCCCTTCCTATTAATGATAAGCCTCCTCTAATCTCCCCCACTGAGAAGGAAATAGGCAACCAAATCTCCAAAGGACCACAAAAACCCCTGGGCTATCAGTTATGCCCCCTTCAAGCTGTAGGGGGAGGGGAATTTTGCCCAACCCAGGTACATGTCCCTTTGTCCCTCTCTGATTTAAGGCAGATCAAGACAGACCTGGGGAAGTTTTCAGATGATCCTGATAGTTACATAGATGTCCTACAGGGCCTAAGGCAAACCTTCAATCTCACTTGGAGAGATGTCATGCTATTATTAGATCAAATCCTGGCCTTTAATGAAAAGAATGCAGCTTTATCTTCAGCCAAAGAGTTTGGAGATACCTGGTATCTTACTCAAGTAAATGATAGAATGACAGCTGAAGAAAGGGACAAATTCCCTACTGCTCAGCAAGCCATCCCCAGTAGGGCTCCCCACTGGGACCTCAACTCAGATCATGGAGACTGGAGTCACAAACATCTGTTAACCTGTGTTCTAGAAGGAGTAAGGAGAATGAGGAAAAAGCCCATGAATTATTCAGTGATGTCCACCATGTCAGGGAAAGGAAGAAAATGCTTCTGCCTCCCTCAAGCAGCTACGGGAGGCCTTAAGAAAATATACTCCCCTGTCACCCAACTCACTGGAGGGTCAATTGATCCTAAAAGAGAAGTTTATTACCCAATCAGCTGCAGACATCAGGAGAAAGCTCCAAAAGTAAGCCATGGGCCCTGAACAAAATCTGAAGACATTATTAAACCTGGCAACTTCAGTGTTCTATAATAGGGACCAAGAGGAACAGGCCCAAAAGGAAAAGCAAAATCAGAGAAAGGCCACAGCTTTAGTCATGGCCTCAGACAAACAAACACTGGTGGTTCAGAGAGGACAGAAAATGGAGCAGGCCAATCACCAGGTAGCGCTTGTTATCAGTGTGGTTTACAAGGACACTTTTAAAAGATTGTCCTATGAGAAACAAGCTGCCTCCTCGTCCGTGTCCACTATGCCGAGGCAATCACTGGAAGGCACATTGCCCCAGAGTGCAATGGTTCTCTGGGCCAGAAGCCCCCAATCAGATGATCCAACAACAAGACTGAGGGTGCCCGGGGCAAGTGCCAGCTCATGTCATTACTCTCACTGAACCCCGGGTATGTATAACCATTGAAGGCCTGGAAATTGACTTCCTCCTGGACACTGGCACAGCTTTGTCAGTGTTAATCTACTGTTCTGGACAGCTGTCCTCAAGGTCTGTTACCATCTGAGGAATCCCGGGACAGGTATTTCTCCCACTTCCTCAGTTGTAATTGGGAGACTTTGCTCTTTTCACATGTCTTTCTTGTTATGCCTGAAAGTTCCATACCCTTATTAGGGAGGGATATATTAGCCAAAGCTGCAGCTATTATTTACATGAATATGGGGGAAAAGTTACCCATTTGTTGTCCCCTGCTTGAGGAGGGAATCAACCCTGAAGTCTGGGCATTGGAAGGAACAAACTCAAGCTCCAGCCTTAAACCTTCCCACAGGACAAAACTTCTCTTTATACATCACAAGGAGAGCAGGAATAGCTCTTGGAGTCCTTACTCAGACTCGTGGGACAACCCCACATCAGTGGCATACTTAAGTAAGGAAGTTGATGTGGTAGCAAAAGGCTGGCCTCACCATTTATGGGTGGTTGTGGTGGTGGCCATCTTAGTGTTAGAGGTTATCAAAATAATACAAGGAAAGGATCTCACTGTCTGGACTACTCATGATGTAAATGACATACTAGGTGCCAAAGGAAGTTTATGGTTATCAGACAACCATCTACTTAGATACCAGGCCCTACTCTTTGAGGGACTGGTGCTTCAAATATGTACATGCATGGCCCTCAACCCTGCCACT
This sequence comes from Homo sapiens, assembly GCF_000001405.40. Lineage (NCBI taxonomy): Eukaryota > Metazoa > Chordata > Mammalia > Primates > Hominidae > Homo > Homo sapiens. Next base: position 23,815,777 of record NC_000020.11, read on the forward strand.
TTTCTCCCAGAGGATGATGAGCCAATCAAGCATGACTGCCAACAAATTATAGTCCAGATTTATGCCACCTGAGATGATCTCTTAGAAGTCCCCTTAACTAATCCTGACCTTAACCTATATACTGATGGAAGTTTATCTGTGGAGAATGGGATATGAAGGGCAGGTTATGCCATAGTAACAGTACTTGAAAGTAAGGCCTCTTCCCCCAGGGACCAGCGCCCAGTCAGCAGAACTAGTGGCATTTACCCAAGCTTTAGAACTGGGAAAGGGAAGAAGAATAAATATGTATACAAATAGCAAGTATGCTTATCTAATCCTACATGCCCATGCTGCAATCTGGAAAGAAAGGAAGAACCCCCATTAAATACTACAAGGAAGCCATGGAGTTATTGCATGCAGTGCAAAAATCCAAGGAGGTGGCAGTCTTACACTGCCAAACCCATCAAAAGGGGAAGGAGAGGGGAGAACAGCAGCATAAGCAGCTGGCAGAGGCAGGGAAAGACCAGCAGAAAGGAAAGAGAGAAAGAGACAGAAAGTTAGAGAAAGAGACAGAGAGAGGAAGAGAGAGAGAAAAAAGGAGTCAGAGAGAAAGAAAGAAAGAGACAAAGTCAAAGAGACAGAGGAAGAGAGAGAGACAAAGAGGGAGTCAGAAGAGAGAAAAAGAGAGACACAGAAAGTCAAAGAGAGAGAGGAAGAGACAGACAAAGAGAGAAACAAAGAGAAAGACAAAGAAAGAGAGAGACAAAGAAATCAAAGAGAAAGAGAGAAGTAGTAAAGAAAAAAGTGTACCCTATTCCTTTAAAAGCCAGGGTGAAATTAAAACCTATAATTGATAAATGAAGGTTTTCTCTGTAACCCTATAACACTCCAATACCACCTTGTCAGTGTAAACAAGGGTGTAGCCTGAAAGCACTGAGGCCACTGACAACCTGTAGCCTTCCTATCAAAAATCCTTAACCCAGTAGGTTTCCTAACAGGGGATCTAAATCTTAATTAATTACTATACAAAGGTCCGACCAGATCTAGGAAGAACTCTCTTCAGGATAGGAGGATAGATGGTTCCTCCCAGGTGATAAAGGAAAAAGACACAATGGGTATTCAGTAAGTGATAAGGAAAATCATAGAATCAGAATTAGGAAAATTTTCTAATAATTGATCTGCTCAAGGGTGCGAGCTGTTTGCACTAACCCAAACCTTAAAGTACTTACAGAATCAGGAAGGAGCCATCCATACCAGTTCTAAGTTAATATGGACTGAACGAGGTCTTATTAATAGTGAAGAATAATTGAAATTCCAAACTTAAAAGGTTTTCAACAAAAGTAAAGTTTGCTAAAAGTTAACAGTGCAAACATATATTATCCTAACTTCTAGTCTTGTGAAATCAGACCCTATCAGTACCCTATAACTGATATTATAGCCCAAGTATAATTGATATTATAGCTCAATTACCCTATAACTGATATTAAAGCTCAAGTCCGTCAGTGCAGAGCTATACAACTAATACCCCTACTTACAGGGTTAGGAATGGCTACTGCTACATGAACCAGAATAGCCAGTATATTTACTTCATTATCCTACTACCACACACTCTCAAAGGATTTCTCAGACAGTTTGTAAGAAATAGCGAAATCTATCCTTACTCTACAACCCCAAACAGAGTCTTTGGCAGCCATGACTCTCCAAAACCACCGAGGCCTAGACATCCTCACTGCTGAGAAAGGAGGACTCTGTACCTTCTTAGGGGAAGAGTGTTGTTTTTACACTAACCAGTCAGGGATAGTACAAGTTGCCACTCAGCATTGACAGAAAAAGCCTTCTGAAATCAGATAACACTTTTCTGATGTTCTTACATATGGAAACCCAAATGAGCTCAACTAACAACTTCTACCAAGGACCCCTGGACTGACCCGCTGGCCCTTTCACTGGCCTAAAGAGTTCACATCTGGAGGACACTACAACTTCAGGGTCCCTTCTTTGCCCCTATCCAGCAGGAAGTAGCTACAGTGGTCATCACTGAATTCCCAACAGCAGTTGTGGTGTCCTGTTTGAGGGGGGATTGACAGGTGAAGCCAGCTAGGCTTCTGGGTCAGGTGGGGACTTGGAGAACTTTTATGTGTAGCTAAAGGATGGTAAATGCACCAATCAGCACTCTGTGTCTAGCTAAAGGTTTGTAAAGGCACCAATCAGCACTCTGTAAAAACAGACCAATCAGCACTCTGTAAAATGGACCAATCAGCAGGTTGTGGGTGGGGCCAAATAAGGGAATAAAAGCTGGCCACCCCAGCCAGCAGTGGCAACCTGCTCGGGTCCCCTTCCACACTGTGGAAGCTTTGTTCTTTCACTCTTCACAATAAATCTTGCTGCTGCTCACTCTTTGGGTCCTCACTACCTTTATGAGCTGTAACCCTCACCACAACGGTCTGCAGCTTCACTCCTGAAGTCAGCGAGAGCACAAACCCACTGGGAGGAATGAACAACTCCAGACATGCCACCTTAAGAGCAGTAACACTCACTGTGAAGGTCTGCAGCTTCACTTCTGAAGTCAGCAAGACCACGAACCCACCAGAAGGAAGAAACTCCAGACATATATGAACATCTGAAGGAACAACTCCGGACACACCATCTTTAAGAACTGTAACACTCACTGCGAGGGTCCGCAGCTTTATTCTTGAAGTCGGCGAGACCAAGAACCCACCAGAAGGAACCAATTCAGGACACAGATAGGTGGAGCATTCTGTAGATGTCTATGAGGTCCAATTGGTCAAGTGTCAAATTTAAATCCAGAATTTCTTTGTTAGTTTTCTACCTTGATGATCTATCTAACAGTGCCAGGGGGATGTTGAAGTACCCCATTATAATTCTCTGGCTAATTCTTTTTGTAGGCCTTGGCATACTTGTTTATGAATCTGGGGGCTGCAATGTTGGATGCATATATGTTTAAGAATAATTAAGTCTTCTTGTTTAATTGAACCGTTTGTCATCATGTAATGCCCTTCTTTGTCCTCTTTAAATTGCTGTTTTGGGTTTAAAGTCTGTTTCATCTGATGTAAAAATAGTAACCCTCTCCCTTTTTTGTTTTCTATTTCTGTGATAGATCTCCCTCCAACCTTTTATGTTAAGACCATGGGTGTCATTACATGTGAGATGGATCTTTTGAAGACAGCAGATGGATGGGTCTGGGTTTTTAAATACAACTTGTAATCTGTGGCTTTTGAGTGGAGTATTTAGGCTGTTTATGGTCAAGGTTAATTTTTGTTTGTTTGTTTGAGACAGAGTATCACTCTATCACCCAGGATGGAGTGCAGTGGCACAATCTCAGCTCACTGCAACCTCCGCCTCCTGGGTTCAAGTGATTCTTCTGCTTCAGCCTCCCAAGTAGCTGGGATTACAGGTGCGCACCACCATGCCCAGCTAATTTTTTGTATTTTTAATAGAGACGGGGGTTTCACCATGATGGCCAGACTGGTCTCGAACCCCTGACTTCATGATCCACCCATCTCGGCCTCCCAAAGTGCTGGGATTACAGGCTTGAGCCACTGTGCTTGGCCCAAGGTTAATATTTATATGTGAGTTTTTGATCCTATCATGAAGGTGACAACTGGTTTCCCTGCAGTATGTATTGTGTTGTTGCTATATACTGTCTTTGAGCTATATTTAACTGTATTTTTGCAACAGTAGGTATTGTTCTCTTATTTCCATGTTTAGAACTCCCTTAAGCATCTCTTAAGGCTGGTCTAGTGGTAACAAGTTTTCTCAGTAACTGCTTGTTTGGAAAAGATTTATTTTTCTTCTTTGCTTACGAAGCTTAGTTGGATGGGATAGGACATTCTTGGTTGGAATCTATTGTCTTTAATAATGCTGAAAATAGGTTAGTGTCATGAAAATGTACTCACTAATATGGTATGTACAATAGCGCACCATGCAGTTTGTTTTTATTTTGTTATTTTGTTTTTAATTTTACCCAAGTGAGACCCAAGTTGTTTTATTTTTTATGGGAATTTAATGGGTAGAATTTCTTGATTTTTCACATTTGTAGGGTGCAGACCTGCATAGTGAAACTACCCACAGCAAGGATGTATGCCTGTGAGTTGGCACAGAATCGGTGGATCAGACTTGGCCTTCAACCTCCTGTTATCCTGATGAAATTGCAAGCTCCAAACAACAGAGACACAACATTGACCAACAGTAAGATGCTTGAAGAAATATTTCTTTCAGGACAAACTCTGTGCATCCCATGAGGTAATCAATATAGTATATAGCTTACATTTGCACAATTTTGAAGCCCACTACAACAGTCAGAGTTTTTAAATGCTGTGTTTAGTGAGCATTGTTGATACAGTCTTTAAGATCATCAATCTTAAGTCAAGAAAATTTAGAAAGTACCAAAATCTTAGCACTCACACGAAAGAAAACTGGAAGCTTTTCCAAATTAGACAACAATCAGACAAATTTGCATAACATTACCTATATGAGTCTTGAAGCAGAAAGAAAATGTTATAATCCATGATTTTCACAAGTAGGATTGATTGTAGTATTTCATAATTTTGGATGATTGTATTATTTATCAGAATTTTAAAGTGATCAAACTTAGTGGAAAGACTGGTTTATCTTTCTGCTATATTTACAGAAAATTCTATTATAAAATCAATATCACGTGATGAAGCAAATAGTGACTCAATAGTTGAGTATGAAAACATAGAAATAACTGGTTACACTGTTGTGTCCACTAGTTAATAAAAATGTTATGTTAGTAAGTAAAAGGAACACAAATTAAGGAAAGGCAAATCTGCCCTTTCATCTGCAGGGTGGATGGATGGACTGATGAGGACAAAGCCAGTGACATCATGAGCAGGAAACAATGTTTCTCTCAAGCTGCAGCTTCAAAATGTCAAACAGCCTCTTCCTTGGCTGACAACTGCTTTCTGACTCAACGGGAGACCTTGTTCTCCAACGTCAGGGGCTGTCAGAAACTTTGCTTATGAGTAAGAAGAACATCCCAGTTCTTGGAGGATCTACATCCACCTCTTCACAGAAGCACAGAGCTACAGAGAAGGGGTTTCTGGATGGAACATTCCAAATCTGGCAGGACTTTATGGGTTCTAAGGACACAAGACCTAGGTCCACTTTGCAGAGCAGATTTGACACTGGCTGCTTTACACTAAGACCTGCCATGCTCTGAGTCCATCACTACAGCCTCAAAAATCCCTCCCCACAGTCTTATAATATTCTCTTTGCTTTGTTTTTTGAATCATCCCAGGTTGGTTGATGTGAATTTATTCCCTTTTTGCTACAAGCCAATAGTCTGTTGACTGCAAAATCAGTTTTGGTGACTGACTGCACTAAGATATATATTATTTTTCTGGAATTTGGGATGATTGTAGTATTTATTAGGACTTTAAGATGAGTAATTTGTTGTGACTTATTTCCTCTTCTTAAATAAACACTAACTTTTGTGCTTAGTTTCTGATTGGTTATATTATGCTATTTTTCATGCAGATAACTCTGTGTATTATGTAAGCCTTAGACCTCACGGAACCTGGGTTGTCTGTGGTCATAGTGCTGAGAATCCACCTGCCCAGGGAATGACTGCACTGGTTCCTGCTTCCCAGGCCTCCAATGGACTTATCCCTCCTTTCAGAGTGATTTGTTTATGCTGAAGGTGGAGTTTCTAACTTCAGCGGTTTTAGTCTTTTAGCAAGAATTTGTGACATTATTTTTGCTAAAGGAACTCTTAGAAGGGGTGCAATATTTTCAAAACATGACCCTCATGAGACTTCTTTACTCCAAAGACCCAGTAGCTTCTGGACAGGGCCCAGACTCTCAGCTTGTTCCAGAAGAGAAAGACCCACATGCTCACCTTCAAGCCTCCCTGCCCCCAGCTCCCCTCCTAGGGAACAGACACACAGGGAGATGGTGGAGGGAGCCTTCTACAGAGCCAGACTTCCCCCTCCACTTTCCCAGGAAGAGAGATGTCAGAAAAGTTACTGGTTTACAGAAAATCACCTGTTCCTTGTGTCCTTGGATGGTGGTTGCTTATGTCAAGACAGACCCTTCCCCAGGTAGAGAACCATGAGGATCTCCATGCAGGGAAGACTTCACCCCTAACCACCATTCCCTGGCACCTGCTGTTCTGCTCTCAGCCCCTCTCTTCCAACAGAAGCCTAAATCAGTGTGTGTGACCCCCGACCACCTGACACTGGGTGAGGCCCAGACTCAGATCTCCTCAGCTCATGGTCTCCTGGGTGCTGCTTCACTTTCTTCAATCCAAAACCTTGGTTAAATCCCTTGGGGGTGGAGAGGAAATGAAGAACATGCGCCCCACTCTCCCTGCTAGACCATTCTCCTCCTGGCTTTCTATGTGCGGCACATGGGGTGCTGGCCTCAGGGCTGTTTTGGCAGTTTCCCCTTTGTCTTTTCCCCCTCGGTGTTCATGGCAGCCACCCTTGGTCAACACAGCTCTAGGTATGGAAGATAGTTGAGAGCCCTTCCCAGAGGCACCTGCCCTGAGGGCTGCACCCCCTGCCCTGAAATGGCAAAGGGAAGGGCCTTGCAGGGTGGGCTGGGTCTTAGGACTGTAGCTTCTTCTTTGGAGCACAACTACCCACTATTCTAGAGAATGGTTTTGACACTAAGGTGATGTTATTTATTAATTAAAACATCCTTTGTGAAAAAAATGAGTGTCCACTGTATGTCACTTTCATTTGTGTTTTAACTTCTCCATCCCTGTCAAGAAGCCTGACCTGAGTGCTTCTTTTAAATCCAAGTCCAGAGAAAGGGCGGCTGGATGTGAACGTGTAAAACTCTTCTAGGGCACAGCTTCCTAGCATAGGAGACAACCTCCCAGCATGGGCGCACCCTCCCAGGATGGATGACAGCAGTCTCTGCTTTCTCTGTGTGATGTTGCCCATCTTTTGTCTGGGTGGCATTTTTCCCAATCAGCTATACACACTCACACACACACACACACACACACAAATTTGTGTTCTTTGTTTCCATGTAGGGGCCTAAAGTCTCTTGTGGAAAGAACCACACATCGATCGCTATCTATTTAGTGTCTAGGGCATTTGATGAGAGCAGCTCAGTCCCTGTAAGGAAGGAGACCACTGGTACTCCTGCTGCCCTCTTCCCTCCACCTTGCCTAGTTCACAAGACAGGAGGAGAGAAAAAGCAAAAGGTTGGAAAAAAACAAAAGTAAGATAAATAGCCAGACAACCTTGGCACCACCACCTGGCTCTAGGAGTTAAAAAAAGTAATAATAGTAACATCAACCCCTGACCCAAACTACTTGTGGTATCTGTAAATTCCAGACACTGTATGAAAAAAGCACTGTAAAACTTTTTGTTCTGTTAGCTGATGCATGTAGCCCCAGTCAAGTTTCCCACGCTTGCTTGATGTATCATGACCCTTTCATGTGGACCCCTTAAAGCTGTAAGCCTATAAAAAGGCCAAGAATTTCTTTTTCCGGGAGCTTGGCTCTTAAGACGCAAGTCTGCTGATGCTCCCAGCCAAATAAAAACCTCTTCCTTCTTTAATCTGGTGTCTGAGGACATTTGTCTATGGCTCATCCTGCTACACTTGGAGTCTGCTCAACTCTGCAAGCACAGATGGAATCTACAGCCTAGCAAGCTCCACCGAGGCCTGAGCCCTGCCTGTGGACACAGCCAGCCCCCTCCTCCTGGTTGGACCAGTAGCTCAGACCAAAGCAGCAGCCCAGCTTCCCGGGCAGCAGTCTGGCCCACTCCTCTCCCTGACCCCCTCACCAGAGGCTGCTGCACCTGAAGGCCTGGGTTTCCAGCCCCTGGCTGCTGTCTCCCTGTTCTAAAGCTCAGGCCTCCAAAAGTGGCAGCAGCTCCCCTGACAGCCTTGCTGTGGCCATGTCAGGTCCCAGATACTCCTCTGATCTCCACACAAGCAGAACAAGGAGGCTTCATAAAGGAACTGCAGAAACCCTGCCTGTGTGCACATCCCCAGACAGCCAAGAACTCAGAGGGAGGTGATGCTACTGTTTAATTGCAGGAGGTGGGGGTGTGTGTACCATGTACCAGGGCTATGAGAAGCAAAAGGAAGGAGGGAGGGCAGAGTCCCCTGCTGAGCAACAAAGGCCTCCTGCAGCCTTCTCTGTCTTCTCCTGCTGCAGGTGCATGGGGAGACCTCCCACAGGGTGGGGGCCACCAGTCCAGGGGTGGGAGCACTACAAGGGGTGGGAGTAGGAGGTGGTCAGTGTGACTCCCTGGCACAGATCCCTAGGCTTCTTGACACCTGGAATTCACCAGGGACATTCTGTCCTCCCAGGGAACTTCGTAGATCTGGAAAGAGCACAACTGTTTCTGTGAAAGGGAAGAGAGAGGGCCAATCAGTGTGAGTTACAGTTAAAGGGGAAGTCACCCAGGCATGAGATGTCACAGCCTGAGTGAGGAGGATGGAGGTGAGACACTGGGCCCTCACCCACCCCTGCTGAGTCCCAGAGCACTGAACTAGAATGAATAGTGACTGTTCCATTGCCCCTCCCAAGGCTCCAAGTCACCAGGTGGCATTGGGCCCCCACCGCAGCCTGCAGTGTCCTGTCCCAGCACAGCCCTGTGAGGATCAGCCTGTGCAAGACCTTGGGAGCCCCAAGGGTGCAGGGCATGGGGAGGTGGCTCACTTCCCCCAGCTCCTTCCACCTCCAGCACTCAGGCCAGCACTAAGAGGGGCCAGAGGGAAGAACCCAGAGCAGGGCAACTCCGCCTCAAAGAGCTGGGGCATGGGGCAATGGTAACAAGGGGAGTGTGGCTCTCCCCTGAGTGGAGACCTCACAAGAACCAGCAGGTCCCTGGAGAGGCTGGTGTTGGGTGAGCCGGGCAGGTCCAGGGCTTCCCAGCTAACAGGCCTCTAGGTCCCACTAATCTGATCATTGTGTCTGTGGCTGCATGCAGGTACCTGAGGCTGGGATTAGACAGAGCCCCTTCTCCCTGCCCAGCACACAGCCCCACAGCTGCTTCTTCCTGTCCAACAGGCAACACCCCAAAGCAGGCAGAGTTGATCTCCCAGTAACCATTCCCAAGCTGAAGGCTTCCTAGCAAATCAAACACATCACCCTCCTCCCTCACCACCCCATCTGCACACACATAGGCAACTACGTAAACTCACTTGGACCCCTCAACCCCATGGATCTATGTACAAACCCCCAGAATCCCCACACACAGGCACACATGCTCCCATACAGCTCCCTGCACACACTGGCACATGTGTGTACACACATGCACCTTTCCACATGCACATCTACATGCACAACCCTCCACAAGTACATGAACATGTATACATCCATGCATACATGACTCCCCACATACCCACCTGCACACACACACCCTCCAAACATGTGTAGGGCAGAGACTGACACATACGCACCCCTCTGCAGTGCATGACTGGCCTGGGACCCGCATCAGGAACGTACCTTCTGCAGTTCTGGCTGTTCATGGAAGGCACAGGTGTCCAAGTTGGGCTGGGACTTGGTACATATGGTTCGGCCCACCTCTATGTCGAAGAAGTAATTCACCCCGCCCACGATCTACACACATGAGAAAACAGGATGCACGGACAGCGCCCCCATCAGTTCATGCACTCACAGGCACTTCACTGTGGCTGAGTCACTGGACTTGCTTGGGGGCTTCGTGAGCTGCCCACATGTCAACACAAGGCACACAAGCCCCCTCTTCCTGTCAGCTGGCAGGGTGCTGGGCCTCATGCCCCCTCTTAAATATTGTTTTCTCTGTGCTGGGTAAAAGGATTCATTGAATTCTGCCACCTGTGGCTCAGGGGCAAGGGAACACTGACTCTTTTTACCCATGGGTGTCAGTTTACCCATGTATAAAATAGGCGTCCGGGCCTGATGGTCTGCAATGCCCTGTGCTTCACTCCAAGTTATTGTCATGCTTGAAAGGGAGGTGGAGGCAAGCGGGGACCATGGCACCAGGGAGTGCACCTCCCGTGCAGGGTGAGGGTCCCAGTTGACAGCTGCAGGAGGAGAAATGGGGCTGGTCTGGATTCCTTTGAATTTCCAAGAGAAGGTGGAGGAGCTCTAAAGCCTGTGTCACTATTTGCTGCTCTGCCATGGGATGCAGGTAAAGCTGGGCCCAATAGCCCTTCTGAAGCTCTCTCTTGACCTGACACCTCCTCCTCTCTACTGGGTAACTGCTGTCCTCATCTGGCTGAGGTCTAACTCTGCATCAACTCATAGAGGCAGGGTCAGGCGTGCTCCACCCCAGCAGGGACTCAGCTGCCCTGGGCTGTAGGGGGTGGTCAGCCGGCCTGAGGGTGAAGGCCATTAGCCCTAAAGGGCTGTACCCACGGGTGTGACTTGGGGAGTGAAGTAGGGCTCTGCAGAACAGGAAGCGAAGTTCCTGTGTGGCCCCTGAGGAGAGGACTCAGGGAGGAGGGTGAGCCTCATGGCCTGGATCTCATCCTGAGCAGCATCAAGCCCATCCAGAGTCAGCATAGTCTCCATCCCCCGGGAGCATGCTTAGGCATGAAGGCCATAAGCAGAGAGTCAGGGAAAGCTGAATGAATCTGAGCATTAGATCATGAATGTATCAGTGTTGATGTGCTGCGAATGCTCTTATGGATCGGGCAACAAACAAGGCTGGGACTCAGGACCCCTCAGGTGGAGGCAGCACCCACCTGCTCCCTGGCTCGTAGCACCCGCAGCAGGCGTCTGTAGTACTCATCTTCAGTGGCCTTGTTATACTCGCTGATGACAAAGTGAAGGGCACGCTGTACCCGCTCATCATTGAGGTCTGCATCATAGATGCCACCCTCGATTATCCTGTCCTCCTCCTGGGGGCTCCAGGCCAGGGCCACAGCCTGGGTGGCCAGCAGGAGCAGCAGGGTGCACAGGGGCCAGGCCATGGTCTCCTCGGAGGCAGAGCACAGAGCTGGAGCTGCAGGAGAGGAGGTTGAGAGCCTGAGGCGGGGATCCCAGACCAGCAGGCAGCTGTGCATTTATCCTGCTTTGGCAGCTCAGCCCCACCCCCCTCCATGACCTGCCCCTGACTCCTCCTCCTCTTTCTGCTCATTCCCTCTTTCTCCATCTCTCTTTTCACTCCTCAGAAACCACAAGATCCCTCCCTGCCTAAGTTCTCCCTGCCCCTCCCAGGCCTCCTCCTCTATCTACCCCTCCTCCCCACTCCTGTCCTCACTGCAGCCTCCCCGAGCCATGCCTCTCTTCCCCAGTGCTCCCAAGCTTGAGTCACCAGGTCTCCACAGAGATGACACTTCTCCTTTGGCTATGAAAACAATGTGACCTCCTGTTTGCTCAGAAAAGTGAAAAATACAGGGCTTGGCCTCCGGGGTCTTCAGATATCAGAGGCATCCAGGAGCACTTGGTCACGGTCTCTGAATCTCTGGAACAGGGAGGTTATTTCAGAAGGTTCCAGAAGACCCTGTCCACACCCTATTATGGAGAATTTCTTTGCCAAATTCAAGGGAATTAACCTTTTTTGAAAAGGTCACTGGGTTCTCTTTTCATAACTCATTATTCAATAAAAAAACTTATCACCAGCTACTCCCCGTGCCAGGAGGTCTAGGGCTTGAATACTGAACCTGGATGATGAGCCATAGAGGTGACATTGCAGAGCTGCTGCCCACAGAGATGTGACATGAACCCACGAGCATATGAAAATGTGTAGTAGATGCATTTTAAAAGATGAGAAAAAATGGGTGAAAGTAATGTTTAAAATATTTATCTAACCTAATACAGCCACAATATTATTTCAGCTAATAGGAACTATTATTAATGAGATTTTTTTTTTGTTGGAGGGGTTTTGTAAATCTTTGAAATTCGCTGTGTATTTTTTACACTTAGCCTGGGAGTCATTTTGGACTGGCCCCATTTCAAGTGTCCCGTGGCACATGTGGCAGGTGGCTATGAAACTGTACAGTCCGTTCCTACACAGTGTGTGTAGGGGATGATAGGTTATGGTCAACAATTAGGATCAGGGAGTTATACTCACTCTGTTGGAAGTGAAATAGAACAGGGGCTAGAGAGAGACCACTGGACCCTGGTCAGGGTGGTCTCTATGAGACTGGAGAGGTTGAGAAGCCCCAGGCATTGGGGAACAGCCAGTGCAAAGGCCCTGAGGTGGGATTGGGACATGCCTGCTCCAGGAAGAGGAAGCTCCTGGAGGGGATGTGAGCAGGGAAGGGAATGACCTGGTGTCTCATGGTAACTGTGGGTGGGGCCCACAAGGTGCAGGGAGACACCTGGCAGGCAGTGGGGGTGTCAGAAGAGGGAGCAGAAGCCAAGGGATGAATGTGGGAGCCCACAGGCCTCACTTGCTTCTCTCCTAGGCAGCCATGCTTCCAGCTTCTTTCCTCTATGCACTGCTTGGAAGACCCACCTGATATTTTAAAAATTGCCTTGAAGGAGGTAGAATTTACATACAGTAAGATGCCTAATAGTATGTGCCCACCTGGAAGATTTTGTAAATACATACACCTGTATTACCACTTTGTCCAGACCTCTGACATCTGCCTTGCCCCAGACGGTGTCCTCCTGCCTCTGCAGCTCATCCTCGTGCCCACCCCACCCTGGCAGCCCCTGTCCAGTCCTGTAGACTCCTTTGTCACCTGCCCTTGAGATTCCCAGGAATGGAATCCTGCAGAGCAATCCCAGATGTGTCTTCGTCCTTTGCTCAGCGTGGCTTTCCAGTGGCCCCCAAGTTGCTTCATTGCCAGGATTGGGAGTTCTCCTTCTCCACAGACTGAGAGGACCTAATCACCACAGTGCTCTGTGGGGTGACAAAGTCTCCAGCTTGGGATGCTGTGGGCCTGTGCTGGAATGTGGCTCCAGGATTGGGGAGGATGGAAGGAGGCCCTGAACAGACAGCTGCTCCCTTTGTTCTCTCAACCCAACCCTCCATGCCTGAAGGTGACCCTGTGGCAAATGCCCTTGTGGTGAGGTGGAAGGCTTGGTGAGAAACACCAGGAAACCCTGGGCCTTTGCATGGCATCCAGAGGACTCTCCTGGGAGTAGTGGAGGTGAGGGTCAGACAGAGTCAACCCAGAGCTGCTGGGATCCTGGGTCTCAGCCGTGGCTGGGGCTGCATCAGCAGGACCCGGCAGCAGGAACAATATTACTCATTGGTGTTCATGTTCAGTATTAGGACAGGGGACCTTGTTATCCAAGGCCCAGTGACCATTGCACACCACTGTCAATCCAGCACACCTAGAAAAACCATGCATCCCAGCAGATACAGCAGGTGTCCCAGGGATGGTGTTTACCGCTGGGTGATGGAGGGAAGGTCTTCAAACAGGGCTGCGCAGGATGGCTCCTAGTTAGACAGGGAATGGGGATAAATTCCCAGAGAAGGGAGAGAGAGGGAAGTCCCTTACCAGGTGTTTGTGAGCAGAGTGGTCATCTCCAAAGGGTAGGACTTAGTTCTCCTCTGTGGCTCCCACCTTCCTGGGATAGCTGGGAGTCCAGACTCAGGAAGAGCTGCTGTGCAGAGGATAAGCTGAAGGTCAAGAAATCCTCTCATTTTTTTTTATCACTGGAAAGGAGATGCAGGTTGAAGGGGTGGCCTGCCCCTCCACACCTGTGGGTATTTCTAGTCAGGTGGGATGAGAGGCTGAGAAAAGAAATAAGACACAGAGACAAAGTATAGAGAAACAACAGTGGGCCCAGGGGACCGGCGCTCAGCATACCAAGGACCTGCACCGGCACCGGTCTGAGTTCCCTCAGTTTTTATTGATTATTATCTTCATTATTTCACCAAAAAGGAACATAGCAGGAGGGCAGGGTGATAATAAGGAGAAGGTCAGCAACAAACATGTGAGCAATAGAATCTACGTCATAATTAAGTTCAAGGGAAGGTACTATGACTGGACATGCACGTAAGCCAGATTTATGTTTCTCTCCACCCAAACATCTCAGTGGAGTAAAGAATTACAAGGCAGTATTGCTGCAAACATGTCTCGCCTCCCACCATAGGGCAGTTTTTCTCTCATCTCAGAATTGAACAAATGTACAATCGGGTTTCATACTGAGACATACAGTTCCCAGGGGCAGGCAGGAGATAGTGGCCTTCCTCTATCTCAACTGCAAGAGGCTTTCCTCTTTTACTAATCCACCTCAGCACAGACCCTTTACAGGTGTCGGGCTGGGGGACAGTCAGGTCTTTCTCATCCCACCAGGCCATATTTCAGACTATCACATGGGGAGAAACCGTGGACAATACCCTGCTTTCAAGGGCAGAGGTCCCTGCAGCCTTCCGCAGTGCATTGTGCCCCTGGTTTATTGAGACTAGAGAATGACGACGGCCTTTATCAAGTATACTGCTTGTAAACATTTTGTTAACAAGGCACATCCTGCACAGCCCTAGATCCCTTAAACCTTGATTTTATACAACACATGTTTTTGTGAGCTCCTGGTTGGGTCAAAGTGCCTGGGGCAAAGCTACAAAATTAAGAACATCTCAGCAAAGCAATTATTTAAAGTACAGGTCTTTTACAAAATGGAGTCTCTTATGTCTTCCATTTCTACATAGACACAGTAACAGTCTGATCTCTCTTTCTTTTCCCAAACAGGTAACCCAAATAGTGAGAATTTGCTGGTGGGTGGAGTGTGAGGGAGGGAGGCCAAAGTGCTGATCTGTGCCGTGTATGTGATGACACCACCAGTGGTCATCTTGTGTCAGGATGCTGGCATGCACTGCAGGGAGGGTCAGCTGTCCTGATGCAGCAACCTCTCTAATCTCAGTAGGAAAGATACCAATGTATGTTGCTTTTCTGAGGAGGTACAAGTGCGATGTCCAGTATGGAGTGATAGGAAGTGGCAGGTGGGGGTAGCTGGCCAGCTGCTCCAGATGTTTGATGACCTTAGGCAAATGTTGTGTCTGTTGTGCGTGTGGAGAAAGAGGCTACTTTTTAAAGCGTATTGTCTGGGAGTTCAGACCAGCAGAGATGAGCAGACTTTACCAGTGATGTAGCAACATGTTTGAAAATGATGGAATAGCCAGGTGAGGTGGTGCACCTGTAATCCTAGCTAATTAGGAGAGTGAGTCAGGAAGATTCCTTGAATCCAGGAGTTCAATTCCAGCCTGTGAAACACAGTGAAACCCCCATCTCAAAAAAAATGACAGAACATTTTGTTCCCTGATTTCTATAGTCCACAGTTTTAAGGACACACTAGGAGGGGGCCAGATAGCAACCATGGACTGAGGAACAAGCCTGGGGCCTCCAGCACCCATGTAACCTGGAGGAGTCTAGCTGCCCAGGAGGGGGCAAGTTTTCCTTCTGCTAGGTGATGAAAGAGAAAGCTCTGTTCCCCTAGGCTGCATGGGTGACTACTGATCCTATTATCTGAATTAGCAGGATGAGAAGTTAGGTGAGTGGTAGAAGTTCTCTGCAATAAATGATGAATAATAAGTGAACACTAAGCAATACTACAATAAACAAATGACCAAACACAGAAAGCATCACCTACAGGTGCAGGTGGTGAGGACAACCTGGCCAAGAGTTGAGATTCTGCACATCTGGGTTTTGAGCAACTAACACTTTGATCTATGGTAGGAGCTGAGACTGAACAGCCACAGGATTTGGTGGCTTCTCAAATGGGAAGCCCAGAAGCCCCTTTTACGGAGTGCCTGGAATTCTCTGGGGTCAAGCTTGTCTCTTTCACACTCTATCCCTCCTTCTTTTCTCCCTCTCCTCAAACATGGTGGACACGTGGATGCTTCTAAACTATGAGCCAATGTTGGTAACACATTTGTCTCTGCTAGAACATGTGGATGCTTCTAAACTATGGGCCCATGTTGGTAACACATTTGGCTCTGCTAGGACATGTGGAAGCTTCTAAACTATGGGCCCATGTTGGTAACACATTTGGCTCTGCTAGGACATGTGGAAGGTCCTAAACTATGGGCCAATATTGGTAACACATTTGGCTCTGCTAGGACATGTGGATGCTTCTAAACTATGGGCCCATGTTGGTATCACATTTGGCTCTTCCACATCATTAGGAAACTGTGATACTCATGGGGAAGCCTGCTGGTAGCCCCAGCTAGGAAAGGCGAGAGAGGGCAGAGCCCAGTGTCAGGTCTGATTGTTTTGCACTCCATGGGGAGAAAGAGAATCCTTCCTCTCAGGGACCAGCATCTGAACGGTATTCATGGTTCTGGAGTGGAAGTTAACATTTATTTTTCAAAAAAAGGATTTGTCAGTGCAGATTCACTGACTGAAGAACCACATATGAATGGAGGGGAGTAGGGGCGGCCTCTGGAACTCAGGCTGCTGGCTGCTGCAGCCAGGGATCCATCTGACTCCCTGGGCTGCAGTCTGCAGAGGCCTGGCCACGAGGAAAACAGATGACTCTGAGGAGGTGAGTCATCTCCTTGACATCTCTGGGTGGTCAGACTTTCTTATCCTATTTGGGTCACTGCTGGGACTTCCCTGTCACTGTTTGTGTAACCTTAAATATCAATTCCTTTAGCAAAGTGCAGTGACTGTGGAGAGTGGTTCCTCTTCCTGCTTGGAATCCTGTTCAATTCAATCATTGAGTGCTGGAGCTGGCCAGAGGTCATCAGGACAGCCCTGCTCCCTCCTGTCGCCCTGCTTGCCCTCTCCTCCTGTCACAGAGGAGCTGGATCCAGCAACAAGACTCACCTTGATCAAACCTTAGTTAGGATCCTCTGAGTCTTCTTCTCCCCTAGTCCTCAACCCTAGTCCCCAGCCCTGGACCTCCTGTTCTTGCGAGGGTTGCATTGCCCAGTTTTAGGAAAGAATCCTGCTAAGTCAGTTTAGAAAGACTCCCCCCACCCTTGGTATCTGATCACCCTCAACATCTGACCAAGTTCTTCATTCCTTAACTTTGATGTCTAAGGCTTTGTCCTGCCTTTAGCAACAATATTGTTGGGTCAGTTTATCTAGAACCTCCTACCTTTGATGGCTCTGCTTAGTAATTCTTTATCTATTAACCCCACCACCTGATCCTTGGCTATAAATCCGGACTTCACCTTGTATTTACAGTTGAGTTCATTCTCTATCTTATTTTGAGAGTCTTGACACTATTGCAATAGTCTTGAATCATCTCTACCAAGCTCAGTCTTCAAGCAGTGAAACTGCACATCCTCTTGCCCATGATGTCATCACTGGACATCCTGCACGCTCCAACAATTCAGCATTCAGTCTTCAGTCTCATCATTTTAAAAACAGGAATACAATGATTCCCAGTACCAGTGAGTTATTATGACAATGGACTGTGTAATAAGGTGCTGCATGATCTCATTGGCCTATTGCATTGACCAGTTATTTTTCTCACATCTGCAGTCCAGCTGGGAGTCACTGACCTGGGATGGGATTATCTGGGCTAGCTCTGGTCCACGTCTGTCATCCTTCTCCAGGGACCAATGGCCAACATTTTTCATATTCTCACATGACAAAATCAGTGCACAAGAAGCCAAATTGAATTGCACAAAAGTATTTCAAGCTTCTGGTTACTTCACACCTGCAACTCTCCCTTGACTAAAGCAAGTCACATGGCCAGCCCAAAAGGAAGTGGTGGGGAATTGCACTCTACCATGGAGGGTGGAGGACAGCAAGTGAATAATTAGACAAATAATATAATATGCCGCAATAGTGTACCACACTGACTCACAGGGGCATCAGGGAAATTTAATGAAATGCTTGTGAAGTGCTTGGTACAGTGCCTGGCATATCTGTGTTTCTAGCTATCAATCTATCAATTAATCTAATCTGCCTAACTAATCTAGCTATCTAGGTGTGAAAGGAAAATAAATCTCAGGACCCCTAAATCATTAAGCCAAAAGGAAAAGTCAAGCTGGGAACTGCATCGGGCAAACCTGCCTCTCATTCTATTCCTAAATATGGTGGCTACAAAGATTTAAAAACTACATACCTTCCTCACAATTTGCCCACAAGGAAATTCCTTATGAACAAAGGACAGACAGAACTCAAAATCACCCCTCTGCTCACATGATACAAATACATATCTGATTGCTTCCTTTCCCCTATTGTTTCACTAAATACTATTCCTGTAAATTGCTTATTCAGTTAAAGGCTAATCAGAAACTCAAAGGAATGAAACTGTCTTTTATCTACCTCTGACCCAGATGCCCCCTCCCTACTTTCAGTTGTCTTGCCTTTCCGGACTGAACCAATGTACATCTTACATATACTGATTGATGTCTCATGACTATCTAAAACTTGTAAAACAAGCTGTAACCCAACCACCTTGGATGCATGTAATCAGGGTTTCCTGAGGCCGTGTCATGGGATGGTCCTTATCCTTGGAAAAATAAACATTCTAAATTGATTGAGACCTGTCTCAGGTACTCTTGGTTTACAAATGTAATCTGTCTATTTATCTATCAAATCTATTTAATTATCCATCTAGGTATCCATCCATCATGTTTCCTGTTTATTTCTCATTGTTCCCTTACCAATAAAAATTGAAGTCAAGTGACATTCTATGACCTGTATTTCCAATGTGTCCTCCACACTGCCACAGCTATGAGAATGCTCATGGCTGTCTCATGACTGTCCAATCTTTGAGGAATCTTCGATGAGTACTTGGCATCTAATCTTGTCCCTGCCTGTCCCTGCCTGTCCCTGCCCTCCCTGGTGCATCCTGCAGGCAGGTGAGCTCTGGATTGGCCTTTGGAGTGAGAGTTTGGACAGTTCTGCCACTGGAAATTTGCTTGCAATCCTGAGTACACCTGGTCCCAGACATATTTAAGATCTTTTGAAAGGCTGATCCTCTGGGGGCAGCTTGATGGATAGTTCTAGTGCTATGAAAAGAGGATGGAAGCTGGTGAGAAGGCAGATGGAAAGCATGAAATGTAGGCTGGATTCTGAAGGACAGGGCTGCCCTCCACATGTCCATGGCAGTTTCAGATACCAGGAGAAACCACACAGTCTATGGGGGAGGAGATTTCCCCCTCTCTGGACCCCACATGGGGTGGACTGTGGGTCTCTTCTGAGAGAGGTGTTCAGATCATCCTGTACACATCAGTTACTGGCTTCTGCATCATAAGCCACCCCAAATCTTCCTGGCTGAAAGCAACATGATGTGGGGGTTCTCATGACTCTGGATCTGTCTGTGGCTCTTCTGCTGGTCTTGTTGGGTTCACTCAGGGGCTGCATTCAGGTGGGGTAGGCTGGGAATATGCTCAGCTACAACAGTGGGCATCTCTTTCCAGGTGGTCTTTCATCTTCAAGAAGGTGAGAGGATACTTTTACATGAAGAGTATTTCTAAGATCATTCTAGGAACACAGTGCCCAGGAGAGGCCTGGCCCCAGGAACTGCAGACTCCCACCAGCTGAAGTCCCATTGGCCAAAGCAGGTCACATGGCCAAGCTCAGAGTCAGAATGGGCAGGGCCTCACAGAGTTAGGGGGTGAGGCCTGGTGTATTGTGGGGCTTCTTGTTTCCACCTCTACTCCCTGCACTGAATCCAGGAGGGAGACGTGGGTTGGAGCAGTTTGATTTCAAAAAATGTATTTTTAAAAGACTGTTGTTTGAGTAAAATTGGTCTTCCCCTAATATCTGGATAGAGTTGAGGTATCCCAGAGGAAGGTAGTGAAGCCAGCAGTCAGGAGATGTGTTTAACCTGCCCCTACTCATTCATCATGGGATCTGGTGAAACCACCCATTCCAGGTTGCCTTAGAAAGTTCTAAATATGCGTGGCCATTCCAACATGGCCAAATAGGAACGACTCCAGTCTGTAGCTCCCAGCATGATCAACACAGAAGAGAGGTGATTTCTGCATTTCCAACTGAGGTA